>NC_000004.12:100171381-100796381 GCF_000001405.40 Homo sapiens
AACCATTCTTTGCTCATCCATAAGAGGCTACACCTCATCTGTTCAAGTTTTATTGCAGCAATTCGGTCCATCTTTAGGCTCCACTTCTAATTTTGGTTTTCTTGCTAATTTTACCACAGCTGCAGTAACTTCCTTCACGGAAATCTTGAACCCCTCAAAGTTATCCATAAGGATTGAAATCAACTTCTTCCAAATTCCTGTTAATATTGATATTTTGGCTTCCTCCCATAAATTACAATGCTCTTAATGGCACCTAGAATAGTGAATCCTTTCCAGAGGGTTTAAAGTTACATCCAGATTTATCAGAGGAACTACTATCTATGGCAGCTAAAACTTTACAAAATGTATTATTGAAATAATAAGACTTAAAAGTTGAAATTGCTCTTTGATCCATGGGCCGCAGAATGGATGTTGTGTTAGCAGGCATGAAAACAACATTAATCTTCTTGTACATCTTCATCAGAGCTCTTGGGTGACTAGGGGTATTGTAAATAAGCTGTAATATGTGGAAAAAAAATCTCTTCGTTTGGTTTGTTTGTTTTTGTTTTCTTTTGTGTTGTTTTTGTTCTTGAGGTGGAGTCTCACTCTGCCACCCAGGCTGGAGTGCAGTGGTGCAATCTCGGCTCACTGCAACCTTTGCCTCACGGGTTCAAACGATTCTCCTGCCTCAGCCTCCCGAGTAGCCTACAGGTGCCCACTACCATGCCCAGCTAATTTTTGTATTTTTAGTAGAGATGGGGTTTCACTATGTTGGCCAGGCTGGTCTCAAACTCCTGACCTCAAGTGATCCTCCCGCCTTGACCTCCCAAAATGCTAGGATTACAGGTGTGAGCCATCGCGTCCAGCCCCTGTTTTTGTTTTATGAGCAGTAGGTTTCAATGGGGGGTTTAAAGTATTCAGTAAGCCATTCTGTAAACAGATGTGCTGTCATCCAGGCTTTGTTATTCCATTTATAGAGCACAGGTAGAGTATACTGAGCATTTTCCTTAAGGGTCCTAAGATTTTTGGAACGGTAAATGAGCATTGGCTTTAACTTGAAGTCACCAGCTGCGTTAGTCTTTAATATGAGAGTCAGCCTGCTCTTAGAAGCTTTGAAGCTTGGCATTGATTTCTCCTCTCTAGCTATGAAAGTCCTAGATGGCATCTTCTCCCAATAAAAAGCTATTTCTTTTCCATTGAAAACCTGTTGTTTGCAGTAGGCACCTTCTTCAATGATCTTAGCTAGATCTCCTGGATAACTTGCTGCAGTTTCTATGTCAGCACCTGCTGCTTTACCTTGCACTTTTATTTATTTATTTATTTATTTATTTTGAGACAGAGTCTCTCTCTTGTCGCCCAGGCTGAGTGCAGTGGCATGATCTCGGGTCACTGGAACCTCTGCTTCCCGGGTTCAAGCAATTCTCCTGCCTTAGCCCCCCGAGTAGCTGGGATTACAGGCGTCTGCCACCACGCCCGGCTAGTTTTTGTACTTTTAGTAGAGACGGGGTTTCGCCATGTGGGCCAGGCTGGTCTTGAACTCCTGACCTCAGGCGATCTGTCCACCTCGGCCTCCCAAACTGTTGGGAATACAGGCATGAGCCACCACACCTGGCCACCTTGCACTTTTACATTAAGGAAATAGCTTGTTTCATTAAACCTAATGAACCAACCACTGCTGGCTTCCAACTTTTCTTCTGCAGCTTTCTTACCTCTCTCAGCCTTTATAGAACTGATGAGAGTTAGGGTCTTGCTCCAGATTAGGTTTTAGCTTAAGGGAATGTTAGGCTATTTTGATCTTCTATTTAGACCACTGAAACGTTCTACCCATTAACAATTAGGCTGTTTGGATTTCTTATGATTCATGTGTTCAGGAGCAGCACTTTAAATTTCCGTCAAGAAATTTTCTTTGCATTCACAGCTTAGCTAACTGTTTGGCACAAGAGGTCTACATTCTGCTCTGTCTTGGCTTTTTCATGACATGCCTTCTTCACTAAGCTTCACTTGGCTTTTTTTGTGACATGCCTTCTTCACTAAGCTTAATTATTTCTGGCTTTTGATTTAAAGTCAGAAATATGTGAATCTTCTTTTCAACTGAACACTTAGAAGCCATTGCAGAGTTATTAATTGGCCTAATTTTAGTATCATTGTGTCTCAGGGAAAAAGGGGTCTTGAGGAGAGGGAGAGAGGTGGGGGAAGGGCTGGTTGGAGGTGCAGTTGGGATACACACAACCTTTATCAATTAAGTTTGCCATCTCATATGGGTGTGGTTCGTGGTGCTCCCAAAAAATTACAATAGTAAGATAAAAGATCACTGATCACAGATCACCAAAACAGATAAAATAATGAAAAAGTTTGAGGTATTGTGTGAATTACCGAAATGTGACACAGAGACTTGAGTGAGCACAACCTGTTGGAAAAATGGTGCTGATAGACTTGCTTGACACAAGGTTTCTACAAACCTTCAATTTGTAAAACACTCAATATCTGCAAAGCTCAATAAATAGGAGTGCAATAAAATGACGTGTGCCTATACTAAAGGGGAGGATGAACATTTTGGAGGAAAAAATTCAGCAATCCCATGGCAAGTGTATAGAATATTGATGCCCCTAGTCCTTCCCCAAAGTGACCTATAGCCGTTTGTCTGGGTTGCTGTACAGTAGAAATGGAGAATGTGTAATTTCAAAGTCTTTTGGACACAGAGTCTATGACAGTTATGTGTCAATTTGCCTGGGCCACAGTGCGCAGATATTTGCTCAAACTTTATTTTGGATGTTTCTGCAGAGGTTTTTGTTTCTTTGTTTTAATATGGGATTAACATTTCATTTATTAGACTCTGAGTAAGCAGATTACCTTTCATAATGTGGGGGGCCTCATCCAATCAGTAGAAAGCCTAGATAGAATGGGCTGACCTTCACCAGGCAAAAAGGAATTCTCCCAGCAAACTGCTGTTAAATGAAGTTTAGCCTAAAGCCACTTCCTTACATAGTTTAAATTTGGCCTGAAGGTTTCTCCATACATAGTAAACTATAACCTAACTGGATGTGTAAACAGGCTGTAACCTACTTATCTACCAATCACCAAGTTTTGGTCAATCAACGGCAGCCAATTGTTCAAACCATATTCAAATAAGTCAAATGCCAGGCTGTAACCAATCTGTCTGTTTCTGTATCTCACTTCCATTTTCTGTATGTTACTTTTTTCCTTTTTCTATCCATAAATCATCTTCAACCACAAGGCAATGCTGGAGTCTCCCTGAATCTATTCTGGTTTGAGGGCTGCCTGATTTGCTAATTGTTCTTAGTTCAATTAAACTTTGTTAAATTTATCTAAGGTTTTTCTTTTAACACTGCAAACACACACACACACACACACACACACACACACACACACACACACACACACGCAGCACTTGTCAGCTGGTTTTGTTTTCTGAGAACCCTTACTAATACAGGGTCTGAGTTGACATTTGATAACCTGAAACTTAAAAAGCATCATAATGACCCCTGAGTTATTACTAGTTTAAATGGGGTCCAGGGCTAGGTCCAGGTCACAGTGTGTCCACTGATTTCATGGATGTGGGAGGGCTATAGTTGGCCCCATCAAGCTTTTTTTCTGTCAGTTTTCCCAGTAAAATAGACCAATTAAAATCCTGGAAGAGCTAGGCCCAGAACTTATTATATAACATAAGTGGATCCAAATAGCATAAGCAAAGGACGAGGGTGGACACTGTGATGTGCCACCCAGGTTCCCTCTTCATGTCTGGAGCAAGCATAACCCCTCCTGATGGAAGTGTCGGGAACTGACTGCTCACAGACGAGCCAACACTTCAGGAATTGCTTTCCATTGAAAAGAGCTGCCTTGTCCAAAGGCACACACCCCAACCCTGTGGCAGCTCATTTCTAGTGTCTAGTCAGAGGGGCAGCAGATAGAGGTCAAACCTTCTTGCCTCAGGGTAATTAACTCCAAATGGCATCCTAACTCTAAAGTTCCCTGAAACATCAGTTAAGAGCCTTTTTCTTTTTCTTTCCTTTTTTTTTTTGAGATTGTATCAACTATTCAACCATTTCCTCTGCTCAGTCCGACTCCCTTCTCTTCCAGTGGTGTTGACTGGAAGGACATTAACTTCCTGCTTGCAAATCTCCATCTCAGTGTCTATTTCCTGGGAACCCTACTTAAGACAGTTATTAAAATGGAAATAATGCTAGATGTAAGATGTGTGGTTGCTATCTTGTTTAAGGTTCTCTAAGTTCTCTCATTGCCTATTGTGGGTGACAATATTGCCTTCTATATTAAACAAGCAGCAGAAAAGCCTGAATACCAGAAATTTACTGATACCCTCCTTTTTCTCTTCCTTAGACTCATATACCAAAGCCCGTTCATTTTTCCTTGTAATGACCCTTGAGCTAATTATTATTATCATTATTATTATTTTAACATAAAGTGTTTCTATTCTAATTTAGATATGTCTGCCCTCCTACCTAGGCTACCTCAATAGGTTTTTCACTGACCTCATGCCTCTTGACTCTTAAAGGCTATTAAATTATTATATATAATATTGTCTGATTGATTTACCCAAAATTCTATGTTGTAAAAGCTTATAAACATGAAAGTGCTCAACCACGTAACTAACTATACATTTCTTAGTGTGGCATCCCAAAAGCCTCCACATTGCAGTCCATATTCACCTCTTACTAATATGTTTAACAAAGAAATTACTAAACATTGACGAAGATAAAAATCCAAGTCTCTGCCTTCAAGTTGCTCAGAGTAATTTCAAAACTTTTTCTGTTGCCACATTATTTCTATGTACAACTCTATGCCTTGAGTAAATCCCCTTATGAATAATCAGTCCTTTAAAATATTATAAAATATTCAAGCAAATAGAAACATATAGAGAATGAGAAAATAACTGCATTCCAGATTAGAGATATTCTTATACTGATTTTTCAGGTCTCATTCCGTGCTTTCTCTGGGGGTAACTATTACACTGAATTTGGACTTTATTTTTTACGTTTATGCTTTACAATGTTACTATATATATATATATATATATATATATATACACACATAGATTCATGAATAATATGTTATACTATACTGATCATTTTTACTCTTTTTTTCAGTCAACACAATATTGAGATTTAGTTTTGTTGGAGTATGTACTTCTATTTTTCATATACTGTCTGTTGTATCTGTCTATATATCCTCATTTTCATTCCTATAGCTGCTGATGGATGCTTTCCATTATTTTCTTGTCCATTTTCAGTTTGTGAATGTTATTAATAGTCTTTTAAAAAATTGGATTTTATTTTTGTGATCCTTTCTATTGTTTATATTTTCGAAGTCATCAATTTCTGCTTATATCCTTATCATTTCCTTCCTTCTAGTTTTTGGGGTTTCTCTATTTCTTTTTGTAACATCTTTACTTGGCCATTTAGCTCATTGATTTCATCTTTTTTCTTTTCTCATACAAGGATTTAAGGCTATACATTTCTTTTCATGTACTGCTGTGGACTTTAGTACTTTTCATGTACTAAAGTGACCCCATCTTGGATATGAATCTGCCATGTTGACTGCTGATTAACCTCAGTACTAAATTTATCAGTCTTTTTCTTCAGCCTCTCAGCTGGGACAGATATGCATAGACCTGCTTACCAAGGAAAACTGCTTTAACTGCATACCGTATGTTTTGCTATATAATAGTTTCATCAGCTCCTTTCTTCTGGAAATGCCTGTAAGATTTCTACTTTATCTACTGTGTACCATAAATGTTATTGTAAACAGACACCAATCATAAATCTGGCCCACAGGCAAATTCCCTAAGGTAAATAAACCCTGGTTCTGGTGGGTATTAGCATGGAGATTCACCATCTCATTTCATGGTGGCTGCACTAGACATGGTTTCTGTTGTAAGTCTCTATTACATGTTTCTTTCTGAGAAACTAGACTTATTAGTCTCTTTCTTCAGCCTCTCAGCCTCCTTGGACCTTTGGAGACATGTATGCCTACACCTGCTCACCAAGGAACAACTGCCTTAACCACATACTATGTGTTTTGCTGTGTAACAGTTTCATTGTCATTAAATTCCAAGTTTTTTCTAACTATCTTTTTGACCCATAAATTCTTTAGAAGCATATTTGTATTTAAATTTCTAAATGTGTGAGGTTTTTGTGGCTGGTTTTTAGATTTTTATAATTCATTTCACAGAACAGTCTTTGTTAATTTAAGGTTTGCTTTGTATTATAAAATTTAAGTTTTTGTAAATTTTTTATGTATACATGAAAATAATGTGTGTTTACTAAGTGGGGGCTTATAGTTCCAGGCATGGTCATTAAATGTGGTACATAAAACTAATGTTTATGGTGTCATTCACATCTTTCACTTCTTTAATTCTCTTTTTGATTGATTTCTCAATTATTGAGAGATGTGTACTAGTATGGTCCACTATGATTGTAAGTTGCTCAATCTACTTTCTAATTTTGCAAATTTGCACTTATTATTTTGAGGCCATATTATTGGGTACAAAGGTATTAATCAGGATAGATCAGATTATGCTGTAATATCAAAAATCCCCCAAATTTCAGTATGTTAACAGAAGGTTTATTTCTTACTTACACTATAGCTTTAATTTGAGTCAGCAGTGAAAGAACTGGATTAATTTTCTTTACTCAGTGACTCAGACTGACAGATGTGTCCTCTTGTCATTTCTGGTCACACTTCTTTGGTGAAAGCATTTCAGATGACCTTAGCTAATTTCAAGGGGGTTTAGTGGTGGAGAAATATAATTATATCCTATCTCCAGAAGAAGAAGCAGAACTTTTGGGGAAAGTCTAATGACTATTACAACATACAAGTTCGGTACTATTATATTTTCCAGGAAAATTATTTAGTTATTATGTTGCAATTCACTTTATCCCTAATAATGTTGGTTAAGATTATAAAAAGACAATAGAGGAAGCAGTGTGAAATATGATTGATATCTGTGCTCAGACCTTAAGATAGATAGATATATATGTGTATATACAATATGTGTGCACACATATATACACACATATATGTGTGCACACATATATACACACATATATGTGTATATATGTGTGCACACATATATACACACATATATGTGTGCACACATATATACACACATATATGTGTGCACACATATATACACACATATGTGTGCACACATATATACACACATATGTGTGCACACATATATACACACATATGTGTGCACACATATATACACACATATGTGTGCACACATATATACACACATATGTGTGCACACATGTATACACATATGTGTGCACACATGTATACACATATGTGTGTATACATGTATACACATATGTGTGTATACATGTATACACATATATATACACATATATGTGTATACATATATATACACATATATGTGTATACATATATATACAATGTGTATACATATATATACACATATATATGTATATACATATATATACATACATATATGTGTGTGTGTGTGTGTGTATGTGTATATATATATATATATATATATATAGCTTACTTTGTAAGAACTAATAGAGGCCCAGTTCTTACACTGGCTGTGGGAGACAATTCTCCGTGGTTCCGTGGTTCTCTCATATTTCTGCTTGTCTTAAAAGGGAGGCAGTGATTGCCTTTAGTTCTGGACTGTCTTTTCAAGGATATTTTTATAGTGGAAAACTGTGGAAGATAGATAGTGTCTGAAGCAAAGGGTAGGCATCCTCTTGGGTTCCCTAAGCTCAGGGTTCCTCTCCTGCAATGTAACCCATAGGCCTCCAACTGGGCCTAACCTTACTACTCCTGTGGGACTTAAAGGGAAGAGTAGACTGATGCAAACATGCTGATGTTCATGCTGCTGGCTATGGAGCAGTAGTAAAATCCTTGGAGTCTTGTGTTTTCTACAAGTATCCATGAAACTGTGGCAGGCTAATATGTTACCTTGAAAGTTGGGTTAATTTTAGACCCTTGAGAGTTCTTTGACACCAGATTCACTTCCCTTCACGTTAAACTTGTCTGTCCTGATGCTGCTGGTACTTCCTTCAGACTTCACAGTGTCTGCGATAGCAAGTTCACTTTGAATTAGGTGGTAGCTACCCAGAAGATTCTCTGACACGGTAGCCGTTGGCTCAATATCTTTATGCTGTTGCTGATAGAATACTGCAAAATGCTCTTCTATATTCCCTTCAAATGGCTTTAGAGTTTTGCCTTGAAACAGGTTTAGAAAATTTCTTTCTCAACAAAGCCACACTTGAGCTATAATTTGGTTTATATGAATCAAACCATCTGTCTTTGCTTTTCCTTCAGCATGTTTGGATAGAGTGAAAAAGTATCCTTTTTATATTCGTAAATTATTAGCAAGTATTTGTTATGTAAATAATTCTACCTAATTATTAGTTCTGAAAATAAGATCAAGTCTTAGTTATCCAGATGGTCAAGTTCTTCAGCAGCCTTGTTTAACTCGTTTGCATTCCTCAGCATATAATCTGTGAGAATTTTTCGGATATTCCATGTTCAGGCGGCAAAAATCACTTTATATTATCCTCCGCAAAGGTAAATCTATTGCAAGATTAACCATATGCAATGGCAATACTTTTTTTTTTTTTTGAGACAGTGTCTTGCTATGTCACCCAGGCTGGAGTGCAGTGGTGTGAACATAGCTCACTGTAGCCTTGAACTCCAGGGCTCAAACAATCCTTCCACCTCAGCCTCCCGAGTAACCTGGACTACAGGGTCAGGGCACTGCACTCAGCTAATTTTTAAATTTTGTGTAGAGACAGGAGTCTCACTTCGTTGCTGAGGCTGGTTTCGAACTCCCGGCTTTATGTGAGCCTTGTGCCTCAGCCTCCCAAAGTGCTGAGGTTACAGGCATGAGCCACCATGACTGGCAGAAAATTCTTGGGTAGAGATACAGATAATTTTATTTTCCCCTAGAATTTTATTTAAGTTTTTAAATTGCCTTTAAACATTTTTAAATGTTTTATTAAGTATTAAGCACAAAAAGAGATTTATCAAATGCATGTAAAACATAAGGAGTTATGATTCAATAACATATTTGTGCATACCTCCAAATTTAAGGAAATGATTGCTACTATTTCCTTTGATGTTTTCTGTTAATCTGTTATTATTCCCACTTACTTTTCTCTCTCTTCAGACGTATTCATTCTTCCAAAATTTGCGCTTACAAATCCCCAGACTTTTAAACAGATAAATCGTATATATTTGCATCCCTAAACATTTTAATGTTTTATGTCTTTATTACATAAACAGAAAAAAGCTCTATTTGTTCGTTTGTGACTTTCTTTTTGTAATCAATAATATATTCCAAAGATTCATCCAGATAACTTGTAGTTTATTATTTTATTTTTAAAGGCTAATCAACTGAGGTAGTAGGAGTGGAGAAGGAACAAAAAAAATCTTGGTCAGGCACAGTGGCTCACACCTGTAATCCCAGCACTTAGAGAGGCTGAGGCAGGTGGATTGCTTGAGCCCAAGAGTTCAAGAGCAGCCTGGGCAAAATGGTGAAATCCTGTCTCTAAAAGAAATATTTAAAAAAATTAGCCAGGCATGGTGGCACACGCCTGTAGTCCCAGCTACTCAGGAGGTTGAGGTGGGAGGATCACCTGAGCCAGAGATGTTGAGGCTGCAATAAGCCATGATCTCGCCACTGCACTTCAGCCTGGGCAATGGAAGGAAGACCCTGTCTCAAAAAAAAAAAAAAAAAAAATCTGTAACTGGTTGTAATACATTGCTTGTAAACATCACTGCACTCAGACCAGCCTCGTTTGTAATTTAAAGGCCATTTTCATTGCTGACCAGCATTCCATTTATGATGATACCCACAATTCATGTACCCGTTCCTCAGTTGATGGGCAGTCCACGTTGCTTTTCCAGACAGTTGTGTTGCTGAACTCCTGTGAGAGTCTCCTAACACATTAGTGCAAGAATAAAAGGCAGTAGTCTTAAAACGGGGATATATGTACAAGGATATACAAATGTTTCCCATGTGATATGTGGATATGTAGGGTGTAAATAGTTTTAGGGGAACCAATTTCTAAACATTTTGCTTCTATACACACTCTTTTCTAAAACTGATCTCTCTGAGACTTTGTCAGAGACACAGGTCCCGATTTTATATTTGCTCTTTATCCTCTTTCCCCACTTCACAAAATGACATACCTTTCTCTCAGTTGGTCAATCTTACTATAATGCTTTATTCTGGAGCGTACAAACTCCTAGAGTGCCAAAGAAAGGGACAGTTTGAAATATTGCTCTAGGATAGTATTGTGTATTATTTGAATGCTTGGTTTTATGGCTGAATCGTATTAACCCCAAATTCTTAGGTTCTAACCACCAGTAATTCAGCATGTGACTGCATTTGGAGATAGGGTCTTTAGACAGGTAATTAAGTTAAAATGAGGCCCCTAGGGTAGACCCTAATCCAATGACTGATGTCCTTATAGGAAGAGGAGATTAGGACACAGACATGCACACAGAGGGAAGACAATGTGAAGACACAGGGAGAAGACAGCCTCACCTACAGGCCACAAAGAAGGGCCTCAGAAGAAACCAACACTTCTGACACCTTGTTCTTGGACTTCTAGCCTCCAGAACTGTGAGACAATACATTTTTGTTGTTTATGCTCTCTAGTATTTGGTACTTCGTTATTGTAGCCCTAGCAAACTAATATAATTAGAGAACAAGTACTTTTGTGAGTCAGGTGGTTTCAGTTTTTTTATTTCAACAATATTGAAAGAAAACCTGATTGAATTATGTGCAGATTGATCATTTAAGATAATTTTTTGGTGATATATATTTATGTGATTTGAGTATATATCTTGAAAGTAGTTCAAAGATTGAGTGATACTGTAATAACCAAATCTCCTACATTCCCATCTTATTGATGTGAATAGATTTTCTCAGAGATTACATCTATAGAAACAAAAATAGATGGCCAGGCATAGTGGCTCAGGCTTTTGACCATATACTTTTTGGGGAGTTGTTTGTCATTTTCTTATTGCTTTGAAAGAATTCAAGACTTTGGGAGGCTGAGGCAGGAGGATCACTTGAGGCCAGAAGTTTGAGATCAGCCTGGGTGACATAGCAAGATCCTATCTCTACAAAAGATTAAAAAGTTAGCTGGATATGGCAGTGCACCCTTGTAGTCCTAGCTACCCGGGAGGCTGATGTGGGAGGAATGCTTGAGCCCAGGAGTTTGAGGCTGCAGTGAGCTGGGATTGCACCACTGCACTCCAGGCTGGGCCAGAGAGTGAGACACAGAGAGAGAGAGAGAGAAAAGGAAGGATGGAAAGAAATAATGCTAAGCTCTCAATTCTAGCAAAAAACCAATATGAAACCACGAATTAATTAACTAAAGAGTCCTCTCATTAAGAAATAGCTTATTATTATTATTGTGTTTAATAGTATTCAAAAATTTGGAAAACATGTTATTTTGGCCATTGTGTATTATTACTATTTGCAAAGTTAACTCACTCAAAAATGGACATTTAAAGAGTCGGTCACAGAAAATTTGAAAAAATTTAATTTCAGTTTATAATCTTATTTTTTTACAGGGAAGAAATAATAATAAATGACTTTTAAGTTTAAAAGATATTACATTAAAGAAAACTCAATATAAATTGTAGACTTTGAAAAGATACAGGAATGAAGAAAAAGTAACACTGAAAAAATTTAATTCTGTTGAAGACCTTATTTATAATATTTTCTAAATAGATGTTGTTGAATGTCAAATTACTATGCTACTTACATTCCATTGGAAATATTTAAAAGATGATGTAATAGTTTTATTTTAAAAGGCCAGTATTTGTCACATTCTGGACTTTACATCATTTGCAACTTTTTAAACTTAGGATAAATAATTTGAATGACAATTTAAAAAATTTGACAGGCAGGGCACAGTGGCTCACACCTGTAGTACCAGGATTTTGGGAAGCCAAAGTGGAAGGATCACTTGAGCTCAGCAGTTTAAAACCAGCTTGGGCAACATAGGGAGACCCTGTCTCTACAAAAAATAAAAAATAAAAAAATTAGCTGGGTGTGGTGGCACACGCCTATGGTTTCAGATACTTGGCAGGCTCAGACGGGAGGATCGCTTGAGTCTGGAAAATAGAGGCTACAATGAGCTGTGATCACGTCACTGTGCTCCAGCCTGTGTGACAGAGCAAGACCCTCTCTCTCCAAAAAAAAAAATAGTTTGAAGAACACTCTTTGATATGCTGGTTCACAAAATATACTTATCATTCAATTTTATAAAATAATGCCATATACATATATTGACTTGTTGATTTTTTTTTCTTGTGTCCTCACCAACTTTTGGAATTATCAATTTATTTTTACTAACGTGGATGTCTATACTGATATTTTATTATTGCTTTTAACTTGAATTTCTCTGATTACTAATTAGATTGAGGATCTTTTCATATAATTATCAGCCAGATTGGCTTCCTTTTCCATACAATACCTATTCAGGCTTTTGACAACGTATTTTTTGGGGGGTTGTGTTTTTCTTATTGCTTTGCAAGAATTCTTGACGTATTCTGGTTACAAACCATTTTTCAGTTATATGTGTTGAAAACACTTTCTTCCAGTTCCCGAGTTTTAATTTTATCTTCCTTATAGGATTATTTGATAAAGAGATGTTTCAGGGCATCTTGACGTCTTATTTAAGAGTTCTTCCCTCTACGAGAAAATTACGAAAATTCTATCTTCTAAGTTTCCCTTTCATATTTAATTCCTTAATCAACCTGAAATTGATTTTTATGCTCAATGTGTATGCATTCAACTTATTTATCTCCTGTGAAAAGTTGTTATTGCACCAGTTATTGAAAACAACATCCTTTACCCATTCTGAGAATACTGAGGGAAAAATAATCAAACTTGCTTTCTCCTATACCTTATCACTCAAAAATGAACACAGAAGCCTTCTGTGACCAAATGTGTGGGTTTTCCCGACATATCAGACAAGCAATCAATTCCGCCATCTGACACCAGCTGGGTATCCTCTAATCCAATTCCATTCTGACACTACCAGGAGACAGCCTCAAATACCACAGGTAGAGGGCTCAGTCCCCAAGGGTGTCCCCCTCCCCCAACTTCCAATGCCAATCTCAAGCCTCAGCTTGCTTTACCTGTGCTTCTGACTACCTGCTATAAATTAGGGTTCCCATGACTCCCTCCTGGGATTAGATTAATTTGCTAGAGCAGCTCACAGAACTCAGGGAAACACTTACTTACGTTTACTGGTTTATGATAAAGATTAGTAGAAAAGATGCTGATGAGTGCCGATGAAGAAATGCATAGGGCAAGAAATGTGGGAAGGGGCAGGAGCTTCTATGCCCTCTCCAGGCCCACCATCCTCCAGGAACCTCCAAGTGTTCACTTATCCAGAAGGTGTTTGACCTCAGTCCTTTTAGGTTTTTATGGAAGCTTCGTTATGTAGAATTATGTAGACTGGTTAAATCATTGGCCATTGGCTTAATCTTCGGACCCTCTCTCCTTTCAGGTGGATGTGAGGGTGTGGTGAGGCTAAAAGTCCCAACACCCTAATATAGCCTTGGTCTTTCTGGTGACCAAGCCCCATCCTGAAGCTACCTGGGGGTTTCCAGCCATCAGTCAATCATTAGCATACAAAAGACACTCATCACTTTGAAGAATCTAAGTAGTTCAAGAGTTTTATACCAGGAAACAGGGACTAAGACCAAATGTATATTTCACAATATATATTTAAAGACCACCCTAATCTTCCAATGAGAATTCCTTACATCAAAAGGACATACAACTTAAAAGATACTGCAGCACTCCTAGAATCTCACTGAATCATTTATAATTAATCAAGTCCGTTGTGTAGTATAAATATGTCTCCCAGGATGAGGTCACTCAAGTTTGTAGGCTTCCATTCGACCCTGTCTGATTTCAAAAGTAGTCTCTGCAAACATAGCTTCACCTTTTCAGGCATCTGTTATAATTCAGCTGGAAGACATCATCATCACTTGCTCTGATCCTCTTTTGAAGTGATAATATTGGATTTCCATCCTTATATAACCCATTTATTAATTCCTTTAACCTCAGTGACTATTCTTCCTTCTCTTCATTTATACCCCAAATCTTCCACCTTTGGAAGCAAAGGTTTGCCTCCATTTGTACACCCTGTCTGTCTAGGCGGAACGCAGCAATGCCAGTCTAGCAGGTGCTCCCTTTCAGTCCACTCATATTCAGATAGGGTTAGGCTACACAGGTCCAGAACTGGTGGGCTGTTTTTACTACCAGGCAAAATAGCTGCATTCACTGTTAACCCCAATTTTGCCAAATGAGATGAAGGCACAACCCACTTCTATCAGGCCCATAAGGAATTCTGATATAAGGTTTATAATGAGCCATCCCTACTTACAGCCCTTGTAATTGCAGCCCTGATCCTATGACCACTGCATCAAGTAGGTGAAAGAAAAAAAAAAGAGGACAAGAGAATTAAAAATATATAATGTTTTATTGTCAAAAATAGACAAACTTTAATTTCCTTTAACAGGAATATTAATTTAACAGCCTTCCATAAGCCATCACCATTTTGTAAGCATAACAGGCAAGAGAGTCAAAGATAACTGTTAGTGGGAAAAGGACAACAGTTCTACATCCATGCCCAAGAAGCCTTGCCCAGTCAGTGGTGACAACTCCAGGACAGCGGCAGAAACACAGTGAACCTTTGGAGCTTAACAATAGCCATGCAAAACAACATAGATTTATCTTGGCCCAATTCTATAAAGATTGGCTTTGTAGTATCTTTCCAAGCATTTGAAGAGTTTAGTTTGTTAGAACACTGGCTAATTTGAACAGTGACATTTTAGGTCACTTATAGTATCAGTAACAGGATCACACCTGTTTTTCAGTAACACCAGGATGAATACATCTGTCCCTACGCCGGTCTCCAGCATGTGAAGTGGAGCTAATAGCTAGGGCAGGAAACCTGAATAAGCTCCTTATCCACGACCCACAGCAAGGATATGAAAGCCTTGCTGAATTGAACATTGTTGAGTGGAGGCTAAATTCTCTCATTAACATAAAAAAGGAAAGAGATAATGATCTACTTAGTTGGAATAAGACAAAAAATCAGGCCTTTATTATTCCCTAGTGACAGGTATCCAAGGTGGAAAAAATCTGGGTGCATGCATGGTTATCTGGACGGTGAGTTTCATTCTCTAGGCTGTACTATAAACCATATCTCCATAGCCAATGCAGACTTCGTAAATTGACCCGTTTCAATAATTCAAAGTGGTAGTATACAGCTACTACCCTTGACAATTGGGGTTAAGGAGAGATACTTCAATTCCCAGAAAAGCCCAGAGATGAGATAACACTGCCATGGTGAAATGGTTCATCTGAGATTAAGCACATGTAATACTGAAAAGAGGATAGATTACTAAGTGAATCAGAGAGGGACTAGATCTCAGAACTAATTTCCTATCCTCACAGGTATTCATCATTCACTCAATGGAAGAGTAATCAACTACACACAAAAATATCAGTTCAATATTTTGCATTTTTCTAGTTTAAAGACAGTATTCAACACTTAAGAACAGGGGAAACTGAGCTTATAAAGGCATCTAAAACAACACCGTGGTTACTGAAATGGCACCACAAGCTTTTGTTGCCTCTTTAAAACATTAGAGTGAGGAAGTCACCAAGAAACAGTGAAGCAGTTCCATTATTGCCGTAATATTTCTCATTTACTCTTACCTAGGGTTAAGCTTTAATTAAACTCACCTACTTAATCCTACCCTCCTGTCTAAAAACCCTTCAAATTTGAGTCAGGAACTGGTGGTGTGGGCTTTTGGAAGTTTTGATAGGCTAAATATCATTTAGTATGATTCTGTGATTTAAAAAATCCTCTGAAAACTTACAGAAAAAAAAGCCATATGAAAATCAAAATAGGCAAATCTGGTTTATATAGTCTATTACCAAGCCTACCTGAAACCAAATTGTGGAATCAAATGTAAAACTCAAATGGGCTTCTACTTTTGCTTACCTATTCCATCCCATTCAATTCTGTACAAAAATGGGATCTATGCAGAAAATCTACACTATTTTGAATCACTTCTCCAAAGGCCAGAAAATCAGCCTGTTAGCTGCAGTTGCTATGAATGTGAAACACAGAAAGAAAAGAGACTACATTTGGGGTTTCTTATTTAGGGCAGGTGGGGCAAACTACAAATGACTTTAGCTGACTAGCTGAATAGTTTTACTACCCAATCATGAAATAATCTTTATATATTTTCCCTTTTTAGGACCCTTCAATCACTGTTGTTCCAATCAGTGAGTAAAGTTTTTTCTTAACAAGTCGAAATCCTGAGCTGAGGATCAGAGTTCTCCTGAAACCAGAGGAGAAGCGACCTCTACTAAAGAAAAAGTCCCTGAAGCTAGTCCATGAGCAGTTCTCCTGCTTAAACACAAGTGTAAGCTCAAAAGTAGGTACGACGCTAGAATCACACACAATCCTATCCAGCTTTTTACATACATTTTCAATTTCCAAGTTCACGTGCATAACACAACCTCGCAAGCCGCAGGGCTCCGTTGAGGAAAGCCGCAGGACATCTTGAGCAATTCTCTGGGTCAGTTTCTCAGGGACAAGGACCTTTGAGCAACCAAGTTTAGTTTGCTTTGATTTGGACAGACAGTTCTCCAGCATTTTAACCAAATTCTGGCAAGTTGATTCCTCAAATATTACCTCGTTGAGGTTGGGTTCAGGAACAACATAATCCCAGTAGTCAAAATCTGTAAGAAATGGAGTTTTCTTTTTAGATACAGAAGAAAAAATTTAAGAGTAGAAAAAAAACACCAAGATATCAACATTGGTTACCTCTATCTACCATGTCTGCCTTTTTCTTGTATTTGTTTCAGAGTCAGCTGACCTCAATTAACTGTTAACTAGCTAGGTAATATAGCGAATAATTTAAGCTCTCATGAATGAAAGTTCATGTATGAAATAAAGGTTTAGATAAATAGAGTAGATAGGATGTAACCACTTTTCTTTAAATTTATGTGTGTACACAAAACACACACACAACCGTGAAGACTATGCATCAAAAATCTACTTGTGATTATCCCAGATTATTGGTGATTTTCTTTTCTTTTCTCCTACTTGCTTATGGGGGTTTTCTAATTTTGTTTTACAGAAAACATGCATTACTTCTGGAATAAAAAGTTATAACTTTGTTTTTTGGACTAAGGGGTTGTTACTTTCTAACTGTAGGAATACATGTATTGTAAAATAAAGAATTTTTACTATTATGTTTGAAGAGTTGTATTAAAGCTTTAAGAGTTATATTAAAGATCTATCAAATTTGTGTCTTTAAGTCTTTACTGGAGTGGCCTGTAGGTCCCAATTTTAGCTTTAGCCTCTTTAATTAAAAATTGTGCAGAGAAGACCTTTGAGGTTCATGAGGATATTTGTAACCGGCTGGGTGGTTTTTCTTAGCCAAGCAAAACAAAATAGTCCTAGGGAAATAAAATTAGCTGGGCTCAAAGGAAAAGAGATAGCTCTGCATTTGGTCACCTACACCTCAAATTAATCCTACCCCTTGGCAGGATGCCACACCACACGGAGTCAAATGAACAAGGTGCAGGCAGATGCCCTCCCAGCTCCTCTCTCTAAGCCTACTCCACCTTCATCAGCCACTGGCTTTTCCTCTCCACTTCGTGTAAGTTTGGAGTTCTGGCCTGTAAATTAGGTCATCAACCACTTCACCTTGAAAGGAGAAAAACACGAAGAGCTTAAGCAGTTTATCTATGCTCTTACAGCTCTTTAGTGTCAGAGCAGTGTGTTCACCTAGAAACTGCTGTTAAAATTCCAAATGACAGCAAGTCAAGCACCGCTGCTGTTCAACAGTTTCCTTCTCACATTAAAAATGGAATAATGGATATATCCACGACTGAAAATCCTACTCAGTAATAAACAATAAACACGAACACACTGATTTAAGCAACGGACATAAAAGAATCTCAAAAACATTAGGCTGCGGGAAAGAAACCAGACACAAAAGAATACCTACTGTATGGTTCCACTTACCTAAAGGCAAAACTAACTTGGAATGATAAAAATCAGATCAGTAGTTCCCTGGAGTCAGGGGAGAGTGAGGAATACCTGGCAAATAGGTGCGTCGGAATTCAGGGGGAGGGGCGATATTGATTACAGGGTAAATACATTTGCTAAAACACACATAACTGTGTTCTTCACAATCATGTAAGATAAGGAACTTAATCCCAAGGGGCCTACTGGCACCAGACTAGAAAGATGCAGCCCTCGGGTATTCTACTTTTGCTACTTTTGTTTCTATCATGGAGAGAAGATGTTAGAAAATTTGGAAAGGAGTCTCCTCAGATGGATTTTGTGGCACCTCCTACATAGAGGTAGGGGAGGAAGTCGAAAGCCCGCCCACCCAATAGATCCAGAGGCACCGACCTTGGGAGGGGAGAAGGGTGGACAGCGGGGACACTCACCACTTAGCAGGCTCTCTGGGTGATAGCCACAGTCCAGCAATTCTGAAATGCTGGCCGGGTTCTTGCTGCTCAAACTGCCAGTTGCAACCATGGTCAACGGCTCTGTTTCCTTCGCGAGGCGCAACGGCCTTTCCTGAGCGCTGGAAAAAATGAGGCGAGAAGAGACGGATTTGCAAAAGCAGGCGAGTCGTGCAGAGGCTCCTAAAATGCCCGGCGTCCCGGGAGCGAACTAGCGGAGGAACTCCTTTGCCAAAGGGGTGGAACCGGCCTCTGCAACTCAATTTGACAAAGCCCTGGGAGCGGAGCCGCAACCTGAAACTAACTCAACAGTTCGCAAAACTTGGAAGCGACCTGCCCCGCGGAGCGCCCCCCGGCCCCGCTGCCCCCACCAAGGCCGCAGCTTCGCTCACCTGCCAGGAGTTCGCGGGGGCCTGCGCGCTCGCTGCCGGGTAAACACAGGCAGGTGGCTTCTTAGGAGTCCCCTCTCCTGGGGACTCGGTGACCTGCAGACCCCAGCAGCCAGCGGCACCCTGCTCACCCCTCCCGGGCCACCCTGCGCCGGCTCCTCGCAGTAGCATAGCCTCCGGGGCAGCGAGAACTTTATAGGTCCAGTCCCCACCCTGCTCAGGCCCGCCCACCTGCACCGCCCCTCCCCGGCCAGCGCCCCGCCCCTCCCCTCCAGAGTCTGGTCCCCTTTCAACCTCTACACTTCCAGGGAGCCCGAGCCTAGCCACAGGGAGTTGAGGATAAGCCTGTGGTAGAGCGGACACCTGTTGCTTCCAGGGTAGATCTCGGGCCACTGGGACCGCAATTCCGGGTGCACGACTCGTCAAAGCCTGAACCTGATTGTTCAGTGCGACCCCTCCCCGAGCGTCCGCGCTTTCACACTCAGGCTGCTCCCGGCAGCGGGAAGCTTTAAGCGATCTGTGCATTTCCTTGTCCTGGGGCTTTGCTGTGTCATCCTGAACACTTGGCTTAAATCTGTTGCAACGTCCACTGAGCATCATTTATGCACTTATTTCTGGCCTCTAACCCAGTCAACTCTACTCTGCCTCCCAGGGTTTCTGTATCCTCCTCTGCTGCAAGCGGTCAGATCTAGTTTTCCTTTCCCGCATCGAAGGCTCGCCAGCATTTTAAGAAGGGCCTTAATGACCCCACGCACTCCGTGGCTCCCTGGCATTCTTCGTGCACTTACATCTGTGGCTAATGCGTTTTCTTCGCAGGAAGGGTGAGCCTGGCACTCTTCTAATTAGACCTTGCCCCAGAGCGCGGGGAGCTTGAATTGAGCGGGAGTTTGCCAAGAAACACACAATACCATTAGTAGGATCTTAGGTACTCCTCTATCCGTGCATCGAGAGCAACTGTCATTTCCGGAGGCAGAAGTTTCTGGCGAGCCCTGTTGGGAGGATCTTTGGTTTGGGATATTTTGAAGAGGTTTCAGAGACTGAAGATAAAGAGTTTTATATTCTGCTGGGGATCAGCAGATAATCCCTGTGAGGGCTCCGTGCGGTCCTGCACAGGAACACACAGAGAGGCAGAGGAGCCCTGGAAAGAGGCAACATGCCCGCATAGCCCATGAGCAAGAAGCCAAACCTGATTTTTTTCTTCCAAAGTTATTAAGCCACGGTTTTCTCGCTTTGGTGTGCCAGTAGGAGATGATCTGTTCAGAGAGTCAGCTTGGGGTGCGTTAGGGGATGCCTGGAGGGAGAAGGTTGTTCCTACAGTAGAGATCCCAGTGTTGGCTCCCAGGCCCTCTAGGATTATGTGTAGAAGGATTTGCAGGTTAGAACCTTGAAAGGCAGTTTCAGCTGTCCTGGCATAAAACTCTTAGAAAAACAACAACAGAAGGGGTATAGAGGGTGTGATAAACAGATCAGTGGGAGGACATTCGGACGCAGAGCAGCAGAAATTAAAGCCAGCTTGACAGTCCATTTTTAACTCAGTTCAGGCAGCTGCACTGCCTGAAGGTCAGGCGAGCCAAGGAAGGAGATGCTGATAGACTGGTCTTTGAAGGCCAGTTTCCACTTCTACTTCAATAAACAGAAAAGTGGAAAATAAACAAGCCCATTTAAGCCAATTAAAAAGCGGTTTCAGTGGCTAGGGTGTTCAGGACCAATGGATGGGCCCATGGTCAGGAGTTGGATGCCAGCCGCCTGACAGTCAGTCCCTGGGCAGGCCACAGAGCCTCTTGTCCTTGTCTGGGCAGCATTACTAATGAGGCTGCCACTTAACCTGCCTCCAAGGAGGATTTTTAGAATTAATATAATGAGTGGTCTGAACCAATACTAGCGAAATAAAGAAATTACTCGTTTCAATTTCCTTAGGGTATTTAGGCATAATTCATAGAGTAAATGCCCCCATAGGGCCAGAAAGATTATTGGAACTTACAGAAAGTAGTAGTTGCTCTTGGCCCACCTGACTAAATGAAATTTTGCAAAGCCCTTTGGGATTTGACTTCAGAAAACAATTTACTTATGTACAAAAGACTTCAAATAATATCTTCTTGGCTGAATGGGCCTTGCTCTCAGGACATACAGGGCATAAGGAATGATTGAGGTAAAACACATACCTGGAATAATTAAGAATGTCCTTTTTTATCTACTTAAAAGCGTAGAAAATCCATTCTATCACCAGTTTGCATCTTCACAAGGTTAAACAGAACTGATTTTTTAAAAATTTGAAGCATAGAGAAGAATTAGGAAAAACTAAGTGCCATTATAGGCTAAGTGCAAGGTGACACAGTCTATCAGATTTCAGAAAAATGTGGATACAGTCAATTATTTATAACTGAAAGTTCGCATTGGGGAACTTCAGGTGTTTATTAAGTGCAGTGATAAAGAAGTTTGTTTTATTGCTCTTTCATTATATCCTCTAACTAATACTATATAAACAGTTTGTGGGAGTGCTTACTGGAAATAGTTGTGTATGAATAGAAAATCTAGTCAGTTAAATAATTTGATTTCCTTTCATACACCAATGTATTATAAGAAACTATCTAAATCATAGGCAAAGGCTTTAACTTAAGCATGCTTGCTTTTTTATTACTATAATTCACTAATCCATCTTCTTACAGAAAGAAAATGAGATAGCAGTAACAACTGGCAACCATATGTTCATCTGATGTATTTGCAAATATTTAAGTTCTAGGCTTCCTCAGGTATAAATATAGTATTCATAATGTCATTGCTTATGTAAAGTATAAATTCACAATGCCAGGGATACTGAAAAAACAAAAAGCAAAAATGATGCTTTCATGTATTATTACAGGAAATGTTGGTGTCTTTTGCATTTGTGATTTGGAGTGTTGAATGTTCATTACGTGTTTCACTAGCCAATTTTCTGTCTTTATTTGGTATGAACACTTATTTTTGAATCTTATTAATACATTTACGTTCCACACATAGCTTATTTTATTTCATAAACTATGACACCTGAGGGAAAGTTACTGAGTTTCTTAATCTGTGCAATTCAGGGAAAACTTACAGGACATGGAAATTGATCTATACATTAGCAGTAAGCTCATGGGGTTATTGTAAGGATTAAAAGAGAAACCCTTAAAATCAATGCTAAATATTATCTCTTTTTTATAAACAAATATGAGATCTTTAAATGCACACTGCCTCTAGATTCCCTTAGTTGTGCTAAGTTTGTAAATTTGGTGTCTCATGCAAAGTGCTTAGAACCAAACTAATACTGATATTAGGCAAGAACTTAATGAGTGATATTATTATTATTGCTGTTATTATGTTCTGAAATTGTAGTTATCTGGGTCAGTGCAACAAGCAAGTGGCTAAATGGAGTTGGGGAAGTGTTGTTAAAGTATAAGAAAATTTATGATCTTTCCTGTTTGCAGGAAATCTGGAAAGTATTGGCACTGATTAGGAAAGCCTTTTTTATTATAATACATCCATCACTGTATGGGAAAGCAGGAAAGGATCTGCCAATGAAACGTAAGAAAATAATGTGGGTAAAAAATTATCTTGGTGTAAAATACAGAGTTTTATATGTTAACTTTCCTCTATTAATCTAGGAAATAGTTTTCTGGAAATAAATAACATCTACAGACAATTGAAACTATTGACTATAGAATGACGCAGTTGTTTCAAGGTATGTGTGATCATCTGTTAACATACTCGGTGAGATATTTAATCATAATTTTTATTTGCCTTTGAGGGTGCATCACCCAATACAATTTCCATTTAATTATTAAATATTCAATATGACTTATTCTGTTAAGTAAGGTAACATGGAAACTTATCTCGTATAAGACAAAAAGCAGGCCCAATACATAAAATAATACATAATGCTTGCTATTAAAAGCTGAGAGAATCTTCCAATAACACAAGGGTTTGCCTCTCTTTTTAAGCAGAGAAATGGTTACCATAGCAACTTGTCTCTTAATATAGTTATATGATTTTGTTCTCTTCATAAACAATGCTGTGTATTATCAGTCTTTAAATAGAGATAATATGTTTAAATGCATACAATATCTGCTTTTCCTTAATTATGGAAAAATGTATAATTCAGGTGACCATATCAGAGGATGTCAGCCAGGAACATGGAGTGGGTCCTTGACATTTGTCTAGCGATACATCTTAAAACTTTTACAAGTTCCAAATTTGAGAATACCACTATGCCATACCATTTTTTCTGGAATTTTAATGTGCACCAGGAGATGAGGAAAATAAAGCTACATGCTCATGTCAATGTTGGGTTCCTTACTGGTTTCCCTTCCTGTATCAACCAAGTGTCCTATTTTGGTGGGCCAGCCTTGCACAGCTTTTGTCATTGACATTTGTATCCTAGCAAAATTACACATTACTTCATGACATAAACCTGTGGGGTTGCTTAAGAAGAGAATTAAATCTGAGAATGCCTGAGTGTCGACTAGATATGGAATTCTGCAGGGTACTTTTTAGAATGGGATCTGATCTCCATTCTGCAGATTTAAAGCACATTAAGGTTAAGAAATTTGACTAGTCCAGAATGATTCAGTTTTTTCATCTTCATGGTGTAGTAGTTAGTGCATGAACTGTGCAGCCTAACTCCTAGCAGTGACATTTACTAGCTGTGTAACTTGGATTAGGTACTTAACATTTCTGTGCCTCTATTTTCACCTTTAAAATGGGAATTACGGAGAAGGAAGTGAGAGGGAGAGATGTGTTAAAGCAGCAGTCCCCAACCTTTTTGGCACCAGGGACTTGTTTGTGGAAGAGAATTTTTCCTCAGTTGAGGATGCAGATGTTTTGGGGATGAAACTGTTCCACTTCAGATCAACAGGCATTAGTTACATTCTCATGAGGAATGGGTAACCTAGATCCCTCACAGGCAGTTCACAAAGGGTTCATGCTCCTATGAGAATCTAATGTTGCAGCTGAGGCAGAACTCAGGTGGGAATGCAGGCAATGGGTAGCAGCTGTAAATACAGATGAAGCTTTGTTCCTTGCCCACCCACTGCTCCCTTCCTGCTTTGCACCCAGTTTCTAACAGGCCATGGACTGGTACTGGTCTGTCCGGAATTGGTGGGTTCTTGGTCTCCCTGACTTCAAGAATGAAGCCGCGGACCCTCGCAGTGAGTGTTACAGCTCTTAAGGTGGTGTGTCTGGAGTTTGTTCCTTCTGATGTTCGGATGTCGGAGTTTCTTCCTTCTGGTGGGTTCGTGGTCTCGCTGGCTCAGGAATGAAGCAGCAGACCTTCGAAGTGAGTGTTACAGCTCTTAAGGTGGCGTGTCTGGAGTTTGTTCCTTCTGATGTTCGGATGTCGGAGTTTCTTCCTTCTGGTGGGTTCGTGGTCTCGCTGGCTCAGGAATGAAGCCGCAGACCTTCGAAGTGAGTGTTACAGCTCTTAAGGTGGCGTGTCTGGTGTTTGTTCCTTCTGATGTTCGGATATGTTCGGAGTTTCTTCCTTCTGGTGTGTTCGTGGTCTCGCTGGCTCAGGAATGAAGCCGCGGACCTTTGCGGTGAATGTTACAGCTCTTAAGGCGGCGCGCCTGGAGTTGTTAATTCCTCCCGGTGGGCTCCTGGTCTTGCTGGCTTCAGGAGTGAAGCTGCAGACTTTCGCGGTGAGTGTTACAGCTCATAAAAGCAGTGGACCCAAAGAGTGAGCAGCAGCAAGAGTTATTGCAAAGAGTAAAAGAACAACGCTTCCACAGTGTGGAAGGTGACCCGAGCGGGTTACCACTGCTGGCTGGGGCAGCCTGCTTTTATTCTCTTATCTGGCCCCACCCACATCCTGCTGATTGGTAGAGTCTAGTGGTCTGTTTTGACAGGGTGCTGATTGGTGCGTTTACAATCCCTGAGCTAGACACAAAGGTTCTCCACCTCCCCACCAGATTAGCTAGACACAGAGTGTCCACACAAAGGTTCTCCAAGGCCCCACCAGAATAGCTAGATACAGAGTGTCAATTGGTGTATTCACAAACCCTGAGCTAGACACAGGGTGCTGATTGGTGTATTTACAAACCTTGAGCTAGATACAGAGTGCCCATTGGTGTATTTACAATCCCTGAGCTAGACATAAAGGTTCTCCATGTCCCCATCAGATTCAGGAGGCCAGCTGGCTTCACCCAGTGGATCCCGAACCAGGGCTGCAGGTGGAGCTGCCTGCCAGTCCCGCACCGTGCGCCCACACTCCTCAGCCCTTGGGTGGTCGATAGGACTGGGCGCCGTGGAGCAGGGGGCGGCGCTCATCGGCGAGGCTCGGGCTGCACAGGAGCCCATGGAGGGGGTGGGAGGCAGAGGCATGGCCGGCTGCAGGTCCTGAGCCCTGCTCCGCGGGAAGGCAGCTAAGGCCTGGTGAGAAATCGAGTGCAGTGCCGGTGGGCTGGCACTGCTGGGGGACCCAGTACACCCTCTGCAGCCGCTGGCCCGGGTGCTAAGCCCCTCATTGCCCGGAGCCGGCAGGGCCGGCCGGCTGCTCCTAGTGCCGGGCCGGCCAAGCCCACGCCCACCCGGAACTCCAGCTGGCCCCCAAGCGCAGTGCGCAGTCCCGGTTCCCGCTCGCGCCTCTCCCTCCACACCTCCCTGCAAGCTGAGGGAGCTGGCTCGGGCCTTGGCCAGCCCAGAAAAGGGCTCCCACAGTGCAGCGGTGGGCTGAAGGGCTCCTCAAGTGCCGCCAAAGTGGGAGCCCAGGCAGAGGAGGCGCTGAGAGCGAGCGAGGGCTGTGAGGACTGCCAGCACGCTGTCACCTCTCACTGGTCCGTGGCCTGACGGTTGGAGACCCCTGTGTTAAAGGATACAAAATTATAGCTAGGTAAGAGGAATCAGTTCTAGTGTTTCTTCCACTGTAGGGTGACTATAGTTAACAATAATACGGTGTTTTAAATAGCTAGAAGGAGGATATTGAATGTTCCCAACACAGAGAAATAATGAATATTTTCCCAACACAGAGAAATGATGAATATGATTAGTGGGATATGGTAATTACCCCAATTTGATCACTATACATTTTATGTGTTGCAACATTACTGTGTACCGCATGAAAATGTATAATTATTATTTGTCAACTAAAAAAATTTTAAAAACTACACTAAATAAATAAAATGAGAATTATAATAATTTTACCTTACAGGGCTGTTGTGGGGATTCAATGAGTGAATGCATAATGTACTCAATAAAAGTTAGCCATGATCAGAATGATGATTTTACTCTGACCTTGAAAAATTCTCAAAGTCATGGTGACATTTTTAATGAACAGGTAGCTAGAGGAGTATTTACATATGATCAAGAGTGTGTATAAAAGTATGTCTTGTACATAATCATTCATTTGGTCAACTGACATTCAGTAACTATTTGTTGTGTATTAATTATGTTAGGCCCTGAGAACACAACAGGAAACCAGATACGTTTGGTGCCCATCACCAGACAGATTATAGTTTAGAAAGCTATATAGGCAAATAAATACAAGATTATAAATAGTGTGATAAAGTTAGGGGAGGTACAGGGTGCTCCAGGAGCACAATGATATAAACACTAATGTGTTTTGAAATAAGATTTATAACCTTGCTGCTCATCATGTGTATCACGGACCAAAAGCATAGGCATCTCTTGGGAGAGTGTAAGAAATGCAAAATCTCAGGCCTCACCCTACACTACTGGAAACAGAATCTGCTTTTTAGTAAGATTTTTAGGTGATGCATATTGTATGCAATTAAAACAGATTTTAGTTAAAGACAATGAACAAAACCGTAAGACAATCTAAGCACTTGCAAAGCTATTTCTTGGCCAATTAAGAAAAAATATTTCTTGAGTACCTACTATGTGCAAGGCCTTGATGCAAGGTGGATAGAATCTCAGCTGGTAAGTGTTTGTTGATTCTCCATAGCTTAAGTCAGATATAATGGCTGTAATGAAAATAATCCATCCTGTGTGGTTTTTAGCTCCTGGGCCTGGCTCACAGACCACACACAGCTATGTGAAAACAGTCTGGTTTTCAGAGAAGACTGTATTATGTAAAAATTAAGTCCTGTTTTAATAAAGTTGAGACATTATCAAACCCTGAATTATATTCAACCTTGATGGAATGGAAGCCTATAATATAACACAAGGAAGGGGCTTATATAATAAAATGTATTTAAAGTAATTGGTCTATGGAAAGTTGCATTTGGAAACCACAAATTTAGAAGGAAGAGAGTAACACAGAAAGATATATCTTATTACTTCCAAATTTACTACAGAGGATAAATAAAGTTATGTATGTATTCATTTCTTCTGCTGTAATTGTATCATAAAATATGTTTTAAAACACTGACTTAGTTTTTGAAATATTGTGCTGGTAATTGGGAACTATTTTTGTAGATGTTATCTATTGTGGTAGAAGAGCTAAATTGTAAATTGCTGAAGAAGCCTTTCAGGGGATGTCAATATTAGCTATAAGCGTGCTGAAGTACATTCAGTTTTGTGACATTATTGATGCATCATATCTAAATTGAGCAATAAATGGTACTTAATTTATAGCATCACATAATTACCTTTGCAGGTAGCTTGTGAGGCTTATAAAACAGGCCTCACCTCTGAATATGTAACAGAGTAGTATACCTTAATGGTTTGACTTTGGGCTCTAACTCAAACTTGCCTTCAAATTCTGGTTTTGTCATGAGTGGGCACATTGTGAAATCAACTGAAATCCTTTGAATTTCAGCCTCCTCATCTGTAATATGGAAGATTCAATGATACAATACATGTTAAGTTTCTAGCAATGCAACTGGTATATATTAAGAGCTAAGTCAAAGGTGGTCATCCTAGACACTCATGGCTATATAAGTTTGTTTCTGTAAATGCACAAAATTCAACTGTATTAAATAATTCATCAAATGGTGTGATAGACTTCTCCAATGGTTGTAGATTTTAGTGTGCACATGATGTATAATAAAGAGTGCACATGCTGGAGAATCAGGAGACCTGTCCCCAAATACAGCTTTTATATTAACTTGGTCTCTGACTTTGGACAGGATGTGTCAACAGAATTTCCTGGATGTAGTAAGAAACTAAAAAGAGATTCACCCAGGCTGGAGGAGAGATTTATCTATGGATTTCAAAGCAGTAGAGACCAGGGCCTTACTTTATGGCTATGTCTAGGAGGACTGGACAGAGTTCCTATTTGGAGAAGATTCCTGTTTTTCCCCAAGAGCCATATGGAGCAGAAGAAAATAGCCAGATCAGATGGGATGCTGAGGGCACAGGTGATGAACATCTTAGCTGTAACCTTTGCGTGATCAATGACTGGAGAGTACAGTCTCCATCCCTGCCCCTCTCCTGAAACCTCAACATTGCACAGGATTTGAAACCCTTGACATGTGTATTGGATCTGTGGGATAGGAGGATAAGGATGGTAAGGGCAAAGAATGAGTGACATTAAAGTATCTATTCCTCAGCTGAATGAAGGGTAAATATCAGAAATTAAGTTAAATAGCAAACATGAAGCAGTAATGTTGCTTTATTGCCAATTCAGTCTGGGGACTAAGATTGATACTCTATCTATCTACCAGCATAGCTGTAGTTGTACTTCTGAAAAATATATTTTAACATTTTTCTTTCTATTCAATTTAAGGCAGCATTCTTGGAAGCCCTGCTTTTAGTGTCTACAGTCAACACGAGTTCCATACACAGCACATTTTTAGTTTATCCATTATTGAAAGATTGCTGCCTACAATGAAACCTATATGTATATGGTTTTCATGTGTTCTGTTTTTAAATAGTTAATATGAAAACTCCATAAATCAGGAATATTTTTGTATTTTCTAAATCAGGGAACCGTTTTCAATTTTGAAATTTACAAATTGGCTATTAGTTTAGAAATTTGAAGTAAATCCTTTACTAACTTTATTATTTTATTTCATTTTTTAGTTTTCTGGACTTGCTTCTGTAACACTTTCTCTGGATTGTTTAAGAGGAAGATAAAAGCATAAGAATTATTATTTTAAAAGTAATTTTTATTGTTACACTTGTTAGATTCCACCTGCATAATTGCCTACAAGAGTTATGTCTTTATAATGTCTATCTATAAACAGTTCTCTGATTTAGAAATGAAATTAAATTTTTAGAGGAGAGATTTCTGCATTAAAGGATAAATATGCTAAATATAGTTTTGATAGATCTTGATAAATTATCCTTCATAGGAATTGTACAGTTTTGGGCACCCACCAATAAAGTATGAGAACTTTTGTTTCTTTATTCTCTTCAACATTCATTCATTCATCTGCTATACCTTTTTATACAGTTTAAATATGTTCTAGAAACCTGTTGGTTAGGAGTTGTAATTTCTCTCATACTAGCTAGAAGAGATATTATCATAATTTTTAAAAGGGGAAACTATAAATGTAAATCATTAATCATAACTTTCAGGCAAAATTAGAAATGTATCATTTTCTTCCTGAGTTCTACTTTTGGGGAAAGCCTTAAGACTGTATCTACAAAGGCCATTATAAATTCACCGGTTGGTCAGCTCAGGCACCAAAAATATTGTTTTTTTTCAACCACACTACACTAAGTCATCAATCAGCTGTTTTGTTGTTATGCGGGGACATTGGTGTTCATTTAAGTCAGTCTTTTTGCTGTCTGTTGAGGAAAGAATTTTTGTCAAAAAGAGAAAATATTCTTTAATATAAAACTTACAAGTTGCCAGTAATTCAATTTCAATTTCAGATAGTTAAATAATATTTCCTTCTTTTTAACCTCAGTAGAATTATGACTTTGTTATAGCCCACAGTAGAATATTGAGTTAGGTGCAATTCCGTTCATCAAATGTTTGTGGATGTTACTATAGAGTGTAGGGCAGGGAGAGCAGAAGTTCAAACGCAGCTTTGGAAAACGTTCTAGGTCAGCTCCATCCAATCCGACAGGTACAGATACATTTGTGATTGAGCACTTTAAAATGTGACCAGTCCAAAGTGAGATGTAGAAAATACACACCAGATTTTTGAAGATTTAGTCAAACATGAAGAATGTAAAATATCACATTAATAATTTTTATATTGGTTACATGTTGAAATAAGATTTTTTATATGTTGGGTTAAATAAAATATATCGATAAAATTAATTTCACCTGATTCAGTGACTCAAAAACGTGGCTATTAGAATATTCAAAATTTAATATGAGGCTCACACTAAGAAATACAGGACAAGGGCTGGGCACAGTGGCTCACGCCTGTGATCCAAGCACTTTGGGAGGCTGAGGCGGGTGGATCACTTGAGGTCAGGAGTTCGAGACCAGCTTGGCCAACATGGTCAATCCCTGTCTCTACTAAAAATACAAAAAAATTAGCCAGACGTGGTGGCATGTGCCTCTAATCCTAGCTACTCGGGAGGCTGAGGCACAAGAATCACTTGAACCTGGGAGGCAGAGGTTGCAGTGAGCTGAGATTGTGCCACTGCATTCCAGCCTGGTCAACAGAGTGAAAATCTGTCTTAAAAAGAAAAAAGAGAGAAAGAAAGAAATGCAGGACAACACTATTTAAGATCGTTGTCACTTCATTTTAAAAAGAGGAGACTAGAGTGTACTTCGTATATATAGGAGGATTGGAAAATTCTTGGGAAGAGTACTCAGTAAGTGGGAGCTATTAATCTTGTAGGTCAAGTTTATTGAGATATAATTTAAGTATGCTAAAATTCATTTTTCTTAGTATAGAATTCAATGAATTTTGAATGGTCCACACTGTCATGTAACCACCACCACAGTTAAAATTTATAACTGTTCCACCACCACAAAATATTACTTTGCGTGTATTTCTAATTAACCCCTCATCCCATTCCCAGTCCTTGGCAAATAATGATCTCTTCCATAGTGACATACAAATATCATTAAACAAGTATATAGATTTTTGAGTCTGGTTTCTTTCACTAAGAGTGATACATTTGAAATTCTTCCAGGTTGTTGTGGGTATTGGTAGTTTTTTTTTTTTTTTTTTGATTTCTGAATACAGTTTCATTGCACAGCTATACCACAATTTGTTTATCCATTTACCAGTTGAAAGACATTTGAGTTGTTTCCAGTTTTTGATATTAAACATAATCTCATTATGTATATATTTGCTTACAAGTTTGTATATGAACATAACATGTTCATTTCTCCAGAATAAATACCTAAAAGTGAAATGCTGAGTCATATGGTAAAGTGTGTTTAATTTTATAAGAAATTTAGCTAGGTGTGGTGGCATGTGCCTGTAGTCCCAGCTACTCCAGAGGCTGAGGAGGGAAGAAGATCGAGCCCAGGAGGTCAAGTCTGCGATGAGCTGTTATGGTGCCACTGTACTCTAGCCTGTGTGACAGAGCAAGATCCTATCTCAAAATAATAATAATAATTTCATAAGAAACTGCTAAAATGATTTTCAAAATGGCTGTTTCATTTTGTCTTCCACCAGCAATGTATGAGTGTTCCAGGTGCTTCATATCCTGGCCAGAACTTGATGCTGTCATCTTTTAATTTTTTTTTTTTTTAAATTTAGGCCCTTTTAATAGAATGTAACAGTAGCTCATTGTGGCTTTAATTTTAATTTCTCCTATAACCCCTGTTGTTCAACATCGGATTTTATAAGCTTATTTGCCACCCTTATATCTTCTTTGGTGAACTATATACTCAAATCTGTTGCCTATGTATTTTTATGGAATTATTTGTTTCCCTATTATTGAGCTTGAGAGGGCTTTATGTGTTCTGGATGTAAGCCCTTTATTAGATATGTGTTTTGCAAATGTTTTCTCTGTCTGTGGTTTGTGTTTTTATTCTAACAGCATCTTTTGGAGAAAAATTTAAAATTATGATAATGTCTAATTTATTATAATTTTATGGGTCATATTTTTGGTGTCATGTCCAAGAAATTTTTGTCTAAGTCAAGGTCACAAAGATTTTTGTTGTAAATTTTCTTCTATGTGTTTTATAGGTTTACATTTATGAGTATGATCTATTTTAGTTACTTTTTGTGTATGATACAAGGTATGAATTAGAACTTTTTTTACATATAGATTTCCAGTTGTTCCAGCACCATTTGTTAAAAACCAATGCTTTCTCTATTGAATTGCCTTTGCATTTTTGTGAAAAATCAATTGCTCATGTATAGTTACTCTATTTCTAGTCTTTATTCTATACCATGAATCTACATGTCTGTCTTTTCACCAGTATTACACTATGTTATAATACATCCTGAAATCAGATAGTGTGAGTCTTCTAAATTTGTTCTCATTCAGAAGTATTTTGACTTTTTTATTCTTATGCATTTTCATATATATTTAGAATCAGTTTGTAGATTTCAAAAGAAAATGTCTACTTGAATTTGAATGGAATTGCTTTGCAACCAGATTACTTTGGGGGAAATTTGCATCTTAATTCTATTGAGTTTTCCAACAATAGACATGATGTAGCTCTCTACTGAGATCTTCTTCGATTTCTTTTATTAGAGGTTTACCGTTTTCAGCACAGAACCTGCATATATTTTGTTAGATTTATAGCTAAGCATTTTATGTTTTTGATGCTATTTTAAAATTACAATTTCTAACTGTTTATTGCTAGCATATGGAAAAAATAGAAATACAGAAATACTATCTAGAAATGCAGAACTACAATATACAAAATAAACTTGACCTTGTTTTTTTCATTCTTGCTAATATCACTTATTAGTTCTACTAAGTTTTTGGTAAGTTCTTTGAGATTTTCTCCACAAGCAATCACGTTCTCTAAAAATAAGGACAGTTTGGCTGGGCGCGGTGGCTCACGCCTGTAATCCCAGCACTTTGGGAGGCCGAGGTGGGCAGATCACGAGGTCAGGAGATCGAGACCATCCTGGCTAACACGGTGAAACCCCGTCTCTACTAAAAATACAAAAAATTAGCCGGGCGAGGTGGCGGGCGCCTGTAATCCCAGCTACTCGTGAGGCTGAGGCAGGAGAATGGCGTGAACCCGGGAGGTGGAGCTTGCAGTGAGCCGAGATCGCGCCACTGCACTCCAGCCTGGGCGACAGAGCGAGACTATGTCTCCAAATAAATAAATAAATTAATTAATTAAAATAAGGACAGTTTTAGTTTTATTCCATTCATTCCACTCTGGATGCTTTTATTTTATTTTTTTGCTTTTATTGCACTGACAAGGACCTCAAGTACAGTGTTGAATATGAGTAGTAAGAGAGGACATTCTTGCCTTGTTCATACTCTGAGAGGGAAAGCATTCAGTCTTTCCTCACTGACTATGAAGTTAGCTGGAAGTATTTTTGAGATGCTCACTTTCAAGTTGAGGAAGTGCTCCACAATCCCTCTTTGCTGAGAGGTTTTATCATGAGTGGATGTTAAACTTTGTCAAATATTTTCTCTGCATCTTGTGAGATGATTATATGGTTTTCTACTTTAATTTATTGATGTGGTGAATTATATCTATTGATTTAAAAATGTTCAACCAGATTTACATTTACTGACATATTTAGTCATGGTATGTTGTCTTCTTTTTATTCCTGAATCCACTTGCTCATATTTTGTTGAGGACTTTCACTTCAATTTCAATAATATTCCTCCTGTTTCATGAGGAATATTATTGGGAGTTTTCTCTCCTTTCTTCCTTTCTTGTTCTATCTTTGTCTGGCTTGGGTGTCAGTACAGTGCTGGCCTTATTGAAGATTTTTATACAGTGTTTCCTCTTCTTATATTTTCTGAGAGAGTTTGCATAGAATTGGTGTTCATGCTTTTCAGTTTAATTTTAAATACCATATCCTCGGAAAGACTTTCCTAACATTCCAATCTAAATTAGATTCCTTCTGTCTTTTAGTGTCTTTTTTCTTTGTACATTTTATTATAACTTATAAGTATATACATATATTTTAGGCTTATTTCTGTAACGTTTTCATCTTGTTCCAGGAGTCCAGGCCCATTTCTCTGTTGTTCACCATGATATGCTCATTCTTTGCGCAGTGTCTGATACTTAATAATTATTGGCTGAATAGATAAATACATCTCTAGAGTTTAAGAAATGTCATTATTTATTATTTATCATTACAGTGGTGAGTATTATACCTATAATTGCTTACTATGTATGTGTGTAACTTTACTATCGTGGCAAGGAAAGCACTTAACACACAATCATAATGGGTACTAAAAAACATAATATTGTAATAGAACTAGATCATTGCTTACATAGTGAATTATAATGTGGAGCTACAGTTTCCATAAATTACTTTAATCCTGATAAAAATGCTTTTATATTTTGTCATGTGTCTTGAAAAAAAGACCCAAAATTTTGTGAAATGTTAGATCTCGCATTTAGCCTTTGCATGAAAAAAAAGAATAATTTAGTAGAAATGGGATTTTAATTATTTAGCTTTCAGAGATCAAATATGATAAATTTAAATGAAGAATTCATGTTATACAATACTTTGAGTATTTTCTAACTTTCTTTTTTCAAATAAAATCTACAAAATATGCTTTGGTAACACAAATAGCAATTGGTCAGAGCAGGAAACTACGGAGCATGTGGTCCCAATTTTGGGGCACAGAAGCAGCCTTATCTGCTGAGGCATACAAAGGAGAAAGATTAAGGAAGTGTTTACAATTCATTCTAGTGGCTTCCATTTCAAATAATTTTTCAACTTATTCCCAGTTAAACAACTGCTGGAAGTTCTCTTTTCCAGTAGCATCAGTAGTTTTGGAGGGTAGAAGAGAAATGATGCCTATGGTTAGCTAATTGAACATGCTATAGAAGTGTTACATGAAGTCGAGCCTACAGCTGTCTCTTTACAATTTTAAGTTCAGCCTAAAGGCTTCTCTGTACGTAGTGAACTGTAACTTAATTAGACATGTAAACAGGCGGTAACCTATTCTTCTACCAATCACTGGGTTTCAGCCAATCCAAGACAGACAACTGTTAAAACCATGTTTAAGTAAGGCAAATGCCAAGCTGTAAAGAATCCAGCTGTTTTTGTGCTCCACTTCCATTTGTGCACATTTTCCTTTTTCTTTTCATAAATATTCTTCAACCATTTAGTGCTGGAGTATCTCTGAACCTATTCTGGATCAGGGGCTGCCCCATTCCTGCATTGTTCTTTGCTTAATTAAAGTCTGTTAAATTTAATTTGTTTAGATTTTTCTATTTTCACAGAAGAGACCATGACTATATTAAAAATAAAGCAAAAAACCCAAAATCTAAATTAAAGCCAAATTGACTTTCCCTTGCCAGTTGAGTTTCATTCGTTCATTCTTTCAACAAACACAGAAAGCGTAATATGTAGCAAGTGCTATGACAGAGGATGGAGATTAAATGGGGAGCTGAATAAATGAAGTACTTCACAGAGCTTGAAGTTCAGTGGGAGAATAGGAACAACATACAGGAGATAACGGCAAGTGATGTTAAGTTCTTTGATATGGGATGTGCAGGGATTACAGTCGTACAAATAGGAGGAATATTCACCTAGGTAAGAGGCAGTTATTTGGGGAAGCTTTCCTATTTAAGCTGATGTTTGAAAGATGCATAGGAACTAAGTATGTGAGAGGAGGTGAGGAGTGGAATAAATGTTATGCACAGAAGAATCAATACTGTTAACAACAACCAGTATTTGGGGGCATTTACTACATGAGGTACTATGATAAGAATTTCATATGAGTAGTCATAATCTCATTTGATCTTTACAGTGACCCTATGACTTGGGTGTTACTGTTATAAATTTAGAAATGAGGATGAGGAAACTGGGTCACAGGGAGTTTAGAAACTTGCCTCAGGTTACTCAAGTAGAGCCAGGATTTGAAAAGTGTTGCTCTATGAGTGGCTGGTTTCAGGAGAGAAGTTCAGAATAGCTGAAGTGCATAATGTGGATGGATGGAGGTTGTTAGAGGAGGGAAGTGGGGAAATGATGAGGAATGAGATTGGAAAGGGAGGATATGGGAGTCAGATTCCAAAAGGCCTTGCAAGCCTCATAAAGGAGCAACTTGAATATCACTTAAATGTTAGCCATCCTAATTACACTTTAAATTCCTGCTTTAAAGTATTTCTGGAGCTCCTTTATCTTACTTGATGTAGTGTAGAATATAGTCCTGGCTCAGCTGCCATGACTTAAACATGACAGACTATATTCTAGTAGAAACTGATTTTGGTTGAGAAGTTTTTATACCTTTGAGTAAAATAATCAGAAAAACTTCCTTATAGGAATTTATATCTTCCTGACAAATAGCATTCATTGTCTATAGTTATTTTTGCTGAAGTATATTTATTTTATTTTAATCTTTGGGTTAGATAGGACACAATGGACTGTTCTTTTTTGTTGTAAGAGTACCTCACAAATAATCTGTTATAAAAAATAAGGTATTACGTTTTGTGAATGTTTAAATGTAATTTACAAAGTAAGTTCAGGTTCAAAATTTTCCCTATATGTAACCATTATATTAGAGTTCTCTTTTTGAGTGGGAGAGGAAGGGGAGTTATTTTTAGTATGGAGGTGTTTTATGCATGAAAGTGACATTTTTCAAGCATATTAATGCAAATGATAATTGACAAAAAGTGTGGTGTTCTGAGGGACTGGAGGGGACTCCTTAAATCAGGAATGAGCTAGTGGGTACAGGAGGCTATGTCCTTAACCCTAGCCAATCATATTATACTCAAAGAGCCAGGAAAAAGAGTATATGTATTAGGATTCTCCAGAAAAACTGAACCAACAGGAGACAGACAGAAAGACAGACAGACAGATAGATAGATAGATAGATAGATAGATAGATAGATAGATAGATGAGGTGATCTATTATGGGAATTAACTCATGGGATTATGGAGGCTTTTCTGAAATGAAATGGAAGTTTTGTCTTTGTGTTTGCTTGAGTACCTGCTTGGGAACCCTGACCTTAGTTCTAGGAATGCAACAAATTCTAATTTTTGGTTTGCTAATTCAGGGTTAAAGAAAATCTTCTACATTTCCACTTTATGATCAACCACCTTAAATGTTGATAAAGGAACCTGTAAAATTATGAGTGAGGTGAGGGGGAAGGGTAAATATGGAAAAAAGAAAGGTAGCTTCCCTTGATTTATTAAACTTTCATTTAGTTACAGGGTTTATGAAGGAGCCAAGAGAGTCAAGGCAGCTTTCTACAAATTGAGCTGTCGCATTCATTCTCTCATACACTAGAGTTGCCACTTAAAAATATTAAAAAAAAAAAAACAAAACAATGTTGACCATCTAACAGGACTAGTTGACTCAGCCACCAACTTACCAAATTGCTTCATTTCTGGAAGAATTCCAGCATCTGGGAATTTGAGTTTTTCTAGAAGTCGGCTTGGTAAAAGTGGGTCAGTCCCCTGGGACTTTGTCTCCTCTTACAATAGGAAAGCCTTGATCTGACACAGCACAGTTGGTCTCCTTACAGGTCCGCTGAAGTCCATGAGATACAGCAGAGTTTGCCAACACTATTGGTGAGTATTTGTTCACTTTGGGATTAAGACACCTCGTGAGTCTCTGCATATGGCAACATTCTTCAACAAATATTTTGTATCTAAACAGGGAGAGCCCTTGGTAAAACCATAAAGTAGGTGAACTTTACCTTTCGTGATCCTCTACACTTCTTCTCTGTGCAACCTGGGGTCCTGTGACATTGTAAAATATGTATTTGGCTTTTGACTCTTGTTTCCTGGCATGCAAATTCTAAAATGCTTACGTCTTCCAGAGTGATGGTGTTTGTGTATGTTAATGATTAACTGATGGCTGGATGCCCTTAGGTAGCTTTAGGATGGGGGTTGGTCACCAGAAAGACAAGGGTGGATTAGAGGGTTGGGACTTTCAGCCCCACCCCTGACTTCTGGGGAGGACAGAGAGGCTGAAGTGCTGTGAGGTAAAAACAACTCAAACTGCATTTTTCCTCTGCTCTCACACCACAATAACCACAATCAACACAGAAGGCTTCTGTGACCAATGTGTGGGTTTTCCCCCCACATATGAATTCTACAGCAGTCATCAGCTAGGTGCCCTCCAATTCAGTTTCCATACTATCTACTGGAGACAGCCAATGGCCAATGGTTTAATCAATCATGCCTATGCAATGGCATAAAAACTCAGAAGGGAGGGATCAGAGAGCCTCCAGAGAGTTGAACACATGGAGGTTCCTGGAAGGGGCTGCACCCAGGGAGGGCATAGAAGCTCCACGCCCCTTTCCCCATACCTTGTCCTATGCATCTCTTCCTTGGTTTCCTTTGAAAAATCCTTTATTGCAAACCAGTAAATGTGTGTAAGTGTTTGAGTTCTGTGAGCTACTCTGGCAAATTAATCAAAATCAAAGAGGGAGACTTAGGAGCCCCAACTTGAAGCCAGTTGGTCAGAAGTTCAGGAGGCCCGGACTTGAGACTGGTTGCTAAAGGCAAGAGGGTGGGGGAGTTGATCTTGTGGGACTGAGCCCTCAACCTGTGGCATCTGATGGTGTCTCCAGGTAGATAGTGTAGGAATTGAATTAGAGGGCACCTAGCTGGCAGCCGCTGCATAACTGATTGCTTGTTTGGTGTGTGTGGAAGACCTCACACATGTTTGGTCATGGAAATTTTCTGTGTTGATTGTGGATGTTGTGGTGTGACAGCAAAGGAAAAATGCAGTTTGAGTTGGTTTGTCTTCACAGCGCCTTTCGCTCATTCCCACCCTGGCTACCTCAGCATCTTTGGGCTTTCTGATGTACTTAGCCTGGGAGTCCCAGCTTCTTCACTGTTGGAAAAGTTTGCACGCCTTTACGGTGCCTCATGCTCCAAGCCTTTCCCATTTACTTCAATTCCCCTTTTGAAACCGCCCAGCTTAGCTCCAATCCCTCAATGCTCTTATTTTTAGGAAACAATAGGTAGTGCACATCAGATATACTATAATTTTTGTTAACACATTAGATTGCTTTTATTTTTATCTGTCTTGCATAATATAATGTCAGCCTGGTTAGAAAGGTAGAAAATTAAAACATTTCAACAAACAAATGGGGAGGGCCTTTATAGGGCATTTGTTTCACATTCTTTAAGTAAATGCCTGCTCCTCAAATACCTAGAACTCATTTTGTGGTTATGTTTCCATTTTTCTTCAAGGTATTTTTGAGCAATTATAATTTAAGCATTTGGGGAGTTTTCAACATAAAGAATAATGTAAAATAAATAATGCTTTTACATGTATTCCAGGTAAGTCTTTAGGACTAAAAGTCCCAGAGACTATGCAAATTTTGTTCATCAATTTCAGTAGACTTTAAGATAAAAGCTAATCTAATTGTTTTACTTAACAGCTAAGAAACAGGGATTCAGGGACGAGGGAAGTCTTTATTAAGGTCACGGAGTTGTTTATTGGCAGAAAGGGAACCGGAACTCTGTTTTAATATGATTGATAGGATACATTTTATTTAAATAAAGATTAATAGCTTTAAATATTTATTACAAACATTGAGACATATTTCCAGTTATAAAGATAATTGTTTTAACACTATTCTTCCCCATTCCATCTATCCACTAGATCTCTAATTTGCTTTTTAAAATTACTTATTTATTTATTGTATTTTTAATGGGTAAATCATAGTTGTACATAGTTGTACCTATTTTGTTGGGGGTACATGTGATATTTTGATGCATGTATACAATTTATAATGATCAAGTCAGGGTAATTGGGATATCCACCACCTGAAACATTTATGTTATTTGTGGTAGGAACATTAAAATTATTCTATTCTAGCTATTTTGAAACATACAATTCCAGTTTCCTTTTAAATCTAACCCAAAATTCACCTTCCTGTAAGAAAATGTGTGATTATCTTACTTAAAATTTATTCAACTTGACATTTCAACAGACTTTAAGAAAGTAATTTTAGAATGTTTATGTTTAGCATGAATTTATTTATTTAAAGAGAAAGCTACTGTGTCTAGATTGTTTGTCTTATTTTCCCCATAAATAAACATGCTCCTTTTTCACTCCATAATACTCAATGGATGCTCTGAAAATGCTGGTGCCAAATTACTTTTGATTTCTCTCTTTTCCCCATATTGTTTTCTCTACCTTCTTTTTTCTAGGCCACCTTAGTCTGACAATGGAAGGTATAGTAGAAGTTAAGCGAAACATTCTCAGGGCTGATAACAGTTGAAAGTAATTTCATCTGGTCTTTTGGAGAGTGTGCCTTAAGGAAGATGGGTAGCTTTTCACGTATAGGGTATTCAAAGCCAAAAAAATGCAAGGAAATAGTCTAGAAGCATAAGAAAACTGGCTGTAAGGGGAGAAAAAAATTCTGGGAAGGTACAAGAAAAAAAATTCTGGGACGGTACAAAGGCATGAGGAAAACAGTGTCCAATTTAGATCAAACTTCTGTCTCCACCTTTGTATCCCTGCTGTTAATTCAAGAAAATGAGCTCCCAATTTAATTGTGGTGTGCGTATGCACCTGTTTAGCTGTGTGTTCAGAAAGCTCCTAAATTTTTGCACATCAAATGATTCCTATACTGCCCTGAAAGAATCAGTGCTTCCCGGAAAATCTCAAGCTTATTCCTTGGGAGTTTATTTCTGCCTGGTGGAATTTGATTCACCATCACATTTATAGTGGGTGTTTTGATTTTGTATTGGTGACTTGGGCACACAGTACATTTTTCTAGACAGTGTTGTCATGAAATGTGACTTGCAAAACTAAAGGCTGAAACAGCATTTAAAAAAATTCTTTTAGGCAAGAATTGAGATTGAATGTTGTACTATTTTTTAACACCTTTCTCTACCTTTCTTTGCTTCTGTTAGACTCTGACAAGGGTTTTTGATGCTTAAGAATGATTGGAAAAAAACATCAGAACAAATAAGATGCAGCATCTCGATTCCCTATCATGAGCTGAGGATGTAGGTTTTAGTCTCTTTCTTGGAGCTGTCAGAAGTGAAAGTCATGCTCATTCAAATTTCTTATTGAATGTAGTATACAGTTCTTGGGTGCTAATTGCCTAGGAACTCCATTTCCCCACTTCTGAGATAACTGGGTACAAGGGATGGGGTGAAGCAAAGATGATTCCCTGTTTCTTTCTTCTCTTCTTTCCTTCTATCCCCAGGGTGCAGGTATCAAGCCAGAAATTTTGTCTAATAGCGCTCAGAAATTATGCTATGAAAGGTGATTGGTGTCCGTAAGATGAACTTGTTTTCTTTTCTTTCTATTTGTTTTTGGTAATAATTTGTTATAAAGAATCTGACTGACCTAAACTTACCTCTTGAGATGGCCAGTAAAAATCATGCACCAGCTTTTCAGAACAAAGAGAGGAATAGTGACGATTGTGAACTTGAAAAGCCTCCAGGGTGAAGCCAGGAATGTGGGGGAAAGGTAAACGGGTTAAAAATATAGACATAATATTGGGAAGAAGGAAAGAAGAGGAAGGGAGGCCAGAGAAAGAAAGACTGCAAGATACTTAACCCAGACAGACTCGAAAGTAGTGCTTTTCAACAATGCCTCCCCTCCACTAGCAAAGAGTGACATTTGGTCATTTCTGAAGTTATACTTGGTTACCACAGCTTGTGTGGGAGGTAGGTGATACTGGTGTCTAGTGAGCAGGGCTAGGAATGCTGCTAATCATCCTTCAAGGTTCAGGATAGCCCCCACAACAGACATCTATCTAACCCAAATTGCCAATCATTGTGTCATTGAGAAATCTGCTTTAAACCACCTGAACAGGGATTCAACAGGGAAAATAATATTTTAAGCAGCTTTCATGTGTTCATGTGTGTATACAACCAGCATATAGTAGATTATTTTCTTTCTGGTAATGTACTCTACTTACATTCCCTCCTAGAACTTGTGGGCATAGCTGAAGATTTACATGAGTTTTGTTCCCCCCCACCCATTCTTTATCTGAGACTTGATATGTAAGCCTGAGTGCATACACTTTTTTTTTCTTGGCATATTAAATCTCTTTAGTCTTCCTACGTTATAGCTTCAGCAATTCCATTTAGAGCCTTTTACCAATCTCACCAGTAGAAAACTAATTCTCAAGAGTGCACTCCTTTAAGTACTGGATTTAGTTATTTTTTTCAACAAATATTTACTGAGGGCCTAATGTGTACAGGGCACTGCTGTAGATTCTTCACGTACATCAGAACATCAGTGAACAAAACAAAGATTTTTTGCGGATCTTATATTTTGTCAAGGAAGACAGACAATAAACAATAAACATAATAGCTAAGTAAAGGATATGATATGTTAGAAGGGGTGAAGAACTTTGTAAAAATTAAAAAAGAAGAAAAAGAAGGTAAGGCAGTGACAGTGGAGCAGCTGGTACACAGTATCAGCCAGGATATCAGGGAAGACCTCAGGGCTTTGTTACTTTTTCTAAGCTGCCATTTTGATTAGATTTATGGAGAAAAGTGGATGGTGCAAGCCAACGTTAAGTCATATAGCACAAAACAATGACGAAAATACCCCCTTGAGACATCTAGCTACATTATAATGTCCCTTTCTCCTCTTCAGTGTCTTTGATTCTGTCCTTTTCTTTTGAATGCCAAGGTCTTATTGGACCAGGGCTCTATGTGATTATTTTCTCTCATATAGATGGTTCCATTAGGAAGTGCCTTCCATTAAAAGCCTCTTAACTGACATTACATAGTAATGATTCTAGGACTGTGATGTTGTTTAGATTGTTCCTCAAATTAAAAGGGCACAGAAAATAACTTGCTAGTGAGTAACAACCATAAAATAATAGCGATTCGCAGTGTTCAATGGATAGTTTGAAATTGCACATCTAATTCCCTCAATTGTCTCTACGAAAATTGTGTTTTCAGAGTCATAAAATAGCATGGTAGTGTTGTATGCAATCTTGATAAATTAAACACTACCTATATCTTTTTTTTTGACAAGAGAATTTTCTTTGCTTTCACATTAATCACAAACTTACTTCTAAATGACAACACATGCAAATCTCTAGATTTCTTGGAATAATTATTTTGGAAATCTTATTGGTCACAGATTATCTCTGTTCTTGATGACGGGATAGCTTTGAAAGAATGTAAGCCAATGGCTCTTTATTCTAGCTAACAGCTTTACTGTAAAATTTCAGCCCGCATATACACAGATCATATAAAATTTTGACTTTGTTAACAGTCTTTCAGCGTCTTTGTTTTTATTCAGCCAATTTGAATTTCAGGGAGAATTCAGCTGAATAAAACATCTTATGTAAATTTTGTTTGATCTTGCTTACATTTTTACTCTTAATGAGGCACAGATTCTTAAATCAGCCAACTTGAACCAATACAGCAGAAAGGCGATGCACCCTAACACAGCCAGCTTTTCCTGTTCTAGGGGATTATGTTCTTAAGTAGCCCACTTTATTGTTTGTTGAACAAACATATCTTCCTTAGTTTTGCAGCTTTGGAAAATGGTTCTGATTTCCTGACAGCCTTGGTTGTCTAGAGCAGGACTGGGACTGAAGACCAAGTAACTCCTGCCCTTCCCCTTGTATGCAACATTCTCTGTTCCTTCCTTCTGCTGCCCCATTTCCCAGTGCTTTCCTGTCCCTGTTTCTGATTTTTGCCTGTACGCCGTGAATAGACTTCCCACTACATTTTTTATTTTACTCTCCACCTGTAAAAGCTACAATTCTCATGTCTACCATGGGAAAATAGGGCACATTCTTCAAAGTTCAACTCAAAAGCCGTTTTCTACTTGAACTCTTTGCCAAACATTAAGCTGGATGTCACTTTCTTCCTTCAAACTTCTCTAGCATTATTGTGGGTACTGTTTCTGTTGCCTCCATTCTCTCTCCCTTATTGTTGGGATAACTTGTGCACATCTTATTTTCGTTTCAAGTCTGTGAGCTCCTGGAAGGTGGAGACTGTGTCATTGTGTATTGTAGAGAGCACAGTTCAGCACCTGGACCAATTAGGAGACTGATTATTTTTAATTGAGTGCATGAGTATAGTATCTTAGGGAATATGCACTCACATTAGCAAAATACATTTTCTCTGTTTGCATCTCTTTCATTTCAGATTCCATAGGTAATCTGGAATGGAGGCATGGAGGTGGAAGTTCTGGACTCTTCTTCTCAATGTCTAGCTAACCTGGTCAGAGGCTTGCCAGAAGGGGCCCCGATAAAAGGAAGCTACACCCAAGATATGAGACAAGAATATGGGACAGTTAGCTTTGATCTCTGAATGTGTTGTGTATTGGTTTCAGTGCCCATCTCATAGAAATAAAATACTGCTTTATTCTGCATTTAATTCTTTGTATTGGAAAAGTCTTTATGTAAGAACATAACAGAAAATATACAGCCCTTTTTAAATGAAAATTTTATTGCATTAGAAGGAAATTATCATTAGATTTCACAGAAGAATAAAAATCTTTATTAGTCAAATGTCCCAAAGCAAAATTTTCTTACAATTTCATTAGATATAACTTCTTAAATTCTAAACTATAATTTGACTCACCAAATGCAATGTATTCATGTAGCTACCAAAGTTTAAGACATTCAGAAGGATAATAATAATAAAAACTAGTAAATATCTAAGCAATTTATCCAAAGCAATATGTAATAAATGCAAAAACTACTGCTGTCAAAAATGTATTTGTAAGCGTAAATCCAGGAGGAAATGTGCTAGGAAAGTTGCAATGTCTACGATACCTGCCATTTCCATGCCAAAACTTGCACACCGTTGGGTATGGGGTGCTTAACGATGTTGCATAGGAATTCTCACAGCGTCCTGTGCTGAACTCTGAGGAGAGTCTTTTCAGTAACCCTCGAGGGTGTTTCTCATGCCCAATTTATTCATGTAAAGGATAAAAAGCATTATTGCTAGAAGAGAACTTCAGGTTTAGGCAAACGACAAGCCAACCTCTGGATAATAAAGCAGGCAGGCAGAATGTGGCAGTGCATATTTGAGGCAGTCAATTTCAGTAGAAATTCATTAAGTAGAATGCTCCTAAGGGGACTTAGAGCAAGTATGTTAGCAGAGATAATAACGAAGGGCCCGGGTAAAAGGAAGCAACACCCCAAACAACACCAAAACAAGACAAGAAAACCTGGGGCATGCTTAGGGGAAACTTGGACGACATGTGAAGAATAAGACGAGACCAGAATGGAGACAAGCCCAAGAGCTAGAACCAAGGGTTTTCCTTGACATTTTTGGAGGAGAAAACAGAAGGGTGAGACTCTGAATTTGCATCCTTTGTAGATGTTCATGTAGATTTATACCTAAGGTAACTGTACCATAAATTGTGTATGGTTCTTTGTGCAGGGTATGGATTTACACTTTTCTGGAAATCTTTAGGTCATATCCACAAAGACTCAGTATAAAGAACCATTGTTTCTGATGGAATTAGCTGGCAATTTGAATCAAGATTTTTGTGTGAGCAGAACCAGAGGTAGCAGTTTCACAAATCCAATTAATTCACAATTAAAACTTACAATGGAAATGCAAAATTTTTATTACATTTATAACTAATTGGCTTTCTTCCAAAATCCTTATTTACTAATAGCAGGAAAAAAAATTAAATTTTCTGTATAGTTTAAAATGTTATTGATCTAATAATTTAAATTTTCAATTCATAAAATAATCTGCCCAGTTGTTCAGCAGCTTCCCTCTCTCCCTGCTTTTTTTCCTCAGACATGTATGGAGAAGGCGTATGACTTATGTGGTCTTGGGTGGTGGAGAAGACTCAGAGTCCTCAAACTAAATGTACCTTGGTGACTTGATATTGCTTGCCTGCTGTCATATACAACCGAAGTTTGTGGCCAATGTAATGTTACTTTGGTTAGGGTTAGGGTATATACAATATATTGTTAATTACAGTCAACCTACTCTGCTATCAAACATTAGAATTTATTCTAACTGTATGTTTGTACAACCTCTCTCCATCCTCCTCCCCGCCCCCAGTGCCGCCAAACACACCCTTCCCAGCCTCTGATACCCATCATTTTACTATCTAACTCCATAAGATCAAAGTTTTTAATTCCTAAATATGAGTGAGAACATACAATCTTTATCTTTCTGTGCCTGGCTTATTTCACTTAAGACAATGACCTCTGGCTCCATCCGTGTTGCTGCAAATAACATGATTTCATTCTTTATTTTGGCTGAATAGTATTTCATTGTATATATATACCATAATTTTCTATCCATTCATCCATTGATGGATACTTAGGTTGATTCCATGTCTTTACTTTTGTGAACAGTGCTGCTGCAATAAACATCGGTTCAGGTATCCCTTTGAAAATCTGATTTTCTTTCCTTTGGATAAATACCCAGTAATGGGATTGCTGAATCATACAGTACTTTATTTTTATTTTTTTGAGAACTCTCCATACTGCTTTTCATAGAGGCTATGCTAATTTACATTTCCACTAACAGTGTATGGGAGTTCCTTTTTATCCACATTCTGGCCAGCATCCATTATTTTATATCTTTTTAATAATAACCATCCTCACTGGAGTAAGATGACATCTTATTGTGGTTTTGATTTGCATTTCCCTGATGATTAATGATGTTGAGCATTTTTTAAAATATACCTGTTGGCCATTTATATGTCTTCTTTTTAGAAATGTCTATTCGTGTCCTTTGCCCACTTTTTCATGTGATTATTTGCTTTTTTACTGTTGAGTTGTTTGAGTTTGTCATATATTCTGAATATTAGTCCTTTGCCAAATGATTAGTTTTCAAATACTTTCTCTCCTTCAACAAGTTGTCTTTTCACTCTGTTGATTGTTTATCTGTTTTTATCTATTTATCTATTTTTGTTTTTGTTGCCTGTGCTTTTGAGGTCTTAGGCATAAAATCTTTGCTTAGACCAATGTCCTAAAGTGTTTCCTCTGTTTTTTTTTCTAGTAGTTTTATAGTTTCAGGTTCCATGTTTAGATCTTTAATCCATCTTGAGTTGATTTTTGTATATGGTGAGAGATAGGGATCCAGTTTCATTCTTCTACATAGGGATATCTAGTTTTCTCATCACCATTTATCAAAGAGGGTGTCTTTTCCCCACTGCACATTCCTGGTTGAAAACTGGTTGGCTATAAATCTGTCGGTTTGTTTTTGGGTTCTTCATTCTTTCCCTTTGATCTATGTGTCTATTTTTATACCAATACCATGCTGTTTCAGTTACTAGTGCCTTGTAGTATATTTTGAAGTCACATAGTGTGACGCTTCCTGCTTTGTTCTTTTTGCTCAAGATTGCTTTGGCTCTTCAGGCCCTTTTTGGTTAGAATTGTTTTTTCTACTTCTGTGAAAAATGACATTGATATTTTGATAGACATTGCATTGAATTTGTAGATTGCTTTAAGTACTAAGGTCGTTTTAACGATACTAATTCTTCTGATCCATGAGCATGAGATGTCTTTCCATTTGTTTGTGGCCTCTTCAATTTCTTCCATAAATGTTTTGTAATTTTCTTTACAAAGGTCTTTCATCTCTTTGGTTAAACTTATTTGTAGGTATTTTGGTTTAGGGGTGTGTGTGTGTGTGTTTGTGCATGCACGTGTGTGCAAGTGTGCGTGTAGTTATTGTAAATGGAATTGCCTTCTTGATTTCTTTCTCAGCTAATTCATTATGGGCATATAAAAATGCTCCTGATTTTTGTATGTTGATTTTGTATACTGCAACTTTACTGAATTTATTTATTAGATCTAAGAGGGTTTTATTGGTGGAGTCTATAGGTTTTTCCAGATATAGGATCATATCATCTCAAAGAGAGACAATTAACTTCTTCTTTTTCAATTTGGAGACCTTTTATTTCTTTCACATGTCTGTTTGCTCTGGCTAGGATTTCCAGTACTATGTTGAATAGGAGTGGTAAAAGTGGACATTCTGGTTTTGTTCCAGTTCTTACAGAAAAGGCTTTCAGCTTTTCCCCAGTCCGTATGATGTTAGCATTGGGTTTGTCATATATGGCTCATATTATGTTGAGGTATGTTCCTTCTATGCCTATCTTATTGAGAGTTTTACACGTAAAGGGATATTAAATCTTATTAAATGCTTTTTCTGTGTCTATTGAAGATGATCATATGGTTTTTATCTTTCATTCTGTTAATATGATGTATCATATTTATTGATTTACTTATGTTCAACCATCCTTGCATCCCTGGGATAAATCCAAGTTATTCATCATATTATATAGTGATATTGGATTCCGTTAGTAGTATTTTGTTGAGGATTTTGGCATCTATGTTCATCAATGATATTGTCCTGTAGTTTTCTTTTTTTTCTTGTCCCCTTGCCTGGTTTTGGTATCAGGGTAAAGCTGGCCTCATAGATTGAGGTAGGAAGAATTTCCTCCTTTTCAATTTTTTTTTGGAATAGATTGAAGAGAATTGGTGTTAGTTCTTTTTTGTAAGTCTGGAATAATTCAGCAGTAAAGCCATCTGGTCCCGGGCTTTTCTTTGTTGGAAGACTTTTTATTACTGATTCAATCTCATTACTCATTATAAGTCTGTTAAAGTTTTCTATTTCTTTTTGATCCAATCTTGGTAGGTTGTGTGTGTCCAGGAATTCATTCATTTTTTTTTTTAGGTCTTCCAGTTTGTTAGTATATATTTGTTCATAATCATCTCATAATTATTTTTGTAGTATCAGTTTTAATGGCTACTTTTTTGTTTACTTAGGTCTTCTCTCTCTTTTTTTTAGTTATTCCAGACAGTGGTTTATTGATTTTGTTCATTTTTCCGAAAAAAAACCCAACTTTTTGTTTCATTGATATTTTGTATATTTTTAGTCTCTATTTTATTTAGTTCTGCTCTGATCTTTTAATTTTTTTCTTCTACTAATTTTGGATTTGTTTTGCTCTTGCTTTTCTAGTTCCTTGAGGTACATCAGGTTATTGATTTGAAGTCTTTCTACCTCTTTGATGTAGGCATTTACTGCTATAACTTCTCTCTTAGCACTGTTTTTGTTGTATTTCATAGATTTTGGTATGTTATGTTTTAATTTTCATTTGTTTCAAAAAATTTTTTTATTTCCTCTTTAACTTTTTTCTTACCCAATGGTCATTTATAAGGATGTTTTTAAAATTGCTGCAGTTTCCAAAGTTATTGACTATTATTGATTTCTAGTTTTATTTCATTTTGATCAGAGAAGATGTTTGATATAATTTCTATTTTGAAAAACTTGTTAGACTTGTTTTGTGTCTTAAAATATGGTCTATCTTGGAGAATGTTCCATGTGCTGATGAGAAGAATGTGTATTCTGCAGATGGTGGATGAAAATTCTGTAAATGTTCTGTAGTCTGTTAGATTCATTTGATCTAAAGTCTAGTTTAATCCAACATTTCTTTGTTAATTTTATGTCTAGATGATCTGTTGTATTAGTCTGTTTTCATACTGCTATAAATAACTGCCCGAGACTGGGTAATTTATAAAGGAAAGCAATTTAATGGACTCACAGTTCAGCATGGCTGCGGAGCCTTCAGGAAACTTACAATCATGGTGGAAGGTGAAGGAGAAGCAAGACATCTTCTTCACAGGGCAGCAGGGAGAAGAGTTGCTGAGCAAAGGAAGAAGAGTCCCTTATAAAACCATCAGATCTCATGAGAACTCACTCACTGGCATGAGAACAGCATGGGGGAAACAACCCCTATGATTCAGTTACCTCTACTGGTCTCTTCCTTGACACCTGGGGATTATAGGGATTACAATTCAACATGAGATTTGGGTGGGACACAAAGCCCAACCATATCATCTATCCAATGGTAAAAGAGAGGCATTGAAGTCCCCAACTATAATTTGTTGGAGTTTGTCTCTCCCTTTAGTTTTAATAATATTTGCTTTGTATAACTGGATGCTCCAGTGTTGGATACATATAAGTACAGAATTATTACATCATCTTGTTGAAATGATCCCTTTATAATTACATAATGACCTTCTTTGTCTTTTTTTACTGTTTTTGACTTAAAGTATTTTTATCTTATATAAGTGCAGCTACTTCTGCTCTCTTTTTATTTCCAATTGCATTGGAAAAAGAATATCCTTTTCCATCCCTTTACTTTTACCGTTATGTGTTTTTACAGATGATATTAATTTCTTATAGGCAACATATAGTTGGATTATGTTTTTCAATCATTCAGTCAATCTATGTATTTTAAGTGGAAAGTCTAATCTGTTTACATATTAGGTTATTATTGATATGTGAGTGATTACTTCTGTCATTTTATTAATTGATTTCTGGTTATTTTATATATCCTTTGTTCCTTTCTTTCTCTCTTACTGTTTATCATTGTGGTTTGGCAGTTTTCTCTAGTGGTAACATTTGAGTACTTTCTCTTCTTTATTTTGTGTTTGCTCTACCAGTGGATTTTATACTTCTGTGTTTTTATTATAGTTGATATTGTTCTTTTTCTTCTAGGCATAGGACTCCCTTCAGCATTTCTTGTAGTGATACAAGTGACCTAGTGATAAATTCCCTCAGATTTTTCTTGTCTGAAAAATACTTTAGTTCTCTTTCATTGACAAAGGATAACTTTGTTGGGTATAATATCCTTGAGTGGCAGTTTTTCTTTCTTTCAGCAATTCGAATATATTATCCTATTCTTTCCTGGCCTGTAAAATTTTTGCTGAGAAATACTGTTAATCTGATGGGATTCCCTTATTAGTAACTGGTTGCTTTTTTCTTTTCTGTTTTTTCTTGTTTGTTTTTTTTGTTTTTTTTGTTTTTTGCTGTTTTTAGAATTCTTTTACTTTTGACAGTTATAATGTCCCATGGAAGAGACCTTTTTGAATTTTACCCATTTGAGAATTTCTGAGCTTTATTTACCTAAATATCTAAATTTCTTGCTAGACTTGGGAAGTTTTCAGCTATTATTTCATTAAATAGGTTTTCTATTCCTTTGGTTTTCTCTTTGACTTATGGGGCAATAAAAACTCAAAAATTTTGTCACTTCATGGTATCCCAGATGTCACAGAGGGTTTGTTCATTCTTTTTTGTTTCCGTCTGACTAGGTTATTTCAATAGCCCTGTCTTCAAGTTTTGAATTTTTTTTCTTCTGCTCCATTTACTTTGTTGTTGAAGCTTTTGAATGTATTTTTTTATTTCTTTCAATAAATTCTTCAGTTCCAGGACTTCCATTTGTTTCTTTTTTCTGACATTTATCCCTTTAGTATATTTCTTAATTGTATCTTGAAATGTTTTTCTAATTTCTTTGTATTATTTATTTTGTTTTATATCTCACTAAACTTCTTTAGTATCATTATTTTGAATTCTTTACCCGGGATTTCATACGTTTCTTTTTCATTATAATCCATTGCTGGAGAATTACTGTGTTTCAATGGAAGTGCCATATTTCCTTGCTTTTTCACATTTCCTGTGTCCTTACATTGATATCTGCATATCTCGGGTAGCAGTTACTTCTTCTAATGTTTTGGGTTTGCTTTCATAGAGGAAGATTTTTTCCTGAAGATGTATCTATGGTGTTGATTAGATAGAGCATTTGGTATTGTTTCTGTGTGTATGAAGTAGTAGAGTCTCCATATAATTTATTTGGTTGTAAACACCGACAGTGGTGTGTGTAATCTCCTCAGTGGTATAGGCTGTGGTTGTTAGTGGAATCTGTGGTTAAGTATTGCCAGTAACGGGAATGCTAATTGGGCCTGTCCTCAGGCCCCACTAGTGGTAATAGTGGGCCAAGCGTGCTGTCCTTGGAACCCAGGGTGGTATATGCTGACACTCGTGTTAGCAGGTTCAGGGAGGCTGATTCTTGGGCCACTTACATGGCTTGTTTGGGTGCTTTCAGTGGCAGAAGTGGGTTTGATGGGTGGGCATGTCCTCAGGCTTCTGGGCAGCAGATGTAGTATGGGCAATGGCAGTAGCAGTGGTGGGACAATCCTCTGGCTCCTGAGTGGTCTGCACCAGTGTGAGTGGTGGCTTCACTGAGCTGGTTATGCCAGTTGATAGGCCCACAAGAGCTGTGTGCAGATAGATGCCAGCTGTGGTGATAGTGATAGTGGCAGGGGACAGACAAATTCCTAGGCATACAGGGGCAGGTCCCCGGTAAAACCCAACCTTCAAACCAAAGAAAATTTAAAGCCGAGAAACCGAGCTGCCAGTTCCAGATAGAGTCTACGAACAGGGTGAGAACTTCTGTTCCTGTTTGCCCACTCTTTCCTGATTGGCTCTTTCTGAATAATGCTTTTTAACCAATTGAATGTTACCTTTTCCAAGGATACCTGTAGCCATGCCTCCTCATTCCAAACCTGTTAAAACCTGGACTCAGACATGCAGCTGAGCCTGCTTTCAGGCCCCGTCTCACATAGGCCTACCCACTTCAGGTTCCCTCTTGTCAAGAGCTTTTCTGTTGCTCAATAAAATTCTTCTTTGCCTTGCTCACTCTCCGGCGACTGCATACCTCATTCTTCTTGGTCATGGGACAAAACCCCAAACCCACCAAACAGCAGGAAAAGTAAAAGAACTGTAACACATTTCTCATTGGTTTGGTGAGCTGTGGGCGGCATGAGTGAAAAAGAGCTGTGACATGCTTCTGTTGGCTGGACTAGAGGAGTGAAGAGCTGCAACCCTTTTAGGGCACAGCCTGCCAGACTGAGTGGGTGGAGTGAGCCCAGTGGGCTCAGCTGAAGCCTGGGCAGAGGCACCCCTGGCTGTGCTTTGCAGCTCACAAGGTAGCACTGAAAGAATCCTGTGTCAAGAGTGGCTGGTTGGGTGAATCTGACTTCAGGATCTTGGGAGGAGTGCTTAGGTGCCAATGGTGGTGAATGAAACTGGGTGATCTTTTTGCCCCCAATATGGTGTGTTTAAGCACTGGGAGGAGAGTCTGGATAACTGTGTTGGTCCTCAGGCCCTCTGGCGGTGCATTCAGGCACTGGCTGTGGTAGGCAGGGGTGGGATGATCCCCAGGTCCCTGGAAGAATACCTGGGTGGGGAGAGCATTGGCTGTGCTGTGCCCTGCTGCTGGGGAAGGTAGGTTTCTTTTCTGTAACAGCAGCTTTAGGCAGGTGGCTGGGGGGCATGTGCTATATAGCCCCATGTAGTGGCTGTGAGCCATGTAGCCTTTCCTCAGGGTGCTTGTAAATGCACCATGGCTCCACTGCTGGGGATGGCTTGTTACTGTCAGTAGCTTGGGCTTTGGCTCAAGCAGCTACAGCCAGCAGCTGTGGTGGCTGCAGAAAGGGGAGTCTGTCATTAGGGCATGTGACAATGTACTGTCACTCAGTTGCTGGTGGAAGCATGATTGCTGCCAATAGCTTATACTTCTGGGGGCAGCAGCCAGCAGCAGCTAAGACTGTGGGTATGTGATGTCAATAGGGTTTCAGGGCTGTATAGATGCAGAGGCTGCTGGGGCCCAGGGCAGGAGGCAGTCTGATGGTGAATGGGTCCTCAGATTAGCACTATACTGCAGGTGTTTAGGACTCAGGGGGTATGTGACACCCAGTGTGATCTCCCTTTCTGGAGCAATATTGTGCAGTTTCCAGGCAGCTCCCTATGTAAGTCTCAGGGCCGTGAGGGTTGAGGTGCTCTCTTATGGCTAGGATTCCATTTCTACTATGGAATCCTAGCCATAAGAGAGGATTCCATTCTGGGGATCTCTCACTTGCCCTTTTCCTGCACTGGGAAGCCTATTCAGGATCCCAGCCAATCCTGGCTGAGTAGACTGCCTAGCTTCCCTCTCCTTGTTTTAGGTGTTTCCTCTCACTTCTCTGTTGGAATCCTAGATAATCTATTCAAAGTGTGATTATCTCAGTGTGTGCTATTTTAGTTCTTTTTATGGAGGAGACAAGTACCAGATGCCTCTAGTCAGCCCTCTTTAAGTCTCTCTGCTTCCCCTATATCTTATTTTCTCTTTTAATTCTAGCCAAGGCTTAATGGAAGACTTAATATTTAATGGTTATGTTCTATATATTTTTTTAAAAAAGTGGGGACTGACTCCTCTTGGCTTAATAACTGATTTTTCAAAGAAAGTAAGAATTCCATTACTTAGAAAATCATGCCTTAAGACAATAGCATGCGTCTTGCAGCTTAATCCTAGTCTGAAAATTAGAAGTTGCCCTTTCTCTTTGCATTTTGAATCAGTAGTCACACCTTTCTCCTACCCAACCACAACAAAATGCTTTAAGCTATGTACTTAGAAGGGTACAGTAGAAAGCCCACCAATTTAAAAAATATTACTTTTATTACACAGCATTACATCTCCCTCCCCAAGTCCCACATATTACTTCCATAAATTTATTTCAGTTTGAGTGCACCCCAGATTACAACAATAGCACTGAGGTACCAACAAGGTTGATTGGATAGTTCCTAGAGACAGATAGGCATTTCCAGTTAAGAGTACATGTTTTAGCAAAAATCATGTGGCTTAACATTCTTTACCAAAAGACAAAATAACAAAAAAACTGTGTGTATGTGCACATGTGTGTGCATGTGTACATACACATATATCCTCATATATTTAATTTTTAAATATATTTATTTAAAGTGTTTTTAAATTTGTTTTTCATTTTATTGATAAAAAAGAATGTGGATACTGTATTACATTTTAGCTTTGAGAGTTATGTAAGAAATTATCTAGAAGGAATTTCATGATGCCACAAATTTAACATAACTTATGTTGTTAAAACATTGTAAATTATTTTCCTGTGACATGAGTGGAATATCATCTTACTTCTCCGGTGTCTTTCGCTAATTGAATGCTTGCTTGTCATTTAATTCTAATGAAACCATAGGGGAATAATCACAGGACATTGACTAATATGGAAGATCATTGAATTTTTTTGAGCAAAATAGAAGTTTAGCTTTTCCTTCTGGATGCAGCTAAGAACATAATATGAATTTCTTTATTCTTAAGCAAATATTCTGAAAAATGAAATAAATAATAGGTTTTTAAGCAGTTTGTGATTTCAGATAGTTGAGAAACAAACAAGGCTATAGTTGAAATGCTGAGGTTATTCTCTTTTAACATTGGCCTCCTGAATTTAGGGTTTTAATTTTAAGTTGTAGGCAGCAATGTAATTATTTACATATGTATGTTATATTATGTGTCCTATAATCATATTCCTAATATAATGTTTTCAATCTTTTGATATCAGGTGTACTGTTCTGTGAAAAGTTGTCTCTTAGTTATTAAACTTCTAAGAAGTTTTTGGATTTGAAACCATATGTCCGGTGGTATTTACCCAAAGCTCAATCTGCTGAAAAATGCAACATCCCTAGAATCCCTTCTGTTCAAATTGGAAGGGACTTGAGTGATTGTCTATGCTTTCTAATGTAAAGACCCTTCTTCTCCTAGGGGAAGTTGAGTGTAAAGGGAAAACTTCATTCTATCTTCATTCAAACTTCTATTAACATAGCACCATCTTTCACACTCAGGGATATTTTAGCTTCCTGATTCTACCTGCTTTAAATCTAACTGAAAAGGTCCTTATTATCTTTAGCTCTATTAACTTTATAATTTAGCTTTTCTAACATTATTTTAATTTCATTATTTTCCTAATTATATTTTTCACTGAGTACACTATACATTTCTTTTCCAACATTTTTACATACCATTAAAAATCTGAGTTTACCAGAAAGTTTTTTTTTTTTTTTTTTTTTTTTTTTGGTTTTTTGTTTTCCTTTTTCAGAAAACTTGTCTTCACTGAACATATTCTTTTTTTCTTTCCCCAGAACCCATTCACTATTCAATAACTAGATTTTTGCTTTCTGGTTGACACGACTCTTGTTTAAACACAAAAAGCAGGCTAAAATGATTTGCCTAATTTCTACAATGTTATAGTTATTGTGCCCAAAACCACCTGGAAAAGACTATGTACATTCTTTTTTTAATGAATCTTTGGCATTATGTAATTATGAGGAGAAATTAAATAAAAAAGTATAGAAATCCCAGTTTAGTGCTCTTGCTACTAGAATTCAGAAACAATTTTTCTACTATTTCTGATCTTTGTTAATGATGGTTTAAAAGTGCCTTATAAAATATATTTTTTCAAAATACCACTTTTGAAAGGTATAAAATATGCCTTATATACAGAGTTTTTATCTATTTTATTTACTTTTGATAGATTCTTTTAAAATAATTTTTTTGACAAATTATAATCATCTATAATTATGGAGTATACAGTGCTGTTATACGTATACAGTGTGGAATGATTGAATTAAGCTAATTAGTGTATCTATCACCTTAAATACATAGCATTTATTCCTTTTGTCTAACTGTGACTTTGTACCCTTTGACCAGCATCTCTCCGTATCCCTACTCCACAGCTGCTGGTAACCACTACTCTCTGCTTCTATGAGTTCAATTATTTTAGATTCCATATATAAGTGAGAACATGTGGTTTTTCTCTTTCTACAGACTTTTAAAATGACAATTATCTCTGGTGGCAGTGTTATGGGAGATTTTTCACATCCTTTATGCCTCTTCATGTTTTTTATTTTTGTCTGCAAACAAAACAAAATAATTATATTAATAATTGATTCAATTATTTTAATTCACACGATTTACATATTGCTCCTAATCAAACAGTCATGCTTTCAGCTTTGCCATCTTTCCTGTGGTTTCTTATTCCCAAAGCTCCAAGGCTGTATGCATTTCTTTGCCCTGAGAAGCCTAGTATATAGAGTGTAAAAACAACCCAGGGCCATACTCATTGATTTGGTTGTTTGGTCACCTATTGTTATTGACACATTTTTAAAAAAATTAAACTAAAATCAATTCAAATGTATTATTTTTCCAAAGATAGTTATAAGTTTTCTTCAAACGCATTTTTTCCCCAAGGTCTAAATATTGATAGCAAATAAAGCAAGTTGTCATTAGCACTGTTGTCTAACTTGTAACTGTTCCATCTCAGATAGCCAAAGTCCTGTTTTCAGGGTTGTTTTGGCATCTGGTCACATCCTGAACTGTTAAAAATGAACCAACAAGGAAATTCTGGCAGTTTTTATTATTTCTTTTCTTCTTTCATCTTCGTAATAGAGAAAGCACACTACCATTTTCTACTTAGGGTCATAAGGAGAATCTTAGAAATTGAAAACATACTCCAGTTTTTCCTTTATTGGTATCCTTGGTCAGGGCCAATCCTGGATAGTTGGAGAGAATGATGTGGCTCCATGGTCTTAGCAGAAATTAATACCTTTTGCATGATTGATGAGTGAATAAAGAAATGAAAGAGTCCTGCCAATCATGAAAGCTGTGCCCAGTGGTGCAAGATTATGACATTTCTCTGTTGTTCAGATCACGCTTGAAATAGTATATTGAGACTTGGATGTATCTCTATTCAGAGAATAGACAAACTGAAACACATTCATACTCAACCACCACAGCAGCAATGCAGTATTATCTTGATATCTAATTCATTTCACGCACCTTGATTAGTTTTTACTCATATTCTTAAGAGGTAAATATTGTTATTGCCTTTTTTTTAGATTAGAACACTGAAGCTTAGATGCTTCACTTAGAGTCATACACATTCAGGGGTGATGTAAAATTAGAACTCAGGCTTTTCTGACTCAAAACCCCTGCTGAAAGCCCAATCAAACAATACTCTTTCAGTGAACAGAATTAGGGCCATGGTATATTATATGGTTTAGATGTTTGTCCCTTCCAAATCTAATGTTGAAATGTAATTCCCAGTGTTGGAGATGGAGCCTGATGGGAGGTGTTTGCATCACTGGAGCAGATCTCTCATGAATGGTTTGGCACCACCCCCTTGGTGATAGGTGAGTTCTTAGTTCATACGAGATCTAGTCGTTTCAAAATGTGTCGCCTCCCCCTCACTCTCTTTCTCTTATTTTCACCATGTGAAACACCTGCTCCCCTTCACCTTTTGCCATACTTGGCAGCTTCCTGAGGCCCTCATCAGAAGCTAAGAAGATGTTGATGCCATGCTTGTACAGCTGGCAGAACCATGGGTTAAAATGAACTTCTTTTCCTTATAAATTACCCAGCCTCAGGTATTTCTTTATAGCAATGCAAGAATGGCCTAACAACATATGTTTATATAACATAAAGCTGAAGAAGCTGGGCATTGTGGGAGAAAGAATACTTGTGGTGAGAGAATGGAAGCTGTCACCAACTATTTTAAGGGCTATAATATGGAAATGAGGTTAGATTTGTTGTTGTTTTTATGACTCCAAAGGAAATAAAAATAATAATTGGGTGGAAATCACTGAGCCATAGATGAAAGAAAGATCTCCCTAACTCTCCTTGATATACAGGATCAGGCTGCTTTTGGAAGAAGTAAGATCCCTGTCTCTAAAAGTATTGCATAATTGGCAAAGACAGAGTGAGAAATATAAAATATACAATAGATGGTGCTGGCTATCGTTAAAAATTCTTTTCAGTTTGGAGTGTGCATATAAATGCATTTTGCAGACTAGAGAAAAATGACCTGGAAATTCATGCACTTCAATAGGATTTGTATGTAGAGCTATTTTCCTAGTAACAATGAGAGTAAACTGTCTAACTTGTCTTCCTCAATGTTTTCTGAGTATTCAAAGGTGTGAACTTAGGGTATGTTTCTTATGGTGATTGGGGTTTGTGGTTGGAGACAGCAAAATGATTTCTCCTGTCAATTGAGAAAAATGAGGAGACAAGTCTCAATCATTTTAGGAGCTTTATTTGCCAAAGTTAAAGATGTGCACCCATGACACAGCCTCAGGAAGTCCTGATGGCATGGGGCCAAGGTGGTTGGGGCATAGCTTGGTTTCATACATTTTAGGGAGACATGAGACATCAATATATGTAAGAAGCACATTGGTTCCATCTAGAAAGTCAGGGACTACTCGGTCTTCCAGGTCACAGGTAGGTGAAAGACAAATGGTTGCATTCTTCGAGTTTCTAATAAGCCTTACCAAAGGAGGCAATCAGAATACGCATCTGTGAGCAGAGGGATAACTTTGAATAGAATGAGAGGCAGGTTTGTCCTGAGCAGTTCCCAGCTTAACTTTTCCCTTAGCTTAGTAATTTTGGGACCTCAAGATTTTCCTTTCATATTTTCCCCCTTCCTTTTTTACAAATGTTTTGGAGAAAGCATTTTAGGAGAAAATAAGTATCTGGTCCCAGGTTTTGTCTGATCTTTTATGACTTGGATGATTTATTCCTGTACATATAAGAGTTATTAGGAAAGCTTATTTTTAAAAGGTTGTGAACTCTCATTTTCTACGGAGAGAAAATAGGGAGAAGAAAGGAGAAAACAACAACAAACCCCAGACAATACACAGACAACTCACCAAATGTCAGGGAGCCAAACAAGTGTTTCTGTGGACTGGACCGATGAACACTTCTCCACACTTACCAAAGGGAATTGGGTTCTCACATGCACTTAGGAAAAAGAAAACCATGTTGGCTTGCCAGTTATCAGGGGAACCCGCCCCCAATATTTCAACGTAGGTTCTATTTTCCATAAGTGTCAGCCAGCTGAGAAATAAAGAGAAAGAGTACAAAGAGAGAAATTTTACACCTGGGCCACCAGGGGTGATATCACATATCAGTAGGACTGTGATGCTCACCTGAGCCTCAAACCAGCAAGTTTTTTATTAAGGGTTTCAAAGGTGGGGGGTGTAAGAATGGGGAGTAGATCACATGCTTCAAAGGGCAAAAGGCAGAACAAAGATCACATGCTTCAAAGGGCAAAAAGGAGAACTACAGATAAGCGTCCAACAAAGATCACAAGGCAAAGGGCAAAAGCAGAACTACTGATAAGGTTCTATGTTCAGCGGTGCACGTATTGTCTTGATAAACATCTTAAATAACAGAAAACAGGGTTCGAAAGCACAGAACTGGTCTGACCACAAATTTACCAGGGTGGAGTTTTTCCCCACCCTAATTAGCCTGAGGGTACTGCAGGGGACCAGGGCGTATCTCAGTCCTTATCTCAACCACATCAGACAGACACTCCCAGAGTGGCTTTTTATAGACCTCCCCCCAGGAATGCATTCCTTTCCCAGGGTATTAATATTAATATTCCTTGCTAGGAAAAGAATTTAGCGGTATCTCTCCTACTTGCATGTCCGTTTATAGGCTCTCTGCAAGAAGAAAAATATGGCTCTTTTTGCCCGACCCTGCAGGCAGTCAGACCTTATGGTTGTCTTCCCTTGTTCCCTAAAAATCGGTGTTATTCTGTTCTTTTTCAAGGTGCACTGATTTCATATTGTTCAAACACACATGTTTTACAATCAATTTGTACAGTTAACGCAATTATCACAGTGGTCCTGAGGTGATGTACATCCTCAACTTACGAAGATAACAGGATTAAGAGATTAAAGTAAAGACAGGCATAAGAAATTATAAAAGTATTATTTGGGAACTGATAAATGTCCATGAAATCTTCACAATTCATGTTCCTCTGCCACGGCTCCAGCCGGTCCCTCCATTCGGGGTCCCTGACTTCCCACAACAACAAACAAAAGGACAATCCTGCAAAATTGATATAGGCCACATTACTCTGAAGTCTATACATCAGTAAGCAGGTATGAAAGTAACTTATGTATGTAAATAGGTTGCTGTTATTTTCTTCTGAAGTTTAAGTTGTCTAGTTTTAGTTCATAGGACTTTACAAAAGCACAGCTTAGTTTTTAGTGACTCCAAATTAGGAAAAAATAAATAAAAATTGAAAACATTATTTTGAAGTCTTGTAGCCAAGAAAAAATAGAATTCAGTCCAAACTGTAGAAAATAATAAAAATTGAAAAACATTGGGCCAGACTAGAATCTAACAGCAGGTGTATTATAGTTTTTGAAAGGTAATTTTTCTCCCTCCAGTTTGCCATTTTTACTAAAGAAAAATCCTGGTAGAACCGATTTGCTTTATTTTACTTGGCCACATTATTTGTATGCAGTGCAGCAAGAATAATTCTTTTTCACATAGGCTTTTTAATATTGGCTTTGATGGAACTTTGTTCCATAGAAAGAATCTCAGTTAAGACTTTTTAAAAGCCAAGCCCAGTTACGGATTTGTACCATGAAACACCTATAAGTTGGGTGGATTTCCTCTCCTCTTGAGGTTCCAAGATAAACCTAGGCTCCTGGACCCAGTTTATCTAAAAAATGTCAGAAAGTGACATTTTTTACTTACCACATGTCAGAAACCCTGTGCAGGGACTGTGTAAAATATGAGACCAGTTTTCTCAAAGGCTTTTATAGGCTCCATCAGTTAAGTTTGATTCCTTAAAGGAAAGCACACCATTCTAATTAAAGCCATGGTAAAATAACCAATTTCTCCAATAGTGTCTTGTTACAAATAAAAACAGATTTTTATTACACTTATGCCAAAAACTGTACTGCCATAAGTTAAGAATACTCACAAATAGTTTCCAAATTCTGCAGAAATCACATAGAGAGAAACAAATATGCTCCAAATTTTGTTCATAGGAATATACTAAATCGTTAAAAGCTGTCAATAGTTCAAAAGAACAGTTTCAAGTTACTGGTTTTACATCAGTGTGCCTTTGACATTAATGATTAATTTATAGAGAAACAGAACTTATTTTATCTTTTAAAATCAGCCCTTACAGTCTCATGCACCCACCTCTTCTGCAATAGTCCCTGGGCCTTGAGGACTTGAAAAGCTTTAATTTCTGGCCCTGTGTCTTAGAAATGCAGTGTATTTTGACTAGCATCTTCTACAGGGCCTATAGATGAGGCTTTAATTGTTGTCAGTGTTTAAGATTTAGCAGGACTTGGTGTTCCATTTAGACCTAGGAGTCAAAGCCCTGTAACTCAATGTCACAAGGACTTGAAAGCACATACACGAAGTTATACGAATGTAATAACCTTAATTTAAAAATGTTTAAATCTCCGGTTTTTCCTAAGCAAGCCAAACTGAATAATAATGGCATAGGAATTATTTTGATAAAACGTAAAATCTATTAGTCCAGTTACCAAAAAGCAAAAGAAAAGATCTTCTGCAGTGCACATAATATTATGTTGGCAGAAAACATTTCCTTTAGACCTTTAAGAAAACATGCTTTTTATAAAGGGAGAGAAAGCTAAAAAATGATGAGATGCAATAAAAGTTGAACTGTGGGTTAAAAAAAATTAAAATCTTTTATCATTTATTAAGAGTAAATTAACTCTGTAAGAAAATTTCATTGTTCTAACCAGTTATTTAGTGTGTAAGTGTTTTTTTACATCAAGCCCAATTTCTAGAAAGGCCATTACAATTTCTCTTTAATTATAAACAACTTGATTATATAAGAGTTTTTTAAAAATTATTTTATTATAATGTACAAAGATCATTTATGACATGCTTGGACTTTCTGGTTTGTCCTGAACATTGCTCTTTCTTAAACAATCAGTCCTTTTATTCTAGGTTTAAATTTACCATTCAAGATTTTTTTCTTATATAAAATTATTTTTCTTTAAGCTTTTTTTTTTAACCAAAGAAACCTCTTTATTTCTATAACTTTCTTTACATTTCTCTTAATTCCTGGCCCTTTTTACCTTATTTTATACATTGCCTTTAAATAAGCTTTGAATTAGACAAAAGTTATTCATCTTTTGTAAAAAGGGCACACTTTTTTCTTTTAGCAGGAGTATTTTCCTACAATATATTTTTATTGGAAAATACTCAAATAATAAAATATATATTATTTAATTTATCTTTATATTATAAATTATGACAACTTTGTCTACAAGTATTTATCCCATTACATTTACCTATTTTATTTTAATTGTTTACCTAGATTGTTTATGAAAACTGCAATAGTCATGATTTAAAGTCATGAAACTGCTATTGCAAAATTATAACTAAGACAGTGAATAAGATTTGATCTAACTGACTCCATCTTGCTTTTAACGTCCAATCTGTCCTTGTTCATTCCTGGGCATAGGTCAAACTAACTTTCAGAGAGACTTGGTTTACAGTTTAGCTTTGAAACAAACACAATAATAGTCCTTTCCCCAAACAAACCTTCTTACTGCCTGTGAACTAGACTGCCGAAAGCCACAGGATTAGAGGTTATGGTAATCTTACTAAATTCAAGATGCAGCTATTTTTATTAAACCAATATCAATGTCTTATGTATTAAAAGTTACACAAGAAAAGATCATTCTATTTTGGGCTGGGTTTATAGTTTTGTAACCCCCATGCCAAATTTTGATACCTTACAGTATTTGGCAGGGATAAGTATGAAATTCCTTGATTAATAAATGCAAACAAAAATGTATGCTGGCAATTCTTAAGACATTTCTAATATTACTTTACCAATAATTTTAAAGCTAGCTTATTATTAAAGATTTTACTTAAGTTATATAAAATTGAAAAAACATTTGACTAGTCTTTTCTTTATTCCTGATAAAGTATTTGATTCAAGTGCTTTTATTTTTCTTGAACCAATTAATTAGAGCTCTTTTATGTATTTTCAGTAGTGAAACATTGTGTACACAACACATAAATGCATAGACATATCAGGCATGTGGATAGAAGTACATCTTACAGATTCATAAAGATCCTTTTTTGTTTTTTCCTATTTTAGACTTCCCAATTCTTGATAACCTGTTCCACAACCCTAGGCAGTTGTCAGCTAAATAGCCTTAAATTTGCATATTAAAGGAAACAACTCAGGTGAAAATCAAATAGAAAAATTTGCATCATAAGGTACAGAGAGAAAAAGTCTGGTGGTCTGTTCGAATTCATAAAAATAGGGTAGTCAGAAGGAGATGATTTTATTTTTCTTTTAGCCAATCAAACATAAAATTATATAAATTTATCAATGGATTGTAAAAGGAGACCAATTTTATTTAGATAGAGACTACCTATTTTTTTTTTTTTAACTGGATCTCTGAGCTCTTGGCAGAGCCCACACTGAATCCTGGGTCTTCAAAAAATGATAATTATTTTGAGGTTAGACCATGTGATGCTTTTTCAGTGCACGTAATTTTTTTTTTTAAGTAAAGGTGCTTCTGAGTGTCTAAATTACACTCTTCATTATAAAACCCAAGAGTAGCCTCTGTTGCAATAACTATTTTAGTCAAAAAGTCAGGTGAAAATAGAATTCAGTTAACTGAGAAGAAAAATATTTTTTTGCTCAAAAAAAGGCAAGGTTCTAGGAGAGAAAAATAAACAGAAAAACCCCAAAACATGAAGGCTTTTTAAATACAAATATGCACACATTTACACATCTTGACTTTTAACCATTGAGTTCCTTAAAAAAAAAAAAAACTTTTGAAATATCATCTCCATATTTCAGCTAGGACAAAATGCTGCTATTTCAGAAGTACAGCTCTTGCTCTTTCAGTTTGGTCTGGCTGGCAAAAAGGGGCCTTGTTATATAAAGAAAGTACCTTTAGTGGTCAAAACCAAAAGCTTTCCTCTTTTTTGTTTCCTTTTGCTGGCCATTTTCCTCCCCCCACCATACCACCTTTTTTTTGTGGGTATTTAGCCACTTTAGAGACCTTTCTCCCCATTATTTAAGAGTTCACCTTTGAATTTGACCAAGTTGGTACAGGTGTTGGACCCAAAATGTGCTGCTCACAGGCCTAGCTTTTCAGGGCCGTTACCCCTTGAACTGGTTTGGTCCACCCATGTTGTGGCTACCTGGCACAGTATGTCAGGGGCTAAAGCTGTGGGAGGGGTCAGCTCCTTATATGCACCTGCTGGTTGAGATTAGACCCTAAATACATTTTTCTGAGGAGGAATCCTATTTAGAGCGGCTGCATGTCTTAGGAAGCATTCCTCCCAGACACCCTCACGTGATTCTCAGTCGCCTGAAAATGCCTTGAAAGGCTGAGGGGAGCAAGGTGCTCTTAGTTCTTCCAAGTGGAAGATTCCACACTCATGTGCTAGAGGGTTTGGAGTTGGTTGAACTCTATAAGGGAAAGGACCAAAGCACATGCACAAAAAACCCCAACAAGACAGAAACAAACAAAAAAATAGTTAAGCAAAACCAACAATGATTACACAAATTATAAGATTTTTGAGTGTTCTATGTGTAAGCAGAAATTAACATCAGCTGGTTGTTAATGCTAACTTTAATCGTTTAAAAAGAATTTTCGAGACAGAATCCCAAACCGATTTTTTTACCTAGTAATGGGGCCCAAGCTCAAAATCGCTCTCTGCTGATGCAGAGGCAGGCTTGCCTTCCTTGATGGAAAAGAGTAGAAACTCCCCCCAAAAGGAGTTTTTTAACAGCAAATAAACCTCAGACCCCCAACAAAAAAAAGTTGGAAGATCAGGGATCCCTGAAGGAAAGAGTTCCTGGGCTTCAGCAATTGTCCTATCAGTTTGGGCTATAGGTGCCCAAGCCAGTACCAAACACTGATAGACGAGCGGCTGCAGACCAGGTCATCTTTACTCAGAATTCCTTCATGGTTACCAGATGTCAATTGAGAAAAATGATGAGACAAGTCTTAATCATTTTAGGAGGTTTATTTGTCAAAGTCAAGGACACATGCCCATGACACAGCCTCAGGAGGTCCTGATGACATGTGGCCAAGGTGGTTGGGGCACAGGTTGGTTTTATACATTTTAGGGAAGCATGAGACATCAATCAATATATTTAAAAAGTACATTGGTCCCGTCCAGAAAGGCAGGGGCAACTTAAAACAGGGAGGATACTTCCATGGAGGTTACAGGTAGGGGAGAGACAAACAGTTGCATTCTTTGAGTTTCTACTAAGCCTTTCCAAAGGCAGCAATCAGAATATACATCTGTCTCAGTGAGCAAAGGGATGACTTTGAATAGAATGAAAGGCAAGTTTGTCCTGAGCCACTCCCAGCTTAACTTTTCCCTTGGTTTAGTAATTTTGGGGCCCCAGGATTTTCCTTTCATACTCTTAAAGTCTGTTGTTCTCATTTCATTAGTTACATGCCCAAGTCCAATATCTATTTCATCTGCTGGGTAGACAAAGTGGAAAAAATTGTCCGTGTTCCTACTAAGAGACCCAGTCTGATTGCTCTTCATTATCTTTTCTGAGATGGAAACAATCAGTCATACCAGCGAAGGTGGAAGGAGGAAGTGTCAGTACATTTGCAGAGCATTTTAATCTTCAGCAGGCAGTAGCAACTTGGAACATTCCTTTTCAGCAACCAAATGCACTGGGTATACCCTTCATTTTCAGTACATCTGTAGTCAGGATTTCCTGATTGGTATGCCACTTTGTTTTTAGCTTAGCATATGTAAAATTAGAAGTTGTGTGAATTGATTTTGGCAACAACGGTGTAATGAGTGACGGCTTTGAAAGCACAGAATACATGGAACTTGATAAGACAAAAGCTGAGCTTCACACAGTTGATCTTGAGTCAACAATATTGCATTAACATGGCACTAAGTCACTTAATCAAAACGATGACTTAAAACGCAATGGTAATATCTTTTTCTTAGGAGTTCTTATGTTACTTCTTAATCACAGCTAAAGACAAATAATGAAAGATCATGAAACAGCTTCAATTCCAATACTGTCTGGAACCTACTGTGGGGTCTGGGAAGAGGTTACATAAAGATGACCTTGAGTAGAAGCAGAATCTCCTTAGATTCTGAAGAGAACAATGGCAACATTTTGCTCCTCTCCAGAGTGAGGCACATATGACTATCGTCTATCTTATATTCTTCTTATTATCTTTTTAATGTTTAATTTTGATTTTTATCAAGGTATTTAGTGTACACAGTTATAAAAGTCAAATAATATTATAGTTTGCCTTAATCTCTCAACATCTTGTTTTCCAGTCCCCAGGTACAATTATATTCAATTCTTTTAGCTATTGCTTCCAGTAATTACTTACACATTTCTAATGGCATATTCATACTAATGTTTTATTATATTTTATGTTTACTTATTATCTATTGATGGTAGAAGATGAAGATTTTGTCTTCCTATACCCCTCTTCACATATACAAATATTTGATTTCCTAAAAACTTGCCAAATAGCTTATGGTTAAGGCCATATTTAGAGTTTTTATTATTTTTATCTTGTAAATGTTTATTACTAAGTGAATTTTTTAGTGTAGTTTTATTTTTGCCATTCACTACCTTTTCCATCTTAGAAGTTTTTGTTGCATTTATTATTACTTTTAGTTGGCAAAGAATAATTACACCTGTTTATTGGGTACAGTGTGATGCTTTGATACGTGTGTACAGCATGTAATGATCAAATCAGGGTAATTAGCATATCCATTACCTCAAGCATTTATCATTTCCTTGTATTAGTATTACAAGTAGATAGGCATGAGCAGGGCAGGAGAGGGCTCTCCCCTAACCCACTAGAAATGTCAGGTGATGGTTTGGCAATGTTCACATTGCCTCTCTAAAAATGATCAGGGAGAGGCTATTTCCTGATGGCCCACACCTGTTAACATCAAAATGTTAACTGAATGCAGGCCCCAGGGAGAAGCAATTTCCTGGGCATGTGTGTTAAGAAACAAAAATGAAGTATGATCTTCCTGGGGCACACTCCATCAGAAAAGGGAAGAAAGCCTCAGATGGACATGCGTATAACTCACTAAACACACTGTACATGCTCAATTCTGAAGGGTAAGGAAAGCCCTGGGCATGCAAAAAGCCCCACCCTAAGAGAAGAATCACGAGAAAGAGGCCAGTGTATAAAAGTCCTAGGATCATGGCTTAACAGGGCACTTGGCCTTCTCTCTTTAACCTTCACATGCCTGCTTGGGTCTCTTCCAAGCACACCTTCCTTTTTTTCCTGTTCTAAGGTCTTTTTAAATAAATTTCCACTCCTGCTCTGAAACTTGCCCCAGTCTCTTTTTCTGCCTTATGCTTCTGAGTTGAATTTTTTCCTCTGAGGAGGCAAGGACTAAAGTTGCTGTGGACCCATACAAATTCGCCGCCAGTAACTTGGGTAACTTGAATCTTTTCCATCAGTAACATTGGTAATATTCAAAATCTTCCCTTGTAGATATTTAAAAGTACACAGTAAATTGTTGTTAATTTTCATAACCCTTTAGTCCTATAGAACACTAGAATTTATTCCTCCTATTTATCAATACATTTGTATCCTTTAACCGATGTTTTGCTATCCCCTTTCACCTCCATCCTTCCTCACCTCTAATAATCCTTTTATTATTTTACTTGACTTTTTTTTTTCGAGTTTCTGATTAAGGTTTTGTACACCCTCTAATGGCTCTGTAGAAATAACTTTTAATTCTATTTTCCACATATCCTCCTTTCTGCATAGCTATGTCTCTGGACTTATCCTTGCTGTCAAAGAGATCTTTCTGTGTTACACTTCTCACTTCCTGGATTTCACATATTGCTCTTTTTAGTTTAATTATTTGTTTTGATGAGCCAAATCTCCAGCAATCTCCTAAAAAAAGATCCACAAAAGCAAAATATTTGGAGAACTTTAATATCTGAAAATGTGTTTATTCCATTGTAACATTTGGTTAATATTGATTTGAATTAGGAAAGTTGTACTTTCTTCAGAGGAGAATGCAAATAGTGAGAGCCTACAGTTTCTGACAAAACTAATCAGCATCGTTTTCATTTAGGGAAGAGAGTGGCCTGAGAGAAAATTCAGGGCCTATGGACAACCAATTCTCTGGGTATCATTGAGACAAATTGAATTCATTTCTATTACTTAGGAACATTGACATTATTTGCAAAGATGATGCTGTTATCTCGCTGGGCAGTAGTGTTAAATACCCATTGGTAGATCTGAGCAGATAATGGGAAGAAACTGAATTTGTTCTTCTTCTGTATTGTCAGAATTGGTATGTGAGAAGTGGGTTTCGTTAGAACAGCCCTGGCTTGTGGAAACACGTGATTCAGAAACAAAAAGCATAAAAGGGTAGGGGATGAAGAACTTTGGATTCCTGGGTGGCCATGTGGTCACTCATGGTAAGAAGCAGTAACTGTGCTGCAATCATTTCCTGAAGGTGAAAGTTACCAATGGAGTTTAAACAAGGATCCAGCTCCCTGGGAGTTGGTTCACTGGATGCATAAGGAAATCAAAGATAATAAGAAAAAAGCTACTGTTATCTGTAGTAGTTAAAATGAAAGTAAAAGAGAGTGCTGGGTTGATCCTTGACTCTTGAACAACCGTTGGCCACGAGCCTCAGAGTCACCCCTCAAGGGAAAAATTATGCAAGGACAACAGAAAATAAGTCCTGTGGTTACCAAGAAACAGTCAATGTGGGGGAAGAACAAAATCAAGAAAACTATTAAAACCAGAGGGTGTAATGTGAAGAAATTATTTCATTTTGTAGACTGGCATCATCAGATTCTTGAAGAGCCTTTACTAAAATCGACTGTGAGAGCAACAAATTTAGGAGCAGTATCTTTAGTTTTAAATGCAGCAGAGTTAAAGAGCATGTTTGGGTTGATGCAGGACTCACAGCTAATTATGGAACAATCACAGATTGCTATACACAATCTAGATACATGGGAAGTGATTCCCGAGGAAACAGACACACTGATGAACTGGATAAAAGCCACTGTGAACTTTGTTTACCCTGAGAAGGAGCCTGCCTGACTCTACCTATGCATGCCAAGTGGAACACCACAGATGAAGCAATTGATATGCAAGCCATGTGGAATTGGCTTTATGATGACTGAGATATTCACCTGCTAAATACGCTTCTTAACCAAGTTGTAAATGCTGTGGTTAAGGGTGCTCCTTTAATGTGGACCCCCCCATATGACCTTGCTGCAAAATCGAAAGACAGTTGAGGAAGCCTTATTAAATTTGTTGTATCAGTTTCCCCTCATGAGTCTTACAGGTGCTAATACACATAGTAGGTTAATTAACAAGAGAATGGAGAAAGGGCAAAGAGAAGAGTTATTCCAGGAAGATGAAAATTTTTAGATTGTTGTTAAGAAATAAGGTGAGTAAAGTAGACATGGATAAAGGTAAAGCTGAGAGGAAAAAGGAAAGGGAGAGTCATAAGACTCTACCTAGCAGGATGAAAATCTTTAGATGGTTATGAGATGTCAAATGAAGAACGATGAGGTACATAAATTTGGAAAGGAGAGCTGTATTTCTCACAAAGAGTTGCAGACTTCAGGGTGGCCATTCTGACAGGCTGAGAAGCATAGCCTACAGCAAGAAGCTAGAAACAGGCCCTTGGAAGGAGGGAATAAAAAGACAAGGTTCTATGCTGACAAAGGTGGCTGAATATACATATTCCTATGCTGTAGGAGAGGTCATGAATATTTATGGAAGGATAAACATGGTCATGTGCAATTGAGCTTCATGCTTTTCCATTCATCCCATGTTAAAAAAATGGCAGCATTAGCATGATCCAAGCGTGGAGTTTTCAGCCCTCTGATGACGGCAAAGGGTGAAGTAGAGGACATGAACTCTCACCATGCATCCTCTGTAGACTGGCCATACCCACCCCATGGTTGGTGCTCTCTTACCAGGGAGGAATGCTGGTCATTTGTTATGCCTAAATCACAAAAGGGAGGGGCAGCATCAGGTGGTCGGTAGAAATCAGCCATGGAGTCTCTTGAAAGGGTTGATTTCTGTTTAACCCTTAGGGAAAAAAGCCTAATGGCAGTTAGCAAGGGAGGGGTTATAACTAGGTGAGTCTGATGTTCCATGGCATCCTAACAAGGAACTCAGCTTCCAAGTTTCTCTGGGATCCTCTCGGCCAAAAAAGGGTTCATTCAGTCAGTTCCGGGGCTTCAAATTTTATTTTTATTTCTCATAAGAAATGGGATTAATAAAATGGAAATTGATGGGGTTAAAACAAAGGTCTTAATACAATACTATTTAAGGTTGGATGGATCAAAGACAGCCACCTGGTCCCACACACATTTGCTGCATTTATTCCACTTTGGAGAAATTCAAAAAGTCAAAAGGCAAAGATTAAAATGAGAAATCTGATCTGAAATTTCCTGTGACAGATTAATCAAGATAAACATTGACAAAATGGTCAGGGTCATTTTGCTCAACACCCTTCTGGAGACACAAAGCCTTTTCCAGAAGAGAGGGTAAAATGATCTGCGGGTTGCACAAAATATCCTCGACATAAGTGAGTCCATCTTAGAAAAAGACTCCATCTTACATTTCAAAAGACATCAAGCCAAAAGAGTCCATATGCTCACTATCCAATAGAGACAACACCCAACCAGATAAGAGTATAACACTTTATTATCAGTCCTCACCAGGACCATAAAAGGAACAGGACTTCTTAAGCTTGACATGGCCATCTTGACAGATCCCATCTGGCTGTCACTCATAATCAGCACCTGGCATCTGCCACAGCGAGCTCTGCCCAAAGCAAGGTCTGATTCCAGGACACTGTCCTTATTTATGTCACTCTCCTTGGGCTGATTTGTTAAACCTTTTTTTTCCTATCCCCTCTTCTCTTGATGTTAAATGCTACTCTGTTTGGTGTGAAATTTTAACCTATATCATTTATACATTGACTAAGTATGCTACTATGTATGGTTTATGATATGGACTGACTTGTGGAATGCCTTAAGCCTGTGTACCCACAGCTCTGACTACCGATGAATGGGTACTAGGGAGAATTGTCTCCTTGAGAACTCCATTTAGCCCAATACTTTTGTGATTGAAATAACATCAATAAAATTTCAACTGTGGGAAGACACAAACGTGCACCGACCTGGATGTATCTGACCTTATGTTGCTCTTGATGGGGTAGGAAATAGAAGTTCTTGAAATTAGAACATAAAAATGTAGGGATTGATAGAATTATAAAAGTTGGAATGTTTAAACATGGAATGTTATATCTGGTCAGGGGAAGATTTTCCTACTTAGTATCAAAAATCTTTTGATAAAGTCCTAATGGAGGCTACAGTTAGTAAAGTAAGGGTTGATGGAATTAAGTTTGGAGGAGACTGGTATATTTGAACATGCTTCATGTGAAGTGATTATGTCTCTTTCACCTGGAGATGGACAACGTATATGACTTGGAAATATTTCCTATACTTAGCATTATAAAACAGAAGGCATATAAATGTGTCCTTCAATCACTATTAAAGGAACGTGCAAATGGGAGCTAGGAAGATTGCCTGGGCCCACACAGTATACAATAGTAGCTAGAGCTCTGGTTGGGACAATTTGTCTGTTGGATAGCCCTCTGTAGAACATGAAGTGGGGCTTATGGCAAAAACCTGTGAGCACCTTCTAGCAACTACTACTGAGCAATAAACTGTTACTACATTTTTAAACCCTTTGTCAGAATTCCTGGGGGCCTGATGGGGATGATTTGTGCCTTCCTTCCATCTGGCAAAATTGGGGCTAAAAGTGAATGTGGCTATGTTGCCTGGTGGTAAAGATGGCACACTAGTTCTGCACCTGTGTAACCTTATCCTATCTGAATAGGACTGGAGTGAGGAGAAGGCATTTGCTAGATTAGGATTGTTGACTGCAGTCTAGACAATCACAGTGGCCAAACCTAGTGTCCCTTTCAAAGATGGGAAAGTTTGGATAAATAAAGAGAAGGAAGAATAGTAGCTAAGGTAAAGGAATAAATAAATTTGTCATGTAATGAGGTAAACTCAGTATTACATTAACACCTCAAAAGAGGTTGGAGCAAGTAATGATGATATTGTCTTCCAGCTCAATTATACCAGATGCCTGAAGGGGTAGAGCTTTATGTTTGCTGAGACCACTCCTGCTTTTGGAACCTTACAAGACTGAATGGAAGCCTGCAAACCTGGGTAGCCTCACCTTGGGAGACATTCTTATATTATGATAATGAAGTGGACTTATCATTAATGACTGAGTAGGATTCTAGTAATGTGCCAGTATCTCTGGAGTTATATGTTCTTTCGATATGAGGGATTCATGTTTGAAGACCAAATTCAAAGACCAAAGGTGGTCTTTGAATACATGTTGTAAAATACATATTTGGCCTTAGTCCCTGTTTCCTGGCATAGAACTTTTGAAACCCTTGGAATCTGTAAAGTGGTGAGTGTCTTTTGTGTGCTAATGAGTTGACTGATGGCTAGCAGACCCTAGGTAGCTTCAGGATTGGGGCTGGTCACCAGAAAAACCAAGGCAGGAATAGAGCACTGGGACTTTCAAATCCCCCACCCAACCCCCAGAGAGGGAAGAGGGGCTGAAGGTTAACTGGATCACCAATGAGCAATGATTTAATCAATCATGCCTATATAATGACGAGACAGGAGAGTTCCCTTGACCCCTTCAAAGAACTTGTGACAGGGATGTGGCTCATTTACTCAGTGAGGTGAGCTCAAACCCCTTGCAGGAGGGGGAGCATACAGGTGAGTGGGTGCAGGAGCTGGGGCGAATGCCTTTGGGTACCAGCAGGAACAAACCCATACTGGCCTGTGGCAGCATCTAGGGGTTGCCTGTGACCTCTGGAGCCCCAGAGGGCATGTGTTACAATCAGTGTTGTCTTAGCACTTGTCATCTGTGGACAGCTAAGTGTCAAACAGCTCAGTGGAGAGTCAGTGTGACAACCTCTTACACACACACCCAGGTTCTTGTCCAGTGCGCAAGAGGAATGAGGTAACACAGACTTGAAGGACGGTGAATGAGGAGATTTTACTGAGTGGTGGAAGTGGCACTCAGTGGGAAGGGGAGCTGGAAAAGGGATAAAGTGGGAATATAATCTTTCCCTGAACTTCTGCTGTCCTGGGCTGAACTACTCTCTGACCATCCCCAGCCAAACTCCTCGCTAATGTCAACTGCCTCTGTTCCTCTCAACGTTCAGACACTTCTTCTCTTCTCTCCTTCTCTGTATTTCCACTCTGCTGCTCTGCCAGTGGAGCTTGGGGTTTTTATGGGTACAGGGTGGGGGACATGGCAGGCCAGGAGGGTTTTGAAAAGGGCAACCTTCATGTGGGAAAACAGGAATGCATGTTTTCATTTAGGGCCATGGGTCCAGGCTTGAGGGTGGAGCCCTTGCCAGGGACCCCACCCTCTTCTACCCTGTATTTTCCTGCTTCCTGTCTGTATCAATGAGACTTCCATAAAAACCCAAAAGGGCTGCGTGCAGAGAGCTTTTGCATAGCCGAACACATGGAGATTCCTAGAGTGTGGCACACCCGGGGAAGGCATAGAATCTCTGTGCCTTTTCTCCCATACCTTGCCCTAATGATCTCCTCATCTGTATCCTTTGTAATAAACTTTATAATAAATTGGCAAAGGCAATTAATATATTTTCCTGAATTCTGTGAGCTGATTTTGCAAATTACTCATACCCAAGGAGTAAATCATGCAAATCCCATTTTATAGCTGGTTGGACAGAATCACGGGTAAAACAACCTGAGATTTTGGTCTGGCATCAGCAGTGTGGGGGGCAGTACTGTGGAACTGAGTCCTCAACCTGTGGGATCTGACTTAATCTCCAGGCAGATAGTATCAGAATTGAACTGAATTTTAGGACACTCATCTGCTATTCACTACAGAACTGATTGCTTGCTTGGTGTGTGAGGAAAACCCCCACACATCTGGTGTCAGAAGTGATCTGTTTTGTAAGAATATAGTAGGCAGACACTGAGTTTTTTTTTTTTCTGTATATCATCAGAGTAGGTAATCTTTATTATTGGAAGAAAATGGGCCACACCAGGCCATGGTTTCATGTCTGTGACCCAAACAAGAACGTGTGCCTTCCATTTTAGGAAAGAAATGCAAGGTGGAAAGATCATAGGCTCTAATTTGGAGATTTTTATTCTGAAGTCTTCTGTAGATGGTCTATGTAGGTCCTCGAATTCCCTGAACTTGGCTAAAATTTTATTTTGTGTTAAGTAGTCTGAAGATAGAGGTAAGAGTGGCTGTGAGTTTTAATATTTAAAGAGACACATGACACACAAAATAGTTAAGAACAATTGAACACTAATCTCCCTTTTATCTATTTAACAGATGGAAAAGCAGATTCCATAGAGGTTAGGTGTCATGTCAACATACTTTGTGCTTTTAGCACAGCTGGGTCCAGAGCACTGGTTTTCTGACCCCGAGACTGGGAATCTTCCCATGTCAACTTTAGTCAAGGTTTTAATTGAGCCTCATCTATCAATATTGCTCACCCATTTTCCAAGGACAGGTAAGGTAAAGGTACACTGTTCTGAGATTAATTACCTACAATTAAATGTGACTGAAAGAGGCCTCTGAAATCAGAAATTGTCAAGGGAGCAGCATTTATTTTTGTCATTACTCATTCTTCTCACTCGGTCATGAGAAAAATGTGAATATGAATAAATCAATGTAGATTCAAAATCTTGACAGTATTACATGTCTCAAGTGGTACACTGGAGTCTCAAGATAATTACAACCATTTTGGAAGAGTAAACATTCTGCTAATGCACTTTTAACCAAGGAAACCAGGGTCTTTTTTTAATTGGCCTCTTTTGGAAAATCAGTTAATGTAACTGTGTAGGGGCAGTCTAATTTCTGTGATTAGAAAATATGAAATTTTGATTACTAATGATGTAATTTTTCACTTATATATATTATTTCATTGCTTTCACATATTATTTTATTTGATCCTCAAAAACAACCAGGTAGGGTAACTTGTCATGACCCCTATTTACAAATGAGAAACTGAGGACAGGGATTTGAAGAGACTTGCCTGAAGTCATGTAGCCAATCAGTCAGAACTGGAACAAGAACTTGCCTTCTGATTCCAAATTCAGGTTTTTTTTTTTTTCTATCATACCATGTGGCCTCCTAATCACAGTTAGTCATGCTGCCTCTCAAACTCCAATGAGGGATACATTTCAGAGGTAAGAGTGAAACCAGAGTGGGCCATGCTGTCCTTGAGGGTTTGCAGCCATACCCTGCATGAAAGAAACATGCTCTGTTGGCCTGCCAGGTATGACCACACTGAGGGCATGTGAATGATTGCATTGCCCACATTCCCTAGGATCCTGTTTCCTGGCCAGGATATGGGAATGTGGGCATTGCAATAATTCACTGAGAGATCAACTTTACTCATTCTATTTCAGGTAGATATTGATAGTAGATGAGGACACAAAATACTTTGCAAAAAGAACATGAGACAAGTGTACCAACGAAGAGTTACTAAATTACTATGCTCCTCGAAGGACCTGGCATAATGTGATTTATGACTAATATTTGGGACAACTATGTGGATCAATAAGTGTTTTTTTTTTAATTATGACGAGTCCAGGTTTTGTCCTTTGGTTTGACCTAAGAAGTAAGCCATATACTAAAGTATGTAAATAATTGCTTTTCATTAAACTTATCTTTTTGGCTTTAAATTTTTGTGAAAGGGGGAAAAAAACCAACCTTAACTTTTTACTTTGTGAATAAATCTGCCACATGAGCCCAGGACATAAAGTGATGTTACTAATGAAGTGTGCATTTCTGGCTTGCTTGAGATGGAGACAAAAATTTTAAATCTTTCTTCTAGTCCTGATGTAGGTTGGGTCTCCAAAGGTCTTATTCATAATTAGTGTGTTTTCTTAAAAAATGTAAATAGATGCAGCTGCAGTGGGAAGCCTAAAGCAAACCCTAATCATTGAAGGGTTTTGAATCTTATTCCTGTTTGATCCTAGTCATGGCCACAACTACAGTCTCCACACTGCTTTGGATGCATTATAGACCTGGGCTGCATTTACCAGACTCTGAACATGTTTTCATTTTCTCATAAATAGAGAAATTCCTCTTTAGCAATGAGCCTATGATCTTCTATGTAAAATTACTCTTCTTGGATTATATCCTTTCTGGAGTCCCTGGAAAATTCACCTCCTTTCCCTCTGCGGCACTGTCATTGTTTAGAACACCATATATACCAAGAATGAGGAAACTGTCCCAAGAGATGTCTCAAGAATCACTTAAAAAGAATACCCAGCTTCATATCCAGCATTTATGGTTTTAAATACTTGACAACCAATTTTTACCCAACCTCAAATTTTCCTCACTTCCTTCTCATGATTTTCTTCCATGCTAACCACTCAAACTTTCTCTTTTATCTCTACCCTTATGCATAGTTTTATCTACTATTACTTGCACTTGCTTATGTGGCATTATTAACTAGAATAAAGCATCTTGGGGTGGGGCACCTCCAAGCTCCATGTAGTCCTTAGCATCTTCTCTGCTTTATACTGCCTCTGCTTACCACCCAGCATTTCTGGTCTCTTAGGCAGAGCTTAGATATAATGCAGGTCTATGTATGAATCATAAAAAATTTTCTAGCCACAAGTAACTGGACAATTTAAGATTAACTTTCATTAAATTACTACTTCACCTATATTGATGTTTTCCAGTTGTCTACATCTATAAAGTCCAGGTATATTTCCTCAGTATTCCATTTGCTAGAGAAATGGAAGGAGGACAAGCAGTGCTTAGCTTATAAACAGCTAAGCAACTGCTGGACAATCTTGACAGCTAGACTGTCAATCTGCTTTTCTATTTTCCCCTAGTTCTGACTGTAGTTCTGAATTATTTGAAGACAAAACAGAAATTCCTGTGTTTAACAACTCAACTAACAGCACGACTAGGGGAAAAATACTGTTAAAACCTGTCAGTGAATGCTGGGAACATATGTTGCCTTTATAGACAGGGAGAAAACAAACCTTATACGTCCTTGGAAAGATGTATGAGTTAGCTGACAGGTATGACATCTCAGCACAACAAGTTAAAGCTCCATTGAGCAATGGTTGTGTCCAGAGGGACTTGATTGGTCACAGATGACAATTCCAGGTCCCTGAGCTGTTTCTTCAGTGTCTGTGATTAATATCAAATATCAAGTAAGGCTCACTTTCAACAATAAGATCGAAGATATACTCAATTAAAATAACATAAGGTTTTTGTTTCCTAAAACCCAGTTGAGCTATCTAGATAATTACTAGGGGACAATTAATTAAATAAAAGAAGAGCTATAAGGACTTTCTTCCTAAAGCAAAGCTTCAAACAGAATGACATACAGAGTGACACTTATTACTTTCATGATATATATCACATGAAATGGTAGGACCAGCCTTTTTCAGCAAATGGTGTTGGACAGCTTAAGATAGCCTGTATTAATCAGGGTTCTCTAGAGGGAGAGAACTAATAGGATAGATGTATATATAAAGGGGAGTTTATTAAAAATATTAACTCACGTGATCACAAGGTCCCACAATAGGCTGTCTGAAAGCTGAGGAGAAAGGAAGCCAGTCCGAGTCCCAAAGCTCAAGAACCTGGGGTCCAATGTTCGAGGGCAGGAAGCATCCAGCATGGGAGATAGAGGTGGGCTGGGAGGCTAAGCCAGTCTAGTCTTTTCATGTTCTTCTGCCTGCTTTTTATTCTGACTGTGCTGGCAGCTAATTAGATTGTGCCCACCCAGATAAAGAGTGGGTCAATGGATTGCCTTTCGCCGTCCACTGACTCAAATGTTAACCTCTTTTGGCAACACCCTCACAGACACACCCAAGAACAATACTTTGTATCCTTCAATCCAATCAAATTGACACTCAGTATTAACCATCACATGGCCTCAAAGATAGACTCAGACATCATCACATAGATTCAAAGATAGACTCAGACAGGACTTCAGACAGCACACAATCATGGAACAAATGGTTTCAATCAAACCCAAAGATTAGTTATGTATTGTTTTCTTTCTTTTATAGAACTAATGTTTCAGAAGAATGATGACATATTTTCAAAGCAAGTAAAGAGGGGTTCTTTGACTTTTTAGTCACATACATTATGTAGTATGTTTAACTTAAATGTGTGTGTGTCTATACATTTTCTTGGTTTTGATGCCTGTAATAGCTAAGAGTCTTATAACCATCAGAAACAAGAAAATGTATATATCTGTTTTCAAAATAATATGTTTATAGGAGATTGCTAACAATATTTTCATAAAAGATTAATATAAAAATATTAATAATGTAGTTTGTCTGAAAGACATAGTTGGTTTTCCACCTTTTGTCTCCAGAAATGAGTTCTTTGCAAGCTGTACAAGTTGTGGGAGTGTTCTAGCTTCAGATAATCACACTGTTTGAAAGTTCATCAAAGTTGGTAACAAAATTATATTCATCATCTAATTTTCAATTCCTTAGGACTGTGTGTTTTAGTCCATTTTTACACTTCTATAAAGAACTTCCCTGAGACTGGGTAATTTATAAATGAAAGAGGTTTAATTGATGCACAGTTTCATATGACTGGGGAGGCCTCAGAAAACTTACAGTCATGACAGAAGGGGAAGCAGGCATCTTCTTCACAAGGCGGCAGGAGAGAGAAGTGAAGAAAGAACTTCCAAAGACTTATAAAAACCATCAGATCTCATGAGAACTCACTCACTATCACGAAAACAGAATGGGGGAATCCACCCTCATGATCCAAACACCTCCCTCCCTCGACACATGGGGATTACAATCTGAGATGAGATTTGGGTGGGGACACAGAGCCAAACCATATTATTCTACCCCTGGCCCCTTCCAAATCTCATGTCTTTTCACATTTCAAAACCAATCATGCTTTCCTAACAGTCCCCCAAATCTTAACTCTTTACAGCATTAACTCAAAAGTCCACAGTCTGACATCTCATCGGAGACAAGCTAAGTCCCTTCTGCCTGTGAGCCTGTAAAATCAAAAGCAAGTTTGTCACTTCCAAGATACAATGGAGATATAGGCATTGGATAAATGTTCCCATTACAAATGGGAGAAATGGGCCAAAACAAAGGGGCTACAGGCCCCATACAAGTCTGAAACCCAGCAGGGCAGTCATTAAATCTTAAAGCTCTGAAAATAATCTCCTTTGACTCCATGTATAACATCCAGGGCATGCTGAGGCAAGGGGTGGTTCCCATGACTTTGGGAACAGTGCTTTAGGAGAAACCAAGAAAGCTTGAGTTAAATATCCAAATCTTTGTTGTCCCCCACATCCAATTAATGACATCTATCTCTGTGGCTGTCTATATATTTATTAATCAATAATTCTATAAACATTTGAAATTGCTTAAAACCAGAGTGTAAATTACAAAATAATAACATCAAAATACAAAATAAAGGTGAGGTAATTATAAATAAAGAGAAAATAAGTTGTAAGGAGTGGTTTAACATGTATACATGACTATGAAACTGAATCTGTGCCGGGTAGAAGAATCCGCACTGCTATTGCTTTAGTTAGACAGGCTATGATGGATGATCAAAGACATGACAATTTCATGGATTCCTCTATAACTGGAGGAAAACACAATGCTGTGGTTTAAATATTTGTTCCCTGCAAAACTCATGTTGAAACTTAATCCTCAATATGACAATATTGAGAGGTGGGGCCTTTAGAAGTGATTGGATCATGAGGCCTCTGCTCTCATAAAAGGATTAATCTATTCATGGATTAATGAGTTAGTGGATTAATGGTTTATGAGAGTGGGACAGGTGCCTTTATAAGAAGAGAAAGAGACTTGAGTTTGCAAGCTCAGTTCTCTTGTTATGTGATGCTCTGCACTACCTTGGGACTCTGCAGAGAGTTCCCACCAGCAAGAAGGCTCTTACCAGATACAGCCCCTTGACCTTGGACTTCTCAGCCTTCATAACTGTAAAAAACAAGTTTGTTTTAAAAACAAATTTCAAGTATTCTGTTATAAGCAATGGAAAACAGCCTAAGGCACTCAATAAATGTTGTATGCCCGGAAGTGACAGTGATAGTTAAATTGGTTTTGAAACTAGGTTTACATGACACCAATGCTAACAATTTGGTCTATTCTCTTTTTATTTTTACCAGCACAATGTCAAGTTAGTTGGCTTGCTGAATTCTTTCAACGAAATGTTTTTGTTTTCTGTAAATCCATTCTGTGATGTTTGCATGGGCTAATGAAAAGGCATGATCTATAGGACATGCTTTTTTTTTTTTTTCCTTTTGGCCATGTTAGCACAGTTGTTTGAAACCTCTCATCATTATGAGAAAGTCATCCATTATAGGCCACAGTTCGTAGCTTGTTCTCTCCATGATGGCCCTGAGTAAAGGCAGCAGCTCTAAGTAGATTCTGATGTTAATAATTCAAATCTATTGTCAATTTTCTATTCTTTCTCTCCTATTTATGCCTATGTGGGGACTAGCCTGTACTTTCTCAGCTGTAGGCTACCAGAGGAGAGCAACAAGCTGTCATCCATTTCTACTTGCCTGACTTTGGCTTAGTGAGCAGGGGATTTTACTCTTCTTTTCACTAAAGGTGTGAACTTGGATTTCTTTTTCAATCAAATGAGAAGATAAAACCAGATGATATTCAAACTACAATCATGTCTAGTTTGTGAAGATATAAGTAATTTTTTCAGGAATATAACAAAACAGCAGGAAAATTTCACAATAAGAAATGTCATACAGAATGGGTAAGAACTAGATAGTCAAAGAGGCAGAGATCCTCACCCACTGGCATGGTCCAGGGGTCTTGAGTCAGGCAGGGGATGCTTGTTAAGCAATGAACAATAGGTAGGATTTAGGAAGTTAAAATAGAAGAAGAAAAACGTTCATGTCTCCTTGCATAAATAAATGTAACTTGTTTTTTTCTAGAGATAGGGTTTCACTCTGTCATCCAGGCTGGAGTGTAGTGGCGTCATCATAGCTCACTGCAGCCTTGAACTCCTTGGCTTAAGCAATTCTCCTGCCTCAGCCTCCCCAGTAGCTAGGACTACAGATACACACCACAATACCCAGCTTAAACGTAACTTTTACTTTGTGGAGAAGCTGGCTGGAGAGGAAGAATTTGTTCTTTTTCCTTTTAGAAGCCTTTTGTCATTCTAAGAATTCCATGGTCTTTAGAAACATGTATTTTTCCAGAAGACCACTTATTAAAGAGGATTAGCTTGAAAAGAGGATTTTGTCCTTTTTAAAATATTTTTATAATTCTCAAATAAAAGTATTGTTTCAAAAATTATTTTATTTAGTAACCCTGAATTTAAACGTATATTGTTGCTGTTGCTATCTTTGAGGGCTCTAATAACCACTTCTGCTTGGGGGTTCATGTCATAAAAATGGTCATTTAATGAGAATCAGAAAGTTCCACTGGCTAAGGAGCAGTTTAGTGAGCTTAATTCCAGTTATTGTTCTAAGCATATATACACAAATTTTTGCAAATAAATAGGTTAATGCTATATATTTTATTTTATTTATTTATTTTGAGATGGAGTCTCACTCTGTTGCCCAGGCTGGAGTATAGTGGCATGATCTCGGCTCACTGCAACCTCTGCCTCCCAGGTTCAAGTGATTATTCTGCCTCAGCCTCCTGAGTAGCTGGGATTACAGGCACATGCCACCATGCCCAGTTAATTTTTTTTTTTTTTTGCATTTTTAGTAGAGACAGGGTTTCACCGTGTTGTCCAGGTTGGTCTCGAACTCCTGACCTCGTGCTCCACCCACCTCAGCCTCCCAAAGTGCTGGGATTACAGGCATGAGCTACGTCACCTAGCCAGGTTAATGCTATTTATATATGGTCTAGTGACACATCTATTTCACTCAGCAATATAATAGAATTTTTTTTCTTCCTAAAACACGCATAGCTCTCTATTTGTTGAAAAATTTTTATTGAACTATAACATGCACAAAAAATTGCTTAAATCTTGAGTGTAAAACTTGATGCATCTTACAAGGTGAACATATACATGTAACCAGCATCAAGGAAGAGAACATTATCAGCATTCCAGAAATTCTGCTAATCTCTCTTTCCGTTCAGTAACTGGCTATCCCATACCATGGCTAGTCACTATCTTGCCCTTTTACTTTTACACTGTAGATTAATTTTTCCCACTTTGAACATTATCCAAAATGCAATCATATAGTATGTACACTTTTATATCTGGCACTTTCTTTGTTGTTCAACATTATGTTTGTGAGATTCATCCATATTCTTGCATGCTATTAAACTTCAGTTCAACAAAAGTTAACATTAAAAGAACAAAAATACAACACACAAAGTAGTAGAAGATATTTCCAATCCATATACCTAACAAATGATTTATATTTAGATAGGAAAAGAACTCTTATAAATTAAAAAGACAGATAACCTTATAGAAAATTAAGCAAAAATACCTGAATTGGTACTTCACAATAGAGGATACTCAAATGACAAGAAATCATGTAAAGTGCTTAACTTTATTAGTCATTAGGGAAATGAAAATTAAAAACACAATGTGATACTACTGCTACTGCAAAGGCTGGGACAATTACAATGAAAAAGACAAAAAATAGCAAGTGTTAGCATGGATGTGGAGCAAGTGGAACTCATACATTGCTGGTGGGAGAGTAATTTTGTACAACACTTTGCAAACTGTCTGTTAGTTTGGGTCTTCTGAGAAGTAGACACCAAAATGGAAGTAGACATGCAAGAGATTTATTGTGGAGTAAAGGGAAGGAGCATGAGCAGGGTGGGAGGGCCTCCAAGCCATAGTGCTGGTCTGACACCTGCAGAAGGAGGAAGGAGGACTGGTAAGAAGAGTCTCCAACTGCCGAGCAGATCTAAGAAAGTTTTAGCTAGGAAAATTAAGAGTTCTTGAAACAAAGTTGTCAATTAGGTGAAACCCATGTCCCACAGGAATGGGTTTGTTCTACTACTTAACTTCATGCTCAGTCATTGTCTAGAGGCAGTTTGGGGAAAATGTGGCCTTGGTGCAATCAGACACAAATCCAGAAGGGCAGAAGCTGGGAGTGTCAGTCACCTGTGCTCCCACAGCACAGCATCTGAGCAGCCCATTCCCATGGCTGCCATGGGAAGTTGATATTAAATCTGAACATCCATGCTCCATGATCCAATCATTCCACCCCTCCATAAATACCCACAGAAATAGGTACATATATTCATCAAAACACATGTACAAGAATGTTCACAACAGTGAACATTTGTCGTAACCGAGATCTGGAAACCATCCTAGTGCTGACCAACAGTAGAATGGATAAATAGTACTATAATTAAACAATGAATTCTATACAATAATGAGAATGAAGCTATTTCTTTCTAAAAACACTAGCATAGTTTTTAATAGTATGGGTATACCATAATTTATTTAACCATTTCTCTATTGATGATGATTATGTTTAATTTTTCCTTGTTACAGATAATCTTGCAGTGAATATTGCTGAAGGATAAATACCTAAACATGGCACTGCTGAGTCAAATGATATGCACATTTAATGTTTTTATGGGTATCTAATGTATTACACTTTTGTAATGTAATTTTCAAAAGAATCTGAAAATGTCATCTTTTTCACCCCCTCTGGCAGTGACAAATGGCACACTCAAATTGGAAGCTTTAAAAGGGCTCTTCCACAGGTGTGTGCTGGGTGTAGGGTAGCCACAAGGGATGGTGCAAAGCCTTGAGGCTTGGAAAAGTGGAAGAGGGCAGGTGAGTAAAAACTCTAGCCTCCTTCTGATGAGCTGCTATTGCTTCTCTTTGGTAAAATCCATAGAGAAGTCAGAGGGTAAGAGAGTTCACTGAGGGAGTCCATACAGATCATTCTCCCAGGGAACTGTGCAGTTGGGTGGAGAAGAGTGGGTCATGATCTGGAGGACTAGAAAACATCTAGCTTACACCTTAACAACTGGTTATTATCAGTCTTAAGGTTTTGCCCATTTCATAGGTAAAATATGCTATATTGTTTTAATTTTCATGTCTTGTATATTTACTAGTAAGTTTGAGAATTTTTATTTTCTTTTTTTTGAGTTACATGTTTATATTTTTTACCTTTGCTTTTTCCTTATGGATTTGAAGACACTCTGTGTGTGTTAGGTAAGTTAGCTTTTGTCCACTTCCATATTAGAATATTTTCTTCAATTTGCTGTTTGTCCTTTAACATATTTACAGCAACTTTGTCAAACAGAATTAAAGTCTATACAGTCTTGTTCACATTTTTTTTTTTCCTTTATGGCTTCTGGGTTTCTTGTCTTTCTTGGAAAGGCATTCTATTCCTTCTAGTTATATTTTCTGTACATTTTCTTCTAGTGCTTTTTGAGCTTTTTTATATTTAAAACTTTAAGCAACCTGAGATTTATTTTAATATTTGGAATGAGGTGAGGCTCTAACCTTATTTTCTTCCATATGAATATAGTTTCTCAATATCATTGATTAAATAATTCATTATTTTTCCTCTAATTTGAAGTGCTGCTTTGATTATACATAAACTATTCATGTACATATGAATCTGCTTCTGGGCTGTACTCTTTTCCTTTAATCTATTTGTTAATTTCTGCATCAATATTATGCATCTATAAGTACTTTAACTTTTAAGTATCTTTTATTATTGTAAAGAAGGGACTTTTATTTTTTTATAATATTTGAGTTTTCTCTTTTGTAATTACTTTTAAAGAACTATTTAGACTATCTCTTTAGCCCATTTTATTCATTTGTTAAAGTTTTGTGGTTTTCTTCTTGTAAGTTTGCACATTTCCTTTTTTATTTCTTAGGTAGTTATTTTATAAATTTTGCTACTATTGGTTTTTTTCTAACTGGGTATTCTTGGTATAAAGGAAAGCTTTGGTCTTTTGAAATATTAATTTGGCTTGTTAGTAAATTCTGTTATTTCTAATTGCTTCTAGTTGATCCATAACCTTTTGAATATTTCCTCTAGCACACAACTGCACGTGGCTCTCTCAAGTTTTGGTGCAACCCAAATTCTCAACTTACTTATCTGCTCTTCCAAGATCTGCTTCTGGTGCAAGGGACAACTGTGGCATAATGGCAAGAGCACTAAATATGGTCAAAGGAGACATAGGTTGAATACCGTCTTGTGTATAACATTAGCTAGAATTGAATTCAGCTGCAAGTGTTCGAAAACCACCAAAATAAGAGTGGTTTTATTATGTAAGATCTTATTCTTGCTACGAAAGAAGTCTTAATGCACGAGTGGGCTGGTAAGGTGCTTTATGAAGTTGTTTCTGACATCCCTAGGACAAGACCCTCATCCTTATGTCCCAAGAAAGTGTTTGTGCACCAGTGATTATGTCCGATTCCAGGCCAGCAGTAGGAAGAGAAGGTGGAAAAGCCTATGAAGGGCCCACCATTAAGGCCATTTATCTTGAATCATCCATAATCCTTTCACTTACAGATTATTTGACAAACCTACTCACATGCCTATGCCTAGCAGGAAAAGAGTCTGGGTAAAGTAGTTGTTAGAAACTAAAACTGTTTAAGTGAGCAAGTAGATAATGTATACTGGGGTGTTTATTACTTAGGAAGAATGGATAGAGAGAGAGTTAGCAGTCTGTTGAGTCACTAAATACATATGTGAACATGCGCCAATTCAATTTTTTTCCATAAAGAAAAAAAGCATTTCTTATGATTATGAAATAATACACCACCATTAGGAAGAATTCAAACAAATCGGAACATTTGAAGACAAGGATAACAAGTAACTGAAATCTTACAAGTCAGAGATACATTTCTATTAGTAAATATTTCTTCGTGTACCTCTTTGTACACACACCACATACTTTACAGAAATGGCATTATTTTACACATTGCTTGCTTTCTCTAAACCTGCTGGGGATGTTTTGTCTCAGGATAATTGCATTTATGATTGCTTCTATCTGGAATGTCCTCTCTCTAGATACAGGTATGGTTATCTCCCTCCCTTTCTGAGTATGGCTAGCTACTTAACTTCATTAGTGTGGCCAGCTTCCTCACTTCCTCGGTACAGCTAGCTCCTTCACTTCCTCACAGAGGTGGCTTCTCCTTTTCTTCCTCAGTGTGACCAGGCCCCTCCCTGACTCAGCAAGGCTATCTCCTCACATTGTCATGTTGCTAGCTCCCTCCCTTCCTAGGTGTAGCTAGCTCTGTCACTTCCTCATGTGAACAGCCCCTTGCCTCACTGACTCATGTGGCTAGCTCCCTGCTTCCTTGAGGTTTTTGCTGAAATGTCATTCATTCAGTGACACCTCCCTGATGCCAGCTCCATTTATAATTGCATTCCTCCCCCCTTTTCATATTTTATTTTAATTTTCTTCATAGAATTGATCACCTTCATATATATATGAAATACATATATATAAATAAATATATATACATATATATATATGAAATAGTTATTTTGCTTGTTTTCTGTTCTCCCGAGACAATAGAAGTTCCACAAAAGTAGGGATTTTGTCTTTCTTGTCCACTGTTTATCCAGTGCATAATATAGGGCCCAGAACCTAGTAAGCACTCAATAAATCCTTATCAAATGATTGCATTCACTGTATTTCACAACACCTGATCACATCAATTAGTTGTGAAGATTAAATGAGATAACATAGATGACACTTAGCACAAGAGAGGAGGCAGAGGCTTAAAAGAGTTGAAGCTGCTGTTACTTCTATTTAGACTTTTTGTGCCTCTACCAGAGCACTATTTTATCTTTAAACTGTTTATTCATGTGCCTATCTCTTCCACCAGCCCCAAGAACTCTGAGGGTCAAAACTGCTATTATTTGTTTTTGCATCATTAGTATTGACAATAGCCTAGTATACAGTAGGTGCTTTATAAATTTGAATTGACTTGAGACATTTCTGATTATTCCTAAATCAGCAGACTGCCATATTTCCTAATTTAAAATGTTTCCCTTCCTTTCTCCATGCTGAAATATTTATGAAACGATTTGGTACTTCAGAGGAAATCAGGTTTTAGCACAGCTGAGTCTATCTTCTCTCTTTAGTCAATAGTTCTGTTGAAAGCTCATTTAAATAAATGCACTAGAGACAGAGTTTTGAATAGGAAGAGTATTTCAGCTTTGTGAAATGTCCAGATGGAATAAGAATTAGATGCTTTTGTTATTTCTGCCACTTTGGTTAATGAAGCTGTCCCTTTTATAATATAATTAGAGCATGAACAATTCTCTGACCAAATATAAAATGACACACATAGGCTCTTGTTACTGAGTGTCTCTCTGAAGGATCACAAGAAATCATTCAAACACATGACTTGACATACTAGGGTAAATCCAGCCAATTAGGAAAATGTAATTAGAAAAAGTAATTTCATGCGAGAAATCTTAATTCTTCCTGAAGATACACAGCGTCCCTTTTATATCAAATCACTGGTTATTTTTTTTAAGGTCTAGAGGGAGCTGTTGCATAAACATGTTTTTGTTTACCCTCGGTGAGGCATTTTAAGACTATGGTAAAATTTATATTTCTAAATACAAAGTTGGAATTTGAAGAGAAAAAAAGTTGTGACTATAGTGATCTCCTTGAGATTGACGACAAAATTAATCTTTCAAATTCAGTAGAGTAACTCTTGATAGTGCAAGACAAGTCAAGAAAAAAGCATGCAGCTCCAAAGAGAAACAATCCAGCTCTTCTTTGTGGTCTATTAGGTCAGATATTTTTGTATTAGACAAGACATTCTCCCATCTACCTTGTAGAAATTGGTATTATACATAATGTGTCAACTCCACAACACTGGCTTGCTTCACATTTTCATTGCCTGATTCTTTCTTCTATCTATCTGCCCGATTCCCCACATCTTCTGGAACAAAACTTTTTCTTTAGGACTTGTTAAAGTGTGTACATCTTTCTTAGCTGAACATGTCTATATATAGTCAAGAAAATTGACTTAACCAAATTGAAACATCTTGGGGTTTAACTGAGCCACAAAGATTTCCTCCATCAGACTGAATGGTTTGAGATCCATATTGATCATTTATACCTACTGTAGTCAAAATATGATGACTTTAAAAAAAAACTATGCAACACATATTTTTGGTTTAGGCAGAGATATATGCTATAACTTTAGGCTTCTTTTAATTACTAAAGCAAGATGAATACATTGGCTAAATTATGTTTGAATTTGTAAAATGTGTGAGCTTTCAGCTTTGCGGGACTTTGACACTGTATTTCGTGCTGTTTATTACACGAAGCCAATATCCTAATGTCATTTTTCTTCCAACACTTCCTCTGCTCCCATTCAAAGATGTCAGGCACCTTTGCAATGCCAGGCATCTTGTAGTGAGCTTAGTTGAAAGAGCTTGAGCTTTAGCATCTGAGAGAACCGAATTCGCATCTCCACTCTGTCATTTATTAGCTCTGTGGCCTTTGTCCACCTCTTAATCTGAGTCTTATAAAACACAGCCAGTAACACCTGTTTTACAGGATGAATATAAGGGAAAAAGACATTTAGATTGCTTGGTTTTTATAAATGGTAGAGGCTAAATAAATGGTAGCTATTATTTTTCTTTATCACATTGTTTTATAAAATTTTACTATTTTGCTGGGGAAATTCTAGTAGATGCTATTTCATTTGAATAAAACAAAAAGTAAGATGCTTTTTGAAAGAGGCAAAGCTCTTTCAACTAAGCTCACTACATCTCAAAGGTACCTGGTATCTTTGAATGAAAGCTGAGGAAGTGTTGGAAGAAAAATGACATTAGGATATTGACTTCTTACAAACAGCATGAAGTACAGTGTCAAAGTCCCACAAACCTGATTTTGTAATTCATAGCAGGCTTTCTTAGAGCCATCTCAAGTATTCTGAAATCATTATTGGCTATATTCACCCTTGTCACTGAATAAAGGCTACTTAACTTTCATGTGATGATTTTGCATTCTCTATCTATGGATTAACATGGATGTTATTTTCAAGGTTGTTCAGAGTTGCCTGTCACATGTGGTCAAACCACTTGCGTATATTTTATAAAAGAAATATTTTGAGCCATTTATCAGCTTGAGAAAAGGGAGATATGAGAGCAAATATGTATTTGGGAATCAGTAATCCTGAAGAACAGAATGACTAGATTGTTTTAATGGTTGATGTGTAGGATGGAAAAGGATATTTATCAAAACTTGAGTAAATGTGAGGTTCACTGCACATAGGAGCAAAATAGTAGGGGTGGGAATGGTAAAAATACGTAGTGTTTTTAAGAACAGGAAACCAAACACTGCATGTTCTCACTCATAAGTGGGACTTGAACAATGAGAACATATGGACACAAGGAGGGGAACATCATACACTGGCGCCTGTCAGGGGATCGGGGGCTAGGGGAGAGGTAGAGTTAGGAGAAATACCTAGTGTAGATGACAGGTTGATGGGTGCAGCAAACCACCATGGCACGTGTATACCTATGTAACAAACCTGCACATTCTGCACATGTACCCCAGAGCTTAAAGTATAATAATAATACTACTACTAAAATCCTCCCCTGTGGAAAAAAATATAGTGTTTTTTTCAGACTTCATTTGGTCAGGCTTTGGGAGGAAGTAAACAGATTGAAAACCAAGTTTGCTTATCAACAGACTAGTCAAGATAAATTACGCAAAAATGAGAAAAGACACTCTGCTTCATTCTGCTAGATTTGAAGTGAAAACTTTACAGAGACACAATGCTGACAAAGAATGAGCTTTAATTAAGGCTGGATTATTTGTGTGAATGTGTGTGGTATTTTTCCCTCGAGGATTTCTTCTTTAGGGGCATAGCCATCCATCTGAGTTATTTTTTGATTGGATTTTGCGTAATTCCCCCATTCACTTCAGCAGTGATATTACTGATGCACTGGCAATGATTTCTAAAAGCCCTTTCTGGCATATACTATGACCTCACTGGTATTCAATTCAAACACAAGAAGCCAGAAGAGAAGAAAATTCCTATCTTAAAGGCAAAATGACTGCAAAATCTAGAATGTTAAGTATTGAATGCAATGACTGATGGTTTTAATTTTGTTGTATAAAAGTATGAAGGGTATCAAACATTTTTGTTGAAACAATGTGCTAAAACTTACCAAAGCCTCACATCTGATTATGTTCAGTTTCAAGTATTTTAACCAACAGCCAAAAGGAGTCAAGACAAGATGGGGTCACAGTGGAAGGTTCCTGTGTTAGAGAGATTTCCTCTTTTGAAGCAGGGCTCTGGTGGGGCAGTGAGGGAGGAGAGTAGCTCTGGCACACTGATGCAGCATATGTAGCCAACCAGAGGGAGAAAAACAGAAAAGTCACATCCTAAAAGAGATGCAAAGGACCCATTGAGAGAACATTTTTAGGAAACAGGAAAGACAAGGAAAGTTTAAAACAAAAAAATAAACATGTTAAGGAAGCAGAGGGAGCCAAACAGCTTAAGTGGTCTGGGAGGAGTGTGGAGATGGAGCGTTAATCCCTGCAATGTCTCTTATGCTTCCAGCACATTGGCAAGGACAAATTATGCTTTTTGAAAGACCCAGGAGGGGTGATCAGAATCACATAGTAGATCCCAGCTCTGACTGTGGGCAGCCACCAACAAACTAACGATATGACCTGGGACTAGTAATTTATCTCTAGAAGGAGGGGGTCCAATTAAATAATCACTGAAGGCCTATTCGGGTATTGCTGTTGTTGTTAATATTAATTCTAATTAATGGATGACACAGAACTGGTATGACTGGAAAGAAAACTTAGGAACTATAGTAGAAAAAGGTCAAAGGCAAAATCTGCTTGTATGATTCTCAGATATTCAGACTTTAGAATATGAAGGAGAACACCAGACAGAGGGCTTTCTCTCTTCTCTGAAGTCCTTCTCTGTCAGGAGCACCTTTATTTATTTATTTAATTATACTTTAAGTTCTGGGGTACAGGTGCAGAATTTGCAGGTTTGCTGCATAGGTATGCACACGCCATGGTGGTTTGCTGCACCCATCAACCCATCATCTACATCAGGTATTTCTCCTAATACTATCCCTCCCCTAGCCCCCCACCCCCTGACAGGCCCTGGTGCGTGAAGTTCCCCTTCCTGTGTCCATGTGTTCTCATTGTTCAACTCCCACTTATGAGTGAGAAAACACGGTGCTTGGTTTTCTGTTCCTGTGTTAGTTTGCTGAGAATGATAGTTTCCAGCTTCATCCATGTCCCTGCAAAGCACATGAACTCATCCTTTTTTATGGCTGCATAGTATTCCATGGTGTATATATGTCACATTTTCTTTATCCAGTCTATCATTGATGGGCATTTGGGTTGGTTCCAAGTCTTTGTTATTGTGAACAGCGCTGCAATAAACATACCTGTGCATGTGTCTTTATAGCAGAATGATTTACAATCCTTTGGGTATATATCCAGTAATGGGATTGCTGGGTCAAATGGTATTTCTGTTTCTAGATCCTTGAGGAATTGCCATACTGTCTTCCACAATGGTTGAACTAATTTACACTCCCACCAACAGTGTGAAAGCATTCCTATTTCTCCACATCCTCTCCAGCATCTGTTGTTTCCTGACTTTTTAATCATCACCACTCTAACTGGTGTGAGATAATGTCTCATTGTGGTTTTGTTTGCATTTCTCTAATGACCAGTGGTGATGAGCATTTTTTCATATGTTTGTTGGCTGCATAAATGTCTTCTTTTGAGAAGTGTCTGTTCATATCCTTCACCCACTTTCTGATGGGGTTGTTTATTTCCTGTAAATTTGTTTAAGTTCTTTGTAGATTCTGGATATTAGCGCTTTGTCAGATGGATAGATTGCAAAAATTTTCTCTCATTCTGTAGGTTGCCTGTTCACTCTGATGATAGTTTCTTTGCTGTGCAGAAGCTCTTTAGTTTAATTAGATCCCATTTGTCAATTTGGGATTTTGTTGCCATTGCTTTTGGTGTTTTAGTCATGAAGTCTTTGCCCATGCCTATGTCCTGAATGGTATTGCCCAGGTTTTCTCTAGGGTTTTTATGGTTTCAGGTCTTATGTTTAAGTCTTTAATCCATTTTGAGTTAGCTTTTGTATAAGGTGTAAGGAAGGGGTCCAGTTTCAATTTTCTGCATATGGCTAGCCAGTTTTCCCAACACCATTTATTAAATAGGGAATCCCATTATTAAATAGGGAATCCTTTCCCCCTTGCTTGTTTCTGTCAGGTTTGTCAAAGATCAGATGGCTGAGATGTATGATGTTATTTCTGAGGCCTCTGTTCTGTTCCATTGGTCTACATATCTATTTTGGTACCAGTACCATGCTGTTTTGATTACTGTAGCCTTGTAGCATAGTTTGAAGTGAGGTAGCATGATGCCTCCAGCTTTGTTCTTTTTGCTTAGGATTGTCTTGGCTATGTGGGCTCCTTTCTGGTTCCATATAAAATTTAAAGTAATTTTTGCTAATTCAGTGAAGAAAGTCAATAGTAGCTTGAGGGGAATAGCATTGAATCTATAAATTACTTTGTGCAATATGGCCATTTTTACTATTTTGATTCTGTCAATCAATGAGCATGGAATGATTTTCCATTTGTTTGTGTCCTCTCTTATTTCCTTGCACAGTGGTTTGTAGTTCTCCTTGAATAGGTCCTTCACATCCCTTGTAAGTTATATTCCTAGCTATTTTATTCTCTTTGTAGCAATGTTGAATGGGAGTTCACTCATGATTTGGCTCTCTGTTTGTCTATTATTGGTGTATAGGAATGCTTGTTATTTTTGCACACTGATTTTGTATCCCGAGACTTTGCTGAAATTGCTTATCACCTTAAGGAGATTTTGGGCTGAGATGATGGGATTTTTTAAATATACAATCATGTCATCTGTAAACAGAGACAATTTGACTTCCTCTCTTCCTATTTGAATACCTTTATTTCTTTCTCTTGCCTAATTGCCCTGGCCAGAACTTCCAATACTATGTTGAACAGGAGTGGTGAGAGAGGGCCTCCTTGTCTTGTGCCGGTTTTCAAAGGGAATCCTTCCAGTTTTTGCCCATTCAGTATGATATTGGGTGTGGGTTTGTCATAAATAGCTCTTATTATTTTGAGAAATGTTCCATCAATACCTGGTTTATTGAGAGTTTTTAGCATGAAGGGCTGTTGAATTTTACTGAAGAACTTTTCTGTTTCTATTGAGATAATCATGTGGTTTTTGTCATTGGTTCTCTTTATGTGATGGATTTCATTTATTGATTTGTGTATGTTGAACCAGCCTTGCATCCCAGGGATGAAGCTAACTGGATCGTGGTGGATAAGCTTTTTGATGTGCTGCTGAATTTGGTTTGCCAGTATTTTATTGAGGATTTTCACTTCGACGTTCATCAGGGATATTTGCCTGAAATTTTCATTTTTGTTGTGTCTCTGACAGGTTTTCGTATCAGGATGATGCTGGCCTCATAAAATGAGTTAGGGAGGAGTCCCTCTTTTTCTATTGTTTGGAATAGTTTCAGAAGGAATGGTACAAACTCTTCTTTGTACCTCTGATAGATTTCGGCCATGAATCCATCTGGTCCTGGACTTGTTTTGATTGGTAGGCTATTAATTACTGCCTCAATTTCAGAACTTGTTATTGGTCTATTCAGAGATTCGACTTCTTTCTGGTTTAGACTTGGGAGGGTGTATATGTCTAGGAATTTATCCATTTCATCTAGATTTTCTAGTTTATTTGTGTTGAAGTGTTTATAGTATTCTCTTACGGTAGTTTGTATTTCTGTGGCACCAGTGGTGATATCCCCTTTATCATTTTTTATTGTGTCTATTTTATTCTTCTCTCTTTTCTTCTTTATTAATCTGCCCAGGGGTCTATCTATTTTGTTAGTCTTTTCAAAAAAACAGCTCCTGGATTCATTAATTTTTTGAAGGATTTTTTGTGTCTCTATCTTCTTCAGTTCTGCTCTTATCTTAGTTCTTTCTTGTCTTCTGCTAGCTTTTGAATTTGTTTCCTTTTGGTTCTCTAGTTCTTTTAATTGTGATGTTAAGGTGTCGATTTTAGATTGTTCCTGCTTTCTTAATCCTGAGTTCTAATTTGATTGCACTGTGGTCTGAGAGACTGTTTGTTATAATTTCTGTACTTTTGCATTTGCTGAGGAGTGTTTTACTTCCAATTATGTGGTCAATTTTAGAAAAAGTGTGATGTGGTGCTGAGAAGAATGTATATTCTGTTGATTTAGCAGGGAGAGTTCTGTAGATGTCTATTAGGTCAGCTTCCTCCAGAGCAGAGTTCAAGTCCTGAATATCCTTGTTACTTTTCCATCTCGTTGATCTGTTTAATATTGACAGTGTGGTGTTACAGTCTCCCACTATTATTGTGTGGGAGTCTAAGTCTCTTTGTAGGTCTCTAAGAACTTGTTTTATGAATCTGAGTGCTCCTGTTTTGAGTGCATATATATTTAAAATAGCTCTTCTTTTTGCATTGATCCCTTTACCGTTATGTAATGCCCTTCTTTTTCTCTTTTGATCTTTGTTGGTTTAAAGTCTATTTTATCAAAGAGTGGGATTGCAACCCCTGCTTTTTTTTTTTTCCTTTCCATTTGCTTGGTAAATATTCCTCAACCCCTTTATTTTGAGCCTTTCTACCTTGGTGAATCTGATGGTTATGTGTCTTGGGGTTGCTCTTCTCAACGAGCATCTTTGTTGTGTTCTCTGTATTTCCTGAATTTGAATGTTGGCCTGTCTTGCTAGGTTGGGGAAGTTCTTCTGCATAATATCCTGAAGTGTTTTCCAACTTGGTTCCATTCTCCCTGTCACTTTTAGGTACACCAATCAAACGTACGTTTGGTCTTTTCACATAGACCCATATTTCTTGGAGGCTTTGTTCATTCCTTTTCATTCTTTTTTCTCTAATCTTACCTTCATACTTTATTTCATTAAGTTGATCTTCAATCTCTGATATCCTTTTTTCCACTCGATCAATTTGGCTATTGATACTTGTGTATGCTTCACAAAGTTCTCATGCTTTGTTTTTCAGCTCCATCAGGTCATTTATGTTCCTCTCTAAAGTGGTTATTCTAGTTAGCAATTCCTCTAACCTTTTTTCAAAGTTCTTAGCGTCCTTGCATTGGGTTAGAACATGCTCCTTTAGCTCAGAGGAGTTTGTTATTACCCACTTTCTGAAACCTAGTTCTGTCAATTCGTCAAACTCATTCTCCGTCCATTTTTGTTCCCTTGCTGGTGAGGAATTGTGATCCTTTGGAGGAGGAGAGGCGCTCTGGTTTTTGGAATTTTCAGCCTTTTAAACTGGGTTCTCCTCATCTTCATGGATTTCTCTACTTTTGATCTTCGATGTTGGTGACCTTCGGATGGGGTTTCTGAGTGGATGTCCTTTTTGTTGATGTTGATGCTATTCCTTTCTGTTTGTTAGTTTTCCTTCTAACAGTCAGGCCCCTCTGCTGCAGGTTTGCTGGAGTTTGCTGGAGTCCACTCCAGATCCTGTTTGCCTTGGTATCACCAGCAGAGGCTGCAGAACAGCAAAGATTGCTGTCTGTTCCTTCCTCTGGAAGTTTCGTCCCAGAGGGGCACCCGCCAGCTGCCAGTAAGAGCTCTCCTGTATGAGGTGTCTGTCAGTCCCTGCTGGGAGGTGTCTCCCAGTCAGGAAACACGGGGGTCAGGGACCCACTTGAGGAGGCAGTCTGACACTTAGCAGAGCTCAAGTGTTATGCTGGGAGATCTGCTGCTCTCTTCAGAGCCAGCAGGCAGGGACATTTAAGTCTGCTGAAGCTGTGCCCACAGCCACCCCTTCCCCCAGGTGCTCTGTCCGGGGAGATGGGAGTTTTACCTATAAGCCCTTGACTGGGGCTGCTGCCTTTTTTTCAGAGATGGCCTGCCCAGAGAGGAGGAAACTAGAGAGGCAGTCTGGCTAAAGTGGCGTTGCTGAGCTATGGAGGGCTCTGCCCAGTTGTAACTTTCCTGCAGCTTTGTTTACACTGTGAGGGGAAAATCGCCTACTCAAGCCTCAGTAATGGCAGACGCCCCTCCCCCCACCAAGCTTGAGTGTCCCAGGTTGACTTCAGACTGCTGTGCTGGCAGCGAGAATTTCAAACTAGTGGGTCTTAGCTTGCTGGCTCCATTGGGGTGGGATCCACTGAACTAGACCACTTGGCTCCCTGGCTTCAGCTCCCTTTCCAGGGGAGTGAACAGTTCTGTCTTCCTGGTGTTCCAGGCACCACTGGGGTATGAAAAAAAACTCCTGCAGCTAGCTCAGTGTCTGCCCAAATGGCCGTCCAGTTTTGTGCTTGAAACCCAGGGCCCTGATGACACCTGAAGGAATCTAGTCTGTGGGTTGCAAAGACCATGGGAAAAGCATAGTATCTTGGCTGGAGTGCACCGTTCCTCATGGCACAGTCCCTCACAGCTTCCCTTGGCTAGGGGAGGGAGTTCCCCAACCCCTTGTGCTTCCTGGATGAGGTGATGCCCCACCCTGCTTTAGCTGGCCCTCTGTGGGCTGCACCCACTGTCTAACCAGTTCCAGTGAGATGAGCTGAGTACCTCAGTTAGAAATGCAGAAATCACCCACCTTCTGTGTTGATCTCCCTGGGAGCTGCAGACCAGAGGTGTTCCTATTCGGCTATCTTGCTAGCCTCCCAGGAACACCTTTGATAACATGATCATTGCCTGACTTCCCATTTTGCCACCTCTTCCATTCACTTTTGAAACCTTACTTTAGAAAAGATCAGAACTTTTACTTGTACATCAAGGGTGATGAGAGGTGAAGTGACTAATTCTTTTTAGAACTTGGGACCATGGAAAACATGGGATTCCTCACTTTTGGAAGTTGTAAGCCTACAATCTTGGCAGTACAGCTTCTGAATTCTGATGCTGTAAACATATAACAACTTGTATACAAGACGGAGTGAACTCCGGATTCTTAGTAATTAATTTGTTTTACAGAAAGAGAAATGATTTTTTTTAAGCTTGGAAAGTAAGAGGATCTTACTGTTTAAATGCATTGGAAAAAATACGGCCTTATGAGTAACTAGCTAGCATTTAATGCACTTCAATCTTGATTTACAGTGAAATATGGAATAACTTTCCACTAAGCAAGGAATTTTCTCTGTGCCTTTTCAATTTCCCATCTTTATTTTCTGAAATAATTTTAGTATTTAGAACATTTATTTTTGCTTTTCTTCTTAGGTTTTTTCTTATCTGTGTGGAATGATTAAATTCCATTTAAAAATCAGTTAAATAGTTAACTCCAAATCCCAAGCCTGAAGTTTATTACTGTTTTCTGAATAACCATCTTGCCTCAGATAATTCACTCCATTGGATGTGGCCTGAAGGTATAACTCTACAACTCCAGACTGACTGTTTGCTAATGAAAGATTAGCTGGTTGTTTGTTCTGTAAAATTTCAAACAAGCAAAATAGCTACTCTTAATTAACTGAATAAAGACCAGACCATGTTGTCATTTCTTAAGTGTTTCCATTATTCTGACTCAGATAATTAAAAGGCAGATGGCACCTATTTGTTACACTGTGCATTCGTGTTGTGGGGCAGAAGCAAGGACAGGAATGGAATTGGATGATTTAAGCCTTCAAAAGCCGTCTCAGCTTTTCTTGCAAAAAGCAATTTTTCTCTGTTTCAAAATAGAGAAATTTCTTTTTAAAAATTTAGAGGAAGATAAAGCATCTCCTGTTCTTGTTATTCATCATCTCATTAAAAAACCCAAATTGTCATTCTTCTTTGCAGAAATTACACAGGTCCTTTTTCTAGGTAAATTAGAATAAAAATACAAAGTGGCTTCTGTATTTAAGTATTTTAAAAATGCTTAATCCTTAAATGCTTAAATTAATTAAATACTTAAAATACTTAATTAAATTTAAATTAAATAATTTAAATACTCAAATACTTAAATTCTATATTGAAGAATTTAAAAAATGCTTAATCCAGTAAGGTAAACTACTTGTTAAACGTATTCACTGATCTATTCAATAAGTTATGAAGCATCTACTGTGCACCCACCTAATCCTTAAAGCACCAGATAATTCCACACAGTTTTTACAGCTGAGCGTGTCAATTATCATTCTGAATAGCTCACCATAAAGTGCTTTACCAGATTAAACACAGATTTCAATTTTTTATTCACTTTGGCTCATGTTGCAAGATTAGAGAAATATGATACATATTAACTTTCAACACTCAATAGGCCTCATAGATCTGGAAACACATGGACCAGGATTTTATTTAAATATACATAGGTACAGGAAATGTTCAGGAGAATTGAATATTCTCCAAAAGAAAGGCATAAAGATACTGATATCTTATCATGTTTTGGTTTTCCCTCTATCTCTCTCTTTTTTTTTTTTTTTTTTCTTGAGACAGGGTCTCACTGTCTTGCCCAGGCTAGAGTGCAGTGGTGCAGTATCAGTTTACTGCAACCTCAGCCTCCCAGGCTCAAGTAATCTGCCCACCTCAGCCTCCCGAGTAGCTGGGACTACAGGAGTGTGCCACGAAATCCGGGTAATTTTTTGTATTTTTTAGTAAAGAAACATAGTTTCACCATGTTGCCCAGGCTGGTCTTGAACTCCTGGGCTCAAGCAATCCACCTGTCTCAGCCTCCCAGAGTGCTGGGATTACAGACATGAGCCACCGTACCTGGCCTTGTGTTTTGGTTTTAAACAACAACAGAAGAACCAGTTGACATGAGAGCAGTCAAGATTATCCAAAAGAAGCTTGGCCGTGCTCAAAGGTTGGAGTGAACTCACAGATAGGCTATGTATGGAGAAGCCGGGCCAACTAGAACACCCCAGGATAGTCATGAGGAAATCCAAGTCAAAGTTAACAGGAAATATACAGTTGTATTGGTGGGGTGATATAAATAGGAAAAAGAATAATGAGGTTAGAAATTGGGAGTATCTGAAGGCTCAATCTAAAATATGTAATGGCAAATGATTCAGGGCTAAGATTAAGCAAAAATGTTTGAGGCCCATTTTATGAGTATTGACAGCCTCTAAAAGTGAGAGCCTGGAGACCTAAAAACATTATAGGACAAGACAAGGGTCACTGATAAGCCCATGTATTAGCTCCCTATGGCTGCTAAAACAGGTTACCAAAAAACCTGGTGGCTTAAAACAACAGATATTTATGCTGTTACAATTCTGGATGCCAGAAGTCCAAAAGTGGTTTTACTGGGCTGAAATCAAGGTATTGGCAGGGCTGGGCTACCTCAGGAGGCTCTAGATGACTTCTGGTGGTTGCCAGCATTCCTTGGCTTGTGGCTGAGTCATTCTGATCTCTGCCTCTGTGATCACATTGCTTCCTCCTCTGCATGTGTTAAATTTTCCCCTGTTTCTCATTTAGTAAAGACACATGTGATTGCACTTAGGACCCACCTAGATAATCCAGAACAATCCTCCCATCTCAGTATCCATAACTTAATCTGTAAGGCTTCTTTTTTCCTATATCAGGTAACAGGGATTAGGACATGAATGTATTTTGGGGTGCCATGTTTTTAGCCTATGACATTCTGTAAGTTTCAGATGATGGAAAAACCCAGATTCAATTGGCTCAATGGTAGGAGAGAGTTCCGTAAAACTTAACCCACTGAAGATATTTCACCTTACTCTGATTTTATCTCCTCTCTACATCTCTCAGAGGTGAAACATGGAAGCCAGATAAACAGTTACAGCTATTTACTGTGGCACCTTGGCATGACTGTCATTCTGGGAAGCCTCTTAAAGAAAATTCCAGAGTCATGTTTAGGAATGTAAGTGAAAAAGCTCTTGTGGTGGAGGAAAGAGGGTAGGGAGGGAGAAGAAGAGACGAGAAGAACAGAGAGGAGGAAAGGGAGGTGATGTGGTTTGGGTCTGTGTTCTCATCCAAATCTCATGTCAAGTTGTAATCCCCAAGGTTGGAGGTGGGGCCTGGTGGGAGGTGACTGGATCACGGGGGCAGATTTCCCCTTTGATGTTGTTCTCATGATAGCATGTGAGTTATTGCAAGATCTGTTTGTTTAAAAGTGTGTAGCACCTCCCACTTTGCTCTCTTCCTTCTGCTCTAGCCACTTAAGATGTGCCTGCTTCCCCTTCACCTTCCTTCAGGATTGTAATTATCCTGAGGCCTTGCCAGCCATGCTTCCTATACAGGCTGTGGAACTATGAGGCAATTAAATCTCTTTTCTTTACAAGTTACCCAGTCGCAGCTATGTCTTTATAGCAGTGTGAAAATGGGCTAGTACAGGAGGGCAGGAAGGAATAAGAACTATTAAAGGGCAGAGTAAAGGTAGGAGATAGGGAAGGAAAAGAGGAGGATCTTATATTTGCACACGAGTATTCAGTTTTTAACCAGAGGTTTTAATCATTTTGATTGAATTACACAGCCATTTATAATTAAACATTAATTAATAACATTGTTTGTATGGATTTATGCGTGTTGACACAGCCTGAGTAGAAGAATCAAAGGCCAGCTCCTCTTCAAAACATCTTTTGAATTCCCCTGATAGAATTACTCCCTACCTCCTGCTTTGTTCTGCAGAGTATTTCATACATTGACTCGTAGCACTGCATTGTGACTATGCATTGCGTAGCTTTCTCTCTAGAAGATTATGAGCTCTGTGGGAGAGGAACTAGTCCATATAACTAATATTTATTGAGCACTTTTTCTGTGTTAGGCATTTTGAAAAGGACAATCCTATAAGATAAATATTTGTATTATTACTTTAAAGATGATAAAACCAAAGCAATGAAAGTTAAGTATTATCAAGTTCACAGAGCAAAAAAAAAAGGTAGAGCTGGGGTTTGAAGGCAGGCAGTCTGATTCCCAAGCCTTCACTCTTAAGTAATCTAATGTATTATCCAACCTTGTACCTAACACAAAAGATAATTTTTACTTGAATTGTTAGTAGTCAAATTCTTTGAAAGTTGAATGAGCTATTTTCTTTAAGATGTAACCTGACTTTACTGGAGTTTTTAAAAGCATTTTTTAAAGGAAAATTGTTGCCTTAGTGTCTCTTTCTCTCTCTTTCTCTCTCTCTCTCTCTCTCTATATATATACACACACACACACACACACGTATACGTATGTATGTATATGTGCATAGATATATATATACACATATATATGCATATATGTACATATATATATCGATGCCATCTCAGGTGAAGTGAGAAATGCCTCTGATTAGACGCATCAAAGAATGAAGCTGTAAGCCATTGTGATAACTTCAAACTTCAAGCAGCTTCCACTGGTGTTAGAGTGAGGCAAGGAAAGGTAAAATGAAGATATTATTTCAAGTTTATTTGTTAATGGACATAATTTATTTTGCACAACTGAAAAAATGGTCTCAGAAGGTCAAAATATACATGCAATCTGTATGGTGAATAAAAATAAATGAACAAAGTAGGGTTTGTGGGAGGACTGAGCTACTGTATTTAACTCATTGTTGTATTCAATAAACATTTATTGGGTGCCAATCTGTTTAGAGGCCTCCAAGGGGAAATTCCAAATGTGAGCCACTGAATAGTATCTCTATCTACCTCTGCACCATCAGGAAGTCTGGGAATGTCATCCCATCATTTGAACTTTGTTTGATAATTTTTTTGTATAACATCTATTTTTCTTAGAGAATTTAATAGCAACTTGAGGATAGGGATTGTGGCTCATAGTTTTCCTGTCTTCTGGTGATGTCTACAAGGACTGTTCTCACAATTGTTGGTTAATAAATAGTTGCTGAATGCATGAATAAATGGGGGAATCAGTCAATCGACAAAGCTTGTTTATTCCCAGTTTAAAAAACAACAGCAAAGAGTAGAAAATGTTACTAGGTTGAAACATTGATTTGATTCAAAGGTTTCAGGTATTGTCAAGGAATTCAAAATCTCTCTTCATCCTACCTTCATTATTTGTCTTTCTTTTTCTCCTTTACTCGTTTCTTTTTCCCTTTTCTATTTCTCACTTTTTTCTTTCTTTGTCCAACTACTAATAGTTCCCCATGATCCCTTTCATTAACTAAATAGATATGTGTGTTGATGGGGAAAGGAACGAGATTAAAAAATGTGATTTTGATTTTAGATTTTTAGGGTTTGCAATACAAGTGAGGTATCAGAAAGTTATGATATGGAAACATTAATTCATAGGGGGTGGAGCTCTTACATAGATTTGGGATTTATCTACATGAAGGTAATATTTGAAGGTGTGGGAGTAGGTGCGACCACATTGACTTAAACATGGCACCAGAGTTTACTTTACGGTGAAACACTGGCTTCTCCTACTTCTGTCAATGCTTATGACAGCAAAACTGTTAATAGCAATTACTATGTCTCAGACATAGTAATTGTAATTATAGTAATATGTTATTATATATTGTAGTATATATTGTAATTCTAGTGATATAGTTGTGTGCTTCTTAAAGCAATGTTGATACTATGATCTGATCTTACAGTCAGCTGGTTATTTGTAGTATTTGCTGAACTGTTATTCATCTAATTTCCTTTTTTCAGATTGTGTGACACAGGACAAATTGTTTAACTTTTCTAATATATTTAATTTTCTGTTTGTATGACTTTATGTTCTTCATCATTACCATTAACAAAAACTATATTTTGTCACTTTGTCACTTAATGTTTATGCATAATAGTAAAAACAGAGATCATTAAATGAGTGCTGCACTTTCTCTCTAATAGCCATTATGCTATGCTCTTTAGGTATACATTTATCTTCTCTAAGCCTCATAATAATTATATGAAAAAACTGAGGCTTAGTGAATATTATTAATTTGTTCAAGATGGACAGATAGTGAGGTAGAATTTGAAACAACGTGTCCAGTTACAAATACCATGCAATTCACCAAAGGTCTACTTTTCCTGATGGTACTGTCTCTTCTCTACTCTTTTCCATAGCCTATGAACATATTTAAGTCTCTTGCATTGTAAAAATGACAGCTTCTTTACTCTATTCATTCTCTTGTTTCCATTCTTTTTAATGACTTATTTTCTTAGCCAGACTTCTTGAAAGAACAGCCTGCAGTCACTTATTACCTGTATTTTCCTTTCCCACAGCACTTTGGTGCCCCTCCCACCATTCAACTTACCCTGCTTTGCCAAAGCTTTCCAATGGCTAAATCTAATGTTCACTTTTCTGTCTTTATGTCTTTCTTCATGTGCCCCTATGACCCTCCTTTTTGAAAAGGTTCTAATTATATGGTTCCTTGACAATTTTTCTTCATTCTCCTACCTTGGGCTCTTCTTGTAGCTGCCAATACCCAACGTTATTTTATAGTTGATGGTAAATCATTATAAATACTTTCCCTATGTGATCTATTCACCTTTATGACATTAACTATTGTCCCTATATTGATGACTTATAAATTGATATATTTGTGAAATTGCCTCTGAGATACGGATTCATGCTGATTTTCTTCTGCATATATACATTTGGGTGTCTCATGAACACTTAACTAAGTCTAGCTTGATTAATCATATTTCTTTTATGATCTGGTCTTCCTCTTGTGTTTATGATCACAGTAAATAGCAACACCGTCCATTCACTTATCCAGACCAGAAACCCGGAGTCATTCTAGATCCTTCCCTCCATCAACTTCCACATTTTAAATGCATCATAAATCAATTCCATCCTCTACATTTTGTATTATTCAAATTCATCTCTCTAGTGTCCTGTTTTGCCCTTATCAACCTATCATTCATGCTGCTGTCAGGATTTATCTGACAAAATTCTTCGCTCCTGCATTTTCTTTGTTTGTTTGTATTATGTGTTTGGTAACTCCAGTTTACCACGTGGTGCTATGGTGTTCTCTTCGCATCAAGAACATGCTAACCATGCAGTGCAAATACGATCATGTCACCTACATCTTAAGATTTTTTTAATGGATTCCTATGGCAGTTAAGATGAAAATTTAAACCTTCCCATGGCCTCCAAGCACTGTGGGTGCTCCCTGATAATTTTTCAGTCTCATTTTGAACACTTGCTGCCTGTTCTTTCTTTAGCCACACAGGCCTCCTTTCAGTTCATCAGACCTACTGTGCTACACCCTGCCTGGGAGCTCTTGAAGGCACTGCTTCCATATTGGAACCCTGTCTCCCCTTCTTCCTACCTGGCACACATAAACATTCCTATGAGTGCTTCAGTATACATTTTGTTGTTGTTATTCTAGGATCTTATGGATGGTATTGTGTTCCTTTCTGTCAGGGTGCTTGACATAGTTTGTAATTAATCATTAATGTGCTAATTTGATTAATGTCTATCTTCCCCATTTTCATTAGGCAAAGGCAATGACAATTTTCTTTATCATAGCAGTCCTGCACCAGTACTGCACAGCATATAGTAGGTACTTAAGAAATGTTAATTGAGTGAATGCTTTCTTCAATGTTTCTGATGTTTTGGTTGACTTTCTCTCCTCAGAAAATCATCTTCAGCAGACTGGTAGTCATCTAGAATAAATTACAAATGGGGTTTTCTGATAGAAAAGAATCTTGCTCTCTCTTAAAACACATGACATCTACACAATACACACATACACACTCACATTTACGCTCCACAAGGAGAAACTGCATGTAAGGAAAGCAGCTGTTTTCATAGTTCCCCAAGTCTTAATGTTATTTCAGATTTTCTCACATGAAATCGTATTTCCTCTACCTTACTTAGTTCTTAGGCCTATATTAATACTACTACTATCCCTCTTTGAATTCTGTGCTAAGAGGAAAAAATTATTTTCTTTTATTTATTCTTAGCACTGTTGACATTTTTTCCCCTAAAAAGTCTTGAATACCTAATAAGAAAGAATTGAAGTTTTCAAGGAACAGATAGGTTGCTGAACCTAGGCTACTCAGCTCTAGCATGATGATGGCAGATTTGTTTCCCCTCTCATTACGTCTGTGGTAGATTGATAAGGTCTGCTGGAGACAAGTGTGAGAAGGATTCTGAGGGCATGTCTAGTTTCAGTGGGAAAATGTACCATGACTAATTCATTCAACACATATTTATTAAGTGCTTCTTATGTAATTAGCATGGCTGGCCCAGGGAGTGGAAGAGAGCAATCTTTCTAGCCGTTCTCTGCACATTAAGTTTTGATAGGATTTTGTAAGCATTTTTATTATTTTGTTTGTCCTTTAGCTCAAAGCTTACCTCTCAGTGACATGGATTTTGGCCAGCATTTTGACTTCCCTGTCCCAGAAGCAGGTCTAATAGTAAATTTTTTTATATCATTGGACAGGAATTAAAAGCTGTTTCCTCATTAAAACACTTAAATTTTTGTGACTTGAGCATCCCATAGCCTATGTTTTATCTTCCTTTTTTTTTTTCTGTTATCTCTTTCAAGAGACGTACTTGGCTCCCATTTAATTTGTATATACAGGATTGTGACCCCTACCGAGCCCCAGTGAATAATCTGGCCCTTAAGTCTTGAGCTGTGGGGAAACTGCTGTCTGTTAACATTTTTTTCTTCCTTCTTAACAGGGATGGCGAATAAGTGACCAAATTAGGGATGTTTGCACATCTTGCCCTTTTCTGTTTCAGTCCTTCTTGCTGGAAAATGGGTGTGATGGCTGGAACTGTAGGAACCATCCTATAAATTTGAGGCTGGAAGGCATGAACTTGGGATGGGAGAGCAGAAGGCTAGACAGAGTCTCAGTCCCTGCTGAACCTAGTTACCCTTCAGGCTCTGGACTGCCTACTTTTAGATGTCATTTTATATGAGAGAATAGCACCCTCATATGTTTAAGCTACTGTAGTATGGTTTCTAGTATTTGCAGCTGAATATAATTCCTAGCAATACATGGGTGATTCAACTCTGGTTTCTCCTGGATTCTTTTATTATATCCTGATTTATGTGAGATCTCTCTCTGCACTCAGGAAGGAATCTTACATCCATGTTACTCTAAGACTGTAAGTTCCATGAGGGCAGTGAATGTGACTATTCTGCTTATCAGTGTTTCCTCAGTTCTAGCACAATGCCTCACACTTAGTAGTTGGCTTAATAAATATTTGATGTTCAAAAAAATGAATAATAAAACATACTTTTCCCCAAATACTAGTCATAATATATTCAAAAGAATAACAATCATGCAATTATTGGAGAGCTAATCTCTCAATGATGAATAAAATATTCTGCTAACTTGAGTGCCAGTGAATACTACATGTAGCTACAGATTTCTGTGGAATAAGAAAAAAAATGTTTGACATTAAAACACAATACAATTTGACATTTGATATTTATAAGAAATTTGATACTGATATTTATAAACTTTAATAATAATAATGTTTATTGTGTCTTAGTTTGAGAATTAAAAAAATCTGGTTCTTTTTAAAAATAATTTCAACTTTTACTTTAGATTAGGAGGGTACACGTGCAGGTTTATTACATAGGCATATTGCGTGATGCTGAGGTTTGGGGTACAAATGATCCCATCACCCAGGTAGTGAGCATAGTACTGAGTGGATAGTTTTGCAACCCTTCCCCCCTTGTCTGAGAAGAGATTCAGACAAGGTTTGTATCTTCTCCTCTGTTCCCACTCTAGTAGCCCCCAGTGTTTATTGTTCACATCTCTAGGTTCACTGGTACCCAATGTTTAGCTCCCACTTATAAGTGAGAACATGCGACATTTGGTTTTCTGTTCCTGTGTTAGTCTACTTAGGATAATGGCCTCCAGCCGCATCCATGTTTTTTCAAAGGACATGATCTCATTTCTTTTCATGGCTGCAGGTATCCCATGGTGTATATGTATCACATTTTCTTTATCCAGTCAGCCATTGATAGGCATTCTGGTTGACTCCTTGTCATTGCTATTTTGGATAGGGTGGTGATGAACATACAAATGCATGTGTCTTTTTTGTAGAACAATTTATTTTTGTTTGGGCATATACCCAGTAATGGGATTGCTGTGTTGAGTGATAGTTCTGTTTTAAGTTCTTTGAGAAATCTCCAAACTGCTTTCTACAGTGGCTGAACTAGTTTACATTTCCACTAATGCTGTATAAATATTCCATTTTCTCTGCAGTCTTGTCAGCATCTGTTATTTTTGACTTTTTAATAACAGCCATTCTGAATGGTGTGAGATGGTATCTCATTGTGGTTTCAATTGGCATTAGCGTGAGAACATTTTTCACACAAACTCATTGAGGCCTGGCAATAACTCAGTGACGGGATTGTAGGGACCATCATCTCCACTTGCTGAATGAGGAAATTCAACCTCAGAAAGGTGCAGTGGTGCTGACTCATACCTAGCAACTGGATAAACTATGGCTTGACTGCAGGTGTTCCGATTTCATTTTATACTGCAATACATATAAGAAGTTTTGGTGTTTTGGCTAACTCTGGGACAATCCTGAAATAGTCTCTAGAAACTTAATAAAACATCTAATAATTCTCTGATGTTTTTTTTTTACATATTATGACTTGTTATTCACAAATGTTGGGGTTGGAAAAAAATTTCTAAAATTTTGTTTTAGAACCATGGGCAGTCATCTTTATTGTGAGTATTTTTTTCCAAAATGGATCAAAACAGAAGCTATTCATTATAAGTAGGTGTTATCCATTTATTTATTCATTCAGCTTTATTGAGGTAAAATTGACAATAAAAAATTATATGTATTCAAGGTATACAATGTGATGTTTTGATATATGTACAGGTATACATTGTGAAGTGATTACCACAATCAAGCTAATTCGTATGTAGATGCTTTTATTTATTCTGGTAAAGAAGAGTCTTTGTTTTTAGCTCTGCTAATAATGTGGAGTGTAAACTACCTACCCTTTGTGCTTCAATATTATATCCACCCACACCTCAATTCTAACCATCTAAGCCATCTGAGAATATTTACTTAAGACAGAAGAGTGTGTAAAAAATTTTTTCTCTAGCCCAAAGCTCATGCTTTCTAATAATGCTTTTGAATTCTTTTTCAATGAGAGGAATTTTAGAAAAAAAAAACACTTATTTTTAAGGAAATTTTATTTTGTACTGTTGCAATGATATTAAAATGTAGTCAATGACGTTGTCTAGGGCCCATTTCATGTCAAAGTAGGAAACTCCTCCCCAACTCTCCAAATTGTTCAACTCCTAAAAAATTTTTCAGCTTGATATAGCTATTTATTTTTCTCATTGGTAAGAGCTTATATATTGTTTATTGCTGCATAAAACCACCCCAGACTTACTGGCATGAAACAACAGCCATTCTAACATCTTTATGGATTTTGTACCTCTGGCATTAGAACTGGGCATGATTGGAATGGCTTGTCTCTTCACCATATCTGGTGCTCAGTTGGGAAGATTAAATGACTGGGGCTGGAATTACAGAGGTTTATTTGCGTACATGTCTGGTTCCTGGGCTGAGATAACTTGGAGATTGCATTCAGCTGGGCCTTGCTACTGCAGTGTCTACACTTGGCTTCTCCCTGTGGCTTGGGCTTCTCACAGATGGACAGCTGGGTTTTGAGAGGTACATCTCAAGAGTGTTCAGAGAGCAAACACACCAAGAGAACTGCATGGAGACCTGCACAGACTTTTATAACATAACCTCAGATGTCACAAACTGCTCTTTCCACTATACATTAGAGTTTGAAGAAGTCCCAAGCCTGCTCAGATTGAAGGAGAGTGGATACAGTCTCCACATTTCTGTGAGAAGCATGTCAAGAAATTTGAGGGAATTTAAAGAAAAAAACACCACAGGTATTATGGAGCATTGAATTGCAAAGCAAAACCCTAACTCTTATCAGTCTTTTGTTTTAACTTCATCCTTTCTCTCATCACTTATAAATGTGTAATAATGTTTACTTCTTTCTACCTAATACTATTGAATCAAAATATCATTGGACTACGACATGCCGAAGAACAAGCAGAAACAAGGCCTGAGATAATTCACGAATGGGAGAAGACATGTTCTTTTTCATTCACCAAGATGAACAGAGAACTGAAGACTTACTTTTTTTGTGGGACAAAATATATAAGACAAATTAGGACTCTTTTTGAGACTTAATTGGAGCAAGAGGCACACTTATCTAGCAATTCTTTTTATATATTAAACTTTTCTACTTGCACTTAGCTTGACCTATGAAAACTTTGCCCCCATCTCTGTCTTTGTTTCTCCACTTTTCTTTTTCTGACTCTTTGTAAATTATAAGGAGAACTAAATAAGTATCTTCTTTATAAAGCATCATTTCTATTTCTTGATAATTGCTCTCCTCTTTCCTTTAGGTGTCATTTACAAACTTTCTTCCTTTCATTCTTTTCCTTTCTTCTATCATTCCTTTTCTGTCCTCTTTCTCTTCTTCTTTCCTTCCTTTTTTCTTTCAACAAGATCCTGGAATCTGACAAGAATGTGGCTTTAATGGAATTTGAACCACTATCTAAAGAGAATGTCAAAGAGCTTCTGTGTTTCCCTTCCTGGGCTTCACAGTGTCAGTGTTGGGGACTGTCCTTTGCTCTTCCTTGCTTTGCTTCTGAGAGTTTCATGTTACCGTTGCCGCTCATGATTCACATTATCCCAAGTGCAAATCATTACTTAACTAACAAAGAGGTGCACATCAATTTCTAAGGGAAGGAAGTAAGATATCTGTGTGGAATCTGACCAGATGTTACCAGGAAAACACCCTAAATCCACACCAGTAGGTGGAAAGAGGAAAGACCACTGGAGGGTTTTTCATCATGGATTATACTTTGCTGGTTTTCTTCTTCTTTTTTTCTGCTCACCCTTAGTCCTCTTGATTTTCAAGGGCTCAAGGATCATATCTAACAGTATTTCCAGGTTGAACTCTAGTGTTAGTCTTTCTATCTTCATGAAGTTCTAAATCTTCATTTATAATTGCCTTTGGGCCTTGCTTTCTATTTATTAATTTATATAATATTCCATATTTATCCCAAAGGATTTATGTAATCCTTTCATGAGATATCATGTGAATTTTCTGGAGTCCCCAAGACTGTGTGTCCTAAAATATCTTAAAATAAATTCTACCATTTTTCTGCTCCCCATTTTATTATTGTCTTTCTAGTTACTGGGCTACAAACTCATTTTTAGCTTCTCCTTTTTGATCAGTCTCCCTGTCTAATTGGTTATCTTGTTCTGTTCAAGGCTTCCTTACTCACTGTCTGGATTTTTGCAACAGCTTCCTGACTATGGTCTCTGCTTCTACTTCTCACCAGGATCTCTACTTCTCACCTACCCTATATCTGCCGCCAGAACACTCTTTTTAAAACAGAACTGCATACATTATTTTGCTGCTTAAAATCTTTCAGTGGCTCTCCCTAGCTTACAGAATAGAAAGTATATTTAAAGTTCTCCACAACGCATGCCTGCACTTCATAACTTTAATGTTTGCTAAGTGCTTCCTAAATATTTAGCTGGCACAGTTGTTTTCTATGTGCTAGCTGATTTAATCTAACTGATGGGGCAAGAACTACATTATTCCTACGTTAAAGTTGAGCAAACTGAGTTACAGAAAGGTTAACTGACTTGCCAGTCTTACAGCTAACAAAGTACAGGATTTTTTAGTTGATATGTTGTGTTGATGTTTACATTCACTTATTTGTTCTTCCATTTGTCAAACAGAAACTATTATTTATTTATTTATTTATTGAGTAGCTACTTTATCTTAGGCATTATACTAAGCTTTGAGGAAGTAGAAACATTCACTTTCCCACATTAAGGGGTGTACAATATAATGTAGCATGATAAGTTTCTTGATAGGTGCTCATGGGTTCTTAGCCCTGTATCCTGTTGGATATAGGAGAGGAGAGATCCCGGAGGCATCTAGGAAAAGAAATGGCACCTTCCAGGATCAAAGCAGTTGTCCAGGTAAACGATGGGGAGGATGGTGTTCCACACTAAGGGAGGAACATACGCAAAAGCATGGAGATGAGAGAGCATGGCCTGCTTAGAAAACTGGACATCAATGATGCATCAGGGGCATAGTCTGGAATGGGCAGAATGGAGAGACATGTGACTCTCAGCTGTGCTCAACTGCAGCCAGCTTATTGTGGGCATCTTCTTTAACCCTAGAGAGCTCAAACACTGTTCTGCATGTACTAAGGAGAACAAAAGAGAGGGATATTGTCATCTTTATATTTCATAGGATAATTCTAACTGCAGCTGGTAGAACAGTGCAGAGTAGATTAACACTTGAGACTCAGGTAATGTGAATAAATTAGGTTCTTTTCATATTGTTTGAATTCTAATTTAATTTGATGAGATCCATTGCTCATTTTGAACTCCTACCTTATTTAATGCTGACTAGCTGTTACACCCATGAAGTATTTAATTATGGTCAAATATTTCAGATAGGGTCAAATCTCTCCACTGCAGTGAAAAGGAACAGAAAAGTGCATAATACAAACTGATAGAAAATGTCAGCTAGTTAATTATAAATGAATGCATATTGTTTACATATATGTTTTGACTATTTTAAAATTTAAGAACTTCAAAACATTTTGAAAACTTGTTTCCAATCAAACAACAAAGTGGTAGTATGCAGAAACTCTAGGAGAAGTTAAAGAAGTATCCTGTTGTTCCATGCTGATCCTGTCTTTCTTTCCATAGCCTTCCTCTGCCAGATCTACCCTGGAAATTGCTGTCTAACTTCTCAAAAGTGTGCATAAGAACAGCCCTTTCTCATCTCCTTCTGTGATGAAAGTATATTAAAAAATTGCAATCCCCACCCACTTTTTCTCTATAGAACATGAAGTAAGAAAGCAGAAACAGAAGATATCAAACAAATTAGTCAGTGTTACCAATCCTCTATGGCCAGAGCTGGACATGGGTTTATAATTCTTTATCTGTACTTCCAAAATCCAAAAATCTCTGAAAAAGTAAAAAGTGTTTTTATGGCTAATTTGGCAGCAAAACCTGACTAAACCTGAACTCATGTGGTCACAACACCTGACCCAAGCTGGCAGGTGGCTTTTTATAATCTACATTTCACTTATACCACTATATCTCACTTATACCATTATATATCACTAATATACCAAATATGCACTTTTAAAATGTTATTGCCTGTTAAAATGTTTCCCTTAAAATGTATTTTGAGAGAATTATAGATTCACATGTGGTTGTAAGAAATGACCAGAGATATAGTATACTCTTCACCCAATTTCCTCCATTGGTAACATTTGCAAACTGTAGTACAATATCACAACCAGGAAACTGACATTGGTAAAATTCATGGACTTTTTTTGGACTTCACCAGTTTTACATACACTCACTTTATGTGTGTGTGTCTGTGTGTATTAAAATTCTGTGCAATTTTGTCACATGTAAACTTGTGTGACCACCACCATCAAGATGCAGAACAGTTTTCATCACAAGGATCCCTTGTGTTACCCTGTCGTAGTCACAGCCACCACCTTCACTGCCTCTCTTCCTGATCCCTGACAACCATTAATCTGTTCTCTAACACTTGGTATTTCAACAATACTGAATAAATGGAATCATACATTATGAAACCTTTTGTGATTGGCATTTTTCACTGAGCATCATTCCTTCAGAGATCCATACAAATTGTTGTGTGCCTTTTAATATCTGAAACATCTGAACTCCAAAACATATTTAGCCCAAAGGTTTTGGATGAGGGGCTGTGGAGCTGCTCTGAACGTCTGCCTCTACCCTGCCTGCTCTTTGAACCATTGAGGAGTGGGACTGGCAGGAGCCGGGGCTGTGTTCTTATCAGTGAATGTAGTGTGAAACCCAGTCTTCGGTGTCTGGTGTGAATGCACGGCCTGCTGCCATGTGCCATGTAACAGTTGGATCCTATTGCAGCTTCCTTATTCAATATTCATAGTCATCTGCTTCATTTGCCTTTGACTGGGTTTCTCCTCACTGCATTTTCCTTCTGGGCCCAGATTCTAGCCATAATTTGCTCTCTGGTTTCCCTAGTCTAGTTGCTCCCAGCCCCATTCCCTGAGACTGCACCTGGCTTCCTAGATCACTTAACATTGACTCAGATCAGCATGTGGATTTGTGACTCAGGGCTCAGATTTCAGAACTTGCCTTCCTCAGGCTCACCTTCGGGCCCTCCGATTCCCAAAATTGGATACAGGGTCTTCCTTGGAGAGCTTTCTGGTATGTATAGTCCTCATCAGTAGAGTGTCTTGATGTCAGTAAACTCCAGCCAAAAATATGGTTACTGTTAATATTTTCCAAAGTGAAATTTGTCCAACTTAAGCTGACATTATAGTTGAAAAGGTACTTTGGTAAATTCTATAGTGGAAATTGTCACTAAATGTAATAACTTAATCTTCTCTTATTGACATTTGACTTAAACACATCTCTGAGATGCGCGCGTGCGTGTGTGTGTGTGCGTGTGTGTGTGGCTAAAATTGCTAATAATGTTTAAGGCAGAGAAACGTGGTAGAATGGCACAAGATAGGGCATTCATCACACCTGTCTTTCTTGCATGTCTACCTGCTGTGATGAAAGATATCAAAATAGTTGATGTTATAATACTATTGTCCCAATCAACCTTGGTTAATTTATGTCTTCCTCTTGGAGAAAGCTAAACTGAGGAGGTCATTGTAGGTTCACTAAGACATTCTTTCTAGCCCAACAACTATTATAAAAACACACATCCAAGTGGAAAGCAAAAGCTTCATTTCTAATAATTCAGATAATTTGTTCAGGTGAAACAATTTTCTGAGAATTTCCAGATGTTTAAGTGTTTCGCTTTTCCATCTGGTGCTTGCTGTTGTATAGAGCAGTCCAGCATTGCTTTGTGATACTGTTGGTTAACACTGACTTGCCAGAAGCCTGTCCTGGGAATATCAATAGGATCCACTGATTCCCAGAAGAAATCAATTAGGAATGAGGAAAGAAGAGAAGAGGAAGAGGCAATATTTAACCCTCGCTTATTTTCTCATCTAACTCATTTTCAGTCCTCTTCCCAAAGAGAACAAATGACAAGGCTTTGGCAACTAAGATAGAAAATGATGGAAAATTAAAAACATATAGGGTAGTTTAAGCAATCTTTTAAACATTTGTACAAAAGAAATGAAAAAACTCTGTATGAGAAAGTTACGTATTTTTTAGTTTACATGAAAAAAAAGAAAAAAAGAATTAACCAGTTTTTCCCGGTTACAAATGTTTTCTTTAAATCTTTTTGTCTCAATGTTTTTTTTTTCTTCTTCTTCCCGTTCTCCTCTCTCCCCAAGCCCTAGCAATCACCAACATGCTTTCACAAAAAAACTATTGTCTCAATGTTTTAAGAAAACTTTTTGACAATGAAAATTGTCCCATTTTTTATGAAAAGTTTTCTGGAATAGCAATGCACTAAATTCCAGTGCTTTTTACCTTAAGTTTAAACAATTTTTTTCTTATGAAAAGGGCTTCAGCACTGAAGAAGCAGCCATATTGATAGGCCTCTGCTTTTGATTTGCATGTCAAAACTACTTCCTGAAAACTAATTCTTACTCTACTTTGCAAATCTTTCCACAGTTGAAAGAGTCATAAAATACGTAAAACAAAAAGCACACAAAAAAGTGCACATTTCTGACTGGTTACCCATGATGGAATGGTGAGGTCAGGGAAAATAAACAAAAAATAGAAACTGTCAGTCTATATTTTTTAGTCTAAATCATATATATATACATATATATACATATATATATATTTGTTGTTACCATTTGTTTATCTTAAATATTTAAATCATAACTTGAAATTGATCTTAGAACCTTACTACAATTGGATGCCCAGAATAGTGGCTAGCACAAAAAGTGGGTGTGGAATAAATATTTATTCCCTAAATGTATGCATGAATGAAGATTTTTGTATTTATTTTCTGTAAATTCTTATAAAATATCATATGACAACTCCAGAATCTGGACCAAAGCAAGTACTAATTTCTGAGTTCGGGCTTAATTTTAAATTATTAAGTTTGTGAAGTGTTTGGAAATGCTTTGCTTATGGAATGTTAGTTGCACATAACATAATATCACTCTTTGTTTTATATCTGCAAAAATAAATAAAGATTTGTGCTATCTGGTTTAATTATCTCATTAGAATTCAGTAAGCTATGTAAAGGCTGCCTTTTGGGGCTCATTAAGCCAAACTTCCCCATCAGTATTAGGAATGTTGCAAGTGAAGAAAATACATTTTAGAGCGGAGAGTGTGTTGTTGCTGAAAAGTCATTTGGTTGCTACAATACTGCTTGCAAGGAGGGAGGGGGCCTTCAGGCCAGATGGCAGGCAGGTACCTGGGAGGATTACATGGTGTGCAGCTCTTGCTGCAGAGGAAGAGATCAGTTTACGGTGCTGGGACCAGATCTTTGTGGCAGCAGGTTTCTGAGTGTTGATGTGCAGGGTCAACAAGCTTAATGTTTTGAGCTGGCTGACCCCAGTTTTACTGAAGAAATAGGTTGAAGCACAATGGTGTTTGGATTGAAATCTGAGTTCCCACAGAAAAATGCAAGCTCTTTACCGTGGCTGCAGCAGCAACAGCATTTGGTGCTGGTCCTGGGAAGTGTTTTAGTCTCCAGGGCCTGGGATCTAAATCTTTCCACCAGATTGAAAGTCTCATAATTATTTTTTTTTTTAAATAAAACATACAAAGCCACACGTCCTTCCCATTTAGTTATGCTGGACAATGAATCACATTAATTTGAAAAAAGGCTGTATAACTTGTGTTTTATAAATTGAGACTTTTCTTCTCTGTGTATTTTAAACTTGTCATTACCATGCCACGAACTTCTTAACGTGAAATCAAGGAAGTATTTTGCACCTGGATATAAAATGCCACATGTCTTGATAATCTTCCAATGTGCCACTCTCTTACCAAAAGGCCAGTTCTACTCTGTTGAGTTAACATTTTCTAACTGCAAAACCAATGGACTTGTCAACATATATTGCTCCAAATGACTGGATTTAAAAAATCCTGAAGAGAGTTGTCATTTTGATGTTCCTGACTGTATGATATGTAGCTATATGAATGTTCTTTTTATCATTTGAAATGGTTTTGTTTAGTCAGGCTCTTGCTAAAATAAAGTGCATTTCCATGTGAATTTATGGGGGCTTGCGGCCCCAAACTGCGGCTGCCTGCCTCGATTTTGGATTTGCTATTGATTCCTTTTATTGGTTTTTGGCAAGTTGCTGAGGGCATATGTTTTGCACTTTGCTGCCTGATGTGTAAGATTCTGCTGACATCCAGGAAAGTGCCACAAAAACCTGTTGCTCGTAGCCAAGCTTATGTGTTTTATGGCAATCCGCTGAGCTCAAGTTTCTTGACAACAAGTCTTATTTATGGAGAAACAAATGCAGGCAGTGTTTTGTGGAACCATGCTGCTCTCTTTCTGGGAGTAACTTTTGGCATTTCTATGCCAAAGGACAAACGTTATTTTAAACATCTCATATTTTATGTGTGATGGAGAAAGTGCTCCTCTTGCTGCTGCTGATAGATACCATTTATTGAGCACATGCCATATGCCAAGTAATATACATTGGCTTATCACCATAAAACTGCAAGGGAGGTGCTGTTGTCTCCATTACAAAGACAAAGAAGCTTAGGCTTAGAGAAGATAAGCAAATTTCCCAGATTTTTTAAGTGGAGAGGCTAGGATTTAAATTAGTTGTCTCTGAAGTTTATGTTTTTCTCAAAAGACATTCAAGATACAAATATTGCCCTTAATTTTTGAATAAAGAAAATTCTATTTTGTAATTTCCATTCTATTATATTACAATTATTAAGTTTATACCATTTATAGTGGTTAGTGCCGTGCAGATGGAGCAATGACTAAGACATCATTCCTGTTCTTTAATGACTCATAGATCAGAGCAGTGGTTGTCAATTGGGGGTGATTTTGCCCCTCCAGGGAACAAACATTTCCCAAGGTCTGATGCCATTTTTGATTGCCAGTTTGACTGAGTGAGTGTGTGTGAAGCCTACTGGCTATTATTGGGTAGAGGTTAGAGATGTTGCTAGGCACCCTGCAATGCACAAACAGCACCCACAACAAAGAATTATCCAGTCTAAAATGTCCATTGTAGCAAGGTTGAGATACCTTGGTCTAGGAAAAGAATCAAGACACCAAAAACATGCTGGGATTTTTGGTGTACCTTTAATGATGGTGTGGTAGATTGTATTCTTTGTTCAAAATACTTGCTGATATGTTTTGGAGATCTAGGAATTAGACCTCCTACTCCATTAACGCCAGGCTTGGCCATTTGTTTTGCTTGGCCATTTGTTTTGTTTACAATGAAATGTATGTAGAAGCTCACAGAGCCATTGTATAGTTTTGCCATCAATTTTTTCTCTCTGTCACAGGACCATCAGGTTCCAGGCAGGGGCTCTTTCCTCTGGGACCTAAAATGAAGACAACATGGAATAGAGAACTGGTATCATAACTAAGAAACAAATATTTGCTGAAATCCACTGAGATTTTGAAATGATTATTACAGCATAACTTAGTCCATGCTGACTAACTGGTGTGGTTGTTATTTCGACAGATGAGGATGAGGTAGAATTGTAGTAGGAGGAAAGACTGGAGTCAGTGTATACCAGGTTAGATTTTAATTTCATGTGTGGAAAGTTTAGCAGGAGTGAGAAAGGAAATTACTGCTGAGAGCAGAGGGAAAGGGACAGATACAGAAGGCAGGGGAACAGGGAAACCAGTTAAACTGTGATAATGGAGTCCCAGTGAGAGAAACGAGAACGTGCACATGGGCAGGGCCCATGTAAGTGAAAAGTTGGGAGCTTATGCAAGAGCGATTGGGAAAGAAAAAATTATTGGCCATGAAAATTTACTTGATGTGGACAATGATAAGTTGACTCAAGGATGACATTAAGATTTTGAAAGTGATTATCTTGAAAGATGATGTCACACAACAACATATTTTGGAATGGATATGTTACATTCCTTCTAGAGCCATTCAGCTTGAAATACAGATGGGCCATCTAGAGAGAGATATTCAAAGACAGTTGGCGGTGAGGGCCTGGAAAATGGGAATTTTGGCTTGATTTACATATTTGGGCATCATCTGCACATGAGTACAATTTGGACAATATTATCTAGGGAGAGTGATAGGAAAGGAAAGAGAAGGACAAAGAAAAGGAAGTCAGAGTTTGGGCAAAGAATGAACCTGATAATAGGAATGTCAGGCATTTCCAGTGGAGATGCCACGGCTGACTAGTAAGAAGCAGAGGTAATCATGAGTGTAAGGAGGCAAATTAATGCCTACTCCTTGGTTAACTGAAAATAAGTGCTTAAATGCCTTTGATATTACTCTAAAGCAGTTAAACCTTGGTTAAGAAAAAGGTAGTGCACAATTATAAGGTCAGGAATTTATGAACACTCATTATAAGAGTGTAAGTTCAAAGTTTTCCTCAATACAAAATGAAAACCAGAATAAGAGTAGCAATTATTTGGAGGTTAAAAAAACTTTAACTTATGCTTCAAAGTTTGTAGTTTTGAACTGTATTTTTATGTCTTTGCTGTGCCTATTCATTTGAAATGAGTTTACTACATTCTTTATTTATTAGTTATGCTTTTAAATAAAAATATGTTCTTGATTAGATCATGACCTATTAATCTTTCTTTCTCACTTCCATACCTCAGGGACATCTACCCAGAAGATGTTTACGATCATAACTGAAGGGCTGAGCTTCCTGTCCATTTCCTCCCCTGCTTTTCCAGCTTCACAGACAACATGCCCATGACTTTTGAAGTTTTGCCAAGGGCTGTTCCATGGGTGAAAAAGATTGGTGAAATGCTGTATTCCCTAAGAATAAGTCAAAACACCACCCATTTTTCTTCCTCTGTCTTCACACTTTAGTATGTTAGGCTCCTGGGACATTTTGTTAGAGAAATGTTCACTTAGCAGATCACCATCAACCGGCTATTGGCTGCAGGAATAACAGAGGCAATGCTTGAGAGAAGTCACAGGTATACATGAGATTACCCAGGGAGAGACAGCATTAAACATGCTAGTGTAAAATGTCACTCATCTGTGTGAATATAACTTGCCCCTCTTCTAAAAGCAGTACTAACCTGAATGATTTCATCTGGAATATTAATTTTCTTCAATTTCCCTGCCTAATCAATCTGTCAGTTTGCATTTACCTTAAGATCTTATGGCTTTTCTCAAACTTAAGAGTTTAGGACACAGTCTTCTTCTAGGCATTTATCAAATGATTAAATAAGGCTGATTATTTGGAGATCTGGCTGTTTACACCAGAGAAGGCTGATTCGCTAATCTTTTATTTCCTCTGTCTAAACTGCCTTATCATCATCGGTAAAGCATCTTCTGATTGCACAGTGAATTGGAATGTTGGAGTTTAATTGTGGAGACTCATGTGTCCAGGTGCTAGATAACATTCTACCTCACCTCCTTTGTTAGGAGCCCAGCATCCTCATGTGCCTCAGGCTCCTTCCCTATAGTGGCATCCCACATTTTGCTTTAGGTTCCTGACCTTTCCTTTCCACCTCTTTGAAAGTTTTGTACTCATTGTCACATAGTCACATGGCAATTCATTGACATTGGTGGCAGACTGCTAATTTGATGAGCTAATCACTGGAATATATTACTGAGAGTGGCCATCTTAATGGGCTTTTTTCTTGGTTGTGCCTTTTCTGTTAATGGAGGCTATTTGGAGACATAAAAACTTAACCCAAATAACTGTCATTGACAGTACCATGTTCAGGAAAGTGGAGGAGATATTCTTGAGAAGACTGTAGGCCTCCTTTTAATTACACCACATTAGTGATCAGCTCTTTTGCCACTCCACTATGTATGTGTGAACAATGAAAACTAAATTCCGTTTTGATGTGCGTTGAGCAGAGATAAGGCCATGACCCATTATTAATATTGTGGCATTTTAATTAATGACTAGGGCTAATCAGATGATTTAGTTTCAGGCAGTTTTTTAGATTCAAATTCTTCTATCATAATTGATATTACAAAAGCCTTCTGAAGAAACTACATTATTCACAAGACTCAGTTAAGACAGCCAAGGAGCCCCCTCAGAGTAGGTCCTGTGAGGAGGGTGGAGTCTCTAATCTCTTTTTCTTCCTAGTGATCATCATTGCTTCTCTACACTGGCGGCATAGTAAAAATGATACAGCAAGTCATCCTATGAGTGATGGTGGAGTGGTGGACCACTCTTATGCTTAGAATGAAGCTAGAGAAAGTGAGGGTAGGAAGATGAGGATAAGGAAAATGAAGGGACTATGGGTTCTAACTTCACAGCTTGGATTTTGTTGTTGTTGTTTGTTTGTTTGTTTGTTTTTTAAATTCACTCTACTTGTTAAAACTACATAAAATACCAATGAGTCAAATACTAAGTATATCTAGTGGTATTCCTTAGGTATCTTCTCTTTTCTAGGATGTACAAACGTTATGTATCTTCTCTTTTCTAGGATGTACAAACGTCTGTGCCAAAGGTTCTGCATGGAGGTTTTAGGTCATCGGGCTAGCTGGATAAGGAAGCCATTTTCCTGTGATACTGACAGCATTACAGTTGAAATAATTAATATCTCAGTTTAAGAATGAATCAGAGTCAAGTGCCACATCTAAGAAAAATCAAAGCAACCAGAAAAGAACTTTCTCAGACTCTCACCAACCCATCTAACCAATGACAGCATCTCTAGTGTCATCACTTGCCTTCCCACTTGCTTCCATGGATGAACTTCTGTGTCCTCATTATGACCAATCTCTCCACTTTTTCGCTAGATCACATCAACTCTTATCTACCAAAAACATCACTCCAGCAATTTTTTTCTTGTCTTTCCTACGTTATCAAGTTTTACTCTCTACTGATTCTTAGCCACAATCATATATTCTGTTATCATTCCCATCTTAAAAAAATCTTTTCTTGACCCCACTTCTTCTAGTGATTGTGCATTTGTAGCAACATTTTAAAATTCCTTTTTTTCTATTCCTTTTTGAATCCACTCTAATTTGACTCTGTCTTTGACCGTTCCACTAGACTGCTCTCATCAAACACACTAATGACTTTCATAGTGCTAAAGCCAATGGTCAATTCTCTGTGGTCATCTGACATGACCTATCAGCAGCAGTTGACACAGTTCAGCACACCCTTCTCGATGAAATGCTTTCTTCATTTGGCCTCTATGGCACTTCAGTATCTTAGTGTTTTTTTTTTTTTTTTTTTTTTTTTTTTACATGTTAGACTCTCCTTTTCTGCTTTATTCCATCTTTCTATTATCCCTGACTTCCTATTGTCAGAGCCCCAGAGTTCAACCTTGATCTTCTTCACTTTCCTGCCTACACTCACTTTTTTGATGCTATAATTCAGTCTCATGGCTTAAAATGGCACCTACATTCAAAGACTTCCACATTTATATCTGTAGTCTAGATCTCATGTAATAAACTCTCTCCTTGACATTTCCATGTGAAGGTCTAATAGACAACTCCAACTTCATATATCCCAGACTGAACTTTTGATCTTCTTCCTCAAAGCTGTTCTATTTGCACACTCACCCATTTCATTTGATGGCAGCTTCATCCTTCAAGCTGCTCAGGCTGAAAAAACTCAGTCTCACATCTAAACATTCAGGAAGTCTCGTTTGCTTTACCTTTCTACCTCCTACACTGCTACTGTGCTGATGTGAGTGGCATTGCTGCTCACCTGGATCAATGCCATTGCCTTGTAACTGTTATCTTGGCTCCCATCTTGCTCCTCTAGAATCTGTCCTTCACAACAAAGCTAGATTGGCTTTTTTTAGAAATGTAAGTCAGATCACGTTGCTTCTCTAATGGATTAGAGGAGCAAAACCCACCAATGGATTCTCGCCTTAATTAGAGTAAAAGCTGAAGTTCTTACCTGACACCATTATCTCTCTGAGCTGATTTCCTGATAACCTTTCTTCTTACTCCCTTCTAGTCACACAGTGCTTAGGGCTTTTGCACTGAAATGCTTTGCTCCCATGTAGCCATGTGAGTAACTCCTTCACCTCCTTCAAGACTTAATTCAAATATCACCTTCTCAAAGAGGCCTGCCCTGACAAAACCACTTAAAATTGCAAATGCTTCCACCTTATTCCTAGTGCCCTTGAACCCCTTTGTAGTATTCTGTTCATTCCTTTCTTCTACAGCATTTATCAACCTTTAACATACCATGAAATATATACATTTATAATGTCTGTTTATTGTCTGTCACTTTCTTCTAAAATGTGAGCCTCATGATACCAGAGATTTTTGTTTGTTTTGTTCACTGATTCTCAAATGCCTAGAAAATTTGTCTAGAATGCTGGTGATCCATAAATATGTGTGAATTGAATCAATGAGTAAATAATGTCCTTTACCAGGGAGAAAAGTATCATAAGGTCAGAAGCTGGGAAGATCGGGAGGTCGAGAAGGGGAAAGGCAACAAATAATTCAAGATGGGGACCATTAACAAGCTTAAAATATCAGAACTTTGTATTAAGTAGTGGTGGTGAATGAACAGCTGCAATTTACCATATAGCATAGAAATTCTAGTTTCTTCACTATTCTACATATGATGTGGCTTCCTTCATCTCCACTACCTGATTTTCCCCTTTGTTCAAAATGAAACATGATATTCCAGATGCAGTCAAACCAGTAGCCTATTATTCTCCTTTTGTCTGAACTTACATGTCCAGGAAAGTAGTGAAAGAGATTATTAACTTCCTAGGGTTAAATGACACATGACTTACATTGAGCCTTCTGTCAGCCAAACTACAAGTAACTTTTGTTTATTTTTTCACACAAACCATACTTAAACAAAATCTGCTCAATACTATTATTTTAACCTATGTATGACTTTTATATTTTTTCCTATTAAATTATAGCTTTTCAGTGAAGATCCATTCTTCCAACCTGTTAAGATCTCGGTCCAGCATTTTAGTAAGACTTCACAACTTTTTATTGTCTGGAAATCTGAGAATTTTAAAAAAATCTTTAAGATATTCACAAAATAACTTCCTGGACAGGGCCCTGTCCAACAACTCCTGTGCCAAACTACTACAAATCTTCCTTCCCACAATAGCAGGATCTATTTAAACCAGCTATTTCTTAATCTTGCCCACAAAATTGTTACTGAATAATATTTCAAATGCTTTGCTGAAATCAAAGTATACTATGTCTATGGGATAAAGAGAAAATGAAGCCAGTTTGTCAGGATTCTATTAGACAAGCCCATGAGCCCTTTGTATGAGCTCACAAACCATCTTTTATTAATTCTGTCTTGAGATTGGGCTTACTATCTGCAATTTGAAGATTTGATCTTTTCTATCACAGTGACAACTTATCTCTGTTTATTTTGTGACTTATATTTGGAAGAAATCATTCATATACTCCTTCTGGATGGGTGGTCCTTGTCATTTAAAAATACGAAAGCAATTACATATTATTTTCCATAAATGCATATATAAAATCTTATTATGTAGCTTTTAGTGTCACCTTTCTTTTCCTATTTGGTTTGGCTCTTTTTCCTCTCCATTCCTCTTTCTCCATTCACACTGACCATCCACTGCTCCTCCAGGTATTCCATGTTAACATCTTGTAGACGTATTTCCATATACCACTCATATATAATTGTAGGTGATCCTCTTTTTTTTTTTGAGACAGGGTCTTGCTCTGTCGCCCACCCTGGAGTGCAGTGGCACGATCTCGGCTCACTGCAACCTCCGCCTCCTGGGTTCAAGCAATTCTTCTGCCTCAGCCCCCTGAGTAGCTGGGACTACAGGCACATGCCACTATGCCCGGCTAATTTTTGTATTTTTAGTAGAGACGGGGTTTCACCATGTTGGCCAGGATGGTCTCGATCTCCTGACCTCATGATCCACCTGCCTAGGCCTCCCAAAGTGTGGGATTACAGGCGTGAGCCAATGTGCCTGGCCTGTAGGTGATCCTCTTTAAGAATTCTCAGCTAGCTTATTTCAGAGAATCAGTTGATTCTTCCCTGAGACATGGTATTACCCATAAAACTGTCCTTGAAACAACCTTTATACTTTGAGGCTCCACCTAAAAGTTATCAAGTAATTCATTTTTCTGTTTGTTCAATGAGATTTCTTGAGCTCATCCAATGTAGTAGGCACTGTGCTGGGTTGTGTAGTGATTCTAAGCCTTGACAGTTTTGAGTTTAATCCACCTCTCTACCTTTCACTCTTGCCTCTAGAAAAAAAAAATCTCTTTGACTTTGAAGTTTTATATTATGAGCTTAATGTTTGTGTCCCCCCAAGTTAATAGGTTGAAGCTTTAACCCCCAGTGTGGCTGTGTTTGGAGATGAAACCTCTGAGGAAGTAACTGAGTTAAACCATGTCATAAAGGTAGGGTCTGGATCTGATAGGTTTAATGTCCTTGTAAGAAGAGACACCAGAGAACTCTCTCTCTCTCTCTGGTGCTCACAGAGGAAAGGTCATGTGAGGACAGAATGAAAATGTGTCATCTTCAAACCAGGAAGAGAGCCCCATCAGAATTCGACTATGCTGGCACCTTGATCTTGGACTTTCAGCCTTCAGAACTATGGGAAAATACACATCTGTTGTTTAGGCCGCAAGTCTGTGGTATTTTGTTATGACAGCCCAAGCAGATGAATACAGATTCCCTATGGGCTTAACCCTATGTTTCATTATCTATGGCTGTGTGCCAAGCTACTTCAAAACTTAGTGGCTTAAAACAACAATGGTTTATTATTTTTCATAATTCTCTGGGTTGAGTGAGGATCAGCAAGGCAGTTCTTCTGCTGATCCTATCTAGGGTCTTCACTCAGCTGGGAAAAACCTCTAAGATGATCTCCTCCTTCAGAGTTTCTCTCATTTGGATTCTAATCATTCAGTAGCCTAGTCAACACTTCCTTCCCTTGCAGCAGCTGGGTTCCAAGAGGAGATCTCTTCTCTTAAGAACTGTGCTAAGAAGTTTAGAATGTCACATCAGGCACAATCTACATGCCAAAGTAGGTCTCGAGGCCAGCCCACATTCAAGGGGAGGGGAAATATGCCACAACTCGGGGTGAGTAGTAACATGCTGGTGCCAGGAGAAGAGAGACTGTCTGGGGCCATTGAGATAGTTTGAATGTATGTCCCCACCAAATCTCATGTTGAATTGTAATTCCCAGTGTTGGAATGGGACCTGGTGGGAGATGTTTAGGTCATGGCGACAGATGCCTCATGGCTTGCTGCTGTCCTCGTGGAAGTAAGTTCTCCCTGATCCTTTAAAACTGTGTGGCACCTCCCACCTCCCTTGCTCTTGTTTTTGCCATGTAACATGCCTGCTCCTACTTCACCTTTTGCCATGAGTGAAAGCTACTTGAGCAAATGCCGGGGTCATGTTTCCTGTACAGCCTGCAGAACAGTAAGCCAATCAAAATCTCTTCTTTATAAATTACTCAGTCTCAGGTATTTCTTTATAGCAATGCAAGAATGACTGAACACAGCCATCTTTGAAAGACTATGTGCCACACTTTTTGTCATCTCTTCTACAAAATTCTCTGTTCATTTTGTCATATAGGAAGTACTTTTTCTCGACTTTGCCTTCCTAGCCCAATTTGTGTTTAACGCCAAATGTCTGAAAGATTCTCTCAAGTCAACTTCCTTTTCCCCATTTTCACTGTAGCCAAGAATTTGGCCTTATATTAATTCTTCTTGGCTACTTCAATCACTTCTAATCCAGTACCCCTTTCTCCAGACTCCCCTTCCAACCCATTACATATATTGCTGTTAGATTAATTTCTATAAAGCAAAACGAAGACAGCCTGACACCTTTCCTAAAAACCTCAATAGCTCCCCATTGTCTACTAAATTAACACTAACTGATATTCAAACAAGGTAAAATATGGCTCGCATCTATATTTTCCTGATTGTACTACATACAATGTGTTTTTCCTGTCTCATGAAATGTTCTTTTTTTCTCTATTTCCCAACTTCTCTATCAGTCATATACCTTTATCAAAGCCCATCTTCCAGCTTTTCTGTGGAGCTTTCTCTAACAGCCCCAACTGGAGATGATCTCTTCCTCTTATATATTCCAAGCAGTATTTATTTCTTGTTTTTCATTGAAGTACTACTACACATAGTATTTGTTTCTAACTCTTCCTACATTCATTCTGTTCTGCCTTACATTATAGTTGGTTATCTTTATTGGAATCATTCCCTTCTACAAGAAAAAGAGTTATTTGAGGTCAAAGCCTCATTCAAACCAGGTTCTTTGTCACCTTCAGTGCTTGACATAGTATCTGGTCCAAAATATTTGCTTAATACATTCTTGATCTATTGAGTTGGATGGAATGTGTTAGAATTATAGCACCATTTATTTCTAGAAGTCAACCTTAGAAATCTCCACTTTTTGGGAGTGGAGAGAATTAGGAAGAGACCTGTGGGGGAGAAAGAGGGGCCGCAGGGATTCCAAGTGCTTCCCACCCTCCTTTCATTGCACCCTTGCCATTTGTATCAGGCATTCCTTACTTCCAGTTCTTGGACCAAATGGAGACAGAGCTTGCTGGTTGAGAGCCACAGAGCTTACCATACCATAGGGATTTTGGGGGGTGAGGGGTGGGTGGCAAGAGCGTATTCTGCAATATACAGGGAAAATATATTGATTTAATAACATGAGTACAAATTATGATTATTCATTATCTGAGTATTGTTACCTGTGTGACCTACTTTCTTTTAAGACCCCAACTATGTAGATTGTGGCTATAATACTCAGCAGCATTAAATGTTGGTATAAGACACTGTTGTGGGCTGAGTTGTGCCACCTCCTAATATCCTGTTACTTCAGGATGTGACTGTATTTGAAGACAGTAATTTAAAATGATCTTAATCTAATATGGCTGGTGTTCTTATAAGAAGAGGACATTTAGACTCACTTAGAGACACCAGGGATGTGTGCACGCACAGGAATGACCACGGGACAAACACAGTGAGAAGGTGGCCATCTGCAAACAAAGGAGAGAAGCCTTAGGAGAAATCAAACTTGCCAAGACCTCGATCTTGGACTTTTAGCCTCCATATTTGTGGGAAAGTAAATTTCTGTTGTTTAAGTCATTCATTCTGTGGCATTTTGTTATAGCAGTCCTAGCAAACTTATACAGCAAAGATACAAGCATTTTGTTGGTGTAGTTTTTCTAATCCTTCCTTCTCTAATGTTCTGCAGGTACTGCAATGACCTTTTGGTCCCTTTGCTATTTAGAGAAATTCCTCGGGTCTGATCTCAGGTATCCTGAGCACAGTATCATTTCTATGAATATTAAGTTTTGGCAAAATCACATGAAAAACACAATTCTCCTGAGCTAATTGAAAAGCTGGTCACAATGGGGCTACCATTGTAAAAAGCATTTAGAGTGCAACATTTTGTCTATTAAAATTCAGTTCTTTTCAAACCATGCATAACCTTGCCTGGGACACACTCTGAAAGCACTTTCTATTTATGAAGTTTATTGTTCTATTTACTTGAATTTTTCTTCCAAGTTCTGCCTGTGACATTTTTATCTCCTTTTTATAAGGACAAAATAATGGTATACCAGGAGGTTGGTAGAAAACAGACCCTAGAATGATTTTCAACTTTTAACCATGCTCAGATTTCAAGGCCAAGTGACTCAATGTAGCATGCAGAAAGATTGAGTCAGGGCCTGAGGATCAGGCCATGCAGATTTGAAAAAAAAGAAAAAAAGGAAAAAAAAGGACAGAGAGAGATGGGAAATGGCTGGAGTGACTCAGAATTTATTCCCTGGAGTCCAGACCTCCTTGAGTTTCCTTAGCTGAATTCCCGTAGTTAGTTTTGTGTGTGTTTGTGTGTGTGTGTGTGTGTGTGTGTGTGTGCTTAAGCCAGCTTCTAATCTGTTCCCTGCTTTACCATGGAAGCCTTTGTCCCACAGCTGGGGCTCATTTGGTTTGGATTTTCATCTATAAATTGCTGTCAGCAAGGATCTTTGGGAGCTAATTGGTGAAAGTGACCTAACAAGGAACTCCAGAGGGAACCAGAAAGACTCAGAATTTTTATCCTTTTTCTCTTCCCCCAAGAATTTGTGTTACCCTTTGCCAAGGAACAACTAGCTTTGAAGCTTGAGTAATCTTTTTTATTTAAAAGGTAAAAACCACCTTAGATGACATGCCATCAAACAAAACCATGTTTCTTAATCCTGTAGTAGAGAGCAAGGAGTGGCTAGTGTCTGGTATTCAAAGTCCCATTTGGACATACTTCAAAGAAAGACTCCAGGCAGAACGGCTAAAAGCTTTGCCAACACCAGGATATATACATATTTCCAGTTGCTGGGGCCTGAGCTCAGTTCCTGCATCTGAGGAGGATAATAATTGCTGTGCTTTTCATCTTTTTTTTTTGCAGCCTATTAAATGGAGGCCACTTCACAGCAGGACACATAGGTTCACAATAATAATAGCAAAATCTGTAATGATTTGTTTTCCCTTTAGAAAGCATCTTTGCAGTAATCCTGGGACTTAACCGAAGTGCAGAAATTTAACTTGAAATAAAGGAGTCTGGGAAGAGCTCAGGTGATGGAAAAGCAAAACTGGCATCTAAGAACATCTAGGTGTAGTAGGTGTGAATTTCAGTTCACAAACTAAGGCACGCAAACATATAACTTTTAGTTTTTATGTAACAACTATTTTTTATCTCTAAACCTCCATTTTGTGAAAGAAGTGTTATTTCATCTCAGTCAATTCAGTGTCTTCAATGTCCTAATGATTCCTAAATAGCCTCTACCCAATTCTCTGAAATAGGAAGTTTCAAGGTCTCTATTATCCTGTTGGGACTTGGTCATTTGCCTCTACGGCTTGCTGTCCTGATGCACCTTGTGCCTATGTCTAGCCCTGTTGGCTCTGGCTCCGTTGACTACTTGCATGAAGAGTCTGTGAGTACAAGAACTATCAGATCATTTCACAGGGCATGTGAGACTCACCATGTGTGTCTCAACCAGCCATTCAGCCAGTACATCCCCAAGGGTTTTGCCAACACCTTGAGGTTCTATAAGGAAGGAGTGGTTCTTTATTTTTTGGAGATTTCATACCTTTCTTGGGCTTGGCCACATTTTAGGGGCAGAACAATTGCCCCCTCTAGACTCACTCTCATTGTTTTGTCGCCAACTGTCTTTTCTCTTTCCCTTCCCCAAGCCAGGGGGATATTTTGTACATTTCAGTTGAGACAAAGGCATTGCGGGGAACTCTACCTTCCCCAATCTCCTTGATTTGAGAAGCTCAACATTTCTTACATCCCTTGGTCTCAAACACTTGCTTATGTCAGGAGTGCTTTCTGCACCTAAAGACTTTGTCTTCGGAAACATTATCTAGGAAAATTTTTGCTGTGTTTTGCTTTCTGCTCGGTTATATTCTTCTCCTATGCCTAGGAGTATAGGCTTCCCAGGGATTGGGATGAAAGTGAGGGAGGTAGGAAGCAGAGGAGGGACAACTGAGGAGCTTGTAAGGAAAAAAATCTTATTTATTAACATTTCAGATATGATGGCACCTTAATAGCTGCTTGTTTTAGTCTTAGGACTGTGCTGGGACAATGCCCAGCAGCCATATCTCATCTTTCACTCGTAATTTAGAGACTTTCCTTATCTGTTCTCATGCCCATCCCAGTCGCTACCTCTGCCCTCCCTACCGCCCTTAAACTCTATTATCTTAAGCAGTTCTTTGGCCGCACAAGCATTACCCAGGAAGCATCATGTTCCACAATTTCTTCTTGCCTCGTGTATGGATTCCCATTCCTGAAGTCCTTTCTAACCAACCACGCAAAAGATTAGGGAAGGCTCTCCCTGTTATTCACTCTTTTGGTGCTCTATTGTTCTTTCTTCACATGTCACAGTAGCAATTATTTAATTTTGCTACAATTTGCTAAATATGCATCTTTCCCATCATGAAAATAGGGACTATTCTTTCTTGTTTACTACTGTAGCCATAGCACTTGGCATATAGTAGGTATGGGATAAATAGGTATTAGCTAATGAATTAATGAATGATAAACTAGCTATTCATGTTGCAGGGAGTTCCCACAATGTGAACAGTAGGAACTTACCACATGAGTTCCTACTGCTTCATGCACTTTCACATAAACCTTATCCATATCCTTACCCCAGTTCTCTGAAAAAAAGCTTCGTTATCCCTGTTTTGGAGCAAATATTCTGAGGGTCTAAGAGTTGGGGGAGATTGTTTCTAAGGTTATTCAGCTAATAAAAGGCAAATGTTTATTGATTCACTATTTAACATATGTTTTCCTTAGCATCTGCTTGTCTTTAAACATAATCTTACACCTTCTATGAGTGACTGATACCTCACTAGATGATACTTACTTTTTCAAAAAGAGTCATGATTAAACCAAATGAGTCTCCAGTCAGGTTAGCGCCCAGTGGAAAGAACTTTAGGCAGATTATAGTGCCAGAGTTGGTTGGAAATCCTTCCCTACATTACTTAAATTACAATATAAAGATGTTCTTGTGTTCTGCCCCCTTTTTCCCTTTCTCCTAAGCACCAGACCTGTTCCATTTCAAATACTGTATTCATTTCATTTTTTAGGGCCTTTGTTTCAGAGTATGAGTCTGTGACTGTGGCTCAAGTGTCTATGCAAAACACTGAAAACAAAGCAGAAAATTCCCCTCTTCCCCCAAAAAAGAACACATTCCTATTTTTTTCTATTAGTGGTTTGTGTTATCAAATGTAAGAAACATGTGCCAAGATAAATAATTATGCAATAAAAATATGATGGATTTTGTGACTTTAAAAGAATACATCAGGGGCAGGTTGTGGTTGGTTGGGGGAGATTAATATGCACAGGGGACTGGAAAGCAATTTGAAGGAGAGGAGGTTTACACTGGGCCTCAAAAAGTATAAAATTTCTTTATACTTTGAAGCAGGCAGGCAGATAAGAGGTGATTGCAGCAGTAATGGGCATTCCAAGAAAACCTAGTGGTTTATCCTGGCTCTAGATCTTCAATTTAGAGAACTTCCGAGAAGTACAGGCGGCCCTAGGGTCAGCTTACAAGTTGGAAAATAGCACATTCGGTTTGAGTTTCATTGAGGTTTGAATGTCTCGGGGCCAGCTTAGGTGTACCTCAAACAGAGCCAAAACTCTAGATCAGTTTCAGAGCTCTCCTGCTCTCCTGGATATGTTCCTGACCACAAGACCAGTCTCTGGGTCACAGCAGCTGAGATCGGGAAGCCCTCCCCAACAAACCCCCCACCCACTGCAGATGGAGTTAGTAATGGTCCGGGTCGAGCAACCTCGGGAACTCTTGCTTGTCCCCTGGTTGCCATCATGGCAGTGTTCACTTGGATTACAGGGCCGCCTTCCCTCCATGCTCTGGACTCCTTGAGATCAGGGTTCTGTTTTATTCTCAGTGTTGCAAGCATCCACAGTCAGCATGTGATACTTTCCTAGCACCTAGCCTAGAAGGGACCCAAGTAATTGAGTGGGAATAAAGAGACAACACTGCCAACCTCAACTTCCTGCTAGTCTTCATATAGGCAATGTATTTTTATGTAAGTTGTATACATCTCATCTAACTCTCTGACTTAGATATTCTTATATAGCTATTTTTTAATATACTGTAATTATAATACGGTATATATCATCTTACTATTTCATAGATGAAAGGAGACTGAGTGGTTAAATGACCACAGTTGCAGGCAAATACTGTACTGTGTGCTCTTCCTTATAGAGTTAGCTTCAGCCTTATGCTTAGAAAGAGGAGCAAGTCCTGGAGAAGAATTTGATGGGACCCACAAAACTCACCCACCATTTACCGTAAAATCAGATATGCCCTTTTTTCTTTTTTGGAATTTCTCTGTTGGTTAAAGTGTCATCTTCAGAGGGCCCTTTTTAAAATTCATTTGTTTCTTGATAGTGATTACTTGATAATAAAGCTCACATGAGGTGGCTCATTTAGTTTTTCAATAACAATAATAATACTTAATTAGTGCTCTTTTGAGTGCTTTACATATTTTATTTTATTTTCTGTATTTATTTATTGGAAACAGGTTCTCCCTCTGTTGCCCAGGCTGGAGTGTGGTGGTACAATCATAGCTCCCTGCAGCCTAAAATTCCTGCGCTCAAGGGATCCTCCCACCTCAACCTCCCAAGTGGCTGGGACTATAGGCACTTGACACCATGCCCAGCTAATATTTTGTATTTTTTGTAGAGATAGGGTCTTGCTTTGTTCCTCAGGCTGGTCTTGAATTCCTGTCCTCAAAAGTTCCTCCCACCTTGGCCTCCCAAAATGTTGGGATTATGGTCATGAGCCACTATGCCCAGCCAACATATGTTATTTTAATCTTCACAACAACCTAATGAGATCGATTCTGCTTTGTCCTAATTTTATAGATGAGAAAACTGAGGCAAATGGAAATTAAGTAATGTTACAAAGGTAACCCAGTTAAGTAAGTGACACAGCCAGTATTCCAAACAAATAATCATTCAATGCCATCATATATTCATTGAGGGCCTGCTCTGTGCCTGGTATTGCCATGTGGTGGGAGATAGAGCAATGCACAAAGCAGACAAGGTTCTGTCTTCATGGAGCTTGCATCCTAGAAGTGGATGCTAGGCTGTATACCAAAAAATAAATATTGTCAATCAGACAAAGTAAAGGCCATAAAGGGAATAGCTAGGCTACCCTACCCTTCAAGTCTGACTAGGTCAAGGGAAGAGGGTGGCTATGAATGGCCTGGAAGGAGGTGACATTTGAACTGACACCCATAGAATGAGAAGGTGCCACCTGTCAAACGTGTTATGGCAAGAGAATGGAGAAGACCTTGTTGCTTGCCCTTGGAGCTTGGGAAGGAGGAAGAAGCAAGACTACGTATGTTTTAACAGGTAATGGGTAAGAGTTGGAATTTATTCTAAGTTCAGTAGGAAGAGTTTTATTCAGGGTAGTGAAGTGATCTGATTTATATTTTATAAATGTCACTCTGTTGATAAGAATGATCTGTAGCTGGTGCAGACATGAGGGTAGGAGAGTGATCAGGAGGCCATAGCATACATAGCCCTGGTCAGAGGTGATGGTGGCTGTGGCTATGTGGAGGAGGGAGTAAGGGAGGAATATTTTGGAGGTTGAGCCTACAACTTTTACTGATGGATTAGACAGGGAAAATGAGAAATGAGAAAACTGGGATGTCTTGTACATTTTTGACTTTAGTTACTGGCTGAATGTGCGATTTTGATGAGGTGGAGAAGGATTGGGAGGAACCAATATTGAAAAATGAGATGGAATTCAAGCTTTTTTGTGTGAAATATTATTTCGAGTGCCTTTAAAACATCCAAGTGGCATATTAAGGAAGCAACTGTATATGCTATTAGGAATTATCCGTGTTACACAGAAGCCTAATGAGATTTAATGACATCACAATAGAATCTTTATGGTTTCAACATTTCTGCTCCAGAGGAGAATTCATTTAAAAAAATATGCCTTGACACTGAAAATTCCTACTCTTATGAAAACAAATGGACTATAATTTTCACCAGTATCTCAGTACAGCAGTAATGTTAATCCGGCAGCACACACAGGAAGCAAGCTAAGTGCAGTTGGGAGATTGCAGATGGGTGTGAGCCACAAACACACACCATTCCTGAAAGAAGTAGGGAACAACAAGGGCTGCATATTGGAGGTAAACACGGCCTCTTAGCAATAATACTGCTTAAAATATTTCTATTAAAATCTGAACCTTGAGCAAATACAAAGACTATGTTTAACAATAGGGATATAAGAATGTACCCATTCCCATGGCAGTCTGGTGTGGGACAAGAGTAGGTGATGTGTGGAAGATTAGCAGGATGTGACAATATGGAAATCATTCTCTCAGTCACACTTGACAAAGGGTTTTCACTGAGTCTTGCTGATGAGGAACTGGAAATATACATCACAACCCCCACTGTGCATCCTTTATGATCTGCTGACTGGATTGTCGCCTAAGTCAGTTGTATAATAAAATAAATATGTATCTAATTCTAGTTTAGGTTCAATCCTTTAAGGCTCATCCATTTTTCATTTTCTTACTCACTAAGTTAAAAATAAAGAGAACTTCCAGATTTTATTAGAGCCCTCCTGGCAATTAGTGCAGTTAAGATTCTTGTCTTCAGGATGGTCAGAACTAGTTGGTAGAACCTCTCACATGATGCCAGGTTAATTCTTTCCTGGATAGGTTACAAGTTTCACTAACAGCTTGAAACATGAACACAGATGTGCAGGTCACATTTCCTGTCTAAAAGCTAACAGAGAGCAGTCCTAAGCAGTGGGATGTAGCTCCGGTGGCCTTTGTGCTGGAAAAAGGGAGATAGGCAAAGGTGTGGAGCAGTGAGCACTTCTACAAATTAAATAAAGAAAAGAAAAGGCCTAGATGGGCAGTCTCAGCTGCTACGGGATCTGAGAGCCGGCCAAAGGCACAAGGCACTGGGTGCTGGGAAGCAGAGCTGTGGGGAGTTAAGGGTCATGTAGCGGGGGAAATTCCAAAATTCATCTTTAGATTTTCAATTTTGAATATGGCTTACTCTTGCACAAAATAGATCTTTACCTCTCTTATTTGACTGGAACCAATCTATCCTCTGGAATTTGGGAACCCAACCATTCATGTCAGGCCTAAGGCTGGCCTTAGTGTTAACTCTCCCTTAGGCCTTGCCCAAGTCACTTGCTCAGGAAGTCAAGAAGAATCATTCATCCTTGTTAGTTAATGCTTACATATCATTGTATGCTGGCCATTTTACTGACTAGGCAACTTGCTAAGAACTACATTCTCTGAGTCACTGAGGGATTAATGGAGCAAGACAGGAGATTTGGCAAATTTGGCATCCAGCAGTCTGGTTAATCTCCTGCATTTTTCAGGACACCAAGAACTGCTGGGACAATGACTAAGTCAAAAACTCATTTGCCATGGAAAATTTTACTTGGTTTCTATTATTTTATACCACAAATCATGCTCTGCATTTAGAGTGTTCGTTTGCCTACCTATATGTCCATTAGCAAATATGAGAAAACATATCCAAAAGCCTGTTAGATGAAGAAACAAAACTGGATCCCATGTTAGGCCTTATCAAATGCATTCACAATGGCACATGAATATATATATGGTGCATATTTGGGTGTTAATGAGAAATGCACTTTTAAGTTATATGAACAAAAGAAATAGCATGGATTTATAGCATGTAACAGCTAAAGGAATGTTAGAGATGATGTAGTCAGGTGTTTCTCAAATGGTTTGTAAAGTTTAGCACATTTTCTTCAAGTGAAAGTGCATGCAGAAGCCCAAATATACTGAGCGGGTGGAGGGAGGGCTGTGCTTTTTCTTACCTTCTCTGAGACAACGCCATAGAAATGGTGGGATTCAGCAGGCTCTTTCTGCAAATCCAGCTGACTGGCATTATTGCTAAGGAAACTGTTACCCAGATTGACCCAAAGTTATGTTGTGAACAATTTAAGTTACCACAGCTAGACCTTGGTTCTACTGACTCTTGGTCCATTGCATCACTTACTAGGAATCAGTTTTTCCACTGAAAATGTGTGTGGAATCCGTGAAGGAAGGACTATATTGTTCTTGTTATTGTTATTGCTTTTGTTTAGCTATTCCTCGCTTTCAGGAAAGAGTTAGATGATTAGAAGGAATCACATGCTTTTATGTTTCATTCTTTTCTGGTATTTGGGAAAAATACAGCTTCATTAGATAAGGACATGAGTTTCTCCACTCTATTCCTAGGTTATCTCTTTGACCCAATTGACAATGCCACAATCCATGCTCCAGCTTCTCAGGGTCCAGCTGACCTCTTCCTTCTCCCTAGACCGCACATAGTTTGGCTGGCATCACTCATCTGCTTCTCCTCTGTATGCCCTGTTCCCATATTTCTAGCCACAACATCCTAAATCTCATATCTCAACTGTCCCACAAGGTTTTTCAGATGCCCCACTTGGCTTTCACCCCTCTTCTGCTGTTTCTGTAGACTAGCACTTCTCAGAGCACATCTGGTTTGGTGTTATTTGGTGTCTTTCTTCTTCCTTCTCAGTTGTGAACTCCTAAAAGAGAGCAGAAACATGTCAGATTCATAGCACTAGATAAAATTCTCATACCTGCAGTCCCCAAACTGTTAGCTGAATGTAACTGCACATGATATATAGAAATAGTCCTACAGCCAAGTTTTTATGACGTATGCCAATGAAGGTACAGATGGGTAGCAGAGATGGGTGGTAGATGCTTTAAAAAGTAATTTTTATTTTTTCATATAAAAATCTGAGATTTTGAGTATGTAGGACTTAAGAGTTATTCAGCCTGATTTTGCAGTTTCCTATAAAATTCTTCCCCATGCTTTGCTCTTTTTGGGGTATTTCATTACAATTGATACATAATATCATGATTAAAAAAATTTATTTTCTATTTTAAAGAATTAATTCCTCAAATATACTGTTTTCTGACTCAGTTTTCCACAAAATTATGAAGGTACTTCCAGTTAACTTACTTTTTGTATATAAATGGATGCATTATATATGTATCTAACCATCTATCATCTCTATGATATAAGATAGTGAGGAGCAGGTTTAAACATTTTTTATTTTGGTTCCTTCTTGATTATAGACTTCAGCCATCTGTGTTGTTATCCTCCTGGGATAATCTTTTAAAAGATTCTTATTTTTAACAAGACAACACATGACATTATAATTAAGAGCATGCCTGGGTTTGAATCACAGTTCCACTACTCATTTGTGTAAATTAGGGCAAGTTACTTTATCCCTCTGTTTCTGTTTCCTAACTGTAAAATTGGGATGATAATAATAGTACTTACTTCCTAGAGGTGCTGTAAATACTAAATGAAGTCATACTTAAAGTGCTTAGACCAGAACCTAGGATAAGAGAAATGCTTTATTAGTTTTAGGGGCTATTCTAGAACGCTTTTTTTCATTTTCCCTCTTTTACTCCCTCCCCTACACATGCCTTTTGGTACATTCTAGAGCATTAGTTATGTGGTTAAGATGAACATGAGTAAACATAGGCATGTACAGCTCTGAGACATATTTCTGTAGGGTAGATGCTAATGTCAATGTAAGTGCTCTTGTAGCAAGGTTGCTGTTAAAGAGTAAATGGTCCTGCTCATAACTGAGAGTAGAATATGTGGAGGGATAATTAGAAGTATAGTCACTGCATTAAAAAAATTCAGATAATATAGCATGGGCTTTTACCATAGGCAACTTTGGTATATTATTAAGGTCTGAACAGAGCTGCATATTTTGAAAAGCCATTTTAGACTGAGGAGTTTGCTGATGTTAAAGAAGTGCAAATATATTCAATCAATCGGTGAATGGTGGGGAGAAGTGTCTGCCTAATATTGAATTCCTTCAGATTATTATTATTTACAGGTCTTTGGGAAACAAGGCTGCTTGCATGCACTGAGTTGCTTTTAATGATCCCCTTGCCTGCCATCAGTCTGCATAATAAAACTAGCCTTTGTGGGCATTTTTCCTGAGTTTTGAAACTCTGCAGGTTTTTTCTTTACCCTCTTTACATTTCTAAAGCATATGTGTTTAGTAGAGAAAGACTCCAAGTTGTGCTCACTGTGCTTGATTGGACACGTAGTTTTTCTGCTTTGGGTTTTAAATAGATTTGCAGATTTAGGAATCTGCAGAGGTAAAGCTGCCCAAGCCTTCCTGAATGGACTACCCACTCCTGTAGCCAGATAATTCAGCACCCACCAGCACTTTACAGTTATGTTTTCCATGCTTATTCAGATGCAAATCCCAAACCATATGTTTACCTTTATGTTTAACATCATTATTTACAGCAAAAAAATTATAAATCCTTCATTCATATGAACTCTAGTAGGCAAGAAAAGGGTAACAGGAAATGGGATTTATATATGTATATAATTATTTTTGACCCATAAAAGTTGTGGGATGGCTAAGGAGCTTGGCCAAGTAGTTGTATGGAAAAGTACAGGCTAATGCCAAATACCTAAATAAAAGCTAAAGAACTCATAAAAGTGTTCAGACAGTCTGTCTCCATAATATCAGACAGCCAGATATATGAAAATATTTGCATAATGAACGAAGTTTTTCTAGATTTTTTTTTCTGATTGCGATGCATTCAGAGGTCCACCTGACTCTAAATTATTAAGTTAGTTCTTGGTGTCTCTAGTGCTACCTTCTGTGTATGTGACCCAAAATGGTATTAGAGGGTTAGAGGCTGACCTAATACAGTTATTGCCCTAGGTGGTCTCTACTTATCTAGGCATGATACCACCTTGAGGAAAGGATCCCTTAGTGATCTACTAAGTTAATTCATCTCTAAGGGAAACAATTGCCCCAAAGATTAGTTTAATAACAATGGCTCTGGGAATGTTGTAAAAACATCTAGGAGAATTTGGTTTTGTTTCTAGAAGAAATCAAGACAAATCTTATGTCGTGCTGTCTAGAGTTACTATTAAGCATGGCCATCTGTGTATTTCTGAATCTATCTAAACTTTAGTTCTTTGGTTATGAATGTGTGCATGACAATATCATTTTGGAGTTGATAGGAGGTTAATAAGAAAATCTGTGTTTAAATGTCTACTCCAGGACCTGACACATAGTAAGTATTCAGTAAGTGGTAATTGTAGGGTAGTACCAAATACTTAGGCTATTGACAAAAGGCTGGAGTTGTGTAGAGTAGCTGTACTCAATCATACGATAGCTGCAGCATAAGTGTTAGATGCTTTTCTCTCCCATTACTGAGTAAAATTTTATTTTTAATAACTGAGACTTGAGGATGCTCCATTCTGCAGAGTCTTCAGCTGAGAATGCTTGTCTAAAGCACTCTCTCCTTAAGGGAGCTCAGGTTCACAGCTGATAGCCCTTCGATTTGTCTCTGTTGTCTAAAGACATTTCCTTCTCTGTTTTCTTTCTTTTTCTCCCCTAAATGAGGTTAAGATAAATGATGCAATAGAATGGGAAATAATCATTGAGGATTATGCTTACTACTGCAAGATCTGATTTCAAAATTGCTTAGGACTTTGAGGAATTTTAAAAATTCTAAGTAGTTTTCATCTATTAATTTTTTTCTGTTTAAATTAATTACCAGGGGAGTGAACACCATATAGAGATAGGTTACTTGCAGCTGTATTAATTCAGCACCATGTACTACCGTGTTCAGAACATTGGTGGATATATTGCTAGGAAACAGACACAACTGTGGGATGAAATGAGTTAGGAATGACTTAAATTATAGACTTCTGAGCACTGATCCTGTGAACACTGATAAAAGGGTGAGAACTTGGGTTCTGAGTTCTCTTTTTTACTCCTTTACTATGAGGTATGGAAGAGTGTCTTGACTAGGGTCCAGTCTTGAGATAGAAACCATACCTTTTTTCAATATTATGAATTGTTAATTTTAAATTAAAGAACTGAAAATGGCAAAAAGGTACATTGCCATGTCTTGGAGGTAGTCTGGGTCAGCAGGGCCGGTTTCATGGGTTTGCGGCCCCTGCATTTGCACAGGTTCCTTGTTGAGATGGGCTGTATGCTTCGTCTAATGCTCTGCTGTTGCCATCTTAAAATTTTTAATAATTTTTGAACAAGGAGCACACATTTTTGTTTTTCACTGGGTTCTGCAAATGATGTGGTTGGTGACACCTGTAGGAGGCAGCTAGCACCTTAAGGGTGGGAGAATAAAGGGGAAAAATTGAGATAATTAGACAGGGAGTCTTGGAGAAAGGGCCTCCCAAGTGTAGATGCCGCCTGGTGTTGGTGTCTCCGAGGTTAGAGGAGGGGGCCTTGTGCAGCTGGGGCACAGACATCTGAGAATGGGTACTGGTCGGCTGGTGTTGGAGCCTTGGGAGGGGCATGACGTACTTGTTCTAGAATCTGTGAAGTGACACCATGAGGCTGGTTCTGTGAATGCTAGAACTTCAGACTTCTGCCACTGGAGGGAACTGCTGTTGCTGGGCTGAAGAAGTATTGCTAGGTGAGCCAAAGGCAAAGAGGAACAGGAAACAAATGAAATCCAGGAAGCAGAGAAGTAGGAGCAGATGCTTTCTTCCTCCTCCAGCCTTCACCTTTCCCCTATTGCCTATTGGTAAAGTCTAATGGAACCAGCTGTCAAAGCAGAACTGTGGGCTGTAGGGCCCCAGCCTCAGAAACACAAGATATAGAAAGGTGTGTTGGAAGCAAGAGCTTAATAATCCCCACAAGCAGTTAAGTAAGAGACTAAGAGTTGTAAAATACCTTGGGTCTCTGTCCTCCCAACTGTATCTGTAGCAGCTCCACCACCTATCGAAGCAAATCCTCTGATGGTCAATAGAGCGCTCAAAAGACAACTAACACATCTTTTCAAATAGACCTTACAATCGTTGGAGCTCCAATTTGCTCTGATAACTTTATGATGATTTATGTAACAAATAATTCTGGTTCAGACTAGTGAAGTCTGAAAAGGGGAGGGAATACTTTATTACGCAGAATGTTTACTTTCCCTCTGAGTGCTTCCTGGCAGAAAAAAATTCAGACTTTTCCCGTTATGTTCCCTCCAAATTTGGAATTGTGTTTATGCCAACATTTAGATAACATTTGTTGAACATCAAGTTTACATCTAGTATAGTCTTCTCAACTCCTTTTCCACCCTTTTTCCCTTTCCTTTAGTTCTTTTCATTGTACTCAGCTAAAGTAAGATTATTTTATTTTAAATAAAAAAACTTTTGCATTGAAGGATTTAAAGTTCCTATAAAGAATGCCATTCTCCAGATGAATGGATATGTAATTTTCATTTTGCCCCATTTCATTGGGCTATTCCTTGGCTACCATTTTGTTTTGGTAGTCAAAGCTGTAGCAATGATGAGTTCAGCTATCAAGTTTGGTAGGTTAAACAAAATAAGGTTCTTAGAGAGTAATTTATAAGAGTGGTGTCTTCATCAACATTCTTTCCCTTACAGTTGCTTTTTTTTTTTTAACTACGCCTTTTATGAAGACTGAGTATTACAATTTCCCAACACATATATGTGCTAAGGGAAAAGGGTTTTATCAGAATAATGATGTCAAACAAGGTAATAATATGAATTTAAAGTTAATATAACCTTCATATGGCTAATTTATTTACCTTTAGGGCTGTCTTTCTAATAATGCCTTAAAAAATCAAATAGTCTGTGGTTGCTAAAGGACCAGAGGAACGAAAACTGTATATGTGAAAGATAAAAAGCCTGAAACAGAATTTTTTTAGAGTCGTTTTCAGATGAAGAACAAGTATAGTAATAGTTCCTATACTTGTCATCCATGGTTGATCCCAATTTTCCTCAAAGAGGAGTGGATGGCACATTACACTAGAATGTCAAACCTCTACCTTGAGCAATTTAGCTAAGCCCCGTTGACATGCTTAGTTCACAGCTGACATTAAGGGTACATGCAGGCAGGCTGACAGGTTAACTTGATACACTCAATTTCAACATTCAGGGTGCTGAACTCAGAGAGGTTATTGCTTAAGAAATGTGAAAGGTGGGTTCTTTACAAAAGTATCTAAGAGAAATCCATCTGTGAAATGTATTTGCTTCATAAAGTGCACAATTTGCCACAAAGAACACAAGAATCAAGGACCCTTCCTACTGCTTTGCTTGTCTGTCTTTTTCATTTAACAGCAAGAATTCCCAAATTATGTAAACATGGAGAGGCTTTGGCACACTTTTGGAGAAGAGGAAAAAGAGACCCAGCTGAATCAGCTTCCTAAACTACTGCATTATTTTACTCTGATGGTTTTAATTAGAGAAAAAAAATAACTGCTTTGAGACCATCTGCATATTCATAATGTAGAACATATGGCTGGTTTTCAGGATTTTGAAAAAGAAAACACATTAATAAGTTTGCTTCTTTCCATTCATTTCTCACATTCTAGGTTATTTCTTTGAGAAATAATATATTTGAAAAATCTGTTTACTCTTTACATGAGCCAAATGTTCTCATTCCTTTAGGGTTTTTTTTTGTGTGTGTGTGTTGTGTGTGCTACTATTGTACATTTTAGCAACAAATGCTGAAAGAGAATATGGTTGTTTATGATTGAGAATGCCTCATAAGTGAGTTCATAACACTTTGTAGATGCATATTTGCATTAACACACTGTCTTTTGTTAGCATAACTTACTGGAGTTAGATTTATGGGAAAGTCTTGTTAGAATTTCCCAAGAGCAAGATAAAGACTCAAAACCAAGATAGGCGTGTAGTATATGTGTTCACATACACGTGTGTGTATACCTGTGTGCATGAAGGTCTGTGCATCTCAGATAGGATATAATGTGCATCTCATTTGACCAATGGAAATAAACAGCTATTATAAAAACTAAAATGTAAAAGTATACTTATGAATAATATGAAGTGTATTTGTAAGTGTATTTGTAATATATATTTATATAAGTATATAAAAATGATTTCAGACTTCAGATGAGATGACTTTTGAATTTTAAATTCTTAAAAGAAGAAAAACATCTCTAGTTATATTAGAAGAAAATAGAAAATCAATAGAACTTTTACTTTTTTTCTGGCTTTGCTGGTAGTCACTGGATCAATAAATCCAATTCCCATGTGAAATAACAAACAAGAAACAACCAAAGAGCTAGAACTGGCATCGCTACCTTAATAACAACACAGAAAAAGTTATCAACACTGGGAAATAAAGATTAGAAAATAAATGAAATGTTGTTCCTTTGAGACCAAGCTACCATGTTTGTTGGGCAAAGGTAAAAGGAAACAAGGGAAGCAGAATTTAGATGGCAGAGATGTGTGTGCTGGGAAGAATTGGAGGAAATCACCCTGCTCCCTGGGAGGCTGACTCCGAAGCTCTTGTCTGGCGAGCCTTGGTGCAGCTTAGTTGTTGCTAATGCTCCCCCATGCTGTAAGAGGTCCAAGGGCTCAGAGATAAAACTTCTTTTAGGATTTAGCAAAGGGTATTAGAGGCTTGAATGAAACAATCTACAACTTGTTTCCCAGTTTGGAGATTTAAAAAATGGAGCTATTTGAGCAGGCATTGTTTATTAAAAAGGAAGGACTTCAAGGCACTTATTGGCACTGAAATAAACAACTTGCTTATATTTAAATCATGCTTTTATGAAATAAGTTGCTATTTTGCAGAAGAAAACAATCTGACTTTTCCATTTATTTAGTAAGGGCATTGGAGATTTCCAGTATTTCAGAAAATCTACTATGATGACTGTAAGATTAGGAATTAGTTTGCTTTTAGAGACATAGTTATTGAATAACTCCTTTTTCAAGGAATTGAGTTACTTTGAACTAGTTTCTTTTGTCATTTTTTTTTCTCTTCCAGCTAAGATATCACACCTTTAATTTCACCAGATCTTGTTTAGCTCCTGTTTTGAACTAAAGGATACTAATTCAGCTCCATTGCCATAGCAGTTTTTTTTTTTCTTCATGGAGTTTCACTCCTGTTGCCCAGGCTGGGGTGCAATGGTGGGATCTCAGCTCGCTGCAACCTCTGCCTCCCAGATTCAAGTGATTCTCCTGCCTCAGCCTCTCAAGTAGCTGGGATTACGGGCATGCGCAACCACGCCTGGCTACTTTTGTATTTTTGGTAAAGACAGGGTTTCAACATGTTGGTCAGGGTTGGTCTTGAACTCCTGACCTCAGGTGATCCACCCGCCTCGGCCTCCCAAAGTTCTGAGATTACAGGCATGAGCCACTGCACTTGGCCTGACATAGCTTTTTGAATAGCAGACAGGATATATTCCATTGCTTCTTGACCTTTTGGCTAAGATCAAATACAGGTTATCTTCCATGTTTTATCTATCTTCTAATTTCTAGTGATGAAATTACAAAGTTAATTATTTTCTATGTATGATTTTGAAATTTGCCTCATATTTATGATCCTTTTATATGCCTAAAATTCCCTTTGCTTTTTTCTTTACTGTTAATATCAAACTTTTTCTTTAGATTCATTACAGTTTTTATTATGCATGTATTTACCTTTGATATAGGCTGTGTGATACAAGTATTCTTTTTGCACTGAGCCCCATGTTGCTTTATGTATCCTACTAATGACATTTTTTTCTCTATGAGTTTATAGTATTTGGGACTCAGTTATAGCTGATGAAATTGTCTCCACTCCCTTCATGGGGACACAGTGTACTTAGATATAATAAAGCTAGATTTTAGTAAAATGTGGACAATTTGGCCTTTTTAAAATTTGCTTATGGCTGCATGCCAATCCAGAAGTAATAATATGATAAAATATTTTCATTAATAACTGTTTTCTTTTTCTTACATGTAATGGAACTTGATGTAGATCATTAAGTACTATGCATTTAACAAATCTGTAATAACCTTAATCAAATCAGTTATTTAATATGAAGTGGCCAAAATATCTGAAATAAAATTTTCTTTTAAAAAATTTTAGTAAAATATAGTTCAAATACAATTTACCATTCTCATCATTTTTAAGTGTACAGTTCATTGGCATTAAGTACATTTACATTATTGTGTCTGTTACCACTGTTCATGTCTAGAACTTTTCATTATCCCAAACTGAAACTCTGCAATCATTAAACAACAATCCCCCATACCCCATCTTCAGGTAACCACTATTCCACTTTCTGTCTCTAAATTTGACAACTTTGTGTGCCCCATGTAAGTGGAATTATACAATATGTATTTGTCGTTCTACGTAAATTTCTCCTTTCTAAACAGATACTGCAGCATTAAGATGATGTAGACCCCCAAATTGCTCTTCCACCTACCTTCAGTTTCCAACTCTGTTACCAGTCAAGGGAATACTGTGTGTGGAATCATGATGACTTCTCTGTTAGTCCCAGTGAAAATATGCCTCAACTTCATCGGAGACAAATTCATTTTGCATCTTATCAGACTCATAGAATACATAACAGTAATATAAGACTACTTTAAGTTACATGAGGTAGGCAGATCAACATATACTAAAATAATGAAGTAACTTAGATTCCCCCCACCCCTACACCTTGTGTGTGAGTGTGTGTGTCTGTGTGTACTGATAAACGACACAAATTTGCTTGATAACATTAATAGCTAATCTCCATATATCACATTATAATTTGCAAAGGACTTTTTCACAGACATTTCCCTATCAAATAACAGCCTTGAAAATATTAATGTTTATTCTCATATTTAGATGTTACAATTAAGGCTCAGTGAGATTAATTCATGCTCACCAGGCACGTGACTCTTGTGCTAGGGTCTAGTGTTTTTGCACCTCACTCCTCTTGCTAATTACCCCCAAGTGGTACAGGAAGCCGAGGTCCAATGTCCAGCTGTGTACAGAGTCCCAGTCTGATGCACTAACCAGCAGATATAGTACTCTCCTTTTAACTTTACCTTCCAAGAGATCTTTCCCTGTTCCCAACACTCTGTTACCTACTCTAAGGATCAGTTACTTGACCTACCCATTATGAGGTTCCATAAGGGTCAGAAACTTTCCATGTCTGGCAAAGCACTTTCCCTAAGCTCCTGCAGTAAAGGATCATGAACTCTTTTCTTTCACCAAAACTGGATCACATTATAAATAGTGGGGAGAAATCATGTGGAACTAGTTCAGAGTGGCAGCTGACCAAGTTCTGTTGCTGGCAAAAAAAAAAACAAAAAACAGTTTTATGTCAAAGTCCAATATGAAATCGCAAAGAATTAAAATAATAATACAAATGCTGCCAATGTGTATGAAAAAGAAACTTTTAAAATTTAAGGAACATGGTATAGAATATGTCAGTTTATTCTGTGATCCTTCTGCTGTAACTGTGTGTCCAGTCTGTGCAGCAAACACAGCAAAGGGAAGAAGGTATGAAGTAGAAACCCCAGCTCCGTGCTTTCTTGACTCTTGGAACCTCACATCCCCAAGGGCATTGTCAGAGTGGCTTTTAATTTTTTTTAAATATAGGTTGGCGGGGCTGTAGAAGTGTTTCATTTTTTAAACCTTTGCTGGACATGTCCACTGACAGAACCGTGTTATGCTGGTCCTGAAAAGCTGCCAACAGAGGGAAATGAGTTATGCTGTATGGATTCATCTCAGCTCTTTCACATTCGCTCCTATTTTCCATGGCACTTTGATCCTTTCTCGTTTTCCACTCCAAATTGGTCCCTGTGTATCCTGTGCCAACTGGCACACTTCTGTTAAATAAGTATTTTGCTAATAATATCCTAGCTGTTTCTGAATTCTCCTCCACAGTCCCTTTTATTCTATCTGGGTATAAAGTTGATTGCTCTAAATCCCACTGCTGAATCTTGCTAATACAAGCATGACTGCTTAGCTTGAAATTCAGTTCGTTTATTTATAGATTCACAAAGCATCTTTATTCTAGAGTTCAAATTTCTTCAGAAAGAATTTTTTATTAGATAACATTTTATTTTAACAACTTGATGAAAGTATAATTATTATTTATAGTGGTTTGCTAATTTGCTAACATAGCCTACTGTGCTTAGGCTATGTGAAATACAGTTTTTATTAAATAGTTTGTAAAAGTAACTCTTATAAAGAGAGAGTTGCCCTAATGGAACAATTTGGAAGGCTCTCCATCTAACCAGCTGTCCTGCACTGAGTGAGTGACTTAACCTTTCCAGGTTTTCAGTCTGCATAAAAAATAAGAGGTGAAAGCTTCCACTTGCCTCTGGGCATTAAAATGCAATGATTCTATGAATTTATTAAATAAAGAGCAAACTTGGTATGTGGCCTGATGACTCTTAGGAGTGATATTTTAGATGCTCTTGGCTGTGTGTTTCTGGAAATCAGTTTCCTCATTAGACTTTCTTCAACTTATTTTGAATTCCTGCCTCTGGATTTTTACTGTCTCCTTCCCACTGCAGCCCAGCAAAACTCATTTATTTTTAAAAACCAGCAGTTTCTATATGTGCTTGGAAGCAGAGCAGTATCAACAATCAAAGCTACATGTGGAATCTTGGTAAAGGGATTTCATAGAAGAGTGATTTGAAGGCAGTGACCTTCTATCCTTTGTTTTCTTTTTTAGGCCATTGAACTTTGCCAGACATAAATATGATTTCTGTGCTTTGTATGAATCGTGTGATTTGGTTTACATGAATATTTTATCATTATACATCAACTTTATCTGGAACATGATTTTTAAAAGAGTTCTGTTTGAGTAAGAATGTTTTTATTATGCTTTGGGCCTAGTCTTTCTATGGAAATGTACTTTGAATATTATAATAGAAGTCAGTTGAAAAACAGAATAAAAATAAAAGCATTTCATTAAAGAAAACTTTTCAATAACGTTATGGATGGAGCCTTGGTAAAGTTCTTACTAGTGTTTAGGCTTTTGATGTTTAATAAGGTATTTTATAGGTTTGAGTGAATGATGCTTATTTCTCAGAGGTAGTATATTTCTATTTTTCATAACGAAAGATGCCTCGGCTTTCAATTAGACAGCTTTGGGCTTAAATCTCATGGCCCACCCCACCTCAGCTACATGACCTTAGACAAGTCATTTTACCACTTTGAAGCTCAGTTTTTCACCTGTAATGTGGGGGCAATAATTATCACTTCCCGGAATAAGAGTTGAATACCATCTAGCCCATAGGAGGCACAAAGCAAATGATCTTGGGATGATTTTCTACTAATAGATGGGAGATGGGTACACACAGTCATAAAAACAAAACAAAACAAAAACAAGAGATGGGAGAGATTTCAGTTCTCCTCCCTCCAGAGTATCACATTTTTTTTTTCTTTTGGAATTGAAATAAGAATTCACTGGGTACAATTGTGCAAGTTAACTATCACTTATTTCAATAAATTTGCTTTTAAATTTGATTTACCAATTATTTCCTTCATACCTGAAACCACCTTTTATCACATACTTACCCTTCTTTAAGATTAAACTGTCAGCACAGTAAGTCAATGATTCACCAGGTGCTTTTTTTAGCTGAAAAATATTTCTAGCATACAGTGTAAGTCTTCATTATATACTTTATTTTGGTTTCCTGACCTCAATCAAAAGCATTTCTTTCTCTCTTCTTCTCTCTCCTGTGCGTTTCTTTCATCCTTTAATTCAACATGTATTTATTGAGTGTCAGTTACTGGCCAGACACCATTCTAGGCCCTGGGGATAGAGCAATAAATAAACTAGGAGGCCTCCTTTAAGTTAGATGGTCAGAGAAGACCTCTCTGAGCGGGTGACATTTAGGCTGAGCAATATTCATAATATGATATCTATTCTACTCTTCTACCTTTACCCAGAGACTGCTGAAATGCTTCTGGTTCTCCGGCCATAACTTACTCTCTGAGATTACATCTGCTAGACGTGCAGGGCCACTGGGCTTTGTCTTATCCTCATCTTGAATTCCATCTGATTGCTTCTCAGAAATGCTTGGGAGGTCATATAGGCCAAAAATCACTTTAGTCAATTTTTCCTTTAAACTCCCCCAATTGAACTTTTCAACAAGAATGAGAAGCCATTGGTGGGTGGGTGTATAGATGTTGGGGACAAAGAAGCAATATTTACTAAGCACTGTCACTGATGCTGTGCTAAAACATTCCCATTGGATCTTCATAATCTGATTAAAATCCTGTGAGATTAATATTACCGTTATTTCTAGATGTGGAAACAAATTCAGAGACATTAAGCCACTTGCTTAGGTCACCAGCTAATAAGAGACAAAGCTCAATTTCAATCCCATGGTTTTTCTATGGTTCCTTGCTACCATCTGTATCATGGTGATTGTTTTGGTGAGTACACCTATTTGCCTTGAATCCTATAACAATGATGATTAACAACACGCTTTTCTAGCTATTTGACATTGTACATTGTACACATTTAGCCAGAGCTACCCTTATATTAAGAATAAAATTGAACTAAATATTCATAAAAATGAGCATGAATAAGTGTCAAACAGTATAATTTTATTAACATGAAGAAAAAAAAAGGAGACACAAAGCCATGGCAATAGGCATCTATTATTTTTGGTTTGTCCAACATCCTTTTCTTTGGGAAACCACTCTCCTCCACAATTCCATGTGGTTCTGGACATATTTTCAATCAGTGTATCTGACTATAAGTGATAGCACCCCTATCTTCTTTCCTGCTGTCCTCATGGAAATGTGACCCAGATTTGGGCAATCCTGGTACCTTCCACCCTAGGCCAAAGTGATGCTTCCAATCGTAGAGTCATGACTCAAGGTGGGCCAGTAGCAATCCTTTGCCAGGATTGGCATATGGATGTTAGGGGAGGAAAATTCATTTTGGCCAAAAGTACAAAATTGGGAGGACATAAATTTCTCCAGAAAGGAGTCCTTTTTTCTGAAACATAGCAAAAGTTTGTCTGTAATATTAAAAAATTAAACTTTTTCCCTTCCTTCTTTCCTTCCTTCCTTCTTTCCTCCCTTCCTTCCTTCCTTCCTTCCTCCCTTCCCTTCTCCTTCTTTCCTTCCCCTCTCCTTCATTCCTTTCTCTCTCTCTGTCTCTCTCTCTTCCTTGAGAGGAAGGCACCATTCCCTGGGGTATGGTAGCAGCCAGCTACCAGGTAGCAAGTTGATTACACTGGACTGCTTCCTTCATGGAAGGAACACTGTCTTGTTAATGGAATAGACACTTACTCTGAATACAGATTTGCCATCCCTGCACATAGTGCTTCTGCAAAACTACCATCTGTGGATTTATAGAATGCCTTATCCACTGTCATGGCACTCCACACAGCATTGCTTTTGATAAAGGAACTCACTTCACAGCAACAAAAGTGTGGAAATAGGCCAATGCTTATGGGGTTTACTGGTTTACCACATTCTCCATCATCTTGAAGCAGCTAGCTTGAAACAATGGTGGAACAGCCTTTTGAGGACTCAGGTACAGTGCCAGCTAGGTAGTGATACCTTGGAGACCTGGAGCAAGAATCTCAAGAATGCTGTATATGCTATATGTGCTTTGAATCAGTGTCCAATATATGGATCTGTTTGTCCCATAGTCAGGATTCATGGAGTACAAGAATCAAGGGGTGGAAATGGAGTGGCATCACTCACTATTATCCGTAGTGACTCACTAGCAATTTTTTTGCTTCCTGTTTCTGTGACCTTATGCTCTGCCGGTCTAGAGGTCTTAGTTCCAAAGGTAGGAATGTTGCAACCAGAAGACAACAATATTGAACTGGAAGGTAAGACTGCCACTTGGCCACTTTGGGCTCCCCATGCCCCTGAATCAACAGGCAAAGAAAGAAGTTACTGTGCTGGCTGGGGTGATTGACCCGGACTACCAAGGGGAAATTTGAATACTATTCCACAATGAAGGTAAAGAAGAGTATGCTTGGAATACAGGAGATTCCTTCAGGCATTTCTTAGTTTTGCCATGCTTTGTGATTCAGGTCAATGGAAAACTACAACAACCTAATTCAGGCAGGACTGTTAATGGCCGAGATGCTTCAGGAATGAATGTCTGTGCCATCCCACCAGGTCAAGAACCATGACCAATTGAGGGCCTTGGAGAAAGCAAAGGGAATACAGAATGGGTGGTAGAAAGTAGTTATAAATACCAGCTATGACCATGTGACCAGTTGCAGAAATGAGGACTAAATTTTCATGAGTATTGTTTCTTATTTTGTTATAAATACCATACATACATTTAAAAATCTCTGTTTTTTCCTCCTCTTATTTCCTTATCAGGAACCATAAGATCTGTATTAGTCTGTTTTCACACCTCTGTAAAGATACTATCTGAGACTGGGTAATTTATAAACAAAAGAGGTTTAATTGACTCAGGGTTCTGCATGGTTGGGGAGGCCTCAGGAAACTTACAATCATGGCTGAAGGTAAAGGGGAAGCAAGGCATGTCTTACATGGTAGCAGGAGAGAGAGCAAGAAGGGGGAAGCACTGGACACTTATCAAACAGCCAGATCTTGGGAGAACTCACTATCACGAGAACAGCAAGGGGGAAATCCACTCTCATGATCCAATCACCTCCCACCAGCTTCTTCCTTCAACATGTGGGGATTACAATTCAAAATGAGATTTGGGTGGGGACACAGAGCCAAACCATATCAGATGTCTTGCCTTTATATTATAATATTTACATATTGTTAATTTTATATCATACTATTTAAGTTACATGAGGTGAAGGAGAAGAGTAAACCTCACTCAAGGACTTTACCTCTTCTTTTGGGGTGGGGATTAGTGAATTTTCAGTCGTATGCAGGATAGTTGTATAATGTTCAGTATAATTATGATTTTTGTTATTGTCGTTATTTGAAGATGAAATAAGGTTTAAGGAGACGCATGTGGTTGACAAGGAGTGGATTTGTGATGGCTAATTTTATGTGCCAATTTTACTGGGCTAGTCAGGGCTTAGATATTAGGTTAAACATTATTCTGGGATTCTTGGTGTATATGTGAGGGTATTTCTGGATGAGATTAGCATTTGAGGCAGTAGACTGAGTAAAGAAGATTGAGCTGCCCAGTGAGAGTGAACCTCATCCAATCTATTGAAGGCTTGAATAGAATAAAAAGGCAGAATCAGGGAGAATTTGCCCTCTGTGGGCAGTCTTTGAGCTGGGAAATTGGTTGTCTCCTCCTTTTGGACTCAGACTTGAACTGGAACTTACTCCATTGGCTCTTTTGGTTCTCGGGGTTTTGGACCCAGGCTGGAAATATACCATCATCAGGAAGTCTCCAGCTTGCAGCTCTTGAGACTTTTCAGCCTCCATAATTGGAGGCATTCTTGACTGACAAAACTTTTTTTTTGTTGGACTTTAGTAGTCCAGCAAAACTTGCGTGATTGTTTTGTTGTCTTCTTTTCTTTCCTTTCTTCTTCTTTTTTTTTTTTTTTTGTGACAGGGTCTCCCTCTGTTGCCCAGGCTGGAGTTCAGTGGCACAATCTCAGCTCACTTCAACCTCTGCCTCTTGGGCTTAAGCAAATCTTCCACCTCATTCTCTCGAGTATTTGGAACTACAAGTGCGTGTCACAACATTCAGCTAATTTTTAAATTTTTTCTAGAGGCAAGGTCTCACTATATTGCCCAGGCTTATCTGGAACTCCAGGCCTCAAGCCATCTTGCCACCTTTGCTTCCCAAAGTGTTGGGATTACAAATATGAGCTACTGTGCCTGGCCCACAGCTGTTGTTTTCTATTGTTATATTGGTATCTAATTAGCAGTGGCAGTTCTGCATTCTTACCCTTCAAACAAGAATTTCTGAAACCTCCAGTCAAATGATCATACTGCTGCCCATAATGACCCTAGTTTGGGTCTAAATCAATCCTTTTCTCTTCTCATGACAGATATTAGGCTGCTAAAAAGGGGCCTAAATTCTTTTTTTTTTTTTTTTTTTTTTTTTGAGACGGAGTTTCGCTCTGTCGCCCAGGCTGGAGTGCAGTGGCGCGATCTCGACTCACTGCAAGCTCCGCCTCCCGGGTTCACGCCATTCTCCTGCCTCAGCCTCCCGTGTAGCTGGGACTACAGGCGCGCGCCACCATGCCCGGCTAATTTTTGTATTTTTAGTAGAGACGGGGTTTCACCGTGTTAGCCAGGATGGTCTCGATCTCCTGACCTCGTGATCCGCCCGTCTCGGCCTTCTTAAAAATTATGAACCTCACAGTCATGTAGCACATTTCTATTGAGGAATTCAAGACACTTTGCATTTTTTAATTACCTTTAATTTAAAATAATCCTGAGATTTAAGGTGGAAATGGTAGTTTTCTTGCCTACTAAATGGAGAAGGCATGAGCACAGGGCACTTTCATACTAACGCTCTATTCTGGAAAAATGACACCTAAGCTGGATGCTTGCAAATCAAGCAGATGACAGTGGTAACATACAGCTTGTAAGGTAAATAAATTTTATAGTAAAAAATACTGACAAAATATATTACCCTTCAATTTATTATTGTTTTTTTTTTACTAAAAATTCAGATTTTTATATGTTTAACCTAAGGAAATATGCTTTGCCTGGAACTACATTTCTTGTACTAGAATTGTCAGTAGAATCTTCAGTCCAGGGCTGTTTGTCCTGGTTTTGCTGAAAGGTCAGTGACAAATGAACTTCCATTTAAAACATCTAAACTTCTAAGCCCCTCTAGGACTTTTTAGAATATGGGCATCACTTATACTTTTCAATCTTATTTTCTACTATGTGAACCTTTTTCTTTTGCCAATGAAGTAAATGTATTGTTAGTTTCCGCATGTCCCAGTTAAACCAATTGGCAGGCAGTACTGAATGCTACGGGCTCAGTACTACCCTTGCCCTATACCAAGAAGCATGACGTTTAGCAGGTATAAAAGGAACCTTGTTCTTCTGGGGCAGAAGTTACTTTGCTTCTCAGAGCCTGAGTCCCTGAGCTAGACCTCTGGGTACCAGCCCATTCACAAGCATTTGCCTCCTCATGCCGTATGGAAATCTGCCCCACAGTCTCCTACTGGACTCAAGCCAACCCAAACCCACCCTTTTCTAGCCAATCTCTTCTCCCTGGTCTTTGGATCTTCCTCCTTCTTAACATAGCATGCAAAGCTGTCCATGAGTTGCTCTGACAATCTTTATTAATTTCCTGTCTCAACATTCATCCTCTAGTAACACACATCTTTTTATCTATACATTTTTCTTGTCTGTAGAATTTTGTTAATGTTGCACTTCTGTCTGGAATGTCTTAGCTGATAAAACTTTCACATCTTTGAAGACTCAAGTTAGATGTCAGCACCTCCAGGAACAGTTCTCAGATCTTTCCTGGTCCACAGGCTAGGTGAATTTTCTTCCTTTCTCTTTCATAATAAATTGAATTGTAATTTCCTGTTTGTGTATATATTTCTAATAACTTCTCTGCTTAGTCCTACCCACTCTAATTTGATTTCAAGTTCTATCTCCTCTGTGAAGTTTCTGTGACCTCCAAAATCCACATTAATCCCTTCTCTTTTGCATTCCTCTTAGTTTCCAGACCCACACATTGGCCCTTATTTTTCTCCATGTTGCCAATTTCTAGCCAACCAGACTGTAAGAACAATTATAGTCAATTGGACTATAAGCCTCTCAAGTACAGATGTTTTAACTTAGGGGAGATCTGAGTTCAGAGCATGTGGGGAGCTCAGTGACACAGACCCCTGGGGAGAGGGGTGGGAATGGCAGGATCAGGTCAGAAATAGATGGGGAAAAGTTGATCCAGGCTGGCCAGTGCACTATATCCCAGAGACAGAGAGGTCAGAGGTGATTCATGCCAATGTTGGGACCAAGGGATCTGATCTGCTCTGGGGAGTGGGGCAATGTGGAGGGAATCGGGGCAGCAGGATGGGTATTGTGGTTCCAGTGAAAAAGTCCTTTCCTGATAGGAAGCCAGGCAGGCTGTGGAAGCAGGGAAGGTTCAGGCAAGATCTAGGTAGAGTGGGAAGAAAGGCTCCTAGTTTAGTAGGAAGTGGGGTGTTGGTCTAGCAGGTTGAGGCAGAAGCCCAAATAAAATGATGGAGGTGAGGAAAAGATGGGAGGAAGTGGAGAAAGGGAGAGAAAAGGAGAAAGGAGGCAGGAGAGGGAAATGAGCAGAAGGTAGAGAAAGGCTGTTAATGAAAGCCTCAAATGAGTTGAAGGGGAGGGAAGAGAAAGAGAAGGAGGGTAATGGAAGTGAAAGGGAAGAGAGCAGATAAAGCAGAAAAATGATTAAAAGAAAGAAGAAACAAAGAGAAGAAAGTGAAATCAGAAGCCTCATTCCTGAACACCATCTGCCTGAACAAATTCCCACTAAGTAGTCATGCCAAGGGGTTAGGAACAATCATATTATATCTCCCTAAAATCACTATCAGCTCTTATTTCCCAAACACACAATTTGACATGAACAATTGCCATTTTTTCTCATCTTCTGCAGAGTATGAACAAAAGCATTTTAAGAAAATTTGACTATATATAATTTTTACTCACCATACATCATTATATATACATTTATGTACATTAAATCTATTATGCATACATTATTCATTTGACACAAATGCAGTGTGATTGCTATAGAAACCCTGCCTTAAAACTAATTCCCTAACTAGCTCACAGAGCCACCTTTTCCCTACCTTAATCACATTATGTTCTTAAGCCTAAATTCTGTGTGAAATTCTAGGGCTTCCATAGTTCCAGTAGATTTGAGGCTGCCAACTGTATTAGTCTGTTTTTAAGCTGCTGATAAAGACATACCCGAGACTAGGCAATTTACAAAAGAAAGAGGTTTATTAGATTGACAGTTCCATGTGGCTGGGGAGGCCTCACAATCATGGTGGAAGGCAAAAGGCACTTCTTACACAGCGGGGGCAAGAGAGAAAGAGCTTGTGCAGGGAAACTCCCATTTTTAAAACCATCAGATCTCATGAGACCCATTCACTATCACGAGAACAGCACAGGAAAGACACGCTCCCATAATTCAGTCATCTCCCACCAGATACCTCCCACATCACTTGGGAATTACAGGAGCTACAAGACAAGATTTGAGAGGGGACACAGAGTCAAACCATATCACCGACACACTTCCTAGCCTCCTTAAAATTGGCTCATCACTGGGCAGAGTAACGATGGAAGGTGGTTGAGAAGGTGGTCATAATCAGTTTTAATATACATGTAAGAACAGCACCAAGAGTAATGCATTCTTAGCACTTAAATATATTAGGTATAAAATAGATTAATGAAAATAAAACAACTTTTAGATGTGCTGCATGGCTGTTACAGCTTAGCACATGGTGCTACTTAACATCTATTATTACTTTTATTTTTATTTATTATTTAATGCTTGTACTTTAATATGCAATATCTTATGTGATTTTGCCAACCACTTATAAGGTAGACAGATCAGGTGTTACAGCCCAGCTTTACTAGTAAGAAAATAAAACTTTGCCTCAGGGTGTGCACAGGCCCCTGGAGAAGAACACAACCCTGGAAATTCTTCAGTGGCCTAGTTCAGTGTTTTCTGTATGCCTGTGGGCTACAATCAACTAGGTCAGCAAAATAAAAATGGTTGTTTCTACGTTATTTCTAAATGGCCACAAAATAATACATAGTATGTCCTGACAACCCTCTGGTAAAGGATTTCACAACTATATATTGCTTGATATACTTAATTTTTTTTTTTCAGTTTCAGCCAGGGTTTATTTCTGTCCTCTTTCTCCATTATCTTTCAAAATTGGGAAAGTAATACTCAACATCTGAAGGCTAAAGGGCCACTGGGAACAAGTGTTCAAAATAAAACTGGCTTCAAAACTGTTCTGAATTTTATTAGTGTGTATAAAACTGACATTTGGTGGTGACTGTGCATAGTTTGAAAGCTATCCTTTGCTGAAGTGAAAAGACAAGGTAGTAAATCCAGGGGTGGAACTAGGACAGCCAATTTCTAAGTTGCACTATGACTCTTGACAAGTCATTTAATATCCATCCCTTGTTATCTTCCAAATGCAAACTGGGGCAACTATGAGATCAAAAATGACAGGGGGCATTGTGATTACCAACAATCAAAACTATGTTGAAACAATTTGTCCAGGAGCAGTTTTTCAATATATGAATCAAAATATTGGGTTGATTTAAGGTTTCACAGAGCAGATTTCCTAAGGGAGACACCATCAATGACATTGCTATTAAGTATTAGACACAAATTCTTATTCAAGAGCAGCAAGACTGCTTTGGGGACTCGGTGATTTTACCAGGAGACATGCTATAAACATAACTACTGTCGCTGGTGGATCTGTATTAATTCTATTCCCTATGGCCTCCAAAGGATTGCTGAGGAAAATCTTGAGATATTACTTTGGATTAGACTCAGACAAAAGGTTTTCCTCCAAAAAGCCTAAGTACTGATTGTGCCTCATTCATCTTCTGGAAACCCTGATGAGGCATTTACGAAGCACTTTCTGGCATATTTTAAATGTGTGAAACCTCAGGGAATAAAGAAATATGTCTAAAGAGATTGTATCTTCTCTCATATCCAGGTTCTTTTTCATCAACTCTAACATGATGTTTAGCAACCTTAAATAAGCATTTTATAGAGTTCCACTGAGAAACAGAATAGTCTCCAGACCTTTCACAATTTTACAGATCCTCAGAATAAACATGTTAGGATGAAATTTGCTCATAAGCTGAGTCACATTTCAAGTTTATGGTACTCTTTTCTATTGATACTCATTCCTTAGGTGATCTCATCTAGTATTGACTTTAAATACCATCGATGTGCTAACACTCCTACATTTATATCTCTGACCCAGACTTCTCCCCTGAACTCCAGACTATACACCCTGTTGCCTACTTCACACCTCCATTTAGCTTCCTGAAAGCGTCTCAAATCTAACTTGTGTCAAACCAAATTTCTGTTTGTCTCCCCCAAACCTGTTCTTTTCATAATCTTCTCCAACTCCGTCAAAGGCAAATTTATTCTTAAGTTAGTCCAAAAGCTTTGGGTTACTTTTTATTTCTCCTTACCTCACAGCTCATATTAAACTCCTCAGCAATTCCTATCAGGTTTACTTTTCAAAAGTTATTCAGAATCTGATCACTTTGTGCCAACCCTACCACTACCACGATGGGCCAAGCCACCATTGCCTTTCACCTGAATTAATTCTAATTGGTTTCCATGTCTGTTGTTGCCAGTTTTCTGTGTGATTCTTTTAAAATATAAATCAGATGTTGTCATTACTCTACTCAAACCTTTTGGAATCTTCCCATCACATGGACGGTAAAAACAAAACAAAACAAAAACCCTAAAAATGATCTACAAATCTTAAAATATCGACAGCCTCCTTCACCTCCTTATTCTCTTTCCTAATAGCTTTTATCTTATTCCCTCAGGTTTAGATACCAGCCTACTTGCTCTTCCTCCAATATGCAAGTTACACTCTAGTCTCAGGGCCTTTGCAGCTTTTGTTCCCTTTTTCTGGAACACTCTTTCTCCAGATCTTCTCAAAGTGGCCATCTACACTTGTATCTCAATTTTCATATTCTGAAAATTGCTTCCTCCCTTCATTGCCGCCTTTGGACTATGGGTAACAAGCAATCTGGAATAATACACTTTCACTTATGGTTTACTCAATTTTCCGTCTTGGCAAATTGTCCTTTTGCAAATATGCCTGCTTTTAATTGTCCTAATTTAAATGTGCCATCTTTTTCCTGCACTGACCCTGAATAATACAACAATTAGTATTGGTACTGGACCAATGCTAATTGGTACTGGATATCCTATGGATATCCAAATGGGATCCTGAAAATGAGTCTCTCTAAAATTTATGGAGTACAGGATAAAAATATTGTCAGGGGAAGGTAGAAATGGGTAATTCATGGCATGGGAAAATATTACTATTATGCCAATGATCATTGATGGGGTAACAGGATGATGTGCAGATTGAGGCATAGCATTGAGAGATCACTATGGCAAGAGTAGAGAGGATAAAAATTATGGAGTAAACTGGCTTCTTCTTTCTTTCAGGAGAGTACTTAGGGAAGAAAGAAATTAATAGATAAAAATTTATATAATACTTTATGTAATATTTATATTAATAATATAATTTTTTTATCATATAAACATTTATAAAATACTTCTTGGAGAACAAGAAGACCTCAATGGCAGCTTTGAAGAAATTGTCTTATTGTTGCAGGACATAATTGGCTAAGGCTCAAGGTGTGGATTTGGTTATAAGAGATGTGGTATGGCAGCATCAATTAAATCTTCAAGTCTGCCAGATTTCTCATCTAAGAAAACTGGGAAGGAAGGAGTTGTACCCTAAGGCAAGAGTTTAAGACATTTGAGCAGACATTGGCAGAACTGAGACCCTTAAGCTTACAGATTTTTCTGGAAATTCTCTTGCTTGGGGAAGCAGTCTCTGCCCAATCCCCTCACCAAAAGCAGTCCTCTTCTGCATAACAGCTTTTCAGTGAGTGATTGAATCTAAGGCAGTAGACTCAGCTTGGTGCTGATTTTCTTTCAGATCCAACCTCATAAACTCTCTTTCCTTTTATGCCTGTAATGAGAATTATTTTCCAATGACATATTTGAGAAATTCAAACCTGCCTCTGTGAGGAAAGCATATACAAAAGGAAAGACTAGTTGACCAATCTGTACCACTCAAGTATTTCCAGTGGGTGCCAAAAAAGTGTAGGAATACATTCTAAAGGTTTTAGAGCATGGGAGAAAAATACAAGGACTGGTCAAGCCAAAGTCATTTACATGGTTACACTTGCCTGGAAGGCTACATTTAATATGGCATCTCCAGGACATGAGAATGGCATTAATAGTGTGCTAGCCTTGCTAGTTGAATTCTGGACTCATCTGTGGAACTTGCGTGGCATATTGCAGAGGAAAAAGACTTAAGGTTTAGGAAGATGGGGCTATTTGAATAAATACAGACAACACTATTTAGCAACTCCCCAATCATACACTTTGGGAGGGCCCAAAGGACCCACCATTCACCAAAGCATTAAGAAATGTATTGGGATAGAGCCAGGGGATCCTCCCCCATCCAGGGAAGCGGTGAGTGAATGAGTGACCCTGGCAAACCACGCTTCTCCCCCAGATCTTTGCAACCCTTGGGTCAGTAGATCTCCTTGTGAGCCCATTCAACCAGGGTCTTTAGTCTTCAGTCGGACAAACAGAGCTATGTGGAGACATGGCAGAGCAGCCACTCAAGCATGAATGGAGATACTGGAGCCTTAGACACTTGGGCTTTCTAGCAGAAGTATCTGTAGCTTCAGCAAAGTGGGAGGTTAGATTCCTTTACGTACCCCTAGGAAAGAGGCTGAATGGAGCGGGCTGAGCAACAACAGCCTGCAATCCCACTTCCATGGCACCTCGCAAGATAAGATCCACTGGCTTGGAATTCCAGCCAGCTACCAGTAGCGGCATTGCACCTCCCTAAGAAGGAGCTCCGGCGGGAAAGGGCAGGCCACCATCTTTGCTCTTCGGGTATCTTAATGTTCTGGCCTTCATGCTTTGGAGAGTCTGAGCCCACCCAGGGTGGAAGGGAGCCCCCAGCACAGCACAGCTTCTCTACCAAAACGTGGCCAAACTGCAGCTTTAAGCGGGTGCCTGATCCCATTCCTCCTTACTGGGTGGGACCTCCCAAATGGGACTTCCAGACACCCCTGCCCAAGCTCTCCAGCAAACAGGGATCTGAATACCCCCTGGGACAGTGCTCCCAGAGGGAGGCGAGGGCTGCCATCTTTTCTCTTTTGGTGACTTAGCCATTCCAGTCTTTGGGCTTTGGAGTGTCTAGGGTGACTGGGGACTGAAGTGGACCCCAGCACAGCACAGATGCTCTACCAAAACATGCTGAGACTGCTTTTTAAAGGAGATCCTGATTCCATTCCTCCTCACTGGGTGGGACCTCCCAACTGGAGACTCCAGACACTTCCTACAGGTGACTTCGGGGCACCAACAGGTCCATATCTCCCTGGGACAAAGCTCCCAGAGGGAGGAACAGGTTGCCATCTTTGCTGTTTTGTAGCCTTCACAGGTTCCGAAAAATCTGAAGTGACTAGGGACTGGAGTGGGCCCCAAGCATATTGCAGCAGCCCTGTGGAAAAGGCCAGACTGTTACGTGGGTGCCCACTCCCATATCTCCTCACCAGACAGATCCTCCAGCCACGTCCTGCCAGAGCTATTGAGCAAGTATCAACTCAGCAACTCCCTAGACAGAGTTCAGGGGCAACCAAAAGCCTCTCAGCCACTGCCTCTGCATGGAACTGCCCTTGCCACTCTCAGACTAATGAAGGAACAAAGACCCTAAGAGCTTTATCCAGACCTCCAATAAGCTAAAATCGGCCCAAGGATCAGAAGCCAATCTGTCTCCCATGGGTCCCACACCTGCCCCCCATGGCTTGTCAGCTGAGAGGAAACCCCTTACTTGGGTCCAGAGCATTAACCCTCCATCTTGAGCTGACCGCACTGAGCAATTGCTGACCTGTGTCTCTCTGTGGTGGAGCCCCGAGGAGTCAAGCAAATGACCTTTGGCCACAACCACTACTAAGATGTATTCCTCTGCTCCCTCTAAGCTGGGGAAAGAACATAAACATTGAGATCACACCAGAGGTGCAGTGGGCAGCCCAGGAGTGCCAAGTCATGAACTAAAGCCAGCACTTAAGGGAGGGGGAGAGGAACCCACACTTTTAGAGCACTGAGAGGGAACACAGCTGCAACTGTGAGGAAAAATAAGGAAGCCACACAACCAAGCAAGAGTCTACCAACTGACCAATATGCCTAAGTGTCACCTGCTGGATCACACCCCAAAGCTTCAACACCAAAAACACCTCACTAGCATATGCCCCTCTGAAACCAGAAACAAGAAGTTAGCTTCAAATAAAGACTCTACATAAAAACTTGGCCCAGTGAAAAGAAGAGACATCCAGAAAATAAGTTTATTGACTTTACTCAATCTACACTTCAGTTAAAGGAATACCCTCATGCAGAGATGAGAAAGAAACAACTCAAGAACTCTGGTAACTCAGATGGCCAAGATAGCCAGAGTGTCATCTGCCCTCCAAATGATCACACTAGTTCTCCAACAAGAGTCCTTAACTAGGCCAAACTGGCTGGAATGACAGAAATATAATTCAGAATATGGATAAGAAAAAAGATCACTGAGATTCAGAAGGATGGCAAAACCCAATTCAAGGGAAATAAGAATCACAATAAAGTGATATAGGAGCTGAAGGACAAAATAGTTGGTACATAAAAGAACCTAATGGCTCTGACAGAGCTGAGTAACACAATACAAGAATTTTGCAATGACATCACAAATATTAACAGCAGATTAAATCAAGTTGAGAAAAGAATCGCAGAACTTGAAGACTGGTTCTCTGAAATAAGACAATCAGACAAAAATAAAGAAAAAAGAATACAAAGGAATGAACAAAACCTCTGAGAAGTATGGGATTGTGTAAAGAGACCAAACCTACAAATCACTGGCATCTGTGAAAGGAGAGGAAAGAAAGCAAACACATTGCAAAATATATTTCAGGATATCTTCTATGAAAACTTCTCCAACTTGCTAGAGAGGCCAATAGTCAAATTCAGGATATGAAGAGAACTCCTGCAAGACTCTACAGAAGAAGATCATCCCCAACACATATAGCCATCAGATTTTCCAAGGTCAAAATGAAAGAAAGAAAGTTAAAGGCAGCTAGAGAAAAAGGGCAGGTCACCTACAAAGGGATCCCTATCAGGCTAACAGTGGACCTTTCTGACCCTACAAGCCAGAAGAGATTGGGGGCCTATATTCAATATTCTTAAAGAAAAATTCTTCAACCAAGAATTTCTCTTCTTTTCTTTTCTTTTTTTCTTTTGAGATGGAGTCTTGCTCTGTCTTTCAGGCTGGAGTACAGTCACGTGATCTTGGCTCACTGCAACCTCCGCCTCCTTGGCTCAAGCAATTCTTGTGCCTCAGCCTCCCAAGTAGCTGGGATTACAGGTGTGCACCACCATGCCTGGCTAATTTTTTGCATTTTTTGTAGAGATGGGGTTTCACCATGTTGGCCAGGCTGGTCTGAAACTCCTGACCTCAAGTGATCCTTCTGCCTCAGCCTCCCAAAATGCTGGGATTACAGGCATGAGACTCTATGCCTGACCAACCAAGAATTTCATATCCAGACAAACTAAGCTTCCTAAGTCAAGGAGAAATAAGATTCCTTTCAGATAAACAAATATTGCAGGACTTTGTTATCACCAGAACTGCCTTACAAGACATCTTGAAAGGAGCACTAAATATAGAAAGGAAAGACCACTACCAGCTAATATAAAAACACACTTAAATATACAGACCAGTATCACTGTAAAGCAACCACACAACCACACAAACAAGCCAACATAATAAACAGCTAACAGCACAATGACAGTATCAAACCCACACATATCAATACTAACGTTGAATGTAAATGGGCTAAATGCCCCACTTAAAAGACACAGAGTGGCAAGCTGAATAAAAAAATGTAAGACTCAATGGTATGCTGTCTTCAAGAGACCCATCTCACATGTAATGACACTCATAGGCTCAAAATAAGGGGTGGAGAAAAATCTACCAAGCAAATGGAAAACAGAAAACAGCAAGGGTTGCAATCCTGATGTTAGACAAAACAGATTTCAAACCAACAAAGACCAAAAAAGATGAGGAAAGGCATTACATAATGGTAAAGGATTCAATTCAGTAAGATGACCTAACTATCCTAAATAAATATGCACCTAACAGGAGCACCCAGATTCATAAAGCAAGTTCTTAGAGACGTACAAAGAGACATACATTCCCACACAATAATAGTGGGAGATTTCAACACTCCACTGACAGTGTTAGACAGATTGTCAAGGCAGAAAATGAACAAAGATATTTAGGACCTAAATTCAGCATTAGACCAAATGGATCTGATAGACCTTTACAGAAGTCTCCACCCCAAAACAACAGAATATTCATTCGTCTTATTGCCATACTCATGGCACTTACTCTAAAACTGACCACATAATTGGACATAAAACAATCTTCAACAAATGTAAAAGAATTGAAATCATACCAAACATGCTCTTGGGCCACAGTGCAATAAAAATAGAATTCACCACAATAAAAATTGCTCAAAACTGTACAATTACCTGGAAATTAAACAACATCCTTATGAATTACTTTTGTGTAAATAATGAAATTAATGCAGAAATCAAGAAGTTTTTTGAAAATAATGAGAACAAAGGTAACACATACCAGAATCTCTGGGACACAGCTAAGGCAGTGATAATAGGGCAATTCATAGCACTAAATGCCCACATAAAAGTTAGAAAGATCTGAAATTAACAACCTAACTTTATAGATGAAAGAATTAGAGAACAAGAACAAATCAACTCCAAAGCTTGCAGAAGATGAGAAAAACAAAAATCAGAGTTGAACAAAATGAAATCGAGTTACAAAAAAATTATTCAAAAGATCAACAAATTCAGCAATTGGTATTTTGAAAAAAAATAATAAAATAGATAGGCCACTAGCTAGACTAATCAAGAAAAAAAGAGAGAAGATCCAAATAAACACAATTAGAAATGACAAAGGGAATGTTACTACTGATCCCACAGAAATAAAAACAACCATCAGAAACAACTATGAACACCTCTGTGCACACAAACTAGAAAACCTAGAAGAGATGGACAAATTCTTGGACACATACACACTCCCAAGACTGAGCCAGGAAGATACTGATTAACCTGAACTGACCAATAACACTCTCTGAACTGGAATCAGTAATAAATAGCCTACCAATGGAAAAGAGCCCAGGACCAGATGGATTCACAGCTGAATTCTATGAGATGTACAAAGAAGAGCTGGTACCATTTCTAGAGAAACTATTCCAAAAATTTGAGGAGGAGAGACTTTTCACCCCACTCATTCTATGAGGCCAGCATTATCTTGATACCTAAATCTGGTAGAGACACAACAACAACAAAAAAATGTCAGGCCAATATCTGTGATGAATTTAAATGCAAAAATCCTCCACAAAATACTTGCAAACCAAACTAGCAGCACATCATAAAGCTAATCCACCATGATCAAGTAGGCTACATCCCTAGGATGCAAGGTTGGCTCAACACACAAAAATCAATAAATATGATTCATCACATAAACAGAACTAAAGACAAAAACCACATGATTGTCTCAATAGATGCAGAAAAGGCTTTTGATGAAATTCAACCTCTCTTCATGTTAAAAACTCTCAATAAACTATGTATTGGAGGAATATACCTCAAAATAATAAGACCCATAGATGACAAACCCATAGCCAATATCATACTGAATGGGCAAAAGCTGGAAGCATTCCTCATGAAAATTGGCACAAAACACATATGTCATTTTCACCACTTCTATTTAATATAGTATTGGAAGTCCTAGCCAGAGCAATCAGGCAAGAGAAAGAAATAAAGGGCATCCAAATAAGAAGAGGGGAAGTCAAACTATCTCTCTTTGCACAACATGATTCTATATCTAGAAAACACCATAGTCTCAGCCCCAAATCTCCTTCAACTGATAAGCAACTTCAGTAAGGCTGCAGGATACAAAATCAATGTACAAAAATCACTGACATTCCTATACACCAACAACAACCAAACTGAGAACCAAATCAGAAAGGCAATCCCATTCACAATTGCCACAATAAAATAAAACTCCTAGGAATACAGCTAACCAGGGAGGTGAAAGATGTCTACGATGAGAATTAAAAAACACTGCTCAAATTAATCAGAGAAGACATGAACAAATGAAAAAACATCCCATGCTCATGGATAGGAAGAATCAATTTCATTAAAATGGCTATACTGCCCAAGGCAATTTATAGATTCAATGCTATTCCTATCAAACTACCAAAAACATTCTTCACAGAACTAGAAAAAAATATTTTAAAATGTATATGAAACCAAAAAGGAGTCCAAATAGCCAAGGCAATCCTAAGCAAAAAGAACAGAGTTGGAGAAGTCATGTTACCTGACTTCAAACTATACTACAAGGCTACAGTGACTAAAACAGCATGGTATTGGTACAAAAACAGGCACATAGACCAATGGAACAGAAAAGTAAGCCCAGAAAGAAGGCCATACATCTACAATCATCAGATTTTTTTACAAAGCTGACAAAAACAAGCAATGGGGAAAGGACTCCCTATTCAATAAATGGTGCAGAGATAACTGGCTAGCCATATGCAGAAGATTGAAGCTGGACAACTTCCTTATACCATATACAAAAATCAACTCAAGATGTATTCAGACTTAAATGTAAGACCCAAAACTATAAAAACTGAAAGATAACCTAGGCAATACCATCCTGGCCCTAGGAACAGGCAAAGATTCCATAACAAAGAAGCCAAAAGCAATCACAACAAAAGCAAAATGACAAATGAGATCTAATTAAACTAAAGAGCTTCTGCACAGCAAAAGAAACTATCAACAGAGTAAAAAGACAGCCTATAGAATGTAAGAAAATATTTGCAAAATATGCATCTGACAAAGGTCTAATATCCAGCATCTATAAGGAACTTAAACAAACAACCCCATTAAAAAGTGGACAAAAGACATGAACAGACACTTCTCAAAAGAAAACATACCTGTGGCCAACAAGCATTTGAAAAAAAGCTCAGTATCACTGATCATTAGAGAAATGCAAGTCAAAACCACAATGAGATATCATCTCAGACTAGTCAGAATGGCTACTATTAAAAAGTCAAAAAATGATAGATGCTGATGAGGTTGTGGAGAAAAGGGAACCCTTCTACACAGTTGGCTGGAGTGTTAATTAGTTCAGCCATTGTGGAAAACAGTTTGGTGATTCCTCAAAGAGCTAAATGCAGAACTACCATTTGACTCAGCAATCCCATTACTGGACATATACCCAGAGGAATAGAAAGCATTCTTCCATAAAGACACATGCACTTGAATGTTCATTGCAGCACTATTCACAATAGCAAAGACATGAAATCAACCTAAATGTCCATCAATGACAGACTGGATAAAGAAAATGTAGTACAAATACACCATGCATAGTATGCAGCCATACAAAAGAATGAGATCATGTCTTTTGGGGGAACATGGATGGAGCTGGAGGCCATCATCTTAGCAAATGAATGCAGGAACAGAAAACCAAATATCACATGTTCTCACTTATAAGTGGGGGCTAAATTATAAGAACTTATGGATAGAAGTAAGGAAACAACAGTTGCTGGGGTCTACTTGAGTGGGGAGGCTGGGAGGAGGGAGAGGAGCAGAAAAGATAACTATTAGGTGCTGAGCTTAATACCTGGGCGATGTAGTAATATGTACAACAAACCCCCATGACATGTGTTTATCTATATAACAAACCCTCACATGTACCCCCAAACCTATATAAAAAAAACAACAAAAAATGAAACGAAACAAAAAGAAATGCATTGGTGTGAGGGATATCAGTATGCTTGAAAACCAGTAGCAGGATAGCTCCTTTTAGGTCAGAGAAGATGGAGGGGATAATGAAATGTAATTGGGCTCACTGATATTAATGTGAGTAGTGGGATTCTCAGACTTGTAGAGGACTTTAGTAATAATTATTCTGCTAACACTATAATAAGCCACAGGATTAGAGTGGTAATCATAGAATTTTGATCTGCAGGGATCTTTAACAATGCTTAGGGCACCTCAAAATAAATGGATGGGCAGCTTACTAAAGAGATATTTGGCATATGTAAGTGGAAACATTTTTGGCCCACAGTGAAGAAACCTAAGCTGTGTCCTTGAAATGGGCTTCATGCCTTCTTTCCAGTTTCTAAATCTAAATTTTTTCAAACACCTAAAGTTTCTTAAATGAGGTGTTGTCCAGGCCCCTTTGAGGAAAGACATTGCAATATGGACTTATTAATCCTGTAAATCTTTTCGGAAGACATCCTCACAGTTATCTGAATACATTTACTATGGTAACTGTTCACTGAGGAAAGGCAAATGCTCTGACTGGGGCTTCTTAGACATTTTTTTATGAAAGGAGGCTGTTTCCTGGAGACCCCTATTGGCTCTGTGTCCTAATGAGCAGAAGCTTACAGCAGACAGGTAATAGACAGAATCTTGCTCAAATCTCATAGTAGCTCTAGGAGGACTGGGGATAAATATTACAATTATTTATTATCCAGAAAGTTTGGGGAAATTAATATATTTAATAAGAAGCAAATTCTCTTATTGGTGCCCTGGCTTATGAAGTAGAGGATGTTATGGTAGAAAAACTCAAGTGAAAACCCTTGGAACTGCCTTCCAATCCTTCTCTCTTTCCCCAATAATATAATGAACCAAAAGCAATGTCCCATTCCTGGGAATATTGCATAGATTAATGTCATTATCAAAAATTTGAGAAATGAAATGGTAGTTATGCTTATCATATATTATTTAACATGACTGGCTCTTGGAAAAGCCAGAAGTGTCATGGGGAATAACAGTGGACTATAGCAAACTTAATCATTTGGTGATTTTATTTGCAGTTATGGGGTCATTCTATTTCAATCTGTAAGGAAAATTAGAAGCAGTTTGCAGTTACACGGCAGGGACTACAGTATACCATCACTATTTTGCCCAAGGGCTAAGCCAACTCTCCTACTATGTAAGCAGGAAGTAACAAACACTCTTGATGTCTTCATAAGGTATATGCATTCTAGAGAATAGAAAAAAAAGTTTTAGGGTCTGAAATATGGGTGGGTCAGTGGGCATAATGTGATATCCTTTGTGAAGTGAGAGACAAATTCCTACACCTTACACAATACCCGCCACTTAGAAAAAGGTATGCACCTAGGACCAGTTAGAATTTTATAGGCAATGCATATATTTGGGTATAATCCTCTCACCCATTTATTGGTAATTCATAAGGTTACCTGTTTTGATTGGCACCTATAGGAAGAATGGGCTCTGCATCAGGTCTACATTGGCAGTGCAGGCTGCTAATTTACATAGAGAAAGAAAGTCTGTATGACAGATACAGATGCTCTTCAAGCCTCTGGCAAACCCAACAGGAAATTCAACAGCACAGATATCTAGGGTTCTGAAATAAGGCTACGTCTTTTTAAACTGACAACTTAAAGTTTAAATGGTAAAGCAGTTTTTGGCTTGCTATGGGCTTCGATAAACACTAAACACTTGACCATGGAATATAAATGACCATGCAATTCAAACTTCACTTTATACATGAAGTGTTATCTGATCTACATAATTTAAAGCTGAATATGAGCAATAGAATTATACTAAAAAATTGAAGCCATATACATAAGTCCAGTCCTGAGCATATTCACTGACTACAGAGGCAGGTGGCTCAGATACATATTGTGGCTGTTTCTACCGCTTTTCTATCTTTTTGTCATTCACAACAATGACTTCACGGGGAGTTCACAATTATTAGCTAATTGTGGAGACAAAAGCATAGGCCTGATTTAGGGATAGATCACCATGCTTTGCTGACACCAGCTAAAGAAGTATAGACACTGCATAACAATCACCCTCAGTAGTGACCTTGAAAGACAGGTGACAGTATAATGGAACTGACATCACTTAATGATTATATGAAAGCTGATGGAACCTTATATCTCTCCTGAGAGAAGACCATGTATTTTCAATTGGATGAAGGACAAGAGAGAGGTGCAAAGCATGTAGGCTGGCTGGATACCTTTCACTGGAAACTACAAATCAATTTCCACCCTCCAAACCTCATTCTCTGTTCTGGGAGGCAGATTTGTGTGGATGACATCATAGGCTTCTCTGACTTTCAGCCGAGTATGGTCAGCAGGAATACCAGGCAGGAGATTACAACAAGAGTGAGGTTGGTGTATTTACTCCCTGGTTCTTTTCTTGTGAGCTCACGTTAAGCTAGCTGTGTCCCTTGACTCAATATCTTTTTTGTTTGTTTTGAGGCAACTTCTACATTAGTCTTCCCTTTTGTGTTTCTGGTTACTGCTTTCTCTCCTTGTCCTTTCAGGCCTAAGGGTGATTACAGCACAACTTTAACAAACCCTGAGTTAATGCACAACCCTTGTGGTTCTGATCCACCCTTCCTACACTTTTGTAAACAGAACCTAATTTTAAAAATTCTCTAAAATTACCCAATTTGAGAGTGCCATCTGTTTCCTATTGGGAAATATACCTCACACAGTCATCTTTCCTCTGAACCACACACTGTTTATTATTTAGAGCTCACACAATTGCAAGTGACAAAAATATTCCAACTATCCTTGCTTAAACTAAGAAAGCATAGAGATTTATTGGCTTGTATCAGCAGAAAGTCCAAAGGATGGTACTGTCTTCAGGCATGGTTGAATCCAAGAGCTCACATGATGTTGGCAGAGCTCTCTCCTCTTGGCTCTACTTTGTGTTGCCATCCTTTTCAGGCGAGTCCTTTCGACAAAGTGACAAATATGGACACTGGCAGCTTCTGGCTTACAGTGGCTTTACAAATTGCAGTCCCAGAAAAAAGAACATGAGAGATATTGCAAGTTTTCTAACACACATCATGCTGTGATTCCAATGGAGAACTGCTGAGTATAGTTGAGGTTGTTTCCCTGGCTGTCACATTGACAGTCATGTAGAACAAGTTAACAAACTCTGCAGTTTGGCTGAGGAGTGGCTGTGAATAGAGAAGAACATTGCCTGGCTCAGAAGAGTATCATCTCCCAACCCTCAGTTGGAGTTCTTTCCCTTTGAAGTACAGGTTTGAAAATAAGGAAGAGTACTGATAATAGAGACAGTAGGGCAAATTAAAGGCCTACTTCTCTTTTACATGGACTGCTCCTCTTTCTAGATACAGTGTCACATGGTCACCTTAGAATAAAAGCTAATTTTCAAATTCATTTGGAGTGGACTCTCAACCTCAATCTTACTGCCAAATTCATTAATATGGTGAAGAGGGAGCCCCTGGGATGAATAGTGAAGCAGATCTGTTCAAAAGACTTCATAAAAGTCAAGAAACCCCTTTGCCAACGTTGAATTTAGTTTTTGGCAAACCATTCTGCAAATATGACTTGGAGCAGTTTACATGAACCTTTGAGATGAAGAGGAATGTAAAAGAGCCAGCTTGTCTAGGATGGAGGGGATAGTGGACCCTCTATAACACATAATATGTAAACCAGCTGGGTTATAGCAGTAGAGGGAGCAGTCAGGTAGGGTGGGGTGAGCTCCTGAAGGGAATTGCCCACATTTCTGTAATTAGTAGAGTCATGGAAAACCTTAGGGATTTCATATAAAAGTACAGCATGAAAGTGGCAGGTATGGAAAGTAGCTTTGGCCATGGTATTAAGAGACTGGCGGAAAGGTTATAGCTGTCTAGGAAAGGAGTTCCTGGGGTCTAGAAAAGGGAATTAACAGTTTACTAGGGAAAAGTAAGACAAAGAAGGTAAAAGAATTATGCCAAAAATAGAATATGTGTTAAGAAATAGTAGACAGAATTCATTTGCCCCTTACATTCCTGTTTGCACACATCAGGCCAGGAATGAAACTGCCATAGAAATACACATTGTCTCTTTCACAGAACATATAACATTCTATGTTTGGAGATTTTGTCATGCTTTACCCAGCAGACTTTTGTTACCTTCTTTATTTATTACTGTGTATTTAATAACTCCTATGAAAAGTGTCATGAAATTTAAAACATAGGTTTTGGTGTCAGCAAGCCAGATTTTGAATACTGTTTTGTCACTTACCAGCTTTTTGTTTTTGGCCAGATAACTGAATGTCATGTGTAACATGTAGAACATCATTCCTACCTCATGAGATTGCTGTAGGTATTAAATTAGATAATGTGTGCAGAGTGGCTGGCAAAACATTCACTCAACAAATGGCTGCTAGTCTTACCAGTTCCTTAATTAGAAATTGACTTGTTAAAACCAGGATGACATCATACTTAACGGTTACTTGGCGTGTATATTGATATTTATTCCCCCATCTCGCCACCTTATTTTAAATTGTATGAAAAAACTGAGTTTGTTAAGACTCACCATCTTTTACTTTTTAGCCTGTTTGGGAAAAGAGTTTGTGTGTGGCTTTTCTGTGGTCTGATTTTATTCCCCATGTTTGGGGTCAAAAGATGGTATATACTTTGTCTGTCAGCCTGGCTCACAGATTGTGCTAGAGGAGACATAGATCATCTTGGCTGAGATTTGGAGATCTAACTGCAGTTTGAAATTTCCAGTCTCTACGTGGGCTGGTCCTTATACATTTCAATTTTCCAAATTTGCAATTTTCATTTTATGTGACCTAACTAATTTTCCTACTTAGGTAAAACAGAAATCTTAAGATGTGCATCACAACATAAAAAGGAACATAACTGTGCAAAGGAGAAGTACCTCACTAAAGTTACATTTAGAAAAAAATAAGAATGGCTTTATAAAGCTCAAATCTTTTTTGGTTTTAATTAGTAAGTGTATATCTATTCAAAATCTTTGTTAGACATAGTCAGGTTGTAAAGAACAGAGGCATGCTCAGAGTACAAAGGTCATTATATTTATTGGAAAGGTATATTGGAGAATGTGCAAAATTGATGGGCAGCCAAGTCTACCCAACACTAGAGTACCATTAGGGAAAACAGAGTATCCCTGACGACCTGGCTAGTGGTCAAACTTTCCAGAACTGGTGCCTATAAATGTTTCACCATTCTGGGGTCTTAGATTCTTCATCTCTGTTTCTATTGCCTCCACTTCTGCTGTTAGGGATTGACTCGTTATGACTTAAAACTTTTGGTTAAACCTCCAGAGGGGGACAGCCCACAAAGACAGAGAGTGCAGGATGGAAACTGGTTGAGGAAATTTGGGTAGATGCCCTTTGGGGGCATCCTTTTTTTTTTTTTTTTTTTTTCTTCTTCCACCAAAACACCTAATTGTTGGTCTGGTGTTTCAGGTGCCATTCTTTTGTTCAAAGGGCAGGGTCACATGTATAAAGCATATGGCCACATGCCTCAGAAGCTATCTGGTACAAGTTATGTGCATTTATGCCTATTATCTCTTTTCTTAACAGAGGACATGGTCGTGGCAAACATTCTAAGTAACATAAACTCTGCAGTATATGTCATAACTCAGAATACAGAATCTAGAAACTTCTAAGAACTTAAAACACACATCCCACCTCATAGCCATTAAGAGGACTACTATCATAAATGAGGTAAATAACAACTTTTGGCAAAGATGTGGAGAAATTAGAATTCTTGTGCTTTGTTGGTGGGAATGTAAAATGGTGCAGCTGCTATGGAAAACAGTATGGCAGTTCTCAAAAAATTAAAAATAGAATTCCTGTATGATCCAGCAATTTCTACTTCTACTTGGTATATATCCAAAATAATTGAAGGCAAGGCATCAGATAGATATTTGCATACTCATGTTCATAGCAGCATTATTCACAATAGTCAAAAGAAGGAATCAACTCAAGTGTCCATAGATGGATGAATGGATAAACAAAATGTGGCTTATTATATACGATGGAATATTATTCAGCCTTTAAAAAGAAGGAAATTCTGTCATATGCTGCAATACAGATGGACCTTGAGGCTATAATTATAAATGAAATAAGCCAGTCACAAAAAGGCAAATACTGTCTGATTCCACTGATATGATGTATCTAAATTAGTTAAATTCATAAACAGAGTAAAATGGTGGAGAAAAGGGGCGGGAGAGGGAAGTTATTGTTTAATGAGTATACGGTTTCAGTTTTGCAAGGTGAAAAGAGTCCTGGAGATGGATGGTGGTGATGGTTGTACAACAATGTGAATGTACTTAATGACATTGAATTGTACATTTAAAAATGGTTAAGATGAGGCTGGGCGCAGTGACTCACGCTTGTAATTCAAGCGCTTGGGGAGGCTGAGGAGGGTGGATACGTTAAGGCCAGGAGTTTGAGACTAGCCTGGCCAACATGGTGGAACTCCATCTCTACTAAAAATACAAAAATTAGATGGGTGTGGTGGCGTACGCCAGTAGTACCAGCTACTTGGGAGGCTGAGGTAGGAGAATCACTGAAACTTGGGAGGCGAAATTGCAGTGAGCTAAGATCATGCCACTGCACTCACTCCAGCTTGGGTGACAGGGCCAGATTCTGTCTCAAAAAAAAAAAAAAAAGGTTAATAAGATAAATGTTTTTAAAAGTTAGTTTAATAATTGTAAAATACCTTATATACCCAAACACACCACATAAACATAATGCACACACACTCAGACACCAATACACAATATTACTTCTGTAGTGGAGTTAGCACAGTGTAGTGGTAAAGTCTGCAGTCTCTGTAACCAGGATGCCTAGGCTCAAATACTGTTTGTAGTATCTGACAGCCGTATGACCTTGGACAACTTAACTTCTCTGGGCTTCAGTTTCCTCATTTGTAGATAAAAATGCTAATACTATTTACCTCATAGGCTGTTACAAGGATTAAATGAGCTCATACAACACTTGCAACAATGCCTGCAAAATACTAACGGCTCAAGGAATGGTAGCTGTTCTTACTATTTGAGTATGCATAAAGTATAATATTTTATTCTTAATGAATTGAATAACTCAAAGATCAATAACTTTGACAGGTACATTTCCTTTTAGGATCTGAAATACGGAACTTGTAATAGAGGGTCCTAATCTTCTAAATGTGACAAAACAGTTGCTTTGGGGACATAATAGGTTGGTTTATTCAGGTCAGAACCATTCACATGTAAACCCTTGTATTCTCTATTCTGTTAAGTTAGCAGTATCTTTTGCTTGTTGTAATTATTTTCAATTTCATCGTTCATTTAAACAAAATATATTTCCTCATTTGGATATTATGCCTCAGCCATTAGTTTTTCACTAACTTTCCTCTATTAGTTATTCTTGCCTTGTATTTGTTGTAGAATGATTTAGTGAGCTTCTAAAACATGGCTGTGGATATTAAGTTTTGCAAATAGGACTAGGCTAGACAAAGAAGGATCATATTTGCATAATGGCCTCAGTACAGCTAAACTTAAAGCATTTTCCTGTGCATAACAATGACATTCAAATTATTATGCAGCTCAGAATGCAACAGTCATCTAATTCAGTCTGGTGTCCCAGTTTAATATATTATGGTCTTTTTATCCCTGAACATACCTAATGATGTTACTGCTTATCCAATTTTTTAATGTCACAATCCATATAGAGCATCTTAAATGATTGTGTGTGTGTGTGTGAACTTTTTTGGGTATTTGATATTCTTTTTTTGTTTGTTTTGTTTTGAGACGGAGTCTCACTCTGTCGCCCAGGCTGGAGTCGCAGTGGCGTGATCTCGGCTCACTGCAAGCTCTGCCTCCCGGGTTCACACCATTCTCCTGCCTCAGCCTCCCGAGTAGCTGGGACTACAGGCGCCCACCACCACGCCTGGCTAATTTTTTTGTATTTTTAGTAGAGACGGGGTTTCATTGTGTTAGCCAGGATGGTCTTGATTTCCTGACCAGGTGATCTGCCCGCCTCGGCCTCCCAAAGTGCTGGGATTACAGGCGTGGGCCACCGCTCCTGGCTGTGTATGTGATATTCTTATTTAATATTTTCCTGATTTGTTTTTCTCCTATTGCAAGTAGTTCCTCAATCTGTATTCTTATTAGTACAAGTTATTTTTAAAAGCATAGTAAATATGTATGCATTAATAGTAATCAACAACAATTTGTATAGAGGTATACTATGATTCTAGAATACATATCATGTGATTTCAACATTTTCTTTTTAATTAGACATATTGAGAATATAGGAGTTGCCATGACTCCCACCATGTCATGCTTTACACTGGAGGATGAAAAAATCTAAAAGTGTAGGTTTTATTCACGTTCTCTTTTTCCTTGAATAATATTGGAAACATGAACATGAAATTTGGCATCATAGAGGCCCAGATCCCTGGTTTGCCATTTACTAGTTGGGACTCTATTTAATCTCTCTAATCCTCAGTTTTCTTATTTATAAAGTAGGGTAATAATACCTACCACATAGAATGGTAAATGCAAAAATATCTTTTCTAATTATGCATATATTTCCTATTCTAGTGCCTTAAATTTCTTTATATCAGTTTAATTTTCCACAAGGCGTAATGTTTCTTATGTCTGAAAAAGTTTCATTTTATAAGATCGTGTAGCGAATTTCTTATGGAGAATAATTATCAGTTTTTGTTTGTCTGAAAAAGTGTTTATTTCACTTTCCTTTTGAAATATATTTTTGCTGGGTATATGTCATGGTCTGGACATTAGTAACCGCTAAAATTCATATGCTGGAACTTAATCCCCAATGTGACAATATTAAGAGGTGGGGCTTTAGGACATGATTAGGTTGTACAGACAAAGTCCTCCTGAATAAAATTAGCACCCATATAAAAGAAGCTTGAGAGGGCCTGCTTGCCCCTTCCATCATACAAGGACACAGAAGGTGCCATCTATGAGACATAAACTCTCATCAGACACCAAATTTCTGGTGACTTGATCTTGTACTTCCTAGCTTCCAGAACTGTTAATAATATCCTTCTGTTGTTTATATAAATTACCCATTGTATAAATTCTTTTTTTTTTTTTTTTGAGACAGAGTCACTCTGTTGCCCTGGCTGGAGTGCAGTGGCATGATCTCAGCGCACTGCAACCTCTGCCACCCAGGTTCAAGTGATTCTGCTCCCTCAACCTCCCAAGTAGCTGGGATTACAGGCATGAACCACCAAGTCTGGCTAATTTTTGCATCCCATTATATAAATTCTGTTATAGGAGGCTGAGCTAAGATAATGCATTATTCTAGTTTGACAGAATTTTTCTTTTCAGTAGTTCATTGTCTTCTGGTGTACCTCACTTTTGATGATAAACTTTCTTTCATTCTTATGCTTGTTTCTGTGTATGTAATATGTCTTCTATTTCTCTCTGACTGCTTTTAATATTTAGTCTTTTTCAGTCTTTTTATTAATTGGGTTAGGATGTGCCTTGATGTGGTTTTCTTAATGTTCATTCTGTTTTGAGTTCACGTAACTTCTTGGATCTGTAAGATTATATTTTGTATCAAATTTAGAAAAATTTTGTCCACTATTTAGTCAAATATTTTTATAACCTTCCTTTATTTTCTAGTTTCCTGTGACTCAAATTTCATGTATATTTTACTTCTTGATGTTGTCCCACCACTAATGTACTAATCATTTTTGTTTCATTTGCTATGTCTTCAATCCACTAATATTTTCTTCTGAGGTAACTCATTTGCCATTAGTTTTACCCAATGTATTTTTATTTTATATATATATATTTATTTAAATATAAGTTGTTAATGATAAACGAGAAATTCTTGTTCCAGTTAGCAGTTTTTTAGAAGAAACATAATCTTTTATGCTTATTAGAGCTGGAGTATGGGTTCGTCAAACCACAATAACTTAGAGTGAAAAAAATGAACATCAAAAGAAAATTAAGTTAATAATTTTCCTTTGATATACCAAAAATAGGGATCATAGGTCCTAGATAAACAAAAGAACAACACTATTTATGATAATGTTATTATAGAATTAGAAGTTCTGCCAATCCCAAATTACTTATCGTACCCAATTTATGATGTCTGAAATGCCACAAAACTAAATTCGTTCCTTTTGATTAATGCTTTATTATTTTTATTTAAATCAGTAATTTCCCCTAGAATAGTTGTAACTGTAAATCTCATAAATTACCTAGCGCAAGTAAAAATACAGTAGTACTCCCTTATCTGCTGTTTTGTTTTCCATGATTTCAGACACCCATGGCCAACTCTGGTCTGAAAATATTAAACGGGACATCCCAGAAATAAACAATTCATAAGTTTTAAATTGCATGCCAGTCTCAGTAGCATGATGAAATTTCTTGCTATCTCACTCAGCCCCACCCAGGACATGAATCATCGCTTTGTCCAGTGTATTCATAATGTATATGCTACCTGCCTGTTAGTCACTTAGCAGCCCTCTCAGTTATCAGATGGACTGTCTTGGTATTGTAGTGTTTGTGTTCAAGTAACCCTTATTTTACTTAATAATGACCCCAAAATACAAAAGTAATGATGCTGGTAAACTGGGTATATCAAAGCAAAGCCATAAAGTGCTGCTTTTAAGTGAAACAGTAAAATTTCCCAACTAAATAAGAAAAGAAAAAAACTAAATGCTGAGGTTGCTATGATTTAAGGCAAGAATTAATCTTCTATTCATGAAATTATGAAGGAAAAATAAATTTGTGCTACTTTTGGTGTTACACATCAAACTGCAAAAGTTACAGCCACAGTGCTTAATAAATGTCTAGTTGTCATGGAAAAGGCATTAAATTTGTGGCTGGAAGACGTGAACAGAAACGTTCTGATTGACAACAATTGCATTTGGTACTATCTGCGGCTTCAGGCATCCAATGGGGGTCCTGGAACATACCACCCAGCCCCCAGCAAAAGTAGTTTTTGATATTGGAGAAAGAGACAGAAAGAGAAAGGATAGTAGCTATGGAAGTTGCATTGCAGATTCCAAGAATGGAAGGAATTTAGAAAATGGAACCTGTTTATGATATAATTTTCCATCTAAAAAGAAACTCCCACTGCAGTTTAAGATTTATAAATTAGACCTGTATTGATGTAAGACCAGAATAGTTTATATAATTTACAAAATATATTATTACCTTTAAAAAACAGATCCCGACAAGCTGTGACTTCTTTAATTCTGGCATGGCCAGAGACAGCAGGGCAAGGTTTGCTGGGTCAAGAGTGACTTTTATTCTCTAATACAATTATTGAGGTTTAATTAATATACAGTAAACAGAATATGTTTAAAGTATATGATTTGATACATTTTGACATATGAATGTACTCATGGAATTATAACCACAATTAATGAATATACCCATCATACCCAAATGTTTCTTCTGATCTACTCTCCCCATTCCAAGGCAACCAGTGATCTGCATTCTGTCACTATAGATTAGTTTCAGTTTTCTAGAATGTTGTATAAATACAATAATCTAGTAGATATTCTTTTTTGGTCTGGATTTGTTTTTTCACTCAGGATAATGCCTTTGAGATTCATCCAATTTTTTGGAGTATCAATTTCTCTCATCTTAGGGCTAAAACTCCTGCATTGTCTATCGTGGACTCCAATTGTGGATGTATTTATTTTTACTTGCAGATACATCAGTTTTTGCTTTATTTTTATTTAAATTATGTAGTCAGGTGCATACATATTTTAGGCTGCTATGTTCTCTTTAATAGTTGACTGGTTTACATTATGAAATAATCCTCTGTCTCTGGTAATATTATTTGCTCTGAAATCTGCTGTCAGCTTTCTTTAATTAGTGCTAACACAGTACATCTTATTACATCTGTTTATTTTTAACTACTTGTAAATGGATTTCTTGTAGGAAACATACAGTTGGTTTTGTTTGCATATATTCTGACAATCTCTGCCTTTGAATTGGTATGTTTATGTTATTCATATTTGTATTTAGCCCAATTTCTCCTCTCTTTGTGCCAGTGTGTCACCTATCATATTTTGAAGGCAGTAACTCTTAAAACTTCAAATTATAGTTATTTCTCTTTGCTCTTTTTTCCAGACTAAAGAAGTAAATTTATAATTATAACTTGGCATCCAATATGTTTTTTTTTCAGTGCCATAATGCTTTGGCAACTGATAAGAACCACTATAGTCTGCTTAAAAGGTATAATTCTCATTGTAAAGCTATCCATTAATATTCCTTGTGTTGACCTAAAAGAAGAAACTGAGACAAAGTTAATATAGTTTCTTTGGAACACACTTCCAAGTTTTAATGGGGAGTGCTCCCTTCAGCCTTTGTTGCAAGCATATTTTTGAAGGCAAGAAAGGGGAACAACAAGTGGGCTGATACAAAATTGTTCATCAGGAATTCTCACTGGTTTACGGAAATAACATTGATTTGTGATTAGCTGTACATTGTTGAGCTATAGGATATGGTATCAGGATGAGACATTATTAGGTTAACTTATAGTTACTGGTGGCAACAGCAAGCAGTTTCAAGAGAATATTACATAGATCAAGGGGGGAGATAAAATGTGATTGCCGTCTCATTTTAATGCCTCTCTGGGCCTGATAATTTAAAAAGTCTTGCATTCCTCAGATTAGATACATACATACACACACACACACACACACACATGCACATGTTTATATATGTAAAACATATTTATATCATATATTCATATTATATCTATATTTATATTAGATACTATATCATATATAATAATTTTATATTACATATAATATATAATAAGATATTTCATATCATAATATGATATATATACATCTCTCTCTCACTGGGTATGTAGCTGTCTTTGTAACCAGGGCTAACCCCGAGAAACTAACCCTGCTGAGTGTACTAATATCCTTCAGAGCTGAGGTTTGTGTCTTTGAACATGATTCTCTCATTGAGGTACTATCACCCTTTGAAGCCTTGAATGGGTGCTCTACCTTCCCAAATAGTTCTATTCTCTCCCTAACTACAACAGAACCTGGTTTTAAATGAATATTTCTTAAAGAGTGTCTATGGGGCATTTAAACATTGGAATCATCTGGGACATGGCTTGTGAATATAGATTTCTGGGCCCAAATTTAGACTAACTGAATTTATCTCAGGCATGAAGGCTCCATGAATCTGCATTTTTAGTAAGTTTCCCAGGTGATTTTTCATGTACACTCAAGTTTGAAAACCGTCATTCTATAACATGAACTCTGATAATTAGATGTTGTACTCATCCTCTGAATTTACAATAATATTTATAGAAAATTTACCCTGGTATTTTACTTTTTACTCCTGTATTACTATATTATAGAAATCATTGGCAAAAATAAATTTTAAAATTTTGAAATTTAAAATAAATAAAAATGGAAGTTATAATATTTTATGCCCACATTCAAATAGGTTGCATTTTTATCTCCCCATTTTGTAGACTTCTGTTCAAAACTTTGGGGGAATCTTGGTAGGATGATGTCTATTTTCATTAATTTCATAAGAAAGAACCAAAACAAGCCAGGAAGGGTGGCATATGCCTGTAATCCCAGCTACTTGGGACACTGACATGAGAGGATTGGTTGAGGCCAGAAGTTTGAAACCAGCCTGAATTTCTGAAGGAACTTAAAACAGAATTAGCATTCAACACAGCAATCCCACTATTGGCTATATACCCAAAGGAATATAAATCATTCTATCATAAAAACACATGCATATGTATGTTCATTACAGAACTATTCACAATAGTAAAGACATGAAATCAACCTAGGGCCTATCAATGGTGGATTGGATAAAGAAAATGTGGCATTATATACACCATAGAATACTACGCAGCCATAAAAAAGAATGAGATTATTTCTTTTGCAGCAACATGAATGGAGGTGGAGGCCATTATCCTAAGTGAACTAACACAGGAATAGAACCGAATACCACATGTTCTCACCTATAAGTGGGAGTTAAACATTGAGTACATATGGATGTAAAAAAGGAACCAATAGGCACTGGAGGCCTACTTGAGTGTGTAGGGTGAGAGGAGGGTGAATGTGAATGTATTAGTCCATTCTCACGCTGCTATAAGGAACTTCCCGAGACGGGGTAATTTATAAAGGAAAGAGGTTTAATTGACTCACAGTTCTGCATGGCTGGGGAGGCCTCAGGAAACTTACAATCATGGCAGAAGGGGAAGCAAACACATCCTTTTCACATGGCAGCAGGAGATAGAAGAGCAAAGGGGGAAACCCCTTATAAAACCATCAGATCTGGTGAGAACTTACTCACTATCACAAGAACAGTATGTGGGAACCACCCCATGATGCAATTATCTCCACCTGGTCCTGCCCTTGACATATGAGGATTATTAGAATTCAAGGTGAGATTTGGGTGGGGACACAGAGCCAAACCCTATCAGTGAGGATTGAAAAACTACCTATTGAGCACTATACTTATTACCTGGGTGATAAAATAATTCATACACTGAATCCTCATGACATGCAATTTACCTATACCACAAACCTCCATATGAACTCCTGAACCTAAAATAAAAATTTAAAGAAAAACAAGAGAAACCAGCCTGGCCAACATAGCCAGCCAACATTTTTTAATAGACCTCATCTCTATTAAAAGAAGAAGAAGAAGGAGGAGGAGGAGGAGGGAAGGAGGAGGAGGAGGAAGAGGAGGAGGAAGAGGAGGAGGAGGCAGCAAAACAAAATTTTTTGGAGAATTGATTCTCAACCATGATTATGTCTTGGCTACACTCCAGTCCAATAAATATGAATATGGGATGGGACTCAGGCATTAGCGTTTTAAAATGTGATCCTGGTGTGCAAAAATGGTTGAAAACCTCTCGATTGAACATGTGTGGGAAGCACTTGGAGAGCTTATTAGAACACGGATCCTTGGCTCTACTTGCAGTTAGGTCTAGGTGGGGCTGAAATTTTATGTTTTTAACACAATTTTTTGTATTTGTAACAAAATATTGCTGCACTCAGTAGCAAACTGCTTCATGGTGATCGTATGGTCTCTCAAGACTTTTAGACAGGTCTTCATCACTGAAAATATCACATAGCTTTTAGTAATTAAATCTTAGATTCAGCCTATGCCTACATTAATAAGTTATTCCTTTGAGACAAAATTATTATTTAAAACAGTTTAATTATGGCTTTTTCTTGAGTATTTGAGAAAGCCCAATTATCATTCATGTACACTAGGTGATGTTGACCATAAATGCTCTGATCTAAATTAACATAACAGCCATGTGATCTGGACCACATGACCAAGACCTACTGAGATGACCACGACCTGCCCACAAGTGTATTGACCTGCCCTTCCCTTTTGCTGTAATTGTTGTTCAATAGATACATTCTTGATATAAGATGGGGCATGATTCCTATGATTGAAGTTTCTCTTTTTTTACCAGATTTTCATCTTCTCAAACTTCCTTGGTACCAGTTCTCTAATTGTGTAGACACAGAGGAAGCGGCAGTGAGGAGACTCAGGTCTAGCCTGACTTTGCCATTAGCTCTCTGTAAGTTTAAGAAAGGAATTTTAAATTTTCTGGGCCTCATTTTCCGTATCTGGAAAATGATTTGGACAAAATGAATGTTCTTAAGTTCCTTTCCAGTTCTAAAATTGTTTTCTGTATCGTTTCACAAAATACTATTCCCAGAGCAAACAAGTTGTTTATTATGTGAAAGAGTTTGTGATGGTTCAGTAATTCAGTATACTGAAAAAAAAGCATTAGCTTTTCAGCTTTTGGGGCATAGTAAATACAATTAAAATGGGTATAGTTCCATTGTGGCTTTGCTGGATCTAGTTGTGGCCAGGAAACCTCTCCACAGAATATATTTGAAACAATTAAAATCATCAGTTTTAATCTTCCTTTGGCAAAATGAAGGGGCTGTGTTCTGCTGGCAGAAATTATAATCTTCTGTATAAAAGTCCATGTGGCAAATAAAGAAACTTGAGAACATTATTGTCAGATTCAAAAAGGGAAGATTAGTGGTTTTTAATAAGACCATGATTTGGAACTTTGAATCTGTTACCCCCATATAGAGCTGCTAGGTAATGGCCAGTGACCTGTTGTAAAGAAGAATTTAAAAGTTGGGATTCAGTTTATCATTCATTTTAGGGCTAACAAACTAGAAACGTATAATGCTTAGAGAGAAATAATAAGCACTTTAATTGTTTTACAGAAAAAAGAGCACTTGTAAATGAGTGGAATTCTTGAATGGTTAAGAGTGAGTTTTATAATTAACATTTAGTAACAAACTTCAAATTGGAAGGAAGTTGGAGGGAAACTCCTAACAATTGCTTCTTATTCCTAGTATAGCTCCTCAGAGGCAAAGACTTTAATATCTTCTATTTTCAGTTCTTATTATTACTTTCACGGCTTTAAATAATGTGCTTCTACTACTATTTCTTGATTTATCAGTGTTTTCTAATCTGACAAACTTGACAAGTTAGTGCATTTATATGTACAATGGTTACTGGTGTATTTGGAGTTATTTCTACAATTTCATGTTGTGTTTTCATTTTCTCCACTTAAATGCTTTTCCCTTCCCCCACCCTTTTCTGCCTTCTTGGATTTATCAAAGTTTTATAAATATTTTGTCCCCACTTTCTATTATTTATTTGCTTTTGCTAGTTTAGAAGTTGTAATTTATATGTCTTCTGGATATTTAACATACTTAAATTATTGATTTTCAAATGTTAAACCAAATTTATGATAGACATATAAATCCAACTTGGTCATGATATAGTATTATTTTCATATATTGCTGCTTCTAAGATGATAAAATTTTGTTTGGAATTTTTTACACCTATGTTTGTGAATGAGATAGGCTTATAATTTTCTTTTCTTTTACTGCCATTGTTGGCATTTGCTATCCAGGCAGTGTTAATTCTCAAAACCAGTTGAATTAGTTGAAAACTGAAATACTTGTTCAATTCTCTGGAAGAGTTTGTATGCAATTAAAATTATTTTTTCTTAAATGTCTGGCAGAACTCAGTGGTGAAACAATCTAGATCTGGAGTTTTTTGGTAGGAAGTTTTACATTACCGACTTGATTAATTTAATATTAAACCATATTCAGGTTTTAATTTTAGTTTTTTTTATTTTTCACTGTGTCTATTCTGATGAAATGTTTTCAGAATATGTCTCTACAAATTTCAAAATTTTTGCTCTTGGATCTGTAATAATTTCTGTTGTTTCATGACTAAAACTGGATCTCTTTCTCCTGACCACACTCTCAATTTTGTATTTATTTTCTATTTTGTTAACACATTTTCCTCAGCTTTTTTCTCCCAGGATTTTGGCATGTCTCTTGTGTGTGTTTCAACAACTATATTTTGTCATAGGTAGCAGTAGCTGCTCATTTGCTTTTCAATGTTTTCAGAAAATGACCTCAGCATATCCAGTTCCGTTCTGAGAAAGTTCTGAATTAGGTGAAACAGAGGCAAGACCTTATGTCATTCCTTCAGAGAATTCCCACACAGGTCAAAACACACAAACACAATTTCTTTAGAACAAGGTTAATTTTTCTCCCTTTGATACCAAAGACACATCAGAAACATCGGATGCTGTCTTCAAATAAGTCAGTGAGTTGGAGTTGGGCAAGGGTAAGTTAAAATGACACAAAATTCTTCTACTGTGTGTAAGTGCCCTTATATTTTATAATTGTACATTTCCTTGATTATTATGAACCTTTGATTAAAAAAAATCTTTCCAAAGTTCTGACAAATGTGATTCTGACAGCTTTTGCCCATTTGGGGGCCCATCATTCTTTGAAATCATTTATCTTCTAACTACTTGTGATAGATTTTTTGATCACTTTTTAGAGCTATGTATTTCCTCAGCATAATGTTTTAGTTGCATCCTATACATTTTGATCTAAAATATTTTCAGTTTATAAAAAAAGGCAGATCTGAGTGGAGCCAAGGGTGGACTGTAGTGGATTCTGTGATGTGCTTTCTAGATTTCCCTTCTAGAAAAAATGACTTAATTCCTTCAGCTGCTGAGAGTCCTCCTGGCAGATTGCCTACAGCTCTAGTTTCCCTTCAGGTACTCCCTTGGATGATGACAGCTGACTCACTCAAGGTTACATTTCTTCCTTCAGCACTTTGTGTCCAGTGCCTGATTGACATCAAATATAAATTCCTGACCCTTTTCCCCCAGCTTGGGGCAATGCTGAAGGGTCAGCTTCAAAACTCTTCATAGAATCATCTGAGATTTCTGTTCGAATTTCATCACAGCTGGCCTTCTCTCATTGCTCAATCTGATTTCTTCTTTTTCCATCTACGGATACTGATCCTCAAAGTTATTTCTAAAAGTCCTCTGGCAGAGTGATCTTTGTGTCAGTCTTCTTTTCAAGGATTAAACCGTGAAGAAAGTCTTTCTAGAGAAATTGTTAGCCAACTTGGGAACTAGAGTAAATGTGCACAAGAATGTATACAGAACCAACAGCTCATATTCTTGGAGCAAAGAAGGTATGTGCATGTGTGTGTGTAAGAGTGGAGTCATTGTGAGAAAGTATGGCAGTATGAGAGATAGACCTAGAAAAGCACATTTTGGCTAGATCACAAAGGATCTCATAATCTGTTTGAGAAGTTTGAGACCTTAGATCCAAGAATATGGGGGAATCAAGAATCCATTGAAATAGTAAAGAAATTATCATTTCTTGAAATGTGATGGCACTTAGCCAACAACAAATGTTTGCAGATAGAAATGATCACTAAGTGATTACAGAGTTTCTAACTACCCACTTCCTTATTAGAGGTCCATTCCACTGTTGACTTACCCAGCAGGATTCTGGAAAATGTTTTTACTCTGTTTGGGACCATGCAGCCTCCTACTCATGGCTTGCAGGCAAATGGAACCCATAGGGAAAATTCTGCAGACTGTTAGTTTCAGATATGCAACCGGATCACTGCTGTGTCTTATTAAAGGCATAAATCTGAACTTGTGCTAAATACATACAAAGGAAATTTGATTTATACATCTTTATAACATAAAAAGAGTTAGTCCAGTTTCCAAAGGCAGCCTACCTGTCTCTTAAATGATCAACACCATGGTAATAGTTTCCAATAGGTAATACCAGTGACAGCTAGAATGCAACAATTATACATTAAATGCAAAATAATACCCACTTCTTCAATTGCCAATAATTCATCAGATATGGAAAAATGCTGATTTGTTCATTGTAAAAAATGCAGTTAAAAATTGAGCTATTTGGTTAGGAATCTCTATAAGTATCAAGGGCATCAGAGTAAGTGTGGGTGGCAAAAGGAGAATAAATGAGAGGAAGAGAGGAATGTGAAGGGATATATCTACCTATGATTGATCAAAGAGAAAAATGATGCTTTTCTAAAGATTTGAGCAAGCACTTCAAAACTGTCACCAGCAGGAAAGTCAGCAGAGTCACTTTGATAATGCATTCAGCCAAATGTTGCAAATCCTGTTGCATAACACAATACTTCAAAAGCAGTATTGGAACTCCTGAGTGACAAACTATTAATTTTACCACTTCATTGTATCCAGAAACAAAAAAATGTGTGTGTACGGAGTTCCATGGGGAAAAAAAAACACAATAACTGGTAGGCAAAGTGGTATTTTATGGTCTATATTGGGCTCAGAGTAGCTGCTACAACAATGAAAACCACCACGATTTAGTAGCTTAACGTGAGAAGTTATTTCTCACTGATTTAATAGTCTAATAAGGACTAGTTGTATGTGCCCACCTACCTGTTTGGGAGGGTGGAGAATGTCATCTATGTCTGTGGAGCCACTTCCCAAAGTCGTCTCTGTATTCTGGCAATTTTGGAGGGCATTTAACTTTCTCTTCCACATGAGCCATCACTCTCCTCAGAAAATAGCAGTGAACCCCCTTTTGAGTTACTTTTCTGATAATTTCTTCATTAGTAAGGCCACATTTGAACTGTATCAAATCTTCTGCATGTTGAAATAAAAATCATTGTATTCAGCTCAATTTGACACAAAAATATTATTAAGGATCCTACGTTGTTGAAGTACTGTGCTAGAGTCTGTGAATGATGTTAGTAAGATATTATTAACGTCTGTAGGGAATTCATAGGGAATGTATTCTAATGAAACCAAATTTCAATACACTATAGTAAGTGCTGGTCTCTTTTAAGAATGCTAGATGCTTACTCTTTCTATATTTTAAGATGCCATAATTCCTTAGAGGATTAATTGTCACAAATTCAAATACAGTTGTATTGACATTTAAATTAAGTTTACATATGTCATGTGTCAAAAAATGAAACTCAATAAAACTTTAGTAAATCTCTGAAATATAACCATATAGAGAAATTGACTTTGTATAAAAATTGTTTGATTTTAAAGGAAAGTCTTCCCCATTCTGTCTTTTGGAATAACAGCATCAAGCAGTCAGGCTAGCCAAATGTCATTTTTATTCCATAACATAACACACCCAGTCAGTCTTTTATTAACTTACTAATAATTGATACTTTGTTTTAATTAGTTCAAGAAGTTTTGCCCAGCACTTAGGAGTTTGACATGTCAAATAACAGTACAACTGCAGCCATTTAATAAACAGTTTATCCTGACTATGTCATTACTTCCTATGTTCTTTAGTGGCCTCCACAGCTGAGATGAACCGTTTCTCATTCCACTGTCACACTTTTTGATAAAGAATGAAATGCATTTAGGATCTTCATATGTAACTAGATATTGTAATAGAAAGAAACTAAACCAAAATGGCCTGGGACTGCTGTTATATGACCTGAGATATGTATTCAACCATTCAGTGTCTCAGTTGCTTCATGAGTGAATTCAGAGTTTCAGATTAACAAAGTTTCAAGACCCAGTGTATTCTGCTTGCTGAGTCTACTATTCTAACACATTTTGGTAGAATGATGTCATCTATGCAGGGAATTCTAAAGTAAAAAAGTTACAGTGGATATAGGCTATTTCAACAATAGTCCTTGTGTTATTTAGATGTAAACTTATGTATATGGGGATAGTACATTGACTATTTGGAAATTAGTTTTCCTTACAGTATCTTCTGTTTATTCTTTAGCCTCTTTTGTGCTATATCTTGCTTCTTATCCCCATAAATGCAAATTATTAACTCCCTGAAACTTATTCCATGAAGTACATGGTTAAAAATTTGCACAGTTCTTCATGTTTGGCAAAATTTTACTGAGGAAAATAATGTATTAAAAATAAATAGGCTTGGTTTGGGGAATGCTTCCAATTTTGAATCTTTGGCAGGAATGGGCTTCTACAGGAAAATAAAATTAGCCAAAGCTCTAGCTCAAAATCTTTTGAAAGATAAAGCTATGGGGCTTACTCTAATGTGTTCAAGGTGTCCATGTACTTTGAGAGCAGCTAATAATAAGCTCCCTGGAAAATATGATGAAAACGTTGGCAGATTATCAGAGTTCAAAAAAATCAACTTCATGTACATCCAAGACTACCATTTCCAAAATAGATTCTAGTATTTCAGGTTTATCATTTCATTTGGAATGTTAACTTTGGGAGTGTGGGAAGCGTTTTTCATAATCACAGGGAAGGGGACAGTAAGCTTGCCTCCCACATTCAATGTGTATCCTCATACTGTTTTATTTTAGCATCTGAAATTCAAAGTAGCTTCCTCCAAAGCAAGAGCCCACCCAGGAGCTGAAATGCAAGGAGTATATGGAGAAATTTGTGGTGAAATTTTGCCACAGTCCCTGAAAGCTCTCTTTCTTGTATTTTTCTGAAATTGATATGTTCTACTCACCAAATTCAACCTTTAGGAATTCTGTCACAACACTGTATTTTTCTCAGAGTGATTGGGCTTCAAGAGTGACTAAAGATATTATTTTGCTGTTCCAAAATACAGAAAACCCAATAAAAATATTTCAGATCATGAAAATCTTCCTAGTAATTCAGTGATACCTAAAGTTCACAGAAAACAGTTTAATTTTCTTAACTGAATAAGTAAACTCTCTTTTTGTTCAGGAATTATATAACTTCCAGCAGTCATTTTCAAGTAAGGAGGTAAAACGAAGGTTATTTTAGAATCTCTTGTGACACTTTGTCAAACCACACATTCTCTCCTCTCAACAGGCCCCACTCTTTCCCAAAGATTCTAGCACATTCCTACCCTGGGGGCAGCATGGATAGAATGTGCCACTGTGATCAGTAGCTACTTAGAAGAGTGGGCTGTATCTCCTGAATATTGGGGTTGGAAAAAGGTTGAGATACACAGCTCCTCTGTCTTCAAGCAATATTTCTCAACAGTGTCCCTAGATCTCAGGGGATTCATAAAGTTAGTAATGGAGACCTACAGGCAATGTTCACTATTTTTTAAAGCAACCTTATAGAAACTGTGTATCTACTGACAATAAAGCTGCTCCAGCTGCAGGCTAAAACCTTGTCTCTTGTCTTCAAGCTAAAGTTATATAAACTCCTGGTGATATGCTAACTATTGCAAGCTCTTTGGAAGTTCTGAGGAAGTTACATGTTCCCTAGTGAATAGAAGTGGAAAAATGTATTTCTATTTAAGTCTGTTCATTTGATAGAACATTTCAAAAAATGAGACACATAGATAAAACATAATTAAAAGGTCACTTGGAAGCTAAGTTTTGGAAACCATTGACCTAAAATAAGGTAGAACTGAGCATAGGGAAGATATCTGTTGATTTCTCTTTAATTAATAACTTACTTATTAATAGTATCACACACATATATATATAAGCACATATATACATACATTGTTCTAAAATAGGACTGAAGAAAGAACAGCAAATCTATAAGAATAGGGTTCTGGCTGGGTACGGTGGCTCATGCCTGTAATCCTGCACTTTGGGAGGATGAGGTGGGCGGATCATGAGGTCAGGAGATCAAGACTATCCTCACCAACATGGTGAAACCCCATCTCTATTAAAATACAAAAATAGCCAGGTGAGGTGGCATGCGCCTGTAGTCCCAGCTACTCAGGAGTCTGAGTCAGGAGAATTGCTTGAACCTGGGAAGCAGAGGCTTCAGTGAGCAGAGATTGTGCCACTGCACTCCAGCCTGGGCAACAGAGTGAGACTCCATCTCAAAAAAAAAAAAAAAAAATATATATATATATATATATATATATATATGTAGCTGTAATCATTTATTAATTTTAATTCTGATCTTTTAAAATTATTCATGTTTATTTATTTCCAGTAAGTTTGAATTCCACATGCTTGCACTTCCTGGGATGGGCACTGTGGGTGGTGAGATTGTGGGAGGCTCAACTTCAGAATGTGCTTTTACAAAATTCATATCATCAGCAAGTTCTGGGTCTTACATAAGGTAGGAATGCTTGTCCTTAAAAGTATATCTGCAAATACAATGCTATTAATACTACTTTTCCATATAATGAATTATAAATTAACGTGTGGACATTGGGTCTCTCTCATTCTATTGTAGAATTAGCAAAAATTTCCACCAGCAAACTGTTATTAGAAAGGTTGCTGATAAGCCATAAAAATCATAGAGCAGAAGTAAGAGGCTTTGGAAGCTACAGGTATTAACTTTTGAGAAACAGAAAGTTAGTTCTCCTTTTCTCTGTCTTCTTTCTAATTGCATTTAGAGTTGGAGGAAAAGACAAAAGATGACAGAGCTTTATTAAATGGCAGTGAGGGACAGAGATATGAGAAGGTGACATAAATTTAAGCTGAACAAGGATCCGCAACTGCTATCTTGATCTCTAAGGGATCTAGTTAGAAAGCAATAAAAGCTGACTTGGTAATATTCCTGCATGGAATAAGGGTGTCTTCTAATTCTAAAACTACAGTGTATTCTAGAAGAATTCTGCTTTTTAAAGCAATCACCAACAAGTTCTTGAGATTCCAGGTCATCCAGTTAAGGAGCTTGAACAGGGAGCAAAAATACATTATCAATATCAACCTCAATTTATTCACTTATTTATTTAAAAATACTTTGACATTCTTGGGGTGATAGTAAATTATACTGTATTCACTATTCAGCTGGTGGCCATAGTGGCTCCTTAATCAAGTTTTGACAAAAGGAGTTTGGAATAGAGAAAGAGAGAAAAGAAATGAAGAAAGCCAAGCATTTAGATTGTGAAATAACATTATATGGACTCATCTTTTTGAAATCCCTTCCTTATCTCTGCCTGTTTCCATTGTGAAGCAGCAATAATAATCAGAAACTCAAAAGCAATTTGGCTTGTATAAAGTATCTTTACTCTTGTCAATGTACATTCTATCTGGACAGCAGAGGAGAGAGGAAGTTAAGGTGGAAGTGACTCAAAGACCAACATAAAATAGATTCTTCATTCTGTGGTCTATCGAGTCAGAGGGCACTTAACAAAGTCAGGAGGGAAGTTTTCCTGGTCTATATGTGCTCTGAGTGTCTAACTCATAGCCAATGGCCTAAAAAATCAGCTGCATGGAAAAAAAATCAGGTATCACTGTCCCTCTGTCAGCAAATCCAAAGTTATACTCACCCTGTTGAATTCAGTGACTTTTCTTTTTAATCTTTTATATTCTTCCTTCTCATTACATTGCTTAACCTAGTGCTCTGTATACACAATGGCCACTCAACCATTGTGGGCAGGTTGGAAACAAGATAAATCTGAAAGAGTAGCATGGCCTGTAGCTTCCAAGGCTTCTTATCTCTGTTCTATGATTTTTATGCCTTAGAAACAACCTTCCTAATACAGGATTATTTTTTAATAGTTCTGTAATGGAATGAGAGAGACTCAATGTCCAGACCTGAATTTATACTTAATTATACAGTATAGTAGCAGGCTGCTGTGTTCTCACAGAGCCCCGCTTCTGGTGGTAAGACTAGCTCATTCCAGTGAGGGGCAGGACTCCTCACATGGGTGAGTTTGGCTTGCAAACTCTAAGGCCTGGCTGAAATATCTCAGCACTATGCTGCAGTGTGAGACTCTTCCTATCAATCAACTTTCCTTCCTTTTTCCTCCCCTTCCAGAGTGGGCTTTCCCTGCCTCTTCCAGCTTCCTCTGCTTTTCCCTACAGGAGAGTTGTCTCCAATAACTCTCTTGCAGGTCTACTACTGTCTTGGCATCTGCTCCTCAGAGGACCTGAGCTAACACAAGAAGAAAGTAAGCTTTCTCCCATGGCTTAGAGCTCTAAATCTGAATGTAAATGTAAAACACACTAGGGAAAACCAAGAGATAAAAAGCAGATATCCAAATGGCTTTTCAAACTGTGCTTGGTTATCCTCTCACCTTCTCAACTCCTCTTCCTCTATTCAGCTCTAGGCAGGGGTTGGCCAACTTTTTCTGTAAAGGGCAAGATAGCAAATGTTTTACACTGTGTGGACAATATGGTCTTGGTTGCAACCACTCAACTCTGCTATTGCAGTGCAAAAGCACTCATGGGCAGTGCATGGATGGATGGACATGGCTGTGTTCTGATAAAACTGTGTTCTGTTAAAAAACAAAAACAAAAACAAAAGCAGGTGGCAGGGTATATTTGGCCTGCAGGTCATAGTTTTACTGAGCCCTGTTCTTTCAGGTTCATATTGGAAATTGCTTTTGGCTGACTTATTCAGCCACCTATTTAGGCCCCTGGATAGCAGATCATTTAAGCTAAAAAGAAAGATCAAAGAAATCTGTGTTCTTCATTGGCATCTGCTGCTTTAGAAATACTTCGCCCTGCAGTCAGCATTGGAAATTCCCTTCCCTGGGGATCCTGTGAGTGTTCCACAATGCCCAATCCCCAAATCTCTTTCATTTTGCTTACAATTGCTGAATACCCCACTTTCTATTCTATTCTATTTCTATTCTAACAAACGAGGCTTCATTTTTCTTGTTGCTGGAAATTTAAAAAACTGAAATATAGCAAGAGGGTGGATGCATCTTACAAAAGCTTCTAGCAATTACAATAGGGGTCACTATAGCCACTCACTTTTTTTGGATTAAAGCATTTTGGGGTCCAGGAGCAGTGGCTCACTCCTGTAATCCCAGCACTTTGGGAGACTGAGGCATGTAGATCACATGAGGTCAGGATTTTGAGACCAGCCTGGACAACAAGGTGAAACTCCATCTCTACTAAAAGTACAAAAATTTACCAGGCATGGTGGCATGTGCCTGTAGTCTCAGCTACTCGGGAAGCTGAGGCAAGAGAATCACTTGAACTTGGGAGGTGGAGATTGCAGTAGCTGATACGGCACCACTGCACTCCAGCCTGGGCAACAGAGCAAGACTCAGTCTCAAAAAAAAAAAAAAAAAAAGCATTTTGGAGTGGGAACTGATGAAGAAAAAAATTCTGTATGCAGCCAACTGAGGTTTTGACTTTATCTAGAAAACTACCCTGAAGTTTTCCCAGAGTACAGGGATTGAGAAAAAGGAATTGGAGCTGAAAAAGGTCCTGTGGCCCCAAACAAAGCCAGGTATTGGAGGGGAGTCAACCAGGTGACCAAGTACTCTGGCTGCAGGTGAAACGGGAAGGTTTTACTTCCCTGATTATAATTAATTGGTGGTAAACATGGATATTTTGTAATTAGTATTTTATATACTATATCATTGCTTCATTTATATCCTTACTTGAATATTACACTTTGATTGTACGATTCTCCAAAAGAAGATTGTGAAAAGGGCACTGGGTTTATTTGAATTGCCTTTGGCACTTGTTCTTCCAAATACAGAAAGCAAAAGAATGGCCTCAGTTCTTGGACAGCATGGGATAGTGGCAACAGCAACCTTGGCCCACTTCTTGAGAGAGATTTGTGACTCAGAATGGATTTCCAAGGCTTGTATTTGCCTCTCAGCACTTGACTCTTATCCCCTGTCCTTCCCTTCTTCTTTGTTCTTGTTGAGGATTGAGACAGAGCTAAACCTGCAATATAAGAGGTGGTAAAGCTTCACTTATGTAATGTAACAATGTGCGATACTTTCAATGAAGCATCATTGTGAAGGCTAATAGTCAAATCAATGACAACATAGCATATAATTTACATAAATCAGTAGTAGTTATGAAGTGGCAAATTAAGAATAGTCACAACAATTACTAAAATAACATCATCTCATTTGATTTTCACAATGGTCTGTGTAGTTGTCATTATAGATTAGCAAATTTTGCCTCATAGTTTAATTTTGATTAAATTATTCTATCAAGTTCATAAAGCTGATAATTTGTAAAGGTGAAATTGCTGGCTGGTTTTCTGGCCTCTAAAAACTGGGACACAGGAGTTAGGTGCAAAGACTTGGGAACCAGATGACCTGGGTTTGATTTCTACTTCTGCCTCTTGTGTGATCAGTGACTGAACCTCTTTGTGTCTGCTCCACAGAGTCACTAGGAGGATTAAATGAGAAGTGTTTGGATAATGTTTCCCCCCATGCTTAGCATAAGTACTACATCAGTGTTTTTAAAAGCAACAAATATACTATGTTGCTTCTAAGAAAGTGAATAAATTAGTTGAACCTAGGGAATTACCTGATCTCCCTAAGCTTCATTTTCTATTTATTTGCAAAAGGGAGATTATAATAGTACCTACCTTCTAGACAAGGCTAAATCAGAATGAACGTAAAAACCTTTATATCATACCTGGGATTTATTAAGAGCTCAGTTTCTGTTAGCTATTACAGTTTTTTTGTTGTTGTTATTATCTTCTTCTATGGAGCAAAATTATATGCAAATAGATTAGTCAGATCAACATTGAAATATAGGAATGTGAATGGCTAACTTAGATAATAGAGATGATATTTTAAAGTTCTTAGGAGATCACACATATTATTTAAATATTAATCTGGCTGGCTGAAAAATATCTTCAAAAACATTTTAAGGACATTTCTTCTCATAGTGATACATCTTGTTCAGGCACAAGACAACTTAAGAATAATATAAAGTTGACTAAAAGGATACTAGACTCAAAGGAGACCATTGTATAAAATATTAAGGCTTTCCTTAAGTGTCAAGAGTTTGGACACATCAATAGGACAGCAGGCTTTTAAAACTGCTAAATTAAGTCAGAGTTTCTGCAACATAGAGCACCTCTGCATGAGAGGGGAATTTGTGAAATATCCTGAATGGCTTACTAAAAAAGACCCAGAGGAAATTCCTACAACCTACAAATAAAGCTTCAAGTGTTGACCACAACTGCCCTCAAGCTGCTACTATGAATACTCAACCCACAACCATTGTAGGCTGGGAAGACCCAGGGCTCATGCCGTGAGCCGCTGCCTGCCTCTCCACCCCTTTTCTCTCCTTCACTCAAGCTGGAGTTTTCTTGGTTTTACCAGTTAGCTATGTTTGTCCTCACTTTCAGGTCTTTGTTCATGCTATTCTTTTATGTGTGGAATTTTATTTCCTTACCTTCTGGTTAACTCTTTCTCATCCTTCTTAACTTGGGCCCCATTTCTTCAAGGAGGGCATCCATGAAATCCTCGCTGAGATTAGTGCTCCATGTACACTGTATATTTCTCTCTCTTATAGCACTCAACTCTCTTACAATTATTTTTCTTACTATATTTTTTAGTAACTATATGCACTAAGATCCTCTAAAGTTCTGAAAGGCAGGCACTATGTTCACTCTGTATTCTCAGTGCTTAACATAGAGCCTGACACACAGTAGGGGCTTAATAATTATCATATGTAATTGAATATAAGATACATTAATTGGAAGACAACCCATTATTTCATGAACCCACTAAGAAAGAAAAGAAACCCTGTGAATTAAACTATGGAACGATGCCTTTATCATCACTTAGCATTCTTATTCTATATTTATTAGAAGATCTCATTTAGTCTTATTTAGACATCGATTTTTATCATGTCACTGTTGCATATTTTATATATATATATAAATTGGTTGGTGGATTCCTGAACTTCTTTTTTGGAGCCTCTTATGAATTATTTTTACACTTAATTTAGGTTATTCTTTTTTCTTCCCACAAAATATTATGCTCTGTGCCATCAAGAGCCTGGGTGATGGTACATTTCTTGAAAAGATCATCCCCTATTGTTAGGGAGAATTTCTTGCAAATTTCATACCCATTCCTCAAATATTTATATGCATAGGCAATGACAACCTCATCATGACTGCTGCAGGGTCAGAATGGCTTTAAGATACATTCTATTTCTACGAATGTTCAAAGTAAAAAAAAAAAGTGAAACAATGAGCATGGCGTTTACCAAATAAATGCTGTAAACTATATAAATACGTGTAAAAAGTTCTATGCATGTATGTATGTGGGTAGGTAAGTAAGTAGCCAGAATATTTTCAGAATATTTTGTGTGCAATATGTCTGTGAAAAATGAGAAGTCCACATCAGATTGTTTATAGCAGGCCTCCTTAAGAATTTCAAGGTCAAGGCAAGCATGCTGTACTCTGTTTTCTTCTGCTTCTGCTTCCTGCCTCTGTAGGGCTGGAGTGAGAAGAGGGCTAGGGCTTTTGCTTACAAAAGCTTTGCTTATGAAGGAAGCTTGGCCATCTGTTTTTCTGAGATTGGGCACTTTTTCTTCAGCCCCTTGCCCTCTCACTATAACATCTGACTGGATCCTGATTCTGTTGACTTGAAGACTATAATTCTTATCTAGTCAAATGCCTTTATTGTGTCGGAGAGAAAATTGATGTTCATGGTGGTAAGAAGAAACTCATTTGTAGTTACAGGTGGACAATTATAAAGCAGAGTAAATTGAGTAGATGCTCCAGGGAAAGGTCTTAGGCTAAGCATTGGGAAGCCTAAATGCCTGGTGTGTACATCTATAATATGCATTGTTTGCAGGCATCTGTTATGGACTGTATTGTGTCCTCTCCAAATTCATTTGTTGAAGTCCTAACCCCTAGTACTTCAGAATGAAACAATTTGGAGATGGGGCTTTTACAAAGGTAATCAAGTTAAAATGATGCTGTAGGTGGGCCCTCATCCAAACTGACTGGTGTCTTTATGAGAGATTAAGAAATACAAAAAGAGACACCAGAAATGTTTCCACATAGAGAAAAGACAGCATGAAAAGGTAGCAAGAAGGTGACCATCTGCAAGCCAAGTAGAGAGGCCTTAGATCTTGGACTACCAGCCTCCAGAACTGTCAGAAAATAAATTTCTGTTCTTTAAGCCACCCACTCTGTGGCACATTTTGTTACAGCAGCCCAAGCAGATTAATACAATATGTTAATGAGAGGATTCAGAATGGTAATTGCAAAGGAAGGAGAAGGTACATACTCGAATGTCATTAGTAACTTACAGCAAGGTTGGCTATTAGGTAGTATTATTCAAGGAGTCTCAGAGGAACAAAATCCTTCTTCAAACCATAGCTCTCTTCTTCCCAAGGTGTTCAAGGAGGAAATGAACCAAAGACAAGACTGCAAAACTTCATTGCCGTCAGGGCTTGGTGTGGAATTTCCTCAGAGAATCCTGGTTTGCTGGACTGAGAACAGAGAGGGGTTCTTTCCCTCCCCTAAATTCACATCTATCTCAGCTCCCATTTGGTTATAGAAGAGGACCTTACACAAAAGAAGAGAAAACGTCATTCTTGGCACTTTCAGGTTATTTCTTTTTCTTTTTTTTTTTAACTTTTTATTTTTAACTTTTTATTTTAGGTTCAGGGGTACATATACAGCTTTGTTACATAAGTAAATGGTATGTCACGGGGGTTTGGTGTACAGATTATTTTGTCACCCAGGTAATAAGCATAGTATCCAATAGGTAGTGTTTTGATCCTCTCCTTCCTCTCATCCTCCACCCTTAAGTAGACTCCAGTGTGTCTTGTTCTTTTCTTTGTGTTCATGTATATTCATTGTTTAGCTCCCACTCACAATATGTGGTGTTAGTGTTCGTTCACTTAGGATAATGGCCTCCAGCTCCATCCATGTTGCTGCAAAGGACATGATCTTGTTCCTTTTTATGGCTGTGTAGTAATTCATGGTGTATATACATCACATTTACTTAATCCAGTTTACTGTTGATGGGCATTTAGGCTGATTCCATGTCTTTACTATTGCGGATAGTGCTTCAATGAACATATGCATGCATGTGTCTTTATGGTAGAACAATTAATATTCCTTTGGGTATTTACCCAATAATGGGATTGCTGGGTCAAATGGTAATTCTGTTTTAAGTTCTTTGAGAAATTGTCACACTGCTTTCCACAATGGCTGAACTAATTTACATTCCTACCTGCATTGTATAAGCATTCCTTTTCTCTGAAACCTTGCCAGGATCGTTATTTTTTAATAGTAATAGCCATTCTATTTCCTTATGAGCAAATCTAGGCCATTTATATTTCTCCAAATATAATACATTTTATTTAAAATTTTACATTTATTAGTACAGAGTTATGCAGATTTTTCCTTTCCAATTAAGAAAAAAAATACTTTATATATTTATTTTTGACCTTTACTCATTGCTTGTTTTGTTTGTGTTCTCCCTCTTTTTTCTTTCCTATTGTGTTGGTTCCCTTTGAAATCTTCAAAACACTCACTCTCACATGTTGTAATTGTCTCTTAACCTGTGATTTTTGTTTGGGTTTTCTGTGTCATAGAGGTCATATTATTTTCTGGGCTGATCCTCTGATTTTCATGATAAATTAGTGTTCGACCTATACCTTTTTCTGAGTCTTCATTATCTTGCTCTAGTGTGTCCTACAGCTTTTCTTCATAGGCTCTCTTTAACTAGCTTGTTTACTCTTCGTTGAAAAAAATAGATCTTCAGCTGTTGTTTGTAAACAAATAGAGTATATGGATTGCCTTTGATCTCATTTACCACTCACTTGAGAATTTGTTCTGTTTGTTCAATCTTCTGACAGGCATGGCAAGAGAGAAATTTATACCACACAGTTTCTATTTCAGTTTCCGGAGTTTGAGAGGCTTTTACCTAATACAACCCTATTGAGGTTCAATCATATGGCACTCTCTGCTCAAGATACCCCATTTTAGTTTTCTTCTGTAACAACTTGAATCAGTGCAATAAATGTAAAAGAATAATGCTCAGAATATTCTACTCCAAGGTCTCTTTTTATGCATGTACTTAAGAACTGTTTCTATTTTCTGGCCAGTTGTTTTCTGAGCACTGCAGTCTCTTTGTGGATATAGAGACTGGTATGATGTCCTGGGGGAAGGGGGAAGGAAATATCACCCTGCTTGCCTCAAAAAGCAGAATCTATCCAGTGATAGAATTCATGTGCAATGTTTTAGTTGGTTCATATCCTTTTTCTGAGTGGGACAGGAGGGAGAAAATAAAAAGATATTTTTGTTTCCATTATCTTGCTTTTGCAGAACAACAGGTTTGTTTCCTTTTTAGAAGCAAAGTATGTGTGGGACCATGATTGTGTTTCCCAGTCCTGTTTTATCACTTTAATTCTAATTTCAGGCAATTGTATGAATTTTCACCTTCCTCTCTAACTTTTATGTGGGCAGTAACTATACTTGTCTTCCCATTTTACTTCTGATATAATCTCAGTGTCAGGAATATTCCAGGTGCTCAATAAATAATTTATTTAATGAACACATAAATACCACAATTGTCACATTAGTGGGTCTTTTGGAACGAACTGAATCAAGGAAAATTTGCTAAAAAGTAATCTAAACAAGGCTTCCCCATTATGATTTCATTACATCTTAGTGCCAATTTTACTTCTTTCCAAACTAGTAATATCTCTATAACTCTAACAAGTGTTAATAACTTGATTTGGAAATTTTGATATGTGAGAAATTGTATGAAGATCAATCATTCATTCTACAAACATATATTGAGCACCTATTTATGGCTGGCACTATGCCATCATAGAATTCTTTCCAGCCACATGGAGGGTAGAGGTTTGGGGTGGCTATACACTAAAAAGTAGTTACAAGATATTGTGAGATATCAGAGAGTTATGTAAAATTTGCCATGAGATACACTTGAGCTCTGCTTTGAGTCTTCAGAGAAAATAATGAATACTAAGAGCTATAGGGGATGGAGCTGTAAGGATAGGAGTGTTTCTAGGAAAGGTAATAACACCCAGAGTCTGGAGTAGTCAGGGGATTGCATGTAGTTAATTGTGATTGAAAACAGAGGGTGGAAGATAACCGGAAAGGCTTTAAAGGCAATTTCCTATAGATCACTGAGAATAGTTTTCACTAGAATGTAAGGATAATGCTAGATTCAAGAGGGTGGTTGACCATAAGCCATAGTGATAATGACTGGGGAAGATATGTGAGTATAGGGGTAGTGAGGAGACTATGTGGGTAAGAGTTGCAAAATTGGATAAAGCTTCCCTAAAGAAAATGAATTTAAAGCTGCAGTGGATACATTAGAAGAGATAGTGCTGAGAGAATCATTATGTTCTTACAGGAGGAGGGGTGTGTGTGTGTGTGTGTGTGTGTGTGTGTGTGTGATTGTAGACACACCTGAGCTAGAGTTGGAGCTGTGTGGCTGCCTCAATTAGTCAGTATTTGTTTGCCATCCCTTGAAGTCATGGCATAACACACTGGCTCATGTCCAAGAGAGATAAAATGAAGATAAAATTAAAGTATAAGCTAAGAATGCTCAGAGAATGGAACAAAATGAACTACAAGTAAAGTTGTTGGGAAAACATGATCATAGATTTTCAAGGACACTGATCTGATGTCAGGGGAGTGATGTGCTAAGGGAATGGACAGCCTTAAACAGTAATTATAAAACTGGAAACCTACTATTAAGTAAAGGATTTAAGTGAGGCCTTAACTATAGAGTCTTTTGTATAATACCCCATCATGATTGTGCCAACCTCTACCATTTTTATTCAAAATCAAATTCCATTTCATTAACGTTAGATTCATTTCTTTTAACATCTACTGTGCCCTTTGGCACAATCTAGGTTTTCTAAATTTTTATTTCTTCATTTTCTCATATATTTTATGTACACACATACGCACATTATATATATATATGTAACTCATATATTTTATGTACACACATGCACACATTATATATATATATGTACATCCTCAGATAATTTTAAAATAATTTTCACATTACATTGAGAAACTATAGTACACCCGAAAAAATTCTTAAGATTTTATTTATATAGCTTAGATGTCCTAGGGGTGAAGGTATACAAAATTTTGCTTTTACTATATCTTCCAGTTAGCCAAATTACTGCCTAGCCCAAAGCAAGTATTTATAGTGATGAAATGGCTCTCTCCATTCAAAGAGGCATCCATTGTGTTTCTTTATGTAAGAGGTATGGGGTAACAGATCCCGTGATGTGATAAGAACAGATCACTATTCCAGCTAGAAGGTACCTGCCACTGGACACGGTGAAAAGGACCAAGGGTATGATTAAGAGTACCAGACTGTGATGATACTCAGATTTGTTTCCTTGATGTAATTTCATCTCTAGACTTCTTTCAGGAAAGATGGGCACAGCATTATAACAACCACCAGGGGGCTGCTGCTGAAAGGTACCCTAGCCTTTTGCAGGGAGATTGAGCTGCTTTGTTTAAGTTTGCTTTAAAAAGTAAACATAATTTTAAAAGAAATTAATAAAAGTAGCAATGAGCTGGGTGCGGTGGCTCATGCCTGTAAAAATCCCAGCACTTTGAGAGACTGAGGCAGGTGGATTACTTGAGGTCAGGAGTTTGAGACCAGCCTGGCCAACATGGTGAAACCCCATCTCTACTAAAAATACAAAAATTAGCCGGGCATGGTGGCACACACCTGTAATCCCAGTTACTCGGGAGGTTGAGGCAGGAGGTTGCAGTGAGCCGAGATCGTGCCACTGCACTCCAGTCTGGCTGACAGAGTGAGACTCTGTCTCAAAAAAAAAAAAAAAAGAAAAAAAAAAAAAAGCAATGAGACAAATACCATGTTACTTTTTGTTTACAGGCATATTAATTTCATTAATTAATATACTGTTTTAATTCTGGGTGTTCTGGTACGTTGGGCAAAATGGAAGACATGATGACTTCATGCTGCCTACTAATAGAAATCATACAAGCTCATCTGCAGTGACATACTTCAGTGGTACGAATTCAAAGAGGCATCAACTATGCGACTCTTTAAGAGATATAGGGTAACAGATCCTGTGAAGTTTTCAATTGGGATTTTGCACAGGGCACATCCATTTTGTTCAAAGTGGAGTTTTATATATCTGTTGTTTATAAAAGTTGCAGAAGAAAACTTTAAGGCATTACTCAGGGAAGATATTTCTTCAGGGAAATGAAATGGGTTCAGGAATATTATTTCCTAATGATCTTTCTTAATGCAGGGACTAAGTTTAGGGAATCCAGGAGAATGGCTAATTAAAATGCCTATTACATTATTTCTCTGATATATGATTTGCTTAAAACTATCCATTGGTAACTGCTCAGAGTTGACTTTCGGTAATTCTCTGATGAGAACCTGGAACCAAAATACAAAGATGCCTTGAGTAGGTATTTTGTACAGAGTTAAAAAATGAGAGCATGTTCAGTTGTATTTTATTTCCATTACAAGAAAGTTAAACCTGAAATCCATGTCAATTTGCAGAGGTCCTCATTCACCTATGAGCTCCACCCATTAAGGTTTTGGTTTTTTCTTTCTTTTTTTTTTTTTTGGTTGTAATTAATTTCTTACAGACACTAGCTTTCTTGCCAAGAGCAATCACAAACCTAAATGCCTTTATCTTTCTTGCTCAAATCTACAGGGCATCAAATATTGACCAAAATGTTTCTTCAAAGGAAAATATTAGCTTAGTAAATGCAGTTCATTTCTAGCCATCCTTGAATGTTCACTGTTTTCCCAAAGTTGTTGACAGTGCATCTATATAACAACATGCATTAATCTAATATTTAATATAGGTCTTCTTTCTCCATGGAGATTGAAGCACTCTACAAGGATTTTTATTTTAAATGAATTCAAGATACGAACTTGATAAAGCACAGGACAACTTCAAGTCTTATGTATTTCAAATCCAATATACAATGGACTCACACCTGGATTATTAGAGCTATGCTAGAATAAATATGATTTATTGGTTGAAATGGAACTCACATTTTTTACACTTTTTAAAAGTATTTTATTTTTTGAACATTACTTTTTATTATAAAAGTAATATATGTTCATTGTGAACATTATGGAAATAAAAATAATAAAATAAAAATCACATATAACTGTTTAAACCTCTGTTAAACTTTTAGACTATATCCTTACACACATTTCCTATGCACTAGTATGTATTAAAAATAATTAGGATATATGACATTACTTATTTGTGAGTGACACTTCATTTAAAATGTATCACATTTTCCCGTGTCATTAAATACTAACTATAGTATTCCATAGCATAAATGCACCATAATTCATTTAACAATTTCTTTAACAATAACTTTGTCTACATTGTAAACAATGCTATGTGAACATTTCTGTAGACAAATATTTGCGTACAATTAGAGTTATTTTCTCTAGTTAAATTTCCAAAAGGAGAATTTCAGGGTCAAATTTTTTTTTACAAGTTTTCATACATAGGCTAAACTATCTTCCACAATGGAAGTATATGTGAGTGTCTATCTTTATCTTTGCCAACACTAAATGTTATTATATCAAGTTTTTAATAATCTCTAATTTGATATGTGAAAAAAGATTGTTCTTTTACCCTTTGTTACTTTGCTTACCTGAAAATTTTGAAATAATTCATATATTTATTTACCATTTACATTATTGCTTTATACCTTATTTATTCCTACACATCATTCATTTTTTTTTCTGTTGGGGTGTATTAAATTTTATATGAAGAGAATTCTTTATATAAAATTAGGATAACATTGTGTCATGCATTTTACAAGTATCTTTCCAGCTAATCTTTATCATGTTTTGTTACTGAATTTTTCATTTTTAAATTGTCAGTTTCTCAAGTGTTTTCATTAAAGTTTCTATATTTGCTTGTACAATTAGAAAACCTTCCTCACAAAATGTTCAATATTCATTTTTATTTTACATATTTGATGATTTGCTTTGTTTTTCATTTTATGCAATTAATGCTTTAATAAATCTGCAACTAATTATGGTTTATCATGTGAGGAGAGGATTTGATCGGTTTTTTTCTATTGTTAAGCAATTGTTCCTGCATGTTTATTGAATAATACACTTCTTCCTACTGATTTTAATATTTTTAAATTCAGCTGAAGCTTTTATGTTCTGTAGTTTTCTCCTGAGATTAATTTCTGCTCCACTGATTTCTCTATTCTTCCACGTTTATCACAATATTTTAATAATGCATTCTCGTATCTGGTATTGCAAGTCCTTCTTCAGTAGTTTTTTCCAGAATGTTCTTTGTCATTCTTGACTCTTTATTCTTACATATACTTCAGAATTACTTTATTAAGTTGAAAAAGATTCACTTAAGAAGATATGTTTCACTGTGGAAAAATGCCTAGGATACATTAAGCAAAGAAAGCAAATTATATAACAGTATGTATATTATCCCTCTTACAATGAAACAGAAGTCAGAAAAAACACAGAAGTGTGTGTGTATGCTCATGTGTAGGTGAGAATGTTTCTTATAGATACATACAAAAGTTCTAGAAGAATGGCCAGGAAAGTTATTAACAATGGTTACCTGTAGTGAGTGGGAATGGACATTGTGGGGAAGAGGAACTTCTGCTTTTTCACTATAAAGAGTCTTTTCATGCAATTTGAATTTTCTACCATGAACAGTCATTAATCTTAAAAATTTTAAATGCCTTTGAAAAAAACCATCCAAAAAATATTAAAAAGCTATTTACACACAAAAGGACAAAAACTGCATAATTTCACTCATATGAGGTACTTGGGTAGTCAGATTCATAGAGACATAAAGTAGAATGGTGGTTGCCAGGGTATGGGGGAACAGGGGAAAGGGAGTTGCTGTTAAGCATGTAGAGAGTTTCTATTTTGCAAGATGAAAAATATTTTAAAGATGGATGCTGTCTCAGTGATGGTTGTATGACAATATGAATGTACCTAATGCCACTGAACTGTATACTTAAAATGGCTAAAATGATAAGTTTTATTTTATGTATATTTTACAATAGTTTTTAAAAGCTATTTATGATGATTCACCTCTGGGGAGTTGCATTGAGGAGTCAGGGTGTAGGCCGAGGACAATACTTTTCACTTAACACCTTCTGCATGGCCTGAATTTTTCATGCAAAGCTAGTGTTGTTTTCATAATGCAAAAAAAATTAGGAGTCTTTCTAAGCCTATTCTGATTTGAAGGGCTGTCTGATTAAGAAAAATTTAATGTCATAGCTAATTTTAAAAGGTATTGGAAATTCTAAGTGGAATTATATTACATTTATGAACGACAGGACATCTTTATTGTTATAAAGACAATATTTTGTCCTTTAGTCATATAGAAATACTTTTCAAAAAACATTTGAAACTTTTTTTATTTCAATAGCTTTAGGGGTATAAATGGGTTTTGGTTATATGGATGAACTGTATATTGGTAAAGTCTAGGATTTTAGTGAACTCATCACCCAAGTAGTGTACATTGTATCCAGTAGATAGATTTTCATCTGTTACCCTCTTCCCATCCTCCCACTTCTGAGTCTCCAATGTCCATTATACCAGTCTGTATGCCTTTGCTTGCCCATAGCTTAGGTGCCACTTATAACTGAGAACATGTGGTGTTTGGTGTTTGATTCCTAAGGAACTCACATGTTTGACTATCAGAAATAGAATGTTCAATTGAGAAAACTCTCACCTTCATTAATTCTCTCTCGGTTCTTCTCTACCCCATTATCATTCAATTTTTAAATTTTCCTTCTGCCGATCCTTTAAGTGTTGGTGTTTTCACTGTTTTATTGTCACCATGTGAACTCTTCCTGCAACTCTTCAATCACCATGTACGAGGGGTCTTCAAAAAGTTCACGAAAAATGCATACTATGAAAAAACTATGTATGAATTTCAATTTCTCTTGCACCAAAAAAAATTATACTAACTTGTTATAACATGTCTGAACAGGATTTAGTTTGAGGCATTAAGAGGGTTAAGACATCAGTTTGAAAAGTGTCCCTATCAAGGCAATATGAATTCTGCTAAGATTGAAGCATGAACAAACATCAAATTTAGGTGAAGCTTGGGTGAAAGAATGGTGAAAATCACTGATGCTTTATAAAAAGCCTTCGAGGATAGTACCCCAAATAAATCAGCAGTTTACAAATGGATAACTAATGTTAAAAAGTGATGAGACAATGTTAAAGATGAAACCCACAGGGACAGACCATCCACATCAATTCATGAGGAAAAAAGTTCATCTTGTTCATGCCCTAATTAAAGAGGACTGACAATTATCAGCAGAAAGAATAGACAACAGCCCAGCTTACACAATTCTGACTGAAAAAATTAAAGGTGAGCAAACTTCCACTCGATGGGTGCCAAAACCATTGGGCCCAGATCAGCTACAGACAAAAGCAGAGCTTTCAATGGAAATTTTAAACAAGTGGGATCAAGATCCTGAAGCATTTCTTCGAAGAATTATAACAGGAGATGAAACATGGCTCACCAGTACAATCCCAAAGACAAATCACAATCAAAACAATAGTTACCAAGAGGTGGAAATGGTTCAGCCAAAGCAAAAGTGAACTGGTCAAAAGCAAAGGTCATGGCAACAGTTTTTTAGGATGCTAAAGGCATTTCACTTGTTGAGTTTCTGGAGAGCTAAAGAACAACAATATTTGCTTATTATGAGAGTGTTTTGAGAAAGTTAACCAAGCTTTTGCTGAAAAACAACTAAAGAAGCTTCACCAGAGAGCCCTTCTCCACCACAACAATGCTCCTGCTCCTTCAAAAAGGGCAATTTTGCGAGTTTCAATGGAAATTCATTAGACATCCACCTTACAGTTCTGATTTGGCTCCTTCTGACTTCTTTTTGTTTCCTAATCTTAAAAAAAAATTAAATGTCACTCAGGTTTCCTTCATTATTAATGTGAAAAAGACTGCATTGACATGGGTAAAATCCCTGGACCCTCAGTTCTTTAGGGATGGACTAAATGGTAGTATCTTCACTTACAAAAGTGTCTTGAATTTGATGGAGCTTATGTTGAGAAATAAAGTTTATATCTTTCTTTTTATTTTTTAGTTCAATTTTTCCACAAACTTTTTGACATTTTCTCATATATGCTGATGACTTCTAAGTCTATATTTCCAGTTGGGATATTTCTCCTGAGATCCAGGCATCTAATTCTTCCCACAAGTCCACTTAACCCAAAATATGTGTATAACAAATATGTATTGCAAACTCTACTTCTTCAAAATCAAATTCACTCTCAGTTCTCTTATGTTTTTAAAATTGATCCAACCAGTCATTTAAGTGGGTCATCTGGGAAGCATCTAAGGGATATCTCCTTTGCTCATCTTTTATATCTTAAACACCATAGAATTCTGTCAATGTTTTCATTATTCTTCCCTTATGGTAATTGTCTTAGTCCAGGTACTAATAAAATTTAAATGAAACTATTTTAATAACACCACACACACACAGACACACACACACACACACACAGACACATTCACAACACTAGACCAGGGCCTCTTAATAGCATCAATTTTTATCTAATTTTTGCTTTTATGGAACTTATTTCTAGGTGCTAAATATTTATTGAATAGATATTTAATGGGACTAAAATTTATTGAATTATGAATGTCCTTATTTTTTAAAACAAGATAGAGGCTTTGGCATTTAGTTTCTCTTTTCTTTTCTTTTCTTTTCTTACCTTTTCTTTTCTTTTCTTTTTTCCTTTCCTTTCCTTTCCTTTCCTTTCCTTTCCTTTCCTTTCCTTTCCTTTCCTTTCCTTTCCTTTCTTTTTGTTTTCCTTTCCCATCTTGTACCTTCTTTGGAGGTTTCTTGCAGGTTCTTTGGGATTTTGTAACAGAGAACTAGAATAAGAAGAAAAAAAGAGAGACATGGGATAGGGATCATCATGGCGGACGGGAGGCAGGACTAGATTGCAACTCTGACTGGGACAGACAGAGCATGGTTCGGAGGATGGCATTGTAAACTTTAGCTTCAGATTGACTGCAAGAACAAACCAGCAATACTGAGAGGACCCACAGACCCTATGAAGGAAGTGAACTGCTCCTACAGGACCCAGGAGACACCACAAATACTGTGAGTGCCTCAACTGCGGTAGAGGAAAAGGGAGAGCCTCCTCTCCTGAACACACACCCTCACTGCAGAAACTGAAAGTCTGTTTGTGTGGAGGAGCTTCCAACCTTACCTGGAACTGAGTCAGTTTAGAGAGTCAAGTGAAATACAGGGATAGAGAAAGCAGCAGAATGGCTCTGGGAGCTCACTAGGTCCCCAGGCAGGCCATTCCTGCCTGGCACCACAGGGATCCATCAGGAGGGCAGCCAGAGGAGTGAGGGGGAAAACTGCATAGGGAGAAGGAAATCTCCAGCTGATCTTTGTAACAATTTGAACAGGGCGAGAAGCCTCCTGGCCAGAACTCTGGGGAGGGCACAAATCCTATGTGTAGACTCCACAGGCAGAGGAAGAACCAAGCCCCTTTCTTTTGCAGCTGGGAGGCAAGTAGTCTGGGGCAAATTTTCAAGCCTAGCTCACCCACCACCTGGAAACAGAACTCAGGCCTATTGGGGCAGGGGAATGGTGAGAGTGAGACCAGCCCTTCGGTTTGCATGGAAGCTGGGCGAGGCTGGCTTTCCCCCACTTCCCTGACAACCTGCATGACTCAGCAGAGGCAGCAAAATTCCTCCCAGGTACATAACTCCATGGACTTGGGTATCTCACTCCCATCCCTCACAGCAGCCGCAGCAAGACCTGCCCAAGAACAATCTGACCTCAGACACGCCTAGCCCTGCCCCCACCTGATAGTCCTTCCCTACCCACCCTGGTAGTGAAAGACAAAGGGCATATAATCTTGGGAGTTCTAGGGACTTGCCCATCACTAGTTCCTCTTCCTACTATCACAGCTGTGCTCTCTGGAAAGTGCCACTTCCCAGGAGTAGGCCAACAAGCATAAAAATAGAGCATTAAACCACCAAAGCTAAGAACTCTCATGGAGTCCATTGCAACCCTTAACCACCTCCACCTGAACAGGTGCTAGTATCCATGGCTGAGAGACCCATAGATGGTTCACATCACAGGACTCTGTGCAGACAACCCTCAGTACCGGTCCAGAGCCAGGTAGACTTGCTGGGTGGCTAGACCCAGTAAAGAGACAACAATCACTGCACTTCAGCTCACAGGAAGCCACATCCATAGGAAGAGAGGGGAGTACTACATCAAGGAAACACCCTGTGGGACAAAAGAATCTGAACAACAGCCTTCAGCCCCAGACCTTCCCTCTGACACAGCCTGCCCAAGTGAGAAGGAACCAGAAAACCAACTCTGGTAATACAACAAAACAAGCTTCTTTAACACCGCCACAGAATCCCACTAGTTCCTCAGCAATGAATCCAAACCAAGAAGAAATCCCTGATTTACCTGAAAAGAATTCAGGAGGTTAGTCATTAAGCTAATCAGGGAGGCACCAGAGTAAGGCAAAGCCCAGTGCAAGGAAATCCAAAAAACAATACAAGAAGTGAAGGGAGAAATATTCAGGAAATAGATAGCTTAAAGAAAAAAAATCTAAAATTCAGAAAAAATTGGACAAACTTTTAAAAATACAAAATACTCTGGAAAGTCTCAGCAATAGAATTGAACAAGTAGAAGAAGGAAATTCAGAGCTCAAAGACAACATCTTCAGGTTAACCCCATCCAACAAAGACAAGAAAAAAGAATAATAAAAAAATGAGCAAAGACTCCAAGAAGTCTGGGATTATGTTAAACGACCAAACCTAAGAATAATTGGTGTTCCTGAAGAAGAAGAGAATTCTAAAAGCTTGGAAAACATATCTGGGGGAATAATCAAGGAAAACTTTCCCAGCCTTGCTAGAGACCTAGACATCCAAATTGAAGAAGCACAAAGAACACCTGGGAAATTCATCACAAAAAGATCATCGCCTAGGCACATTGTCATCAGGTTATCCAAAGTTAAGACAAAGCATATAAACAGAATCAAAGACAAAAACCACATGATTATCTCAATAGATGCAGAAAAGGCCTTTGACAAAATTCAACAACCCTTCATGCTAAAAACTCTCAATAAATTAGGTATTGATGGGACGTATCTCAAAATAATAAGAGCTATCTATGACAAACCCACAGCCAATATCATACTGAATGGGCAAAAACTGGAAGCATTCCCTCTGAAAACTGGCACAAGACAGGGATGCCCTCTCTCACCACTCCTATTCAACATAGTGTTGGAAGTTCTGGCCAGGGCAATTAGGCAGGAGAAGGAAATAAAGGGTATTCAATTAGGAAAAGAGGAAGTCAAATTGTCCCTGTTTGCAGATGACATGATTGTATATCTAGAAAACCCCATCATCTCAGCCCCAAATCTCCTTAAGCTGATAAGCAACTTCAGCAAAGTCTCAGGATACAAAATCACTGTGCAAAAATCACAAGCATTCTTATACACCAATAACAGACAAACAGAGAGCCAAATCATGAGTGAACTCACATTCACAATTGCTTCAAAGAGAATAAAGTACCTAGGAATCCAACTTACAAGGGACGTGAAGGACCTCTTCAAGGAGAACTACAAACCACTGCTCAATGAAATAAAAGAGGATATAAACAAATGGAAGAATATTCCATGCTCATGGGCAGGAAGAATCAATATCGTGAAAATGGCCATACTGCCCAAGGTAATTTATAGATTCAATGCCATCCCCATCAAGCTACCAGTCACTTTCTTCACAGAATTGGAAAAAACTACTTTAAAGTTCATATGGAACCAAAAAAGAGCCCGCATCGCCAAGTCAGTCCTAAGCCAAAAGAACAAAGCTGGAAGCATCATGCTACCTGACTTCAAACTATACTACAAGGCTACAGTAACCAAAACAGCATGGTACTGGTACCAAAACAGAGATATAGATCAATGCAACAGAACAGAGCCCTCAGAAATAATGCTGCATATCTACAACCATCTGATCTTTGACAAACCTGACAAAAACAAGCAATGGGGAAAGGATTCCCTATTTAATAAATGGTGCTGGGAAAACTGGCTAGCCATAGGTAGAAAGCTGAAACTGGATCCCTTCCTTACACCTTATACAAAAATTAATTCAAGATGGATTAAAGACTTAAATGTTAGACCTAAAACCATAAAAACCCTAGAAGAAAACCTAGGCAATACCATTCAGGACATAGGCATGGGCAAGGACTTCATGTCTAAAACACCAAAAGCAATGGCAACAGAAGCCAAAATTGACAAATGGGATCTAATTAAACTAAAGAGCTTCTGCACAGCAAAAGCAACTACCATCAGAGTGAACAAGCAACCTACAAAATGGGAGAAAATTTTTGCAACCTACTCATCTGACAAAGGGCTAATATCCAGAATCCATGATGAACTCCAACAAATTTACAAGGAAAAAACAACACCATCAAAAAGTGGGCAAAGGATATGAACAGACACTTCTCAAAAGAAGACATTTATGCAGCCAAAAAACACATGAAAAAATGCTCATCATCACCGGCCATTAGAGAAATGCAAATCAAAACCACAATGAGATACCATCTCACACCAGTTAGAATGGCGATCATTAAAAAGTCAGCAAACAACAGGTGCTGGAGAAGATGTGGAGAAATAGGAACACTTTTACACTGTTGGTGGGACTGTAAACTAGTTCAACCATTGTGGAAGTCAGTGTGGCGATTCCTCAGGGATCTAGAACTAGAAATACCATTTGACCCAGCCATCCCATTACTGGGTATATACCCAAAGGATTATAAATCCTGCTGCTATAAAGACACATGCACACGTATGCTTATTGTGGCACTATTCACAATAGCAAAAACTTGGAACCAACCCAAATGTCCAACAATGATAGACTGGATTAAGAAAATGTGGCACATATACACCATGGAATACTATGCAGCCATAAAAAATTATGAGTTCATGTCCTTTGTAGGGACATGGATGAAACTGGAAACCATCATTCTCAGCAAACTATCGCAAGGACAAAAAACCAAACACTGCATGTTCTCACTCATAGGTGGGAACTGAACAATGAGAACACATGGACACAGGAAGGGGAACATCACACTCTGGGGACTGTGGTGGGGTGAGGGGAGTGGGGAGGGATAGCATTGGGAGATATACCTAATGCTAAATGACGAGTTAGTGGGTGCAGCACACCAACATGGCACATGTATACATATGTAACAAACCTGCACATTGTGCACATGTACCCTAAAACTTAAAGTATAATAATAATAAAAAAAATCATAATCAAGAAAATAAAAAAAAATAGATGTTGGAATGGATGTGGTGATCAGGGAACACTTCTACACTGCTGGTGGGAAGGTAAACTAGAAGAGCCACTATGGAAAACAGTGTGGAGATTCCTTAAATAACTAAAAGTAGAACTACCATTTTATCCAGCAATCCCTACTGGATACCTACACAGAGGAAAAGAAGTCATTATATGAAAAAGAAACTTGCACATGTATGTTTATAGCAGCACAATTCAGAATTGCAAAATCACAAAACCAACCCAAATGCCCATCAATCAACTAGTGGATAAAGAAACTGTTATATATAATATATATATATAAAATATATGTATATTATATATATTATATATCTAATATATATACGATGGAATACTACTCAGCCATTAAAAGTAATGAATTTAACAGCATTTGCAACAATCTGGATGAGACTGGAGACTATTATTCTAAGTGAAGTAACTCAGGAATGGAAAACCAAGCATCGTATGTTCTCACTGATATGTGGGAACTAAGCTATGAGGACACAAAGGCATAAGAATGATACAATGGGCTTTGGGGACTTGGGAGGAAGAATAGGAGTGGGGTGAAGGATAAAAGACTAAAAATATGGTGCAGTGTATACTGCTCGGGTGATGGGTGCACCAAAATCTCACAAATCACCGCTAAGGAATTTACCCATGTAACCTAATACCACCTGTACCCCAATAACTCATGGAAAAATTTAAAAAAATAATAAAATAGAAAGAAAAAGTAGGCAAACATCTCTTTTTACTATTAATTTGCTTTAAAAAAAAAAAAAGAGAGAAAGAGACGTGAAGCCTTGAGATAGGTCCCGACAAAAATTTCTCAGGGAATATTTGGAGGAGATTTGAGAAAGGTGGGTGCGGTATATGAATAAAATGAATGAGACAGGAAGGGGAGATTTCAGAACATGTTGCTGTGGTCTGAAAACTCCTTATACGTTGACAAATTCATTTAAAAGAAGAGAAATTGCAAGATATAATTTGTAATGACTTTTTGGTTGCCTAACTGTGCACCCAAATTGGGCAACTGTCATGAATTTACTTCTGTTAATTATGATGTGCACCCTGACAAGAGTCACAGATTTAATGCAAATACAGATGATTGAATACAGAATACATAAATGAAATGGGGACACAAACGATTGAGTACAGAATATGTAATTGAGTGAACAAATAAGTAAATGAATGAGTAAGAGCCTGACCAACATCATTATACAGATGAAAGGTATTTTATATCTTCATAGAGTTTAGTGCAGGTTGTCTATGGGTAGGGGAGTATAATCAAAGATTTCTTTAGCATTTGATTTGGGAGAGGCGGTTTTGATTAAAAAGTTTTTAAGATCAGCTGATATTTATTTAAAAATAGTAAAGGTATGTCAATAGAACTATATCCTGATGAACCTACTGGAGTAAATTTATGTAATTGCTTGTCAAAGCACTAAAAAAAGTTTGATGAAATTACTTAATGTTTTCCAATTAAATTGTATTTCCAAATATAGTGATTTCCACTTTAATGTAGTTGGTATGGAGCTTTGTGAGTGTGTGCTTCTTTTATTATGGATAATGTTCAACTCCTTTTTATTTGCCTCCTAGTTATAATAGTAAAACTCATATTAACTTAGTGAAGAATGATTGTTTTTTCATTTGCTGTAGCAGATTTATCCAGTCGCCAAGTAACTATTTAAATATATATTGCAAGATTGAGGATTTCAAGACATGGTCTTGATTTTCACTTATTATCAATAGATTTGTCACTGTCACAAATTTATTTCTGTTCACTATGATGTGAGCAATTTTATCAGCAAAGAGCCTCAAGGAAGCATTAATAGTGTAAGAGCAAGAGAATGATGATGCCACTTGGCTCACAGGCAGTTCCTCTTCATGAATTTTCAACATGATGAGCAGTTGGTATAAACTGAAAATAATCTTACTTTATCTTTAACTATATTCTTGATAATTATTCAATAGCTTGATCAGTATTGATAATAAGCAGAAATACCTGCTAGGTCTATATGCAACATATTAGATTTATTTATTTATTTCAACTATTATTTTATTTTCAGGGAATACATGTACAGGTTTGTTACCTGAATATATTGTGTGATGCTGAGGTTTGAGGTATGAATGATTTAAAAGCCTACTTTTTTTTTTTTTTTGAGAAGAAAGCTAGAGAGTGGAAATATCTAGTAGGGCAACTGATTTATCATTTAAGGTCGTTCTTCTTTATAATGATGATGTAGGTAACACTTTTTTAAAGGAAATAATTGGATATTTTGTCAAATATTTGAGTCTATCACTAAGGACTGGTTCTGAACTATATGATATTTTAAAGTACTGCTCCATTTCCCTCCCTCAGTCCTTATCCTTGTGGGGTACTGGAGTTACTAAATCCCAGGATTGGAGTCCCTACAGTACCTAGACTTGTGCTGTTCAATGTGGTAGCCGTTAAATATGGTGTTTATAAAATATTTGAAATGTGGCTAGTCTGAATTGATTGCAAGTGTAAAATGCATGCCTGATTTCAAAAACAGTTTGACAAAAAAAAACTTTTTCATTGTCTTAAAAATATTTGTATATTTATATACAACTTGAAATAATAGCATTTTGATATATTTGGTTAAAACAAATTTCATATTCATAGTTTTTGATGTAGCTACTAGTGAATTTTAAATTATACATGTGGCTCACATTTATTTCTATTGAATATCATTGCTTTAGACTATAAAGAAGTTGTCATAGGATTGTGGAGTCTAGTGATATAATTTGTCTAGATGCCAGTGGACACTTGAGACTTAACAACTTTATAGCCCAGAACAATCTAATAGCAAATTTCTCCATATAGGTACCTATTAAATTCCCTTTATTCTCCTCTCAAGAAGCTAAGTTGATAACAGATGATAAGCTAAGAGCTATAGGTTGATAAGCTATGTTGATAAGAGAATTTGCTTTTAAGTCTTTGGTGACTGAATGATTTCTGCTTGACATGATGAGTAGTTTTGGGAATCCATCAATCAAGATTACATTCCAAGTGAGGATAGAAGGCTATCTGACCATTAAAGTTTAAAGAAAGCCAAAATTTCAGCCTCTCTTACGGAAATGGCTTTGAATCAGAAGTCAGAGGCCTGGGTGAGATCACTTGGTTGGCTACGTACAAACTGTGTGCATGTTTTCCACTGAAAAATTATGTTTCTGGGAGCTAACAATGTGTTACCATAACTGTAAAAAAGGGGAAATTAATAATTGCAACACAACCTATGCACAGGGTTACTGTGACAAATAGAATCATAATTCTATGATTGCAACTCATAATTACTCATAATTGTCAGAGTATTCAATAAATTATTTTGTAAAGCCTTATGTATATAAGGTGCTATGATTTTATTACCTTTCAATCAATATACAGACAGTGAAATAGAATGTATATTTTTTTTATTTTTTCAAAGAGAAAATATATACGCAGTATTTTTTATAATAGAGTATATAATGCCACTTGCCAAGCCTAAACTAAACTGAGATTTACTTTTACCCTCTGCTCCTGAATGCTAGCCAGAGATAAGAACTTTTAACCATTTCTGTTTTCAGTTCTTCCAGGATTCATCATTATAATTTTAAATAATAAGCATGTACTTTTTCGTATAACAGCTTTACACAGTGGCTAATAACTCCCTGCTGTGAACAAAAAATAGTTTAGCTCACTAACATTACTTCACACTTTCCCTCCTCTTGCCTCCCAAGTTATAGACTTATATTAGTATTTAATGCTCATATTGCTTATCTTTTAAATTTTAAATAATATAATTAAATCTTTCTCTTTTTCATTAACTCAGGCAGTATTTTATGGTTGCTGTTTCTGTAAAATAAAGACATTTATGTCTCTACTGTGTCTTGCAACTCTCTTTGTCTTCATCTCATAACTCCTTTGGACCATGCCATTATTTTATATCCCCAGTGTTTATAATATTTTAGGCTCAACTTCAAATTCTGTCTACAGGCTTATTCAAAAATTGAGAATCTATACATCTTCCATTATTACGATTAGATTTTAAAGTATTCATTGAAGAACCTCTTAGTAAGATTCAGTTTCGCATAGTCTTTGGACAATTCTGTTGAGGCTTTCTTCCTGTGGACTTGACAAGCCATGCCTAGGTATGATACAGAAAGTCTCGTGTTACTCTACACCAACACATAATTTGTGATTAAGATGATAATGATAGTACAAGATGCACTTCTGTTATCATAGCTTTCACTTTCATGAGAATTTTTGCCTACATGTAACTTAGCAATGTCTTTTAGTAAAGAGTGGAAATCTGCCTCCCAATACCCATAATAGAAAAGCACAGATTGTAATTGGTTTTTGTTGCTGTCAGTCATATTGGAGTAATATAAGTAGGCAGGTCACCATGATGGTTAGATGTAGTGACTGACCCTGTATGAATCAATTTTTTAAATACATCCCTCTTAAAAAGGGGCAGAGTGGGTTGAGTTAGAAAATAACCCAGGCCTTTAATATAAAGGAGAGAGACTAAGCTGACTGAAGTTTGAGAATCCAGTGTAGATAATAGTGGATTATTAAATAATATTAAGTTCGGTAGCAAATACAGGGATTTTTTCTAGAAATCTTTAGAATAATGTTTGTATCTTAAGGTGTAGACCTTTTACTGACTTAGCAAAACACATTTTTAATTAATTGGGCTCAGCTAGAAGAAGAGAGTCTTCCTTGGTCTTTGGTTAAAGAGTATCTCCCAAAATAGACCTAGAGAAGGAAATATAATCGTCTGTCATTAAATTGTCCACTTAAGGATGCTATTTTAAGTGTCAATATTGCATTCACTCTTTGTGAAATATTGACTGTATTTTTCCTCTCTTCATTCATTAAAAGAACAAAATAAAAAAGATCTGTTGCATCTTTCTTCTGTTTCTTGTTTTCATAAGATACTACCAAGCTGAAATACATTTATAGTTTCTTCAACGCCTATAGGAAAATAGCACAAACTTTTCCAGGATGTGATTTCTTTTTATGCTTCAACCTTATGTACCTAATTACATGTCTATGTTAGCTCTCTGCCACATTTAATTTTTTTTTTTGATGTTATTATTTTGTATGTTTGGCCTATATGCTATAAATTGTGTTAAATGATTTGCATGCATTATTTTACTCAAGCTTCTCAAAACTTTAATATTGACATTTTAGAATTAAGATAATAACTGATGGAACCTAGACATGAGCTCATGTCTAATGACTGAGCTCATCATTTATTCCACCGTTATGCAGTGTACTGTATGTAGCTTGAAGTATGAACAATGCCATATAACTTTAAGTTTTCCATTTAATCACATAAGTTCACCTGCTCATATTAGTTGTAAGTCAAAAAACACTCTCCTCCTTAGGCTATATTACCTATCTTCTATACTACAGAACAAGATTTGGAAGTAGTTATCATTTAGGAAGTCTTTTTGTAACTTCTGTGCATAAAATAATACCTTGAACTAGTAGGAGGTAATAAAACTTTATTGATGATGATGATGATGTGATGATGAAGATAACTATTAGCATTTGATATTAATAGATGATTTCAATTTCCATTTCCTTCCCACACACATTTCTTAAAACTTCAACCTTTCAAAGCTTCCCACACTTCTCTATCCAGATAGTTAGACTTCAATTCCATATTTCAAACTCTGAACCTCCACAGAGTGGGAAGCTTAGCTATCAGAACTTTAGAGTTACGGTTCTTTTTTTGAAGTATAGATTTATGTCAATCCTAAGGAGTGTGTCATATCACAATAACAGGATGGAGCTAAGACTTAGCACATATTTCTAAGACACCAAATTGAAGTTCAATACATTTCTGAACCACAATTCTTAGATAATAGAGGTATTAATTAAAACCTGCCTCTTGTAGCATGAATGCCACAAACAGTGGCACTGAACTCAGCAGATAAGTGGGCTTTACTGCAAAGCCAGAGAAAACCTCAATAGTGCCTCCTCCTACCCTGTCAGATCATCTAAGCTGTTTGACACAATTAAATGACATTGCAGTGGGAACACCAATACAGTGGCTAATAGTTTGTTTTAAATGCTTTCATTTGCTTTTGTTTTAGTTTCAAGCAAAATACTGTAAATTTTGCATGGTGCTTACATTAATAATTTAAATGCACAGAGCATCAGAAGCAGCAGTTTTTTGCTAATATATTGCCAGCACACCAAAGAAGCTGTATCCTTTATCATAACACACACACAAATATTATTCTAAAGATTTCTAGAAAAATCCCTTTATTTGCTACTGAACTTAACTACACACACACACACACACACACACACACACACACACACACGGATTTGGTTTATATTTCTGAACAAGGGCATGTGCAGATATCTACAAACACCTGATATTGGAAAAGACCAATCAAGACCTGACACTAAAGTTAAATGCATAAGTAAGGTTTTGTACTTAAAAACATTGCAAACATTATCTTGCATTAAGTGTGCTTAAGTTGAGATGTTTCAGGTTGATATTTGGCTAACAAAGTGAACATATTCTAGAAATCAAATCTGTAGTTAAAAAATTATTTTCTCGAATTACTCATCCTTATTGTCTTCCTCTTCATTATCAAAACATATCTCTAAACACCAGTGATATTCAAAATACCTAATCATAGGTGTGGCATGGACGATTGACTTATCAAAACATATGCTTTCACTGTTGTCAGGTGTGAACCTTTTAGGGGCTGGATTCTGGAGAAATCTGAGGGTCTCAGGGTGGGGATGAGGAGGGCATCTGGGGAAGGAGTGGGCCCAGGATAGCAGTTATTTGTGAATAACTGCTGATACATTTCTGTAGTATTTTGCACTAAAGCATTTCTATATTTTAAGTCTCAGACAAATGTCAACCTTGCTAAAAGCTCATTTATATTAATAGGTGGTACTAGAATTATGGTGCTTAGAAATTTAGATGGCTCTAATCTAGAGATAGAATAGAAGGGTTTAGACATTTTCCCAGCTATTGGAAAGAAGTCTCAGGCTTGACAATTAATCTGGAACATAAATGTGAATATTTGTAGCCCTTCTAGTCACTAGAATAAATGAGAGAAAATGTTAATATTTTTATGTCCCCAGTACTTCATAATCTCATTTAATTGTCTCAATAACCCTGTAGGAAAGTATAATCTTTTGTGGGGTGCTGCCATTAACAAAGTATCACAGACTGGGTGGCTTAAACAATAGACATTTAGGGCGGGTGCCGTGGCTCACGCCTGTAATCCCAGCACTTTAGGAGGCCAAGCTGGGCGGATCATCTGAGGTCAGGAGTTCGAGACCAGCCTGGCCAACATGGGGAAACCCTGTCTCTACTAAAAATACAAAAAATAGCCAGGCGTGGTGGTGCACGCCTGTAATTCCAGCTACTAGGGAGACTGAGGCAAGAGAATTGCTTGAACTGGGAGGCAAAGGTTGCAGTGAGCCAAGATTGCACCACTGCACTCCAGCCTGGGTGACAGAGCAAGACTCCATCTCAGGAAAAAAAAAATAGACATTTATTTCCTCAAAATCCAAAATCAAGGCATCAGCAGGGTTGGTTTCATTCTGTGGTCTTTTTCCTTGGCTTGTAGTTGGCCACTGTGGATGTCTTCAAGTGGCCTTCTCTGTATGTGTTTGTGTGTGTGAGTGTGTATGTGTGTCTGTGTTTGAACCTCCTCGTCTTACACAGACATCAGTCATGTTGGATTAAGACTCCCTCTAATGACCTCATTTAGCCTTAGTTATCTCTTTAAAGACCTTATCTCTGCAAAGACCTTATCTCTGCAGTCACATTCTGAGGTAATGGGAGGACACAATTTGGCCCATAACAGAAAGTTAGTAATATCCTTCCCCCCTTGTGAGTTTCTAAAAATATTTTTTAAAGTCAATTCTATTAAAATATATCTTACATACAAAAACATACCTAGTTTATGTGTATAGCTTGAGTTTCGGCAAATATATACACCCATGTAACCAACACCAAAATCAAACTACGGAATATTTTATCATACCAAATAGTTCCCTTGTGCTTCTTTCCTGGCAGTTCTCCATCCCTGAGCTCTGGGCAGCCAGTGGTCTCATTTCTTTTCTAGCATTTCATATCATGAAGCCATGAAGTGTGTACTCCACTGTGACTAGCCACTTTTGTGCAGCACAATGCATAATGTTTTTGAGATGTAGCCATTTAACTCAGGGTATATCAATAGTTTCATTTTATTGGTGAGTGGTATTCAATTGTATGACTATACCACAATTTGTTTACTGTTTACAGCTTTAGACTGGTATGAATAGAGCTACTATGAACATTTCATTATAGGTCTTTGTATGGACAGGACAAATGTATTTATTTTTCTTGGGTAAATATATAAAAGTGGCAATGCTGTATCATATGAGACCTATATGTTTAACTTCTAAAGAAACTGCCAAATTGTTTTCCACATGGTTGTGCAAGTTTACATTCCCACTAGCAACGCAGGAAGAGTTCTAGTTTCTCTATATTCCCACCAACACTTGGCATCAGTGGCCTTTATAATTTTAGTCATGCCTGTGGATATGTTGTGGTAGCTCACTGTGGTTTTACATTTTCACTTTCCTGATGACTAAGTGATATTGAGTGTCTTTTCATCTGTATGTTGGCAAGTCATACATCTTCTTTTGTAAATTATCTGTTCAAACATTTCCCCCATTTTTTAGTGAACTGCCTTATTTTTAAATTTTTGCACTCCTTACATATTCTAGATACAAGCCATTTGTCATATATATATATATATATAATGTAAATCATCTACTCTTTGACTTGAATTTTTCAGTTTATTAATTCCCATTTAAAAAGCAGGAATTTTTAGTTCTGATAAAATTCAATTTTGTTTTTAGTTTTAATTTTTTTGTATCTTATCTAGGAAATCTTTACTGATTCTAAGGAAGGCAAACGTCATAAATTTGAATTTAATATTTAAGTTTATGACACATCTTGAGTTATATTTGTGTGTGGTGTGAGCTAAGTGTTGAACTTTTTTTGTTTTTGTTTTTTGTACTTGGGTATCCTATTGTACTGAGCCATTTATTAAAAAGACTTCATTTCCCTCATTGAATTACTATGGCACACTTGTAAAAAAAAAATCAATTGACTGTAAATGTGTGTGTATATGGGAGAAAAGCACTTATTTCTGGAATCTCCATTTTGTTCCATCAGTTAAATTCTATTCCCAAGTCAGCACCACATTGTCTTGATTACTGTAGCTTTATATTAAGTCTCTAAATCCAGTAGCATGTTCTCCAACTTTTTGCTTTAAAAAAAATGGTTTTAGCTATTCTAAGTACTTTGCATTTCCATATAAACCTTAGAACCATCTTATCCATTTTTATAAAAAGGATAGCTGAATTTGGATTGGAATTGTGATGGATCTATGTATCAATTTAAATGAGAGTGACATCTTAATAATATTGAGTCTTTTAGTCCATGAGCCAGTGTTCTTTAATTTCTCTCAGGAGTTAGACAGTTTTAAGGGTATAAGAAGTGCATAGATTTTGAAAAATTTATCCCTAAGAATTTTATATTTGTCGACATTATTCTAAGTATTACTTTTTTAAATTTTCAATTTTCATTTTTTTGTTACTAGCAAAAGATAATCAGTTGATTTTTTGTATCGATCTTGTATCCTGCAACTGTAACACATTCAGTTATTAATTCTAGTAGCTTTTTTGTAAACATCAGGATTTATGTATGATCTTATCATCTTCCTTTCCAATCTATATGTTTTTTTTCTTGCATTATTGCATTTGCTATAACTACCCTGCCACCACGCCAGAACAATGTTGAATATAATAGGTAAAAGTGAATATGCTTATTTTGTTTCTAATTTTAGAATTTAGCATTTAGATTTAGATTTTAGCACTTAGATTTTTACCATTTATGTAAGAATTAGCTGTGGCTTTTTCATAAATGTCCTTTATCAGATTGAGGAAGTTCTCTTTTAATCTTAGTGTAATGAGAGGTTTTATCATAAATAAATATTAATTTTGTCAAATGCTTTCTCTACATCTATTGAGATAAGCATATAGTTTTTCTCCTTTATTCTGTTCATATGTTGAATCACAATCCCAATAATAGATTTTCAAATATTAGACAACTTGGATTCCTGGATTAAATCTCACTTATTGCTTTTTAATTTGATAGTTTTGATTTGCTAATATTTAGCAAATAGTTTTGTTGTTTTTGTACATGAGGGCTATTAGTCTGTAGGTTTTCTTTTGTAATATCTTTGACTGGTTTTATTATCAAGTAATAGCAACATCCTGGAATTTGTTGTAAAGTACTCATACTTTTTATCACTCTGACTTAGTCTATTGTCATTAATAAATTTTTCTCAGGGTTTATGGTTCACAATTTACTCCTCTGGGGCATGTATATAATTTTGGATTAAATGGTGGATATTTAGACTTCTATGTTGTTGAGTTGTTGTTATGCTCCATTTTGTCTTTATAAAAGATTATCAGACTTTGTTCTGGAAGCCTGTTAAATATTTTGTGGATTAGTTTAATTCTTGCAAGGCTACTTTTAAGCTGTGTTAGGGCTTACCTACAGTTGTGTATACTCTAGGGGTGTTTTAGAACAACTACTAAGATACGACCATTCCCAGGACATTAAGAAAGGTGACTGGTGAGGATTTTTGAATATGGTTGACCAGACCTTGAATGTTTCTCTGCTCCATATAAGATGTAGACATTTTCAGCATACAACTACTTAGTTGCTCTTTCCCGGTTGTTCTTTTCCTGGCCTCGTGGAGTTTTACTCTAAGTGTGTTCACGCCTTCCTATCCCATTATTATCAGATACAGGGTCACCTTTGTAGTTTGTTTGTTTTTTTTTTTTGAGGTCTTTCTCTGTGTAGCTCCCTCCTCCCTGGTTCCATTCTCCACAAATTCCAGTCACTTTTGTCTCCTGGTTCCAATCGCTGTCATCTCAGGTTCTAATTAGGGATCTTCTGCTATACAGCCAGTCTGGAATGTGTCAGTCAGAGCATTCATAGGGCTCATTTGTTTTGTTTCTCTTTGCTCATGAATCCCAGTTCAGCTCTTCTTCTTGTCTACTGTGTGAAATAGCCGTTCATTTTTCAAACTGTTTACAGTGAGATAGGACTGGTCCCTGTTTTTAATTATGACCTGGAGCATAATGCTTTCATCCCTTTTTATAGATAAGTAAACTGAGGCTTAGAGAGACTAAGTAGTTTGGAGATGGAGAACAGGGATTTGGGCATAGGTTGGAACTCAAATTTTTCCTATTTACTAGTTGTACAACCTTGGGCAAGTTATTTAACTATCTGCCTTGATTTTCATATCTTTATAAGGGAGATGTTTCTGCTGCTGCTAATCATATATAAGGAATAGTTTCTTACTATTACTGTGATGGTTAACTGAGATGGTGACTGTGAAGTTTTCTACACAGTTCCTGGCACATAGTGCATGTTGGATAGGGTGTTAACTAACTAATTATATTGCCCATGATCACTTTGCTAGAATTTCTCTTTTTTTAAAGGAAAGTATGAGTTTAAATAGCCTTATCTTCCTACTTATTTCTAAATGTCAGAATTCTTGTTCAGACTTGAAAACACTTTTAAACAGTTCTTGGAAGCTTTAAAATTATTCTTGGTGACCTTGGTAGAAGCTCTGACTTCAAATTCGGGAATGTAATATGGATGGCAAAATGAATATTTTCCCTTATTTGTCAAAATTTTTTTTCTTTAAAAAGTATTTAGAACAGAAAACAAGTACATTCAAGCCCAAAAGACAAATTCCCTAGAAATTGGGGCAGAGTACACCCATTTATTGGAAAATGAGAAGTCCTGTGTGTGCAGAGAAATTTTAAAGAAAAGATCAGGGGATAATCCATCCATTAAGAATTCTCCATTAAGAATACTCATTATAGGTTTAATTAATCACAATGATGGATATCTTTAACATTAGGCAATAATTGACAGTTTTATAGTGGTGAGACTATCATCACCCAAAATACAATTTTTAAAGGTCATATTCACTTTTCCTTTCAACATCATAAAATCTTGAATGACCACAAGTAGAGCTCAACAGAGAATAATCAGGCAAAAAATCAGGAATGTTCATCATCGAAGGTTTGACTATGTCCTCGGTTGATACTCATAAATTTAAATATGGTAGGTAGAAAAGAAATAACACACAGATTTGTCAACCATATGTAACAGAATAGTTCAGTTCAGCAAGGGGAATTCAGAATTCTTTCTCTGCTGGCTGAGCCTGTATGTCAGCCAACAACATCCACTTAGTCTCAGGTGACAACAGTGCCAGTTAATTAGCTTTTGTTTATGTTTTGACTATTGATAGACTTAAATTATATTCATATTATTATGCAAAACAAACACATAGAAAGTCTTGCCTTTGATCTAAATACAGGCACTTCTTTGTTGCAATGATGTTTGAACTGTGTATCAGAATAAAAAACTTACAGTAAGCCAGGCATAAAAAGTAGATCATCTAAATCAGATAATTAAAACATATTTGATTAATGGTAATTTTGGCTTGAAAACAAAATATCCTATCTCAACAGAAGTTTAAGTTGGTTTATAAAAATGCAGACCTTACCTTTGAGATTGATATAAAATGCCGTGGACATCTCTGTAAACTTCTCAATCCTCCTTTGACCTTTTTGAAAGATTTAATCTCATAGTTGTTAGATTAATGCATATTCTTTGTGTGCACTTCTTGAACTAGAATAAATTTTATTCTTTTCTGACCATTAAAATTGTTCCCTCTTCCTAATTCTTGTAAACTCTTTTCTAACCATGCTCATGAAATGTAGAGAAAATGGTTTCTCTAGGATCCAAAATAACATATTACTTATAATTTAAATTGCAGAAGAGTTCATTTCTTTGGAATATGCTGTATGTAACATGGTTTTTGCTGAAGAGCTCGGTAAATTATCTAGGTGTGCTGGGACTTTCTTTCTTTCTTTTTTTTCCTTTTTTTTTTTTTTTTTTTTGAGACAGAGTCTTGCTGTGTCACCCAGGCTGGAGTGCAATAGTGCCATCTCAGCTCACTGCAACCTCTGTCTTCTGGGTTCAAGCGATTCACGTTCCTCAGGCTCCAGAGTAGCTGGGACTACAGGCGTGCGCCACCACACCAGGCTAATTTTTGTATTTTTAGTAGATATGGGGTTTCAACATGTTGGCCAGGCTAGTCTCAAACTCAGATTTTTTTTTTTTCTGAAGACAAATGCTCTCTGATTGGCATGCTCCAGTCACTGTCTCACCATTTAAAGACTTCTAGATTAAAATTAAGCATGGGCTCAACAGTTCTAAAGTGAAAACATACATAGTGGAGATCCCTGCCTTCTTCTCTCCTCTCTTCCTTTCCTTTCTTTCTTTTTTTTTTTTCTACTTCCCATCCTTCTCAAAGAGACACCAGTCAGAAATATAGATATGCTTATGCTTGCTTGGTGTCCTTGATTATAAATAGTCCAAACATCAGGAAACTAAAATCAAGGTGATTATATAACTCCTAAAGATGGAAGTTGTCAAAATACATCACCACAAAACAAATTTTAAAAGGCTATTTTAAATACAAGATTCCATCTTCACTAAACTGCCCCTTAGATCACTAAGATAATTTAGCATCAAAATCAGCTTAGATAATCATACGTTACAAAGCTGCCACCAGCAGCTTATTAGTTCTAAAGCTTTCCAAAAAACCTCAGCCAACTTGACACTTTGATCTCACATGTCAAAAAAGTGGTCAAGGTTGATCAGTTAGCTTTTAACAGAAGAATTTGCTCCTGATGGAGTGGCAGCTATAATCATATGGTATTTTTAGAACAGTGATACAATGAAAAATAATATCATAATTATGTATTTATAAAGTGTTGATTTTCTACAAACTAGAGGTTAGCAATGATTGCTAGAGCAAATAATTACATTTCTAAAAGAAATAAAAAATGCATGGAGATAATATCAATCAAATGAGTTAATGAAAAATCATGATCCTATTATCTTAATGAATGCAGTATAGTGTTATAAATGCCCTTGCACTTACATCTTCATCACATAGTATGAATGACAAATAGAAAGACCAAAGAACTGATAAATTACTCTCCCCCTAACAGTCTGATATGTGAATCGTATGTCCCTTTCTGACTTATTACAAATGCCTTTCATTAGTGAGTTCATGTATTCTAATAATCCATCCAAAAATATTCATAATTATAGGAAGACAATAACATTGCCATTTTCACAGTCATGTTATAGTATTTTTAGAGTATTGAGTACAGTAGTTATTTATTAAAAGTAACACGAAAGCAGGAATAAAATACTTATATGTACAAAGTAGCATGGTATGATTTCTACCTAATATTTAATAATACACGTGCAACTTTTCCCTGCATTAACATAGTGGTAAACAATAAATACTAACAGTAGGTAATATAAGAACACTGAGAAAAGTAGGAAAGTCTTCATGGATAAAAATTCTTGGCCCGGAAAACTTTAAACATTAAGGAAAGTCATGCCTATCAGCGAGCCCACCTCCTGGGCTGTCAGATTCACTGCTCACAAATTCTCCTCCTAAAATTCCTTTTCCTAGGAACGCTCCTGTAAATGGAGTAATGGAATTTTTAAATGTGAGAGAACAGGAGAGCCCCGGGGTTCTTTTTGATTCCATCAAATTATTGCATGTCAGCTGGACATCACTTTACTGGGACAGACGTCTGGTACAGTCCAGCAGCAGGTATGGAAGTCGGGATTGATTCTGCAGGACTTTCTCCTTTTCCACGCTTGGTGCATAGAAGCTGAAGATTAAGCCTGTGAGCAACAACAACAACAACAACAACAACAACAAAGTTCAGATTCCAAGAAAGCGAAGAAGAAATAGAGATGCTGGGGGAGTCCATTTCTTAGTAAGAAATGGTTGTCACTAGCTCCATTTTTTCCACCTAGTAGAATCACTTGACTGTCTCTCAAGCTCTTCAAACTTGACATATCTGAAAAGAAAAGCTCGTTTTCTTTCCCAAACCTGTTCCCCTCACTTCACAATCTCAATCTTTGGTATTTCCTCCATGATGCATTCAGGCACCCAGGCTGGGAGTGTGGGTATTGTCTATAGTCCTATTCTTCCTCACTCCCCATTGGCCACATCCAATCAATCACCACATCATGAAATTTTTAACCTCCAGACATTTTTCTCTATTCTATTCTGCCTCTTCATCTTCCTCCATACTGCAGCTCCCTAGCTTAAGCCTTTATCTTTTTCCAGTGGAATATTGCAATAGCCTCTGACTTCTCTGCTTCTGATCTTGCTCTTCTTGAATGAGTCTTCCAAATTAAACACACACTGGTGTATATCAAGCACAAATCTCATATTCCTTTTCTGATTAAAGTCCTTAACTGTACCCTATCACTGATGGGATACAGTTCAAGATCTGTTGCTTGGGGTGACAATGTGAGTAATTAAAAAATTTATGGGCAACTTTAAAGCTTTGCTGCTTTCTACTCATCAGGGAGAAGAATGAATAGGCATCAGAAGAAAGAATGAATGAATACCATTTGCCACTTCTTCATAGGAAAGGTAGCCAAGCCTTTGGTTTAGTATTTTGCATTTTTCTCTGCAGTGTAGGAACAACTTTCGATATTGGTCTATAAAAGAGCAAGAGATGGAGACTTCTATGTCCCAAGTACGAAAAGGGTAGTGGCCCAAACTGGCAGAGATTAGGTGGTGTTGTGTTGCTGATGGCAGTGTTGGTGGTTTGCTAGGTTCTGGGGAGAGCATGATATGGTGTGTGTGGTGGGGTGTGGGGAGTGGTACAAGTGGCGGAGACCTGTAACCAGCTCTTTCCTGGTTTGGTTGGTGAAGGCAAGTTCTTTGATAGGGATGGCCGAACTGTTGCTTTACATGGGGGAAAGCAGGACATTGGCGGCTATGGCCTGCGGGTAGCAGCTACAGGTATCCATGTCAAGTCTTAGGATAAGGAAAGGATTGTAGAACAGGATATCCGTGACTTCTTCCCAGAGCATCTGTGGCTGCTAGGCAGTCGAGCACATGCCAGAGCATGGTATAGCTTAAGTACCATGATTAGAAGGATGATTGCAGACAAGGCCTCTCCTTCAATTACTGAACTAGTTTTTTAGGCATATTTTATATCCAAGGTCAAGTGAGGGGTTCCTCAAAATGATAAATGACTTATTTTTTTATTTTTATCTTCTTTTTTTTAAACTTTTATTTTAGGTTCATGGGTATATGTATACAGGTTTGTTATATAGGTAAACTGCATGTCATGGGTTTTTTGGTACAGATTATTTTACCCATGTAATAAGCATAGTATTTTTCAGTCCTTACCCTCCTCCCAACCCTCTACCCTCAAGAAGTCCCAGGTGTCTGTTGTTCCCTTCTTTGTGGATAAAGGACTTTTGATGTCATTAGTGAATGAAGAAAGTTAGTACTTCATTCTAGCCTCATGCAATCCTTCATGATTTATCTTGGGAAACAAGGCTTCCTGTGATCTAGTACCCTCTACTACTTGAGCCTTGTTTCCCAGCCAGAGGTCAACGCTTCTCAAGCTGTTTATAGTGAAGGACAATGTTGGTTTCTAACAATATCTAATCAGCTACAAACAGACATTTTAAAAAATACAATAACATGAATGTTGCAGCAGTATCAGATTGCTATAACAGTTTTTAAAGTTTTATGATTTCTTTCATATACCATTCAGTTTCACAATTCTTTTCCTATTTGTACATGCTATTCCCTGTGCCTGGAAAATCTTTCCTCTCTTCACCTAGGCCACATTTTTTTTTTTTGTTTTTTGTTTTTTTTCTCATTCTGTAAGTTTTAGCTCAAATACCATCTCTAAGAAATTTGCCACTAAACTTCACGTTATCATGTCTGTCTTTACATAACACTATGTTATCATTTACCATATTATACTAAAATTATTTTTCTTATGTGTGTGTCTTTCCACTTCTATAAGCTCCTTGAGAACTGCAACCATGACAAGCCCTCCTTATATCTGGGATAGTACTTGACAAGGATTAAGGTCTGCCACTTTTTGTTCAACTGAGCCATACTCCTCCATAGATGAGTTTTCAAGTGAAGTCAAGAGTTTGTAGCATAGTTCAACTGGTAAACATCTGAATTTGTGCTAATAGGATAATGCTCATGATTGATACTGTTTCAATTATTTTCTCAAAGATCAGCAACCTAAATAAGAACAAACTCTAGTTTCATCAGCATGCATTTCACATTGACAATCTTTCTCAAAAAATAAATCTTGCTTCATTAATGATTCTTTACGTCCATACCAATATCAGTCTTTGCTTTTTTTTTACAACATTATAATCCCTCTAAAATTAGTGTGTTGGCTTCAATAATAATGGTATAGGACTGAATAGTCACTGAATCTCTCACAACCTAGATTTTCATATATTTGTGGTTTTTATAATGAATAAATGGCTATTTTATAATAAGATTTCATAATATGTTTCTTTAACACTACTGACAACAATTTATAAACAATCAGAATGGCCATAGGAGAAAAGATCATTTTGTCTTGGTTTTATAGATGTGGAACCCAGTGTAGAGCATTATTAAGAAATTCATTCAGGATTATAGAGTACGATCATAATATACAGTTGGCCTTCCATATCTGTGGGTTCTATGTCCACAGATTCAACCAGCTGTGAATTAAAAATATTCAAAAACAGTAAAAATGAACAATACATTAATAAAAAATAATACAAATCGAAATATAGTATAACAACTATTTATATAGCATTTACCTTGTATTAGGTATTACAAGTAATCTAGAGATAGTTTAAAGTACTACATGAGAGAATTCGTGTAGGTTATATTCAAATACTATGCAGTTTTATTTACATCAGGGACTTGAGCAACCACAGATTTTGGTATCTCCAGGCCTTTTGAAATCAATCTTCCACCTCCATGAATACAGAGAGGCAATTGTAAATATCCTTTATTTATGATGTTTTCCTTTTAGCTTGTGTTATTTTATTTTAAAATGAAAGAAAAATAATTGAAAAACATGTTAAGCTCTTCTGGAAGTTCACAAAGCTACTCCCAGATTATCAGGGCACCATTAAGAAAATTACAGAAGTATCAGGGAATTGTATCTTGGAGAAAAATGGAAATAGCTAACAATCCACATTGCTGAGGGTCTGTGGGAACGGACTTTGATCCAAGCTACCGGACTTTCTAACACCACAGTTCTTCACTGGTCTGAAACCCCCTTCACTCTTCAGCCTTCAAAGGTGTCTTGGAACAGAAGGAAGATGAGACCTACTGGTGAGGGAGCAACCAGGTAGCAGCAGATTCCCCCTTGACAACAGTGCAGAGTTGGTCATAGAACAGTTAAATGGCTATCTGTTCAATTCTAAAGTTGTTATTTTTCCCTTTTAATTTTATATCTTAGACATGCTTTCATGTTATTAAAAATTATTTCGAGAATTATTTTTACTCATTATATAATGTCACTGTGCAAAGTATAATTTATTTTATAATTTCCATATCATTAAACATTTAAGCTGCTTCTACGTATTTGCTACCCCTCTTGTATATGATTTCATGCTCCCACGAAGTAAAGCTTTGCAGAAGGCAAGGTTTATAGCTCATAAATGTTTCAAAATTCCTGTCTGCCCTGCCGAATCACATTAAACATAATACTGTGCACTAAATAGATGATCAATATATGAAGCAACAAGCATTAAATATATCTAAAATCTTGTTTTGATATGGAAATTTTTAACATAGGTGATGATTTCTGTATTACTGTTTGCTGTTTCATGAGGGTTCAAGACTTTTTAACTTCTTTCCTGAAATCTTCTAGGTTTGATGAATTCATTTCTATATATTCTGAATCTCCAAGTTGATATCTAATTTCAAGTTGACAACCTAGATAGTAGTTACTCTTTGGTTATTAAATTCAAAGTACAGTGATAGAAATATCTTAAGGAAAAAAGTGAGACAGACAATAGAATTGAACAGATGTCAAACTTGTTTCTTCCCATTACTTTCTGATCTTTACTCTTCAGAACATCATTATATAATTCCAAAATTACAAAAAGGAGCAATAAAAGTTATTTAGCTTTTCAAATCAAAAGGCTTGGAATCTGAGGCTAGGAATATTTTTTAAAGTACAGAAATGGAAAGGAATGGGAGTTGAACAAAAATTACTTTTATTAAGCTGGTTCGAAGATCAACACTGTTCCTTGCCTTCTATATACCTTTTCTTTCTTTCTTTTTTCTTTTTTTTCCAACTGCAGAAGACTTGCTTTTTCCAAGTTGGACAATTAGTTACTAATATTTGAGCATTTTGGTAATTTAAAAAACAGCCCTTTACTAGCCACTGGGTTGCAAAGCAACCATAGCAAGTAGAAAGGAAGGTTTCCATATATCAGCTAGGGCTGGACAACGTCTCTCATCCTCATCTTCTCAAACTTTGCACCTGAAAGTGTCCATTGCATAGGATGGACCAACTTCCAGGTTCCTTTTTTTTCCTTTAAAACTTTTATTTTAGTTTCAAGGGGTACATCTGGAGGTTGGTTACATGGGCATTGCACGTCATAGGGGTTTGGCGTTCAGACCATTTTATCATCCATGTAATTGGCATAATACCAAATAGGTAGTGTCTCAATACTCATTCTCTGGTGTCTCTTGTTCCCCGCTTTGTGCCTTTAGTGCTTGGCACCCCCTTAGAAATGCGAAGATAAAGTATTTGGTTTTCTGCTCTTTGGTAACTTCACTTAGAATAATGGACTCCAGATTCATCCATGTTGTTGCAAAAGTAACAATCTGGCTCTCTTATATGGCTGCATAGTATTCCACAGTGTATGCGTACCACATTTTCTTTATCTAGTCCACCACTGATGGGCATCTAGGTTGGTGGGCATCTAGGTTGGTGGGCATCTAGGTTCATTCCATGTCTCTCTTATTGTAAATAGTGCTGTGATGAACATACATGTCATGTGATTTGGTAGTAAAACAATTTGTATTTCTTTGGTCTGTATCTAGTAATGGGACTGCTGGGTTGAATGGTAGTTCTATTTTAAGTTCTTTGAGAAATCTCCAGGCTGTTTCCACAGTGATTGAACTCATTTACATTCTCACCTGCAGTGTATAAGCATTCCCTTTTCTCTACAACCTGGCCAGCATCTGTGACTTCTTGACTTTTTAATGGTCACCATTCTGACTGATATGAGACAGCATCTCATTATGGTTTTGATTTGCATTTCCCAAATGATTAGTGATATTAGGCACTTTTGCATATGCTTGTTGGCCCTGTGTATGTCTTCTTTTGAGAAGTGTGCATTCATGTCCTTTGCCCATTTTTTAATGGGGTTGTTTTTTACTCTTTCATTTGTTTAAGTTCCTTATAGATTCTGGATATTATACCTTTATCGGATGCATAGTTCGTGAACATTTTCTCCCATTTTGTAAGTCGTCTGTTTACTCTGTTGATAGTTTCTTAGGCTGTGCAGAAGCTCTTTAGTTTAGCTAGGTCTTGTTAGTTTTTGTTTTTGTTGCAATTGCTTTTGGAGTCTTCATCATGAAGACTGATGCACAGAATGGTATTTCCTAGGTATTCTTCTAGGGATTTTATAGTTTTTGTTTTACATTCAAGTCTTCAATCCATCTTAGTTGATTTTTGTATATGATAAAAGGTAAGGATCCAGTTTTAATCTTCTGCCTATGGCTAGCCATTTATCCCAGCACTATTCCTTGAATAGAAAGTCCTTTCCCCACTGCTTGTTATTGTCAGCTTTGTTAAAGATGAGATGGTTATACGTGTGTGGCATTATTTCAGAGTTCTCTAACTTGTTTCATTGATCTATTTGTCTGTTTTTGTACCAGTATCATACTGTACTAGTTACTGTAGAGTTGTAGTATCATTTGTCATACTGTACTAGTTACTGTAGCCTTGTAGTATCATTTGAAGTTGTAGGTGTGTGGCATTATTTCAGGGCTCTCTAACTTGTTTCATTTATCTGTGTGTCTGTTTTTGTATCAGTATCATACTGTACTAGTTACTGTAGCCTTGTAGTATCATTTGAAGTTGGGTAAGGTAATGCCTCCAGCTTTGTTCTTTTTGCTTAGCATTGCTTTAGCTATTTGGGCTCTCTTTTGGATCCAGATGAATTTCAGAATAGCTTTTTTCTAATTCTGTGAAAAATGTCACTGGTAGTTTGATAGAGAATAACATTGATTCTGTAGATTGCTTTGAAGAGTATGGCCTTTTTTAACAATATTGATTCTTCCAATCCATGAACATGCAATGTTTTTCCATTGGTTCATGTCATTTCTGATTTCTTTTGACAGTGTTTTGTACTTCTCATTATAGAGCTCTTTTGTCTTCCAGGTTAACTATATTCCTAGGTATTTTATTCTTTTTGTGGCTCCTGTGAATCAGATTGCATTCTTGATTTGTCTCTCAGCTTGGATGTTGTTGGTGTATAGAAATGCTACTGAATTTTGTACATTGATTTTGTATCCCAAAACTTTGCTGAAGTTGTTTATCAGAGCTAGGAGCCTTTGGGAAGAGACTATGGGGTTTTCTAGGTATAGAAACATATAATCTATGAAGACAGATCGTTTAACTTCTTCTCTTCATATTTGAATGCCTTTTATTTCTTCTCTTGCCTGACTGCTCTGGCTATGACTCCCAATACCATGTGAATATGAGTGGTGAGACTGGGCATCCATGTTTTGTTACAGTTTTCCCAGGAACAATTCCAGATGCTTTTTCCCATTCAGTCTGATGTTGGTTGTGGGTTTGTCATAGATGGATCTTATTATTTTGAGGTATATTTCTTCAATGCCTGGATTGTTGAGGGATTTTAACATGAAAAGATGTTAAATTCTTTCACAAGCCTTTTCTGACTGCACTTATTAAGATGATCATGCAATTTTTGTTTTGAGTTCTGTTTATGTAATGAATTGCACTTATTGATTTATGTATGTTGAATCAACCTTGCATCTCAGGGATGAAGCTTTCTTGATCATGGTGGATTAGCTTTATGACATTCTTCTGGGTTCAGTTTACTTTACTAGTATTTTGTTGAGAACTTTTGCATCTAGGTTCATCAGAGATATTGGCCTGAAGTTTTCTTTGTTCATTGTGTTTCTGCAGGTTTCATGATATCAGTGTGATGTTAGCCACATAGAAAGAGTTAGGGAGGAGTTTCTTCTCGTTTTTTTGGAATTGATTCAGTAGGATTGGTACCAGCTCTTCTTTGTACACCTGGTAGAATTCAGCTGTGAATCTGTCTGGTCCAGGGCTTTTTCTGGTTGGTAGGGTTTTTTTATTACTGATTCAATTTTGGAATGCATTATTGGTCTGTTCAGGGTTTCAATTTATTCCTGGTTCAATCTTGGGACGTTGTATTTTTCCAGGAATTTATCTATTTCTTTTAGGTTTTCTGGTTTGGGTACATAAAGATGTTTGTAATAGTCTCTGGATTTTTTGTTTGTTTGTTTGTTTTTGTATTTCTGTGGAGTCAGTGGTAATATCCACTATCATTTCTGATAGTGTTTATTTGGATCTTCTCTTTTTTCATTTTTAGTCTAGCTAACAGTCTATCAGTCTTATTTATTCTTCCAAAAGGCAAACTTTTGGTTTTGTTGATCTTTTGCATAGTTCTTATCATCTCCATGTCACTCAATTCATCTCTGATTTTGGTTATTTTTCTTTTGCTAGCTGTGGGATTAGTTTGTTCTTATTTGTTTAGTTCCTCTAGGTGTGATGTTAGATTGTCAATTTGAGATCTTTCTGATTTTTTGATGTGGGCATTTAGTGCTATTAACTTTTGTCTTAACACTGTTGAAGCTGTATCTCAGAGATTCTGGTATGTTGTATATTTGCTTTCATTAGTTTTAAAGAATTTCATAATTTCTGCTTTAATTTCATTGTTTACACAAAAGTCATTCAGGAGCAGATTATTTAATATCCACTTAGTTGTAGGGTTTTTAAAAATCTTCTTGGTATTGATTTCTACTCTTATTGTGCTGTGGTCGGAGAATGTGGCTGGTATGATTTTGGCTTTTTTGAAATTATTGAGAATTTCTGGCTGAGCATGTAGTCAATTTTAGAGTATGTGTCATGCATGGATGAGAAGGATTTATATTCTGCTTTTGTTGAGTGGACTTTTCTGTAGATGCATGTTAGTTCTATTTTGTCAATTGTCAAATGTAGGTCCCAGATGTCTTTGTTAGTAATCTGTCTTGATGATCTCTCCAATATCATCAGTGGGGTGTTGAAATCTACTATTATTGTGTGGTTACCTATGTCTCTTTGTAAGACTAAAAGAATTTGTTTTATAAATCCAGGTGCTGTAGTATTGGGTGCATATATTTAGGATAGTTAAGTCTTCTTGTTGAGTTGAACCCTTTATCACTTCCTTTCTTTGTCCTTTTTGATCATTTTTGGTTTAAAGTCTGTTTTGTCTGAAATAAGAATAGCAACCCCTGCTCTTTTTTGTTTGTTTTCTATTTGCTTGATAAATCTTTCTCCATCCCTTTACTCTGAGCCTATAGGTGTCCTTGAATGTGAGATTGGTCTCTTAAAGACAGCATACACTTGGGTCTTTCTTCTTTAATCAATTTGCCACTTTATGCCTTTTAAGTGGAGTGTTTAGCCCACTACCATTCAAGGTTAATATTAATATGTGTGGATTTGATCCTGTCATTCTGTTGTTACCTGGCGTTACGTAGACATGATTGTGTTTTTGCTTTATAGCATCAATGGTGTATGAACTTTAGTGTGTTTTTGTAGTAGCCAGTAATGGTCTTTCATTTCCATATTCAGCACTCCCTATGAACCTCTTGAAAAGCAGGTCTGGTGGTAATGAATTCCCTTAGTATTTGCTTGTCTGAAAAGGATTTTATTTCTCCTTTGCTTATGAGGTCTAGTTTGGCTGGATATGAAATTCTTTGTTGGAATTTCTTTTCTTTAAGGATGCTGAATATAGGCCCCCAGTCTCTTCTGGCTTGTAGAGTTTTGGCTGAAAGGTCCAGTGTTATCCACTGCTGTGGTTCCCTTTGTAGGTTGACCTGCTCATTCTCCCTAGCTACCTTTAATAGTTTTCTTTTCACATTGACCTTGGAGGATCTGATGACTATGTGTCTTGGGGATGGTTGTATTATATAGTATCTTGCTGGGGTTCTCTGAATTTCCTGAATTTGAATATCAACCTCTCTAGCTAAGTTGGGGACATTTTCATGGACAATATCCTCAAACATGTTTTCCAAATTGCTTGCTTTCTTTCCCTGTCTTTCAGGGATGCCAATGGGTCATAAGTTTTGTCTTTTTACATAATCTCATGTTTCTTGGAGATTTGTTCATTTTTGAAAATTCTATTTTCTTTATTTTTATCTGACTGTTAATGTGAAGAACTAGTCTTTGAGTTCTGAGATTCTTTACTTGACTTGGTCTACTCTGCTGTTAATACTTCCAATGTGTTATGAAATTCTTGTGGTGAGTTTTTCAGCTCTGTCAGATCAGTTTTGTTCTTTCTTAAAATGGCTATTTCATATTTCATTCCTTGTATGGTTTTGTTGAATTCCTCAGATTCCTCGGAATGGGTTTCAATCTTCTGATTTTCAGTGATCTTCATTGCCATCCAGATTCTGAATTCTATTTCTGTAATTTCATCCATTTTATTCTGGTTAAGAATCACTGCAGAGCAGCTAGTTCAGTCATTTGGAGGTAAGGAGGCAATCTGGCTTTTAGAGTTTCAGGAGTTCTTGAGCTGGTTCTTTCTCACCTATGTGGACTGATGTTTCTTTAATTGCAGTGTAATTTGAGTATAGTCAGTCGGTTTCATTTCTGTATGTGTTCAGAGGGCTGAGGCTTTGTGCAGGGTCTTTATTTGCAGTTGAGTTCTTGTCCTTGGTTTTACAGAGGAGTATATTACCAAAGTATTTTTGGTGTTGAAGTTTGGTTTGCAATTTAATAGATAGTGCTTAAACATAATGACTGGTAGATAGGCTCTTACCCAGCCATGCAGCCCCTCTGTGTTTCCTCACATTTGTAGCCATGCTTCCCCTCAGTGCTCTGAGAGTGTGTGATCCTCTCCCACTCAAGTGCTGGTCATAGATCTCAGCTTAGCACTCCCAGACTGTGCACTGCAGGCCTGAGACAAGCTTAGGATTTTTTCTCTCTCCCCAGCTTGGTGGCAGCAGGGGCAGGGACCTTGGCATGCCACTCAGAGCCACTGCCAATTAGAATAATCAGCTGGGGAAAGGTGGTTGCATTGCAGGCCCAAGCTAGGGGCTCATGACTGGTGAAGAGCAGGAGGGCAGGGGAAGGCAGTCTTGCCTCTTTTCCATAGGGCACTGCAGCATGCTGGAGGTGCACAAATTCCAAGATTCCTAATCCATCCCTAATTACTGGCTAGAGAGGGATAAAATTCTGATACTGACACATATGTTTGGATGGCACTCCTCTGTCTCTGTCTTCTGCTACTGGTCAGACAAGCACAGCAGGTACCATTTATTCTACAAGAAATTTCTGAGTGTCTGTAACAGAACAGTGTTAGTTAATTAGGGATTAGACATAGGCCATGAATAACAATATTTCTCATCGTGGACACTTTACCTAGAGTGACTATCATTGTGGTCAGGCCAATTCTGGACACGTATTTATTTTATTTTATTTTATTTTTTATTGTTAGTTGCCGAAAGGTAGATTCTTCTGCAAGTTTTATAAAACCTCAAAAACTAAGTGACAGCACTTAATCAATACTTCTTGTAACAATTAAATTAAAGTCAGAAGAGCATTTCCTTACTTAGTTCTAGGAAAGTAAAAGTCAATCCCATACCAACTGGGAGACTTAATTCCAAAGCAGGTTTAACGTTGGCCTGAGCTGTTTACTAAAATAAGAAACGTACCTGCCTTGAGCTTACTCCTGGTCATGACATGGAACATACTTTTGAGAAATTTCCATTTTTTATTGATTCACAATTATTGTAGTAAGATTGATCATTTGTATCTGGTTTTGTCAAGATACCTGGAGGGCTCTGTTGCTTGGCTGGTTACACAGCAAGACTATGTCTACATGACCAGCTGAGTAAAAGGAAACCTGGCTGAAACTGAATTTTAGATCATCTTGTTTGAGGTGTTTTTTTCCACACATCCATGGTTTCTGGACCCAGAGAGAAAAATATAAGGACCATATTCTGGTATGGTCCTTATAGAGAGAGGGCAATTAGACCCTTCAACTAGCTTCTCTGAACCCATTTCCCTGAGCCAGCCTACGGCTGTGATACACATCTTTACTTTAATGCAGTTTCTATATTTTATCATTTTCTTGCAATAAACTGCAAATTTGCAAGCACCGTCACTTGGATTCTGCCAGTCTTTGTCAGCAACAGAAGCCTGTCTAAGTGCCACAGTTAGTGTGTGCTTACTGACCTAGGTAGGCAGACTGAATTTACAAGGAAACATTAACAACAGGCAGAAAGAGCAAATTGTGTCATTCCTTAGACAGGCAAGAGAATTGGACAAATCGTCTACAACCACCAGGTCATTCATTTTTTGGCAATTTTTGTTAGAGTTTGTTTTTAGACAAATAGACAATGATCATTGCATTGACACAAACCATTAGCTTTCCAGCTTTTGAAATTCTTTAAAAACAATCTAAGCTGCACCAGGCTAACAAAACAGATATTAATGATTGTCTCCGTGAATGAAATTGGGAAACTTACGTAATTATTGCCTAGGTGTGGAGAGAATTCCTCAAGCTGTCAGTTCTTGGTTTTTCCTTGTGCAGAGTGCTCACCTGAGAACAGAAGATATGTTTTGATCTGTAAGCTCAGAGACTGAGTAAGGATGAAAATAAAGTTTCCTAGCTTTTTTCTATTTTTCAAGGAAAGTTCAACTTTCCTGCAAGAATGTCATTAAAGCCACCATTTGCCTCTTGGTATTGTCTAGAAATTAGTCACCAAAATATATGAACTTTTCCCAGACATCATCTGTTTTCACTTTAAAGTAGCAATATGAAGTCCTGGGTGGGATAGGTCAGGGGGCAGTGGGGGCGGGGATGTGAGTTGGGAGATGATAACATTAGAGAAACCCTGGGGAATAAGTATTGATTTTTGCTTGTTACATGAGCTGGCTGTGCCTAAGCAAGCCCATGTCATGTGTTTAAAGTGCCATTTTATCAGGAAGACATTCTAGGGTCCTTCTGTTTAAATAATTCAGTGAGGGTTTTGTGAAAATGAATTTATAGGCCAATATGAACACTTGGGTGATATACAGAGCAGCGCAGGTGCCATTACTCAAAATCCCAGTGCTATTCCACCATCCAATATACAGAGAAATATTAACCTAGGATGGTGGCAAGCTGAGAGGCCCCAAGTATTTTTCACATGCCACTGGATTCATGACCAATATATTTCGCATTACTTGTGTCCTTCAGGTAGAATCGAGTATCAACATCAGTCAAACAATATAAAAGCAATATAGGTCAAATCTCCGGCTTTTAGAATAATTCTCATCATTTTGCTCCAGCTTTTATCTGCCACTTGTTAGGAAATCTGTCCTTTCGGGACTCTGAGGATGTCACCTGTTACTTGTACCATCACGGCAATAATAAATAGTGCCAGAGACCTCTGAGGAGAACAAATTCAAGACTCCTCTTCAAGAGCTCCTTCGATTCTATGCTCTGAGAAATGTTGGGCATAGTTCTGCAGCACCCCCAGCCCCTGCTCCAAGGCAATCTTTTGCTAACTATTGTTCGTTTTGCAGAAGACACAGCACCTGCTTGGAACCCACGGCTATGAAGTACTGGAATGAGAAGTAAATAAAATAAATATTGAGTCATCCCCTAGTATCTGCCAGAAGTCATGCAAAGCAAGTCATTGAAAATCTTTACAATTCGTAATATTCTTCCTCAAGGTCTGTTTAATTGACAGACTAGAAATTTTGAGAAAAATTTAATAACAATATGATATCAGTAACAAGAATAATGATATTTATAGTAAAAGAAAACAACCCACACACATATCTAGTGAAAAAAAAATCCAGAGGGAAATATATCAAATACCAGTAGTGGTTGTATGAAGATTGTTTCATAGGTAGTTTTAAATTCTTTTTTATTCTCTATTTTTTTCTATTTTTCATTATGCATAATCTGGTCAAATATTAAAATGGTAGTTTCAGCCATGAAGAAATATTATAAGGCAGTAATATATGTTAATTTGCCAAATTAACAACATGTTAAGATGAGGGAAAGACTATTTGTAGTTGAAACAGTCAAGGAAGCTTTGGTGGAAATGCAGAGAATGAGACAAATATTGACGGGCTGCGGACAGAAGAGGATTCTATATATGGCTTTATAAATTTGTGAATGTTTTGTTCATTTTTACTCTGTGGTTTTTTTTTGTTGTTAATGAACTTTTACTTGTAAAAATAAATAAGCAAACAAAGATGACTATGCACTTAATGAGTAATTGCCATAGCATACCAATTAGTTAGTTTGCTAATGACATATTAATTATATGTAATTACCATTAGAGGGGTAAGTGTACATGACAAAGGAGAGCAAGAGACTCTCTCTTCCTTCTAGAAAGCTGGGTTCAGAGAGAGAGACAGTCAGGGGACAGGGAAGGGAATGAATGAAGTCGGAGAAATATGCATTATTATTGTATATCAAGTGCTTTCAAAACTGAGCTAGAGAAGGCAGGCACATCATGGACGGTGTTGCAGACATGCTAAGGTGTTTGAACTTAACCTTAAGTTATTACTTATCAGAGTCTTCCAAGTAGAGGAATATTCTAATGAATTCAGATCTGATTTTTCTTACTCTAAATGGTTCAAAATCAACTGATGCCTTGAAGCTAAGTTTAGTGATGCAATGTTTTTCTTCTTCCATAGAGTCATATATTTCTAATTTCAAGATTTTTCTTTATAATTTATATGACTTGACATATTAAAAGTGAGATAATGTGTATTAACTGTCTGAGATGATATAAATAAGAATCATGTTTAAAATGCATGTCACACATACATTTTTTAGTCAATCATGGTGATGTTTAACCTGACAAGATCGCTTACTAAAGCTGAGAAGTAGCTTATATGTTCTTATGAAGGACTCCTTGATCTGCAACATTTGATGCCCATTTTTTTTCCTGAAAGCATCTTCTTGTTATACCCTAGTAAGCTTTCTCTTTTACATTTAAGAGAATTCCAAATTTAAACATGCATGAGTTACAGTTTCAGCAGAAGACCTTATTCAACGAAGAATATATTTAAAGGAAGAAGGGAGTATGGATGGATGAACATCAACCATATTACTTATTCCATGACCTAACTGAAAAAGAGGGATTTGGGTCAAAGAACTCTCTTCCCTGGAGAAAATGACCAGAACTTTAACTGTGGCTCATTGAGGCTTCTAGAAAACCAGAAGATTTGGCATCCCTTGGCATTTTCCCTAAAAGTGGGTGGCTGCAGAGGGCTGTTTCCTTGGAAACATTGTTTATTGGTCTGTACCATAGTAAAATGTCCAGGGTTTCTACACTGAAGCAATGACAGATTCAAATAATTTTTATGACCACTGAAGCTCAAATTTCATTGTGTTACCCTTCTATGCTCATTAATTAACATTGTATTTCTTAGGTCTTGAAACAAATAAAGTAAATTGTAACAGTCATCAATTCTGAGTAGCTGGTGGTCAGATATTTGTTCTATCAATTGTTTTCTGTATTTTAAAAATTTCTAAAAATTTTTATATAGGCAGCAGTAGAAAAATTGAGTTAAGCTTGTGAACTGACATCAAACCTAACCATTTAAGTTTTTTTTTTCTACTTATTTTTTAGGAAAGATGTCAGTATTAGGCAAGAGAAGTTACTTAAATAAAAATAATTTTAGTAACGTAACTTCTCTTGAGTGTAGTGAGCATAGCATTATAAAGAAAAGATATTTGAATACATTTTGAAATGCAGTGGGAAGAAATTTGTTTGCTAGTGTTTGGGGAGCCACCAAGTTCTGTTAATGATAGACTTGAATAAAAATTGTGGTAGTACAAGGAGCATTTGGATAGCATTATATTTTAGATGATAAATTCTGGGCTACTGAAGTCTACTCTGAATCATCAATTTCAGTGTTGCCTTATCACCAAATATTTTCCATGGTAATCATCTGGGTTGCCCTTTGAGAGGTTATTTTGGTAAAAGCAATACAATTTCTAAATTGAAGTTGGCAGAAATAAAAGTACCCAAGAATATATCTTACTATTTCCATGGTAATATCTCCCTCTTAGACCTGTGACCTGACAAGTTATTTTTGAAGAAAAGGAAGTTAGGTGGGCCAACGGTCTATTTAACTAGTCTGCCATCGTCTATTCCACTTACTGCTATGGTCACCACTAGAGTGGGAGAGAGCCTACACGGAATTTTCCCCAGGCCTTAGAGTCTGCTATTACATTTGCAACGAAGAAACACAAGGTTCTCTGAGGCTTTCCCCCTGCTGGAAGTCATGATTCTAGTGTCAGTTGTCCCATTTCTTTGGCAGAAATGGGTGGTAGAAAACTGATCCCAGCACCCTCCTCACAAGGAGAGCCAGGAGCTTCTACACAGAGCACTTCCAGGTATGTTTAGCACCCTGACTCACCACTTGGAGAGCCAACATGACTGCAGAGGGTTTGGAGTATGTGTGATGCCTGCTTGCAAGCCACGGGCAGATTCTGAGGTCTTTTCTTGATAAATCGTGTAGTCACACTTAGGATCTCTCATGTGCTTACTCAGGACTGGTTCACATTAGGCTGCTTGAGCACTTTTTTTTTTTTTTTTTTTTTTTTTTTTTGCCCTTTTCCCTGACCTGGTAAAATAGGCCTGGCTACTTAGTAAAGGCTGGTGAATAGCCAGGAGAAAACTGTGAGTGGCTTCTAACCACTCTATGGGTACACTTTGCTCCTTTGCCCCCTTCAGATGGTTCCTCCTGAGAGAAAGTATAGTATGGGAATAAAGGAAATATGTGTATTGAAGAGTGGAAGAGATACAAGAGCAAAGGAGATCTCTCCTAAAATAAGATGGCTCATGTGAGGGATTTCAGCATTCCTGTGCAGGCTTCAGCTGTTCCTGCTCTTCAACTCTTCTGTTTGCCTTTTGCCGTTTGTTCTAGTTTGAATTTATACATGAAATTGAGAACACTTTCAGCCTTTAATATCTTGCTCTTGATTTGGGACAATATTTATAGTTTTCTGTTTTACAAAATTATTTTCAGCCACCAGAAATATTTATAATATAGCTTATTCAACTGGGGAATTGGTTATTATAAATGTATTAATGTAACATGATATTTAAATTAGACCCACATGGTTTTTTATATCTATATTTTTATTTTTTTTATGAAGTCTCGCTCCTTTGTCACCCAGGCTGGAGTGCCGTGGCACGATCTTGCAGCTTCCGCCCCCCGGGTTCCAGCATTTCTCCTGCCTCAGTCTCCAGGGTAGCTGGGATTACAGGCATGCGCCACCATGCCCAGCTAATTTTTGTATTTTTCAGTAGTGACAGAGTTTCACCATTTTGGCCACGCTGGTCTCAAACTCCTGACCTCAGGTGATCTGCCCGCCTCAGCCTCCCAAAGTGCTGGGATTACAGGCATGAGCCATAGCTCCCGGCCAGATTATTTTATAAAACTAATAATTTGTTTTTAATTGATCTGTTTCGTGATATCAATGGTTTAAATGTCTAATCTACTCAAAAGAAAGAAAAATCCATGATTTTAATTTTGAAAAGCTATCTAGCACCACATTTTTTCATTGTTCTTGACACAAATCATACCTATATTTTGAAAGACTTTTACAATTCCAATCAAATGAATATACCTAAGAAACTGGAAAAATTCACATTACATCAATAGAATATTATATTTTACCTTTATGGAGAGGCTCAATTAAATGTATATAAATGATATAAAACATGATTTACATTTTAACTGATGACCAGTTTTTTTGCCTTTTTGACCATATGCGACTACATAGCCAGCACCAAAATGAAACAAAACAACAGCAATAATTTAAAAACTTGTTAACAAATTTTGGTATCTTTCTGCCACTCCTGCAGAATAGGAAATGCCTCCAGCCATCTACACATCCACACATCTATAGAAAGCAACCTCTAAAGGCCACATAGTCCAATAATCTTATCAAATTGGTAAGATTTTTCTTTCCTTCATGGGAGAATTTTACACTTATTGACAGTAATTGGCTATTTCTAAAGAAGTTAGGCCTTTTGTTTATGTTTCACATGAACAAAATCCAAGGTTATAGTTAGATTCTAAAATAACTAATTTTCATCTAATCAACTTGTCTGGAAACTTACCAGACTCATGAGAAATTGTCTTAACGGTAAGAAGCTTCACGCTCTCTTTATCAGACTGAGGTCTATTTGAAAAAAAAAACATGAAATTAACACCACAGTAATCAGCATTGTATGTTTGTGAAAGTATTGTGACACAAACAGAATGACGAAGATACATATGCATATATATATATAATGTGTGTGTATATATATACGTGTGTGTGTGTGTATACATACATATATATATATATATATCTCCATGGCAAGAACTTTGTCTTTTCACATACAAATACACATATACTTTTTAGCAATTTTTACTTTTTCTGGAATCAAGCCAATAAATCCCTGCCACTCTCTTATAGTGGTGATTGTCAGATAAATTAAAAATTAGTTTGAGTTGTGTGAAACACTTGGCACAAGGTCCATATCGCACATGTCTCCAATTCTGAATTATGGAGAGGAAGACATAGAAATGTTTACAAGCCTTTTGGGCTTAGGCTGAATTCTGGAGATATTCCTTTTCCTGAAGTTCTGAGATACTGTAGTATAGTATCTGAACTGCCTATTTTAATCAAGAGTTCTCATCTATCCAAAAGAGTTTCAAACTCTAATTATTTCCTTTGGACATCTGAGGAGTCTCTAAGTCATATGAATAGTAATTTAGCATTATTTCTAAAGTTTACAACCTTATGAAACATAAAAACACTTATATAAAGGTAGACCACAAATTCCTGTCAACAAGGAAAACAGGGTTTGTTTTGACATGAAAATCAATTCATCATGTCTCTTTGCAGCACCTTGGTTGTTACAGTTGCCTGGATTACTAAAATCTGCTTTATTTTAATCAAGTCAAAGTAAAACAGCCATCTACCTTAAAGGCACTGAGAACTGGCTCAAGGTAGAAGCACAAATTTCCCTGTGATAAACATATTAAAAATTTCACTGGGAAACTATTTTAAAACTCTAGGTATTTTTTCTATGATATTTTCCCTCATAATTATATTCATTCTTCTACTTTTCCATTTCATCTTTTTATTTCCCATTTTACCATTCTAAGATTAAACATGATCTTACATTTGGAATTTCTCTGTTAAATGGAGAGAGCTCTGACAAACAGTTAAAGCCAATATGTAGATTTTCTACACTTTAGAAATAATCCAAAAAAGTATAAGTAGAGTAACAATAATTTTCACTACGTAAATGGTAGGGTCTAAACAAAAGATGATATGGGCTTACTTACTGATCATTTCCATTTTCTGGTGTGCCTAGGAGAAGAGGGAGTTGTTATTAGAGTTGCAAAGAAGTTGGCTACCATAAATATGAGCAAGCCCCTCTAACCCCCTCACCTGCTGTCCACTCTTTTCTATGCAGAGATGTTTCTAAGTCATTTTAAAATATTTTAATTTTCCCCTTGCCAAGCCATTTCCTCAGGTATGGTTAATACTTATCCTGGCACTCATGGGATAGTCCTAATTAGGTCAAGTCCACTAAACTTAGTTCTGGACTAATCTTGATCTTGTAGTTTCATATCACTATGTGAAATTACTGTTCATTATTGCATATCCCATGGACAACAGAAAATGTCTGTTTATTTCAGTATCTCTGAAAAAATTCTATTAAAAGTATTGAAGGTTTTATGCCAGAGAATTGAAGTTTTGACTTTCCTTTATACATTGTTCTTTTTTGGGACAGAAATCACTGTGTTTGTGGTGAGCTACAATGTAGATACTATATCTAATTGTATCTTAAACCCACTGATTCAGCCTCTCAAAAGAGCCCTGCAAAATGTCGCAGAGGCTACTAGCTGCAACTAATCTTTTGTTCTCTTTGCCAGGCTGCTTCACAGCTGTCTGATAGAAAACACCTGGGGTTTAGAGTGAGAACTCAGAATGATTCATTCTGCACAAGGACATGGCCTCTCTGGAGTGAATGTTGGTGATCAAATCTTGCATTAATCTATGGCCAATCAGGCCAGCTGTTTAATGTGATTGCATAAGGTTCCCCTTGTTGTGCTCCTTTGGTCTGGTTTTATTCCATTGCAGCTTCTGTTTCTTAGATTTCCTTTTATATGTAATCTAAATCTTGTCATTGAGTATGCCCTTTGAATATAATTCTCCTGGCTTTGACTATCCTTGTTTTATAAAGACCTTAACTTCCACTCATATTTTGGCTGCTTCTATTTCTGTCATCTTGGTTAAGATATTGCCATCGTAACTCTTAATACGTAGGATTTAACCCATGGCACCATATGCTGCTCACCAATTAGACTTAACCTCATCTTTGCTCCATCAGTAAGGTTTTAACAGCATTTTTTGATTCCTATGTGTCATATACAATATCACCTGTGATGCTAATAGCCCTGTTTTAAAATGAGTTTTTTTCATTTATAATTTTTGGGGGTACATAGTAGATGTAGATATTTATGGGGTATAAGAGAGATTTTGATATAGGCATGCAATGCATAACAATCACATCATGGCAGTGGTGTATCCATCCCCTCAAGTATCCTTCGTGTTACAAACAGTTCAATTATATTCATTGAGTTATTTCAAAATGTATCATTAAGTTTATTATTGACTATAGTCGCCCTGTTGTGCTGTCAAATACTAGGTTTTACCCATACTTCATACATTTTTGTACCCATTAACCATCTCCACTTCCCCTCCACTACCCTTCCCAGCTTCTGGTAGCCATCCTTCTACTCTCTAGCTCCATGAGTTCAATTGTTTTGATTTTTTAGCTTCCAGAAATAAAAACATGGGAAGTTTGTCTTTCTGTGCCTGACTTATTTCACTTAACATAATGACTTCCAGTTCCATCCATGTTGTTGCAAATGACAGGATCTCATTCTTTTTTGTGACTGAATGGACATCACTGTGTATAAGCACCACATTTTCGTTATCTATTCATCTGCTGATGGACACTTAGGTTGCTTCCAAATCTTGGCTATTGTGAACAGTGCTGCAACAAATGTGGGACTGCAGGTATTTCTTTGATATATTGATTTCCTGTGTTAAGCGTATATACCCAGCAGCGGGATTGCTGGATCATATAGTAGCTGTATTTTTAGTTTTTTTGAGGAACCTCCAAGCTGTTCTCCATAGTGGTTGTACTAATTTACATTTCCACCCACAGCGTACGAGGTTTCCCTTTTCTCCGCATTCTCTCCAGCAAAATGTATTGAGATTTTTATATGCCTGTTTTAATATTTTTTCCCTAGGAAACTATAGCGATAGTCTCATTAGCAGATAGATGCAAGCCAACAGACTATTTTCTGCGTATATACCATTCTTATTTGGTTAAAGTTCAGTCCACTGTCAACCTTGTCCAGATAAGCTTCATTTCTTACGGAAATCTCTGATTCATGTTGTCTTCCACAGAGCAGAATGGGTTTACTAATTTCCCAAACTAGATAAAGTCTCTCCCACATACTTGAAGAGTGATTAACTGCAGGTATTTAATGGTGCTAATTTAATGATAACAGTGCTGTAAATTCTGTCTCAGAAACAAAGTTAACAACAACCAAAAAGATTTGGCTAATTGTACAATTGCCAAACTTGACTTTAAAATACTCATGTCTTCAGAATAGCTATCCGTAGTGGTAGGAACTTTATACATCCATGGAAACCGCTTTAATAGAAAAGGTCAACTTTTCAAATAATACATTCTTAAATCTTCCTATGTAAAGTAATTTTTAGTATAGCATATTTTTACAAATAAATTTAGCACATTAATTTTTACATATCCTGCTTACTCAACACTCTCAGGCTGATTTTCAGTAAAAGACAGGATTGGTAGGTAGTTCAGAAACTTAGAGAAATTAAACTGACTTATAAAAATGCTGTTTCTCCTCTGAAAACTGAACAAGGAGACATGTTTCAGACATTAAGAAGTTTATTCACTGATTCCCAAAGGAAAAGGCATTGATTTGTTTTTACTTTTCACCAAGAGCTAAAATGAACTCTGCTGTTTTGGTCTCCTAGCTTCTCTTGGTACTGTCGTTATCATACTACAACTGTCCATGCAATGCATGGTGAGCAGGTGGCTTTAGGGATAGCATTCACTGGTGTCCTGGGGGGCACACTGTCCATGAGGTAAACAAAGAATAATGCAGCTTATATACATTATAAAAATAATTGCTTTTTACCTTCTAACAGTTTATGAGACTTAGATTTTTTTGTGACATATTTAGAATTAAAGTGGGGAAGAAGAATTCTATTTACTGTACCTTTAAAAATGTAACTCAATAAGTATATAGTAAGGGCCTGCTATATATTAGGTAGCATGCAATGTGAACAATATGTGATTTGTGACTTGGAAGGGTTGCCTGACTTTCAAGAGAGGTAGGCACATGGAGAAATAAGTAACTGTACTATGGTATGATAAATGATATAATCCAAATCTGTAGTAATACAATTAAAGGTAGAATTCATTCTGCTTGAAGAAGTGGTATGTTATAAAAAGATACAGTAAATTTGTGTTTGAGTTGAGTCCTAATGGGTAAGTTGGAGATTAGGTATGTTATGAAAGGTAAGAGGTGGGCTGGATATTCCAGAAGGAATAGTATGGATGAGGGCATGGATACATGCTACTACATTATACGACCAGGGCTGGGCTGTGAAGTGGAAAGATAGTTTGCAATTACGGTAACATGACAGCTGAGCCATGGGAGTTGAAGGGGTATTTAGGTGAAGGTTGAGTAAAGAAGAGGCAAATTTCTTGGAACAGAAAAAAGACTGAGTAAAGACTAAAAGAAATCAGAATTTAGTTAACAATAATTTATCAGTATTAGTTCACTAATTGTGACAAACATACCATCAGATCTTAATAAGGGAATAAGGGAAACTAGGTATGGTGACTCACTGTACTATCTTTGCAACTTCCCTGTAACTCTAAGTCTACTCTAAAATAGAAAGTTTATTTTTAAAAAGGATAAAAAATATAACATGGTCTTGGAAGATACTTTCGTTGGGTGTGTCTCCCAGGAGGGAAATTAGTCACGGGACATTTTTTGAGATTATGGGCCCCTGAGCTGAATTCTTAGCAATCTCCCTCTTTATTTTCTGTTACATAGAAATGGAGTTAATCTTTACCATAGACAAGTTATGTCATTGTTATGCCCTCTTTACTATCATATTCCCCTGACCACCCATAAAATTTGGGCTATTTTATTAAAAAGAATTTCCCTATATTTGATAATATCTACTCATAGTATTTAGTTCCCACTCTGCAGTTCACTAGCATTCAGTGGGTGTCTGTGCCCTTCGTCCTTTGTTTCTGTGATCAGGAAATATGACATTTCATTTCTTTCTATAACTTTTCTCTCCCTTTAAGAATTTAAAATCAAGTTTAAACTGAGCATTCATTCTTCTTTCAGGAAAACAAAACAAAACACTGTTACCTACCCGGATCTGCCTTCCAGCACATTCGGTACAAACCCACCAGAACAAATACTGAAAGTGTTATTACAATCAAAGCAATAACCACCGGCAAAATAATACCTAAAAAGAATTGGAGACATTGTCAATTAGAGTGGCTACTGAATTTCACAGCGATAGTTTGGTAAGTGAGCCAAAGCATGAGTACTTCCTTTCTTCTTTAAATATCATTCTATTAAAAACATATTTTAGGCAAAGATTCCTCTGATTCATGGGGTTTGCTCTAGTTGTCATCTTTGACATAACCACTTGATGTCAGTCTTGTAACCTTTCTGAAACAAAATTCCAACCTTAAGAGAGAGTGCCCCCATCTTCCTGGAGACTGAAGAAGTGGGGAGATGGGAGACTGGAGAAGCAGAAGATGTACTCTAGATTATAATTAAATCCTCATTCACTCATTACATTTTTTAGTACTTTATAATGAAGTTACCAAAATATATATAACCCAACGGGGATTGCTTTAGTCCTAATGCTGGCTTTCTAAAACACTCACAAATTTCTTTCTATAATAATACCTTAAAACTAGAAAAGGCATAAAATAATGTAAGTAGATACCACAGTGAAGATGATTCTTGAAAATGAACATGATTCAAGAGAGATGTGTATGTGTGTCTGTTTGGGGGAGTGATGTTGCTGCAGTAACTTAGGGTGAGTTTTTCATATTTGTATTAAGAGGAAGAGTATTGCCTGCCTTCCTTCCTTCCTTCCTTCCTTCTTTCCTTCTTTTCTGATGGTTATTTCCAAGGTTAAAAGTACAGTGATAAAAGCAAGAGAGCTGTCATAGACACACAACTAAAGGAAATTAAGATGACTATTAGTTTAGCATATTTGCTTTCATATGTACTCCTTATATATTTATCAGGGGTGAGACTTACTCTCCAATTCATCTGTAGGATGGTTTACACTTCCATTGTCAGAGTTAAATATTTGTTTTAAGTAAGTTCTGCTGATTTCATAATAGACCTTAGGTGAAATCATTATTGCCTCCCAAATGAAGATGCCGTGAATCAGCAGGTCAGTAATTTCTATGATGACTTATTTAATGGAATGGGTTTAACTAAACTTAATAGAGCCTTTTATAATAACAGTTTTGAATATTGTCTTTTTATTCTTAATTACTAAGGAAGTTATTTAATATTCTGTATTCAGTCTTAGCACACACATAAATGTTATATGACATATATAGGTTTTAGTTAAAATGGAACATTTCTTAAAGGCCGTTTTTAATGTTCTATGAAGGCAAACAATTCATTTTTTGATATAATTTATTTATTATTTTAATTATTTACTTGACAAAAATAAAATATATTCAGGGTATACAACCTGATAATTTGGAAATAATTCACTTTTATGGGGACCTCTACCTGTGCATTTTGACTTATCTGAAACTAGTCCCATCGAGTCATCCTTGGCCCTTGATCGTAATTGTTAAACACTAAACTAAGAAAAAAATTGCCAAACTGTGCTTTTTTTCCTCTTCTGTTTTCTTTCTTTCTTTCTTTCTTTTCTTTTTTTTTTTTTTTGTCATTAAGACTCACTTGTGGGAAATTTTCAGAGCAGGCAGCAGTTAGATGGGATTGTAATGGGATTGCAGGCTCAGTAAAGTTGAGAAAAGGCTGCCCATAATCTGATTCCTCTCCTTTACTGGTCACATTCAAACATTCTGCATATCTACTGCCATGAATGAAGGCATTGCTGTTACTCACTGGAATAAGACCGGCTGGTTGCTGAAGTGCTTGCATTTTTTCCACCCTCAGTGCCTATTACTTTAAGAAAGAAAAAAACAAGTCACTTTTGGTTAATGTGTGCCAATTCTTGCAGTCCTCCCTCCACCCTCATTTAAGGAAACAGCCATGATTTGTAGGTATGATGCTGCAAGTGCAAAAGATTCAGTCTCATTCTGAAGGAGCTCTGTTTTGTGAGTCAAGATTGTTAGGGTTTCAGTCAAGAAAGGGTCAGGTAGAGCAGATTTCCACTCAGGCACACAGATATCATACCTTGAGACTGTGAGGTGTTTTCTGGAATTGTAACTGGTATTGAGGTTAATGTACCAGTTTTAGAAGGTGATGCATCTGGTTGTAGAACACTACCTGTATGAAAATTACAAATGCAGAATCAGGCTATGGTATTAAGCCTTCATATGGGATTTCTTTGCAGATTCAAACAGTTTGCTTTTCTGAAGATCTGTGAAAACTATTTATTGTCAAATAGTAGGATAAATGCAATCATAACACTAAACCATAAGTTCATCCATTCCTCCTGGAAAGATAATTAAATTTAGAATCACAAAGCCTGAGTATCAGTTTTACATCTTCAGGAACTCGCCAAGAAAACTTCAGTAAGTTTTTTAGCGTAGATTACAGCCTGTATAACCTACTGCATAAGATTCTTGTGGGATGTAAATCTATGCAAAAGCATTTTTCAAATTTCAGATATTATAACTTTGGGTGATAGTGTTTTTTTTCTATCACACATAGTTAAAATGATCATAACTGCACAGGACGTCAGATTTTATGTATTTATCAGTGATTGAAGAGAAAAAAATTGCAGTTGAGGCTTTGGTTAGAAGAATTGAGGAAAAATCAAAGAAGACTCCTTCATTTTCATCCCTAAAGTTCAGCAGCTGGTTTTATTATGTGCCTTTTCTAGAGTAATGCTACTTGACTGTTTTTTTTCACTAGCATCCGTGCTCTTTTTTTTCCAAGGAAAATATAAATTAAAAATTTATTGTTATCGTTATTTGTTTGTTTAGTTAACATTTGCCATCTTCAATCAGAAGGACTGAAGCAAAAATTATAAGTAAAAATCTACTATTCAAAATCCATAGCTGTCAATAAGTTTAAAGGAAATATAAATAATTAAGTATTGTATAAGTTGAAAACATTTATTCTTGTGAATTTGGAATAAAGTACAATTTGTACTTAGAAAACTTTTTGAAAATGTATTCTCTTCCTCGTGCAGTATGAAGTGCTCTATTTAAATCATGCCTGTTTGCCTTGCCTCTTCACTGAATTGCAAGTTCCTAGAGTGTGAGGGCCATACTTGTCCACACACCCAACATGGAGCTCTGGGTACAGGGGGTATGCAGTCAAATGTAGCTGACACTAAGAGGCACTTCTTATGATTATGGCTCCTTGGGCGTATTGAGGCCATGTATAATTGCACCAAAGAAATTGATATTTCTATGACTGCCTTGGCTCATTCCTTCTTCACCACCCACATCCCAGCACGCACTGCATGCTCATGCATTTTTGACATCTGTGGGTGAAGAATAACGTTCAGAGTCTGTACCGTTCTTGCCATGCAAGAGATCTGTGGGTGGAAGCTAGATATATGCCCATAAGAACAAAGAAAAATGTCAGGCTAGTGCACTAAGCAGGCAGAAAAAGGAATATTAAATGAAAGAGTGGGAACTAGCTGAAACCTTGGTACTTTCAGCTGCCTTTTCCAGTGTCAAGTAGTTTAGTGAGGATGAATGCTCTTTCAGTTTTCTTGGTGGAAAAGAAGGTGGCTGATTAAATAACCAATGATGTTAATCCTTTTGGGATTTCTCAAGGGTTAATTGTCCTACCATATTACCTTCCTGTAGACAGGCTAAATGGCAGACTCAGGACTGATTGTAATGTGTCTGGGTCAGAACAAACTCCCAACTTCCCTGCTTAAAACGTGTTGATTGCCCAGTGCCAATGGTTATTGCTAATGACCCATGGATAGGCCAAAATGTTAAGACTTCATAGTGGAAAGATTTGGTGGCTGCTTGAACAAATACTTTAAAAATTTGTTTTGTTTTTCTTTAAACTGCAACCTTCAGTTAAGAAATTATTTCTGAATCCAGCACACACACACACACACACACACACACACACACACAATTACTGCTCATGATCCAATAATGGGAATTAACCTACAGTTTGAGAAGCTCTGTGTTTTAGCATGATCATATTGCTGAAATTATGGTACTTGGCTGAATCCATAAAACATGAGCCTAATGTTATTCTTTCTGTGACTAAGATGCGGAATCCATGACATGCTCAGAGCCTGATGATCTACACAGTTTTTGTTGAGACTGTATTATCCTACATTACTAACAAAGTGGCATTGCCAGAGGAAGTATAGGAGAGCTATAGCAGAGTGGCTAAGAGCATGATTCTGAAGACAGGATAGCTGGGTACAAATCTGACTCTAGCACTTACCCCTGTGGAATCTTGGGCAAGTTGCTTAACCTCTATGTGCCTGAGTTTCCACATATATACATGGAGATTATAATAGTTCTACATCATGGTATTGTGAAAATTATATGAGTAAAAATAAATTTAAACTGTTTAGAAGGGAATGTGATATTAATATGTATATATTATATATAATAATAATGTTCTATTCTTATATTATGATTATTCCCCTAGAGAGTTGAACCTCCCAACCAAGGTCAGTTTGTCTAATTTTCTCAAAAATTCTAAGAATGAAAAATATATGAACTTCAGCCACTTCTGTGTTTTCACATGCTTCTTTGCTCTAGTCAAGAAGTAGAGGAACTGGAGAAACTGGAGTAGAATATGGTACTCTTAGATGACATAGATTTGTTCTTGGACCCTGACTTTTGGTGATTGTTATGATTATTGAATTTGTGGCTAGGTTGTTTCAGGATTTAAGTCCAGCCTGGAAACTTCAGGTCAGAACTTGGAGCAAGCTGATGAGACAGAGACCCTCAGAGTCAAGTCTGTTGTAATAATGTATGCCCAAATTTACCCCATCAGCATCTGACAATGGTACATATTTGGAGACCTCACTGTAGACCAATTACTTAATAAATCATTGAGAGTTTTAAAGACAGAAGACCTATCAATGTCCCAAGGCACCTGTGATTGCTATAATAATGCTCCTCACAGAACTCCAACTATAGAAAGCATAAGTGACCAAATTTACCCACGTGTCCTCTGAAACCCATCTCTCTGTTTGTGCTGGTGCCATGTCTCTCTAAGGCTGCTCCCAGCCAATGAGTGGACCTGCCAGGAATATTAAGGCCGGCTTGTCCTGGGAGGAATGTGGACTGGAGGATTCCCTGATGGTCTTGCTGAACCTCCCCTAGAATGCATGGCAGCCTAGATGCTTCTGCTCAGCATCCCCGTTCTCTCTCCCTATCACCATGTCAGATGTGCATTTCAGTCTGGTGGCTCTTCTAGACTTTCCTTGTCCCCTCACAGGCATTTTTTCTCTCATAGGCATTTTCCCCTAATAAAATCCTTGTACTTTTAACTGAATCTTGAACTCTGCTTCTCTGAACATTCAGATTAAAGCAGTCTCCCTGGCAAGTATTTAAAAGGCCACTTCTTATTGGGAGTAGAAATGAAGCCTCAGGAATTTTAAACTGGACTTGGAAGACTTGGGCACTGGTTCATAAGGGAAATATCTGTTTGTTTAAACCTTTTATTTTCCATTTTTTTTGGGAAGCCTAACTCTTCCTATGGAAAATCACCCCTTCCCCACTTCATGTGGTCATGAGGTGCCCCTTTTTAATCCAACTTCAGAGTCACTGTATGACTAAAGTTCTCTCCTAAGAATTTGAGTGTGTGGTGATTTTGAGTTATTCTCAGAGTGAAGCTCTAAAGGGACTATCTATGGGTTTACAAAATCCCTGAAATTACTACAATGCTATCCTTCTTTATTCTGTGAGTTTCCCTCCCCAATTTTTTTTTTAGTTAAAAGAAATCTTGGGCAGGGCATGGTGGCTCACGCCTGTAATCCCAGCACTTTGGAACTGGTCTCTAATTGTAATTTGATAGATTATTCATGTCCCATTTAAAAAAATAACTTTTCAGCCTTTGACACAAATCTTTCTCTTCTTCTTATCACGTTTTCTTTATGTGGCTACCAATAGAATAGAGCAGACTATTGATATTTTTTCTTTTTCGTCTCCTTGGTTGGTTCCTCCTCTTATTTCTTTTTTTAAAATCTTTTTAATATTTCTTTTTATATTGAGAACAGGATCTTGCTCTGTCTTCCAGGCTGAATTGCAGTGGGGCAGTCACAGTTCCCTGCAGCCTTCATTTACTGGGCTCAAGTGATCCTCCTGCTTCAGCCTCCTAAGTAGATAGGGCCACAGGTGTGCACCACCACACCCAGCTAATTTTCTCTCTCTCTCTTTTTTTTTTTTTTTGTAGAGATAGACCTTGCTATGTTTCTGAGGCTTGTCTCGAACTCCTGACCTCAAGTGATCTTCCCACCTCAGCCTCTCAAAGAGCTGGGATTATAGGCATGAGCCACCACATCTGTCCCCTCTTTTCTTTCTAAATTATAATCTTGGAGTGTCCCCTAGGGTTTAGTCCTTGGTCCTCATCTCCAATGACCCTCATTTATTTGGAGATTTCATTCAATTTCAAGGTTTAAATGCACCAATGTCACTGATTCCTCAACTTATACTTCCATCCCAGACCTTTTCCTAAGCTCTGGATTTATAAATCCGGATACTTACTTAGCAAGTAATAGACATTTTAAACCCAACATGTCCACATTTTAACTTCCACTCTATCTGAAGCCTTCCTATCCTTGCTTGGAGCAGACATTCCTTCCAATTGCTCAGGCCAAAGACCTATTTTTGGCTCATCTCTTTCTATTCTATTCCACACGCAATCATCAGGAATAGTTATTGGCTTCATCTCCGAACTAAATCCAGATTTTGGAGATTTTGTGCCATCTACTCTGTGATCACCCTGGTCAAAGCCACCATCTTCTCTCTCCTATATCCTTTCTTCCTTCAGCTGAGTTATAAAACATGGGTCAGCTAATGTAACACTGCTGCTCAAATCCCTCAGTGATTCACCATTCCACTTAGAGAAAAAGCCGAAGTCCATGCAATAGCCCACAAAACCCTAGGTAATCTGCCTGGCAAATCCCCTGCCTCAACTCCGCCCACTTGCTTAATGCTGTCCTTTAAACATGCCAGGCCTCTCCTCAAGTTCTAGCTCTGCCTGGATGTTCTTCCTCCACATATTGGGTGACTCACTTCCTTCTTGTATTTACTCAACTCTTTTCAGGGAGACTTACCTTGGCCACTTTTTTCAATCTTGCAAACCCTTCCCCACCTCTCCAGTGCTTGTGATCCCTTCCTCCTCTATTGCTGCACATTTTCTCTTTCTCAGAGCACTTATGCCTTTTAACTTACTATATAATTTAGTTAGTTATTATTTTATTGGGTATAGTTTACTTTCCCTGCTAGAATATAAGAACCTCTAGGGCAAGGATCTTTATTGTGCTCACTCATATTTCCCAAATGTTATAACAGTGTCTGGAAGTAGGGCCCATCACTAATCACTGAATGTATAAACAAACTTCTTGGCAGCAGAATTGACTACTGTGAAAGATGAAGTGAATTTATGAGATTACCTTTTAATCTTAACATCGGGATTGGCACATGTTTAAAATCGTGATATTATTATTTTTTCTCATTCATTCGACAACAACAAAAATAGAGACCTACTCTAGGTCCACCACTAAATGTTGAAGAAAATACAACAGAGTATGAGAGGTAGCTGTTGCGTTTACGGAGCTCACATTTTAGTAGGGAAGGTGAGAAGCATATCCCAAAATTGATAGATGTGAAACATGCAATAAAGAATAAGTAAAACAGCATGGCAAAGAGCAAGGATCAAAATAGCAGAGACTATGTTATTGTTTATTAAATTTTACTTACAACTCTTAATAAAAAGAACTTGAGGAGCTTAAGCAATTATACAGACCATAAGATGAATGAAATTGAAATAAGAAATCAGAACAAATGCAAATGGAAGAAGTAAACAGGCCCCTTCTAAGAGTTAATATCGGACATAAACATAATCGTTGGTGTTGGCCACAAGAATGGACTCTGAGCACCCTGACACTCAGGGAAAGGAGAACATGAGGTCTACTCTGGGCTGTTATTATTGGAGAGGAAAATAATCTATTATATAAGTGAAACATGAGTGGTATAGACAATAAGTGCTATGACTATAGTTGATGCAATTCTGTGTTTTGGAAAGGGAACATGTTGATATAATCCTGGAGTCTCCTCTAACTTTAGGGTTTTAGATTCTTTTCAATCTGTGGCTAGTACGTATTTTCACACACAATGGTGCCTCCTGTCTACTTCATAGGTAAAATATCACAGGAGGAATTTTCTGCCTTCGGATGATGCAAATTAATTCCCGCTCTCATCTGACCTTACCTTTCTGACCTGGTTGCACTCTTATAGCAATGCAAAAAAAGCCTTACCTTAAATTTCCTTTGCTTTGCTTTGGGCCGTCAATGTTAGTAACCTGAGGTAATAACATCTTCTAACCCAGAAATAATGGAATAACTGAATGGAGATTAACGTACTTTAATTCTGTAGAAATATTTGTTGTAGAAAAAGGATATATTTTTCTTTTTGATTAAAATAGTTTTTACAAAATTATATATGATAAGAGTGAATGAGGCACTGTGCTAATTAATTCCATATGTGCTAATTTATTTTATTCTTAAGCAAATATTTTTAATCCTGTGTTTTAAAGATGAGAGATACTGTGGCTCAGAGAGATAAGGTAATATATTTAACAGTAAGTGCAAGGCTAAACCATAAGCCAAATATGACTCAAAACCCTTTCTGTTTTCTTTCTAATATGCCATGTAATCAATAGATTTTAAATGTTTATCTTAGTTACTTATGACATCATTATCAATGGAATCAATAAAATCTATTCTTAGCATTCTGAAAGTTTTGAGATATTCTCACCTCTTCCTGCATCATGAATATAGACATGAAAACATTAAAAAGGATTTTATTTTCAAACCCTTAAAAGAGACTAGGTGACAGACATTGTTCTAAGTGTCTTACAACTATTAACACACTTAATTATTGTATTATTAGTATTTGCATTTTACAAAGTAGAAACTGATGCCTTGAGAGATTCATTTGCCCAGGGCCCCACAGTAAGTAGGTGGCAGAGCCAGGATTTGAATGCACGCTCTAGAGTCTGTGGTATCAACCCCAAAATTATGCTGCCCAATCTGCTGCATTTCAGTAGGAATGAGTTATAAGGACATGACTCTTATTTTTGTTACATAAAATATAATCTATTTTCAATTTAGGCCTCAATCAAAAAGGCATTTTTTCTTATCAAAACAAGCTAAACACTTTCCTTCAACAGGTCAAACCAGACCATGCAGATAGAAACAAGGAGACAGGGAGAATTATTCCTAATATAGTAAATAAAGCGTGTCGTAGAGTTCATTGGAGAACCATACCCATTTAGCAATACCAGGAAATGTGTTGCTTCCTAAAGTGATTGCTGGGCAGCTCACCAGTGAAGACTGTGAGTTTTTATGACTTTTCAGTGCAGACTAGGGTGGTGCAAGAACAGTGCAGAGCACTACTTTGAGATTCGGTAGATCCCTGAACTAGATAAGAAACCACTTAGCCATACCCAGAATCTGTACAATTTCTTAAGGAGAAGTTTGTACCAGACACGATCACATATACGTTGATATATTTCTTATTCCATAATTGAATTCTTTTATTCTCAATTAATTTTCTAAACATCCTAAAATCCTATGTTAAAAAAATCTAGATATTACTCTGCTAGAGGTATATTTCTAGCTTGAGTGGATCCTAACTAAACGACAATAGCAGGATTCTGTCATTCAAAGTTAGAAAACTTAAATAAACTACCCCCTATAGAATGGTTCATGTTTCACTTTATATAAGTTCCTAGAGGGTCAGCAGCCAATGCCCAAAAATAAGAGTGTCAAACACAGTGAATATGCTCAGACAGGATGGAGCATCCTCTTTTCCAAAGGCCTTTGGTCAGATTTGGTGGGACTTCTAATACCTGTTCTGGCTTTGTTTTTCTATCAGATGTAATGACCACAATGCAACTGAGACTCTGAAACACAGTTAAGGAAAGTAAAAAAGATATGTATGATGAGATCTTTCAAGTTACGCTAGTTGCTGTAGGAATATTGTGATGATTAATTTTATGTGTCATATTGAATGGGCCACAGGTGCCCAGATGTTTGGTCAAGCATTGTTGTGAGTGTGTCTGTTAGGGTGCTTTTGGATAAGGCTAACATTTGAATCAGTATACTGAGCAAAGCAGATTGCCCTCCCTGACTGGTTGCCTCTCGTCCAACCAGTTGAAACCCTGGGTAGAACAAAGAGGGAACTTCTTCTGCCTGACTCTCTTGAACTGAGACATTGGTCTTTCCCTGAGTTAGGAGGCAAACTGAAACACTGGCTCTTCTTGGAGCTTGAGGCTGCCAACTTTTAGACTGGAACTTATGCCATCAGTGACCCTGGTTCTCAGGCCTTTGGACTCAGGCTGGCATTACTCCATCAGCTGGCCTGAGTCTTTAGACCTCTCAGCCTCTATTATCACATGAGCCAATTCTTACAATACATCTCTCTCTCTCTTTCTCTCCCTTTCTGCTCTCTCTCTCTCACTTGCTCTCTCTCTCCCCCATCCCTCTATCTATTTCTCTCTCTCTCTCTCTCTGTCTCTCGCTCTCGCTGTCAATGCACAACCTATTGGTTCTGTTTGTCTGGAGAACCCTAATACAGTTGTTTTCCCCAGAAAATTAAGGGTTAATGGCTTATTCCTTTCTCAATTCGGTAAGGCACAATGGTCCATTTTGCTCAGGGCTGAGATCTCTTATCAATGAAATCAAAAGGTTCATTTTCAAGGACAAGTTATTAGCTCTGCCTGTCTGTGTGAAAATGATAAGGCTAAAGAAAAATGAATTCCATGATTGCTTAAAATTGTTGTAATGGCTATGCAATGTTTGCATTTATCTTTAGGGAATAAACAGCCCTTCATCACTTTTCAGAGGGTCTTTTAATCTCCTCATTAGGTCTGAACTTAGAGCTAGAAAAATGAGTAGGTAGAATAATCTGGCTGCCAAGGGGTCAATTCTTTCATGAACCCTTTCTCATCTTTTAAAACCAGCCTTTTTTTTTCACCCAATGGATACCTCAACCACAGCCAAAGGAAAGAAACGAAAAATAAAAATTACTCTATCCTCTGATCTTACATAAGATTATCTGAAGTTCACCCATGACATATTACTTTATACCTACATGACTACTAGAATTATTATAGTTATGTATAATATTGACTTGTGTCCTTAGTAACTGCTAATGGCAGGTTCCATGTATCATTCCTCTTTTAGCTAGTGTACACATAATAGGAACAAGATGAATATTTATTAAAAGCCTTGGTTAATGGTGGTTGATTAAATATACCATTCTGTATAGTTAGCATAGGTTCATACCAAGTTTGGGGCCTTACCAGATATGTTACAGTGGGCAGTTGCAGTTTGATTTTCCCCAATACTTTAAATATTGAGCATAATTTTCTCATGTTAAGCATCATTAAACACAGCTTTCTATCACATACTACTGTTGTGCTATTGAATGAAATGAGTGGAGATGTCTTTAGATCTTGATTGATCAATTGATCATTTCCACATAACTATAATTATCTTTCTTTGATCTCTCATTTTAAAACTTAAATAAATTTTTAAAAATAAATTTTATTGTATATATTTAAGGTATACAACATGATATTATGAGATATATTTAGATAGTAAAAGTTACTATAGTGAAGGAAATGAACATATCAATCATCTTATATAATTATACACTTTAGTTGTTTCTGTGGCAAGAGCATGGAAATCTACTCATTTAGCATGAATCCCAAATACAGTACAATTGTGTTAACAATGTCCTTATGTTGTACAATAGACTCCTAGACTTTATCCCACATAGCTGCTACTTTGTATCCTCTAATCTACATCTCCCCATTTCCTCTCTGTCCCTGGTAACCACTGCTTTGTTCTCTATCTCTGTATATCTGAATTTTTCTTTTAGATTTCACATGTAAGTGAGATCATGCAATATTATTTCTGTGTCTAGCTTATTTCACTTAGCATAATGTCCTCCATGTTCATCCATGTTTTGGCAAATGGCAAGTCTCATTATTTTTTAGGACTAAATAATATTTCACTGAATATGGAATATTATTCTTTATCCATTCATCCATTAACAGACACTTTTAGTTTCTACGTCTTGGCTGTCATGAAAATGGGAGTCCACATATCCTTATGTGGTGGTAATTTCATATCCTCTGGGTATATGCCCAGAAAAAGGGATTGATTGATGGATCACTTGGTAGTTCTATTTTTAATTTCTTTCAAAATCTCCATACTATTTTATTTTTTTTCCTTTTTTTTTTATTTGACAGTCTCACTCTGTCATCCAGGCTGGAGTGCAGTGGTGCCATTTCGGCCCACTGCAACCTCTACCTTCCAGGTTCAAATGATTCTCCTGCCTCAGCCTCTTCAGTAGCTAGGATTACAGTCAAGTGCCACCACACCTAGCCAATTTTTGTATTTTTAGTAGGGACGGGGTTTCACCATGTTGGCCAGGCTGGTCTCAAACTCCTGACCTCAGGTGATCCTCCTGCCCCAGCCTCCCAAAGTGCTGGGATTACAGGTGTGAGCCACTGCACCCAGCCGAAATCTCCATACTATTTTCTATAATGGCTGCACCAGTATGCGTTTCCATCAACAGTGTACAAGAGTTCCCCTGGCTGATAAAAGCTGGAAACATCTTGAATCAACAACCTAACATCACAATTAAAAGAACTAGAGAACCAAAAGCAAACAAACCCCAAAGCTGGCAGAAGACAAGAAATAACCAAGATCAGAGTGGAACTGAAGGAGATACAGAACGAAAAAACCTTCAATAAATCAATGAATCCAGGAGTTGGCTTTTTGAAAAAATTAATAAAAGAGACTACTATCTAGACTAATAAAGAAGAAAGGAAAGAAGTATCAAATAGACAAAATCAGAAATGATAAGGGGGATATCACCACTGACCCCACAGAAATACAAACAACCATCAGAGACTACTATAAACACCTCTGTGCACATAAGCTAGAAGAAATGTATAAATTCCTGGACTCATACACCCTCCAAAGACTGAACCAGGAAAAAACTGAATCCCTGAATAGACCAAAAATGAGTTCTGAAATTGAGGCAGTAATAAATAGCCTACCAAGCAAAAAAAAAAAAAAAAAAAAGCCTGGGACTGGATGGATTTACAGTTGAATTCTACCAGAGGTACAAAGAAGAGCTAACACCATTTCTACTGAAACTATTTTAAATAATTGAAAAGGAGGAACTCCTCCCTAACTCATTTTATGAGGCCAGCATCATCCTGATACCAAAACCTGGCAGAGATACAACAAAAATATAAAACCTCGGGCCAATATCTCTGATGAACATCAATGCAAAAATCCTCAATAAAATACTGGCAAACCGAATCCAGCAGCACATCAAAAAGCTTATCCACCATGATCAAGTTGGCTTCATCACCAGGATGCAAGGTTGGTTCAACATAAGCAAATCAATAAATGTAATTCATCACGTAAACAGAACTAAAGCCAAAAACCACACGATTGTCTCAATAGATGCAGAAAAGGCCTTCAATAAAATTCAAAATCCCTTTATGTTAAAAACTCTAAATAAACTGGGTATTGAAGGAACATACCTCTAAATAATAAGAGCCATATATGACAAACCCACAGCCAATATCATACTGAATGGGCAAAACCTGGAAGCATTCCCCTTGAAAACCAGCACAAGACAAGGATCCCCTCTTTTACCACTCCTATTCAACATAGTATTGGAAGTTCTGGCCAGGGCAATTAGGCAAGAGAAAGAAATAAAGATATTCAAATAGAAAGAGAGGAAGTCATATTATCTTTGTTTGCAGATGACATGATCCTGTACCTAGAAAACTCCATTGTCTCAGTGCAAAAGCTTCTTAAGCTGATAAGCAACTTCAGCAAAGCCTGGGGATATAAAATCAATGTGCAAAAATCACTAGCATTCCTATACACCAACAGCATGCAAGCATAGAGCCAAATCATGAATAAACTCACATTCATAATTGCTACAAAGAGAATAAAATACCTAGGAATAAAACTAACAAGGGAAGCAAAGGACCTTTTTGAGGAGAACCACAAACCACTGCTCAAGGAAATCAGAGAAGACACAAACAAATGGAAAAACATTCCATGCTCATGGATAGGAAGAATCAATATTGTGAAAATGGCCATACTGCCCAAAGTAATTTATAGATTCAGTGCTATTCCCATTAAACTACTATTGACATTCTTCATAGAATTAGGAAAAAAACTATTTTAAAATTCATATGGAACCAAAAAGAGCCTGAATATCCAAGGCAATCCTCAGCAAAAAAGAACAAAGCTGGAGGCATCACCCTACCTGACTTCAAACTATATTACAAGGCTACAGTAACCAAAGCAGCATGGTACTGGTACAAAAACATGCACATAGACCAATGGAACAGAATAGAGAACTCAGAAATAAGACCACACACCTAAAACCATCTGATCTTCAACAACCCTGACAAAAACAAGCAATGGGGAAAGGATTTTCTATTTAGTAAATGATGCTGGGAGAGCTGGCTAGCCATATGCAGATAATTGAAACTGGACCCCTTCCTTATACCTTATACAAAAATTAACTCAAGATGGATTAAAGACATAAATGTAAAACTCAAAACTATAAAAACCCTAGAAGAAAATCTAGGCAATACCATTCAGGACACAGGCACAGGCAAAGATTTCATGATGAAAATGACAAAAGCAATTGCAACAAAAGCAAAAATTGACAATTGGGGTCTAATTAAACTAAAGAGCTTCTGCACAGCAAAAGGAACTATCATCAGAGTGAACAGACAAAATACAGAATAGGAAAAAATTTTTGCAATCTATCCATATGATAAAAGTGTAATATCCAGACCCTACAAGGAACTTAAACAAGAAAAAAAAAACATTTTAAGAAGTGGGCAAATGACAGGAACAGATGCTTCTCAAAAGAAGACATTCATGCAGTCAACAAACATGAAAAAAAGCTCATCATTGATCATTAGAGAAATGCAAATCAAAACTACAATGAGATACCATCTCATGCCAGTCAGAATCACGATTGTTAAAAAGTTAAGAAACAACAAATGCTGATGAGATTGCAGAGAAAAAGGAATGCTTTTACATTCTTGGTAGGAGTGTAAATTAGTTCAACCATTGTGGAAGACAGTGTAGCAATTCCTCAAAGACCTAGAGGCAGAAATACCATTTGGCCCAGCAATCCCATTATTGGATATATACCCAAAGGAATATAAACCATCCTATCATAAAGTTATATGCATGCATATGTTCATTGCAGCACTGTTCACAATAGCAAATATATGGAATCAACCCAAACGTCCATCAGTGATAGACTGGATAAACAAAATCTGGTATATATACACCATGGTATACTGTGTAGCCATAAAAAGTAATGAGATCATGTCCTTTGTCTGGACATGGATGGAGCTGGAAGCCATTATCCTCAGCAAACGAATGCAGAAACAGAAAACCAAACACTGTATGTTCTCACTTACAAGTCGGAGCTGAGCCATAAGAACACATGGACACATGGGGCGGGGGACAACACACACTGGGGCCTATCAGTGGTGAGAGAGGTGTGCGGGGGAAGAGAGAGCATTAGGAGTAGTGAATGGATGCTGGGCTTAATATCTAGGTGATGGGATGCTCTATGCAGCAAACCATCACGGCACACGTTTATCTGTGTAACAAACCTGCACATCTGCACATCCTGCACATACACTCTGGAACTTAAAATGAAAGTTGGGGGAAAAAAAGAATTCCCTTGTCTTCATACCCTTGCCAAAATGTGTTATCTTTTGACTTTTTGATAATATACACCCTAATGGGTGTGAGGTAGTATCACATAGTAGTTTTGATTTATATTTCCCTGATGATTAATGATGTTGACCACATTTGCATGCACATGTTGGCAATTTTCATGTCTTCTTTCACAAAATGTCTATTCAGGGTATTTTGCCCATTTTTTAATCATGCTATTTGTCTTTCTACATTTGCATCTTAACCCCTTATCAGGTATATGGTTTGCAAATATTTTTCCCCAATTTGTAGCATGCTGTTTTATTTTGCTGATTATTTCCTTTGCTGTGCAGAAGCTTTTTAGTTTGATGTAGTCCCATTTATTTATTTTTGATTTTGTGGCCTGAGCTTTTGGTCTGATATAAAAAAAAAATCATTTCTGAGGCCAATGCCCAGCAGATTTTCCCCTATGTTGTCTTCTAGGAGTTTTATAGTTTCTGGTCTTACCTTTCAGTCTTTCATCCATTTTCAGTTGATTTTTGTGCATCGTTTAAGATAGGGTCCAATTTCATTCTTTTACGTGTAGAAATCCAGTTTTTGCAGCACCATTTAGTGAAAAGACTATCATATACCCATTGTGTGCTGTTGGTGTCTTTGTAAAGAATTTGTTGACAGTACACATTTAGATTTATTTCCGGGATCTTTATTCTGTTTCACTGGTCTATGTGTCTGTTTTTATGCCAGCACCATATTGTTTTATTATAGATTTGTAATATAATTTTAACTCAGGAAATGTGATGCCTCCAACTTTTTTTTTATTTTCAGAATTGTTTTGGCTATTTGGGGTCATTCATGTTTTCATACATATTTTTGGAATGTTTTTTTATTTCTGTGAAGAATGACCTTGGGATTTTAACAAGGATTGTGTTGAATATATAGAATATTGCTTTTTGACATTTTAACAATATAAATTTTTCTGATTCATAAATACAGTGTATCTTTCCATTTATTTCTGTCTCCTTCAAATTCTTTTATCAATGTTTTCTCTTTCAGTATACAAATGTTTCACTTTCTCGGTTAAATTTATTCCTAAGGACAGATGGTCCTCAACTCACAAGTTTTAACTTTACAATGGGGTTTAAGACATAACCCCATTGTAAGCTGAGGAGCATCTGGACTTGTGATGGTTTGACTCAACAATTTTTCAGCTTTAATATGAGTTTATCAGGGTATTGAGTGCATTTTTGACATACAACATTTTCAACGTATGATGGGTTTATCAGAATGTAACCCCATGGTAAGTCAGAAAGCATCAGTAATTTTTTATGGTACCATAAATGAAATTGTTTTTTTCAGTTAGATTGTTATTTGTGTATGAAATGCTAGTACTTCTGGTACCATGTTAATTTTTCCTTTTGCGACTTTACTGAATTCATTTATTAGTTCTAACAGTTTTTTCTGTGGAATCATTACACATAAGATTATTTCATCTGCAAGTGGAGATTTTTTTTTCTTTTTGATTTTGATGTCTTTTATTTCTTTTCCTTGTATGATTGCTCGTGCTAGTACTTCTGGTACTATGTTGAACAGAAGTGACAAGAGTGGGCATCCTTACCTAGTACTGGATCTGAGTGGAAAAGCTTTAACTTTTCCCCATTGATTATAATTGTAGCTGTGGGTTTTTCATAAATGTTTTTTATTATATTGAGAAACATTCCTTTTATGCCTAAACTGTTGAGAGTTTTTTTTTTAATCAAGAATTGATGTTGGATTTTGAAAAATGCTTTTTCTGTGTCAAGATCATTGTGTGGTTTTTATCTTTCATTCTGTTAATGTCATATATTACTTTGATTGATTTGTATATGTTAAACTAGCCTTGCATATCAGAAATAAATCCCACTTGGTCACAATATATAATTCTTTTGGTGTGCTGTTGGGTTTAGTTTGTTATGTTGTTGGGTTTAGTTTAATCCTCAATATTTTACTAAGGATTTTTGCATCTGCATTCGTCAGACAGATTGGTCTGCATTTTTCTTGTCTTGTAATATCTTTGTCTGACTTAGGTATCAAGGTGATGTGGTCCTTATAAAATGTGGTTGGAACTATTCATTCTACCTCTATTTTGTTTAAAAGAGTTTAAGAAGTATCATTATTAATTCTCTGAAGGTTTGGTAGAATTCAGCTTTTATAAAACTATCTGTTTCTGGGCTTTTCTTTGTTGGGAAGTTTTTTGTTACTTCTTTGATCTCTTTATTTGTTATTGGTCTGTTGTTCAAGCTTTCTATTTCTTCTTGAATTGATCCTGGTAGGTTTTAGTTTTTGTTTTTTTGTTTTGTTTTGTTTTATTCTGTTTTTTAAGCAATTTATCTGTTTAGATTATCCAGTCGTTGGCATATATTTTTTCGTAGTAGTCTTAACGATCCTTTTAATTTCTGAGGTGTTTCATTTTTTTCGCTTTAATTTATGATTTTATTTATTAGTCTTCCCTTTTTTTCATTTAGACCAGCTAAAGGTTTATCCATTTTTTTTTATTTTTTGAAAGCACCAACTCTTAATTTTATTGATTCTTCCTATGATTTTTCTGTTCTCTATTTATGTTTTTATTTTTATTATTTTCTTCTTTCTGCTAATTTGGGGTTTAATTTATTCTTCTTTTGTTAGTTCCTTGAAGTGTAATGTTAGATTACTTATTTGAGATTCTTTTTGTTTTTAATGTCGGCATGTATTGCTATAAACTTTTCTCTTTGAACTGCTTTTGCTACATTTCATAGGTTTTGGTATGTTGTGCTTTAATTATTGTTTGTCTCAAGATATTTTTTAATTTCTCTTTTTATTTCTTCTTTGACTCATTGGTTGTTCAGGAGCACGTTACTTAATTATCATATAATTGTGGATTTTCAAGATTCCTCTTATTATTGATTTCTAGTTTCATAGCATTATAGTCTGAAATGATATTAGATATTATTTCAATTTAAAATTTAGTAAGTCTTGTTTTGTGGCTTATCATATGGCCTATCCCAGGGAATGTTCCATGTGAACTAAAGAAAAATGTGGCATATTATCCTGCTGTTAAAGTAAAGCTCTGTATATGTCTGTTAGGTCTAATGGGTGAAAAGTGCAATTCAAGTCTAGTATTTCTTTTTTAATTTTCTGTCTGGTTGATCTATCTACTCTTTTTAAATTATTTTTTATTAATTTTGTGTTCTTTTTTATTTTAATAGCTTTTGGGGTACAAGTGGTTTTTTTGTTACATGGATGAATTATATAGTGGTGAATTCTGAGGTTTTAGTGCATCTGTCACCTGAGTAGTGTATATTGTACCTAATGTGCAGTTTGTATTCCTAGCCTCACTCCCACGTTCCCCCTTCTGAGCCTCTAAAGTTTATTATATCATTCTGTATGCCTTTGCATACTCATAGCTTAGCTCCCACTTGTAAGTGAGAATATACAATGTTTGGTTTTCTCTTCCTGAGTTACTTCACTTAAAATAATGGCCTCCAACTCCATCCAAATATCTGCAAAAGACATTATTTCACTCTTTTTAATGGCTGAGAAGTATTCTATGGTGTGTGTGTATATATATATGTGATATATATAAATATATATCACACTTTATTTATGCACTCATTAATCAATGGGTACTTAGGTTGGTTCCACATTTTTGCAGTTGTAAATCATGTTACTATAAACATACATGCGCAAGTGTATTTTTAATATGACGACTTCTTTTCCTTTGGGTTGACATCTAGCAGTGGGATTGCTGGATGATCTATCCGTTGTTAAAAGTGGGGTAATACCAGCACTTTGGGAGGCCAAGGCAGGCAGATCATGAGGTCAGGAGATTGAGACCATCCTGGCTAACATGGTGAAACCCCGTCTTGACTAAAAATACAAAAAAAAAGTAGCTGAGCATGGTGGCAGGCACCTGTAGTCCCAGCTACTTGGGAAGCTGAGGCAGGAGAATGGTGTGAACCTGTGAGGCAGAGCTTGCAGTGAGCTGCGATTGTGCCACTGCACTCCAGCCTGGGCAACAGAGTGAGACTCTGTCTCAAAAAAAAAAAAAGTGGGGTATTAAAGTCCTTCAATATTATAATATTGCTCTTTATTTCTCCTTTCATGTCCATTAATATTTGCTTTATGTATTTAGGTGCTCCAATGTTGGTTGTATATATATTTACAATTGTAATGTCCTGTTGATACATTGACCCCTTTATCATTAAATAATGACATTCTTTGTCTCTTGTGACAATTTTTGACTTGAATTATATTTCATCAGGTGTAAGTATAGCTACTCCTTCTCTCTTTATTATTTGCATGGAATATCTTCTTCCATTGCTTTACTTTCAGCCTATGTGTCCTTAAAGCTTAACTGGGTGTCTTGTAGGCAGCATATAGTTGGATCTTGTTTTTATTCATTCAACCATTCTATGTCTTTTAACTAGAGAAATTAATTTATTTGTATCCAAGGTCATTATTGATAGGTAAGGACTCATTGCTGTCATTTTGTTATTTGTTTTCTGATTATTGGTAGCTTCGTTTCTTTCTCTCTCATTGTCTACCTTTGTAATTTGGTAATTTTCTGTAGTGTTAATCCTTGATTCTTTTCTCTTTATCATTTATATACCTGCTGTAGTTTCTTATGTTGTGGTTACCATGAATCTTCCATAAAACACCTTATAATCAACTATTTTAAGCAGATAATAACTTAAATTCTGTTGCATACAAAAACTCTATACATTTACCTTTCCCCTCACAATTTGCTTTTGATGTCACAATTTTCATCTTTTAATATTGTATATTTATTAACAACTTGTTATACGTTTAGTTATTTTTGACCATTTTGACATTTAACCGTCATGCTAGAGATACACATGATTTACACACCACTATTACAGTATTAGAGTGTTCCTGATTTTACTATGTATTTACCTCTTCAGTGAGTTTATACTTTATAGATATGTCATATGTATTTATAATAGTAATTGTCATTTTTTAAGATTCCCATTTGAAGAACTCCTTTAAGCATTTCTTGTAAGGCAGGTCTAGTGGTGATGAATTCCTTCAGCTTTTCTTGTCTGGGAACAATTTTATTTCCCCATTTTGAAGGAGAGCTTTGTTGAACATAGTATAGTTGGCTAGCAATGCTTTTGTTCTTTCAGCTCTTTAAATATATTATTCAATCTCTCTTGATCTGCAAGGTTTCTATTGAGAAATCCACTGATAACCTAATGGCAATTCCTTTACATGTGATTTGATGCTTTTCTCTTGTTGCTTTTAAATTTCTCTTTGTCTTTGACTTTGAAGAGTCTGGTTATAATGTGCCTTAGAGAGGATCTCTTTGGGTTGTATATTTTGGAGGGCCTTTGAGCTTTATGAATCCAAATGTCTATATCTCTTTTAAGATGTGGGAAATTTTCAGCAATTATTTTATTAAATAAGCTTTCTGTCTCTTTCTTTGTCTCTTTTTCTTTTGTAGAATGTGCTTGCTTAATGGTGTTCCATAAGTCTTGTAGGCTGTCTTCACTATTTTTTATTCTTTTTCCTCTGATGGAGTAATTTCAGAAGACCTATCTTTAACTTCACAGATTTTATCTTCTGATTGATCTCGTCTGCTCTTGAAGTTCTCTAATAAATTTTTTATTTCATTGATTGAATTCTTCAGCTTCAAGATTTCTGTTTGGTTCTTTTTATATCTGTCTTTTCATTGAATTTCCTAATTATATAATGAATTGTTTTCCTGATTTTATTAAATTGTCTATTTGTATTCTCTTGAATCTCCAAGTTTCCTTCAGTTCATTATTTAATTTTATTTCATTTTTATTATTTTTCTGAGACAAAGTCTCACTCTGTCACCCAGGCTAGAGTGCAGTGGTGCAATCTTGGCTCACTGAAATCTCCACCTCCCAGATTCAAGAGATTCTCCTGCCTCAGCCTCCCAAGTAGCTGGCATTACAGGTGTGTGCCACCACACATGGCTAATTTTTGTATTTTTAGTAGAGACAGGGTTTTGCCATGTTGGCCAGGCTGGTTTTGAACTCCTGACTTCAAGTGATCTGCCCATCTCAGCTTCCCAAAGTGTTGGGATCACAGGCATTAGCCACCACACCCAGCCCAGCTCATTACTTTAAATCACTTTTCAGAGAGTTTGTAATTTCTGCTTCTTTGTCGCTAGTTATTGGAGAACTATGATTTCCGTGTGGTACCATGCTTCCTTGCTTTCATGTTCCTTGTGTCCCTGCATTGATGTCTGCACATTTAGTGATGTAGTTTCCTTTTTCAAACTCTAGTAGGGGAAGACTTTCAGTTGCATATGGGTCTGAGGCTGCCAGTTGGGCAGGGCGCCTCTGGTTACATGTAGGCACAGTGGGGTAATCAATGTGCAGCTTCTTTAGTTGTGATCAATGTCAGCAATGAATGTAGGTGCCTCAGTGGCCTAGTTTGTAGGTTGCTAGGGCAAAGGCTTAACAATTCTCCTGTTCTTGTCTTTCCCACAGTGGGGAGTCTTAGCTGAAGAAAACTATTTTTGTGTTTGGTCTGATATGGCCCACAGGCAACCATAGCAGCACTGGGAGCCAGGGCATAGGTGATCAGAGTAGCTGTGGATATAGGTCATGGGCTCAGGGTCTTGTGAGACTACTGTAGCACCTTGGACTTGAGGCACAGGTTCACTTTCCAAGATACAAATGAATGCAGTTTCCCCAGTAAGGCAGGGTCTGTTCCTCTGAGGTGCACCTCACCATCTTAGGCCCAGAGTGCTGAAATATAGCTGAGGTTGTGACCCTGGTGGACATGGGACACCACTGGCACAGCTTGGTAGAAAAAGGAGTTCTCTAGAAGCTTGGGTCCAGGGAGCAGAGAATAGCTGTAATTTGGGACCAGGAGTCAACAGAGGTCAGCAAAAATGTAGACACTTAGCGATGAGGTACTATGTAGTGGTGACTCTGGACCCTGGGATGGTGGGACATATCACTACCCCAGGCTCTATGAGGCCAGGTACAGCAGCAGCAATGATGCAGAAATGGCAAGACACTGCTGTAGCTTGGACCTTGGTGGGAGGGGTGCAGCACAGCACCAGTCCCCCAAGAGGCAGCATGTCAGACTGCAGGGGTGTAGTGCAATTTTGGGTGGGCAGGCATGTGGCTGTTCAGCCTGGAGGGCAGGGTGGCACAGCTCAAGCCAGGCCTTATTTCTTTGGGATGTGTTGTGCCACATCTGTCTGGCCCCAGAAATCATGTCCATATGGGTCAGTGGAGCCTCTGGATGCCTGTGGGGTACGGTACTACATTAGCTATGGCACTGGAGTGTGCAATTATTCTTGTGTGCCAAAGGCTCTGAGCCCCTGTGGGTAGCATGCTGTCTTATCTGTGGTGCCAGGGCTGGGAGTTTACTGCTCTAGTGTAAGTCTGTGATCCTGGATGGTGGTGGTGGGGTATGCTGCCTCATCTATGGCATTGAGGGGCATGACTGCTCTGGTGTGCAGAAGACCTGAGGTCCCTGAGGGTTGGAGCGCCATTTCAGTTCAGTCCTGAGAGGAGAGTGCACAGTAACTGGAATGTGGGGAGTGGAGTAGCTCCACGGAACTTGGCCCTAGAGGGTAGGAAGTAGTAGCAGCTTGGCTGGTGGATGGTATGCTATTATATGGCTTGTTGCAGTGGTAACAAAACATCAGGGATGGAGGGGTGCAATGCATACTCACGCTTGGAGCAGGATGCACTTGTTCCCAAGATTGTACAGGGCAGTAGCAGCAGGAGCCATGAGACAAGAGGTAGGGGCTGAGAAGAGGAGGGAGGGCCACAGCATCAGCTCCTTCTCTAGGGATAGCTCAGTATGTAGACTCTGGGGAGCACCCTCAGCTGGGCTCAAACCCTATAAGGACTGCAGAAGTCTCTAGTGCAAAGACTGCATGTATCTGTGGAGATGACGGAGGTTGTTGGGGTCCTCTTGCTTACCTTTTTCCTGCAGAAAGGGGTCTCTTCTGGTTTTGAGTTGATCCCAACTAGGGAAATGGGATGGCAGAGGCAAGGTGTTTCCTCCTGTTTCCTATGTGGCCATCCTGTGTTTCAGTGGTCTACAGGATTTCTGCTGCTGTTCTCCAGAGCTTTCCTTTAGTTATTTTGATCAAGATGTAGTTGCTTATTCATTATTTTTAGTTTTTTGTGGGAAGTGGGAAGAGCACTAGAAGCTTTTAGTTGGCCATCTTGCTGATGTCACCAACATGGATCTATTTTTGTTTTATAATGTTAAAATACTATATCTATGTACAATTTGTCATAATTTACATTTTATATAGAATCCTTACTTATTTTTAATCTCCCAAAAAGGTTCTACATAAAATCATCATCAATTTCTAGACGCTTAATAATAGTTTTTGAAGTCGTTGCAAAAATGTAACTTTTCAAGGAAATTAAAACTAGCTGCATAATGTTAAAGAAAATATCAAATGTGAGAACTGTGTGTGATATATTCAAAGACTGAATCCATATTTGCTTATATTTATAGAAAGGAAACAGGACTAGTAATTCTATGGGCTGTAATTTTATGTCAACTTCTACCTAAAACAGAAATATGAATTATTTTTAATAATATGCCTGCCTTTAATCGCATGGATGAATATTTCACAAATTTGGTATTTTAACATCTTTGATGCCAAATACATAAAACTAAAGAAGTCTTTAATCTGAAAAAAACCAGAAGTATAAAGAATACCCTGTTAATAAATTTGTTAATTCATCTTTTGGGGGATGGTGTTTCCTGATTTAGTCTTTAGCTGCAATTCATATTTGAAGTTTGAATGTAAAAAAATGAGACTCAATTTTCTAGTGGCTTATAGGACCAGTCTCATTTCTTTTTAATCCACTACGCAAATAAATTGTTTGTTACTTATTTGGCTTAGGAAAATTAGTTTACATAACTCGAAAAATAAAAATAGCCTAAATGAGCTTTTGTTCCACAAAAATCAATTAAACTTATAGCTGGCATTTTGTAAATAAAATTTATTTAAACAAAATGAAGGATCCTTCAGTCCCTCCTTAAAGAGAACTGACAATTTGGCTGCTTCCCAATTCTTCAACTCTGACTTCTCCTTGATAGTCAATCTGTGAAGCAGAGGGAAAAAAATCTCTTCCCAGAACTGCATCAGTCTTCTCTGACTGGATGCACTGTTTTTGTCTTGTTTTGCTGTTTTTCCTCTAGTGCCTGCCAATTTTTAGCCTATGAAGATGGAAATAATAAAAAATATGGTGATTAATGAATTAAAAAAATGGTGATTAGTGGAGTAAAGGGAATTAATAATATAAAAATAACTTCTTTAATAATGAGATATATGATATAGAAGAAGATAATTATTAAAAGTTAAAAGCATAATAATTTGATTCAAATTCCTTGAACACAAGAGGTAGAAGTTAGACTAAGGTGATTACTTAGAATATTTGCTGTGAAAATAGAGCACCCATAATTTTTAGTGTCACTCATAATTTTTTTATTTTTCTAATTTTTAAAAAGTTTTATGAACCTATAGGTTTATTTCATATTTTTAGTTTATTTATTTTCATTTTTAAACTTTAATTTTAGTCTCAGGGATACACATGCAGGTTTGCTATATAGGTAAACTCGTGTCATGGGGAGTTGTTGTACCAATTATTTTATCACCCAGGTATTAAGCCTAGTACCCAATAGTTATTCTTAATGCTCCTCTCCCTCCTCCTACCCTCCACCCTCAGGTAGACCCCAGTTTCTGTTGTTTCCTTCTTTGTGCTCATGAATTCTCATCATCTAGATCCCACTTGTAAGTGAGAACATGCGGAATTTGGTTTTCTGTTCCTGTTTCATTTAGTTTTCATTTAGTTTACATATATCAAAGATGACCAGCACTGAAAGCTTATGAGATTTGTCATTTGTATAAGTACCAGGTAGGATGTAGAAAGATAAAAATCCCTCAGATAACTATGATTTCTGAACAGGAAGACTCAACATTGCCATCTTCCCCTGCCCAACGATCTTCAATTCCTATTGCTCCATTATCCAAAAAACATTCAGTCTAAAACTAAGGGTGGCAAATACGAGCACTAATTGGAATGATAGCATTTTAAATTGTTAACTGTGGTTTCTAAGGTCATCTTTTTGGATACTATGACCAGATTTTGTTAGAAAGTAAGAGAAGACATTTTGTACTTCTGGGAGAGGTCACACTGACAACAGAAACAGATCAAGAACAGTGGGTTTCAGGGCAGAGGACAGAGGGCAATTTCACAGGCTTTTATACATTCGCTAGAGCTGGCTCCACTCACCTTAGTCACAGAACACTTAGACATGTCCTTATATGTTCTCCTGGTCTGCATTTTTTTAAACTCAAGTTTTTCTAAACATTTTATTTGTGATGTAATGTTTTCCCTTGTGCTATTTCTCCCTGCCCCCAAACTGATTGGTGTAATTTGTTTTATTCTTGAGATTTTACCCATGAAAATACTAAGAGAGAGACAGAGAAAAAAGAGCTTACCTGGTATTTCTGTTGTTTTAATTGAACTCTGAGTTTCAGCTTTAGAAGGAAAAAAAGAAAAAAAATCAGTACAATTAAATGTTGAATATCAGATCTATTCTCACAATTGTTTCAGGTGGTAAATGAGTATGAATTTTAGCTCATTTCTGATTCACTATTTTCAAATCATAAAATCATGATTCTTCATGATTACAAGAAACTTCAGAGAAGGTTTTTAAGAAAAAGTGGTTCAACCGATTTTTCCCTTAAGGGCCAAATTTTTTAGGTTTTGTGGACCATAAATCTCTGTCATAACTATTCACCTCTGCCTTACACAGAGAAAGCAGCCATACACAGTATCTAAAGAATGGGAATAACTGTGTGCCAATAAAACTTTATTTTCAAAAAGTCAGGGTATTCAATTTTGCCCGTGGGCCATAGTTTGCTGAGTCTTGCTTTATAGGATCTGGTATACCCTCACACTTTGAATATCCTGAGATAACATAGAAAACAAAAATCCTTCAGTAAGTGCTTAATGAAAGTGGCTGCCATGTGTTGTAATCCTACTAAGACTTGGTGCATCTCATGATCTGTGGAAGAAGCAGCAAAGTTCAGACAGATACTTTTAAAATGTAAGAAATTATTTTATGATATAGTCCAGGAGAGCTTTCTGCAAGGAAAGTCACTTGGAAGAATTATAATCAAAGATCACTTCAACACCTTTGAGTACATGCAGCATTTTCAAGATTTGGCACATGAAAAATACAGAAAATAATCTTGAAACAAATAGAAGCCCAATAATGACATTTTTAAAAGTCCACTTGCTTCCTTTGTATATTCACTTGACTCTCTACATCAGCATCTTAAATTTAACATGCCCCAAACAGAACTCTTGACTGTTATCCTGAAATCTGTCTCTTCCGTTGCTTTCTTGGTTCAATACGTGGTGCCATTTGTTTTCCAGTTGCACAAAACAAAACGTCAGTAGCCTGTCTTGAGTTGCCTATGTTTCTCACCCTTATCAGCTCTAGTTTCAAAATGTATTCCAAATTCAAACATGTCTCACCACCTTTTCTGCTATTGTCCACCCAGCACCTGTATCTCTCCCCTGAGAACCTGCAATAGCTGCTTAGGAAAATCTTTTTAAATTTAAACTTCACTGCTCCAATGGCTCCCTATTGCTCCTCAACTCATCTCCAACCATTCAGACCCTGTTTCGTTGTACTCCACCTCGTGGCTTTGCTGTGGCAGATTGAAGGCACAAGGCCCTTTCTGCCTTGAAGTCTTCCTTCCTTCCTTCCTTCCTTCCTTCCTCCCTCCCTCCCTCCCTCCCTTCCTTGCTTTCTGGCTTGCTTGCTTGCTTTCTGACTCTGCTCAGAAGTCGCTGTTCAGAGAAGTCTCCCCAACCACCTTCACCAAATTGTTTCCACAGACCTTTTCACATCATTCCATCTCATTGCTTCATTCATTCAACAGTACTTTTATTACTACCATGTATGTACTTTTGTCTTTAAAAAATTATTATTTTCTGTCAGAACATAACTCCATGGGGGCAGATTTCTTATCTTGTTCAGAGAAGTGATTCCAGTGCTTACCAGTAGAAACATATGGATAGAATGAATGACAGTAGAAAATAATAATATAAAAAACTAATTCTACCTACCTGATTTCAACTTTTAAAGAAAAATGAATACTTTATTTAAAATTTCCTAGTTGGATAATTATAGTTACTATTTGTAAGCAACTTTTATGATCAGTTTCATATCTTATTAGTTGATACCTATAAGGGAAATATTGTATTTCCATTTTGCAGATCTGTAAACATTAGCTGAGAGTAGTAAAATTAATTTCTTAAGGAAAAAACCAGGTATATAGGCCAGGTCTGTTAGCTCTAGTTTTCATCTTCTTTCAGTAAAATGGACAGCTTTTCCTTCCACTAAACTGTTCCAAATAGAAAGCTATGTAATTAATTCCTACTTTTGATAACTAATTAAAACACTTTTGAACATGGCATTATGCTGCATTTGAAAGATACAATTAAAATATCTATTAGCTGCAAGAGGGTTAGAATACAAGGAAATCAAAATCCTTGTTCCTCTTATTATCAGGTCATAACCTTTCTTGGTAGACTTCACTGAGAAGACAAAACCTTCTGATTATCCCTTCTTTGAATTATTTTAGCCTTCAAAAATGTGTAATAATTCTAGAGGAACATAATAAAAGAAATATAACTATACATTAAGGTATAGCTGAGTCTTCATAAAACACATCACTTCAAAACCCTTCTGTTGAGCAGTGTAAGAGGTTTGGACATTTATATATATAAATGAATACATTGATATTTTGAGGACAAAATTCTGTAAGTCTCAAATATTTAATCCAGTATAGAATATATTCCTTTTTTCCCTGAAATCAAGAAAATATTTTAAAAATGATAAAGTGTTTTTACATAAATACAACTTTCAAATTTGGACTCAGTTCTGTGGAAACAAAAGCTTAGTAAAGATGAATGCTATGGAATATGGCTAAAGTTCTGAGAATTAATGAGTGAAGATATTTTCAATTATTCCTGTTTATTATTTATGACTTTCATGAAACATGTGTTTTTGGGAAAAGGCCAAGCTTTGATCTTAAAAGAATCTCAGAAAAGTCAAATAGCAAATTAGCAGTGTGCTTAGTTAACCATTCTCAAACTTAGATGTTTAGTAAGGACCCAAAACTTAGTCAAGGTGGTTGGCAACTTACAATCTGTTTGTTGAGTTTAATTTTTGAATATGAAATTGAAGTCTTATGAAATGTAAATGAATTTTGAAATGCTAATCACATTAATCCAACGTTAAACTTTGCTCAAGCATTTAGTTTTTAAATCAGAAATCTTGAACAGCAATACAACAAATAACTTTGCTAAATATTCTTATCTCACAAAGGATATTGCAGGATATTTTGAACTAACAGACTTACACCTAGAACATGATAATATCATTAACAGGTACAAGAGAAAAATATATACATCTATTCCCATATATAATTATCTACTGATTTGCTGTTGAATAATTTATTATGACCAATTCAAATCCTCTTCATCCTTTCTCCATATGGCATTGACTGAGTCATTAGACATGAGAATACTTCTCATCTGGCTAAACCATGACGTCTGACTAAGACTTTATCATCCTGAGGAGTACTCTTGTATCTGCCTACTTGAAATGATATAAATTAATTAAATCGCATATGAGAAATGTTATAACTAAGTCTCAAAATAAGTTTCATAGACAAATGGTGCAATTCACAAAATAAATATTGAAGCTGGGTGGGTAATTAGATAAATTAGTGTTTTCTAAAGTGTTGGATAGCCTTGTGTGAGAGATTCTATAAGGTAGTACTGGAAAGCAGCATTAAATAAGATGGAAACATTTAATGGGAAAATTGTTTCCTTTTCAGCTTTCTTGCAGTTTACTTGGTTATTTTAATGAGAAAATTCTAAAATTTTCATTGGATGCACATATATTGTTAATATCTAACATGTGCTTATCTTAGTTTATTTTTTTAAAGAACAAGCATGTCTCAAGCTCAGAACCTCTAGCAAAGAACAAATTCTAGCTAGAATTTTATTTATTTATTTACATAGTAGTGATTTTTATAGCTATTGTTTATTTATGCCAAGCAAAACTGGTTTTTCATTTATGGTAGTTTATTTTTCAAACAAATTTAAAAATAAGTGCATCGATTTAAAGAAAAACACTAAAAAAATAATAGCACAGATGATATACATCTCTAGCAACACTCATGAAGTTGTGGGAAATATCAGGGTAAAATCTAGTAGAGGTCCTTGATGAATATGAATGTGTAGAATTTGAATCAGCATTTAGAGGTAGGAGGAGGAAAGAAGGAATAAAAAATATACAAATGGGACAAATGAAAAATATACACATTCAAGTATAAATCAGGCATAGTGGGCAAGAGGACCACCCTGGTTAGAATTGCAGGTTTAAATTTATTCATTCAGTCAGTATCTTGTCATATATTTATTGAACACCTACTTGTCAAGTGCATGATGCACCTAATTAGAAGCTAGTTGTTTTCTAATTCCTTAGATTTAGATACTTTGTGTAAAATAGTTTTCATGAGAACAAGTGTGGTATAGTGAAAGGTGTATAGGGTTTGAGGCAAGAAAAACAGGGTTTTAATCTTTTAAATTTAATCTTGGCCAAGTCATTTAGTGTTTCTGAACTTGTTTCCTTATTTGTGAAATTGGTATCATATATACTTACTTTGCCTGGCTTTTATGAGAATTACTATGACTAAAAAAATAGCTAACATGTATTGTGTTTTTGTGTGTGTGTTTATTTCTTTATATGATTTATCTCCCTTAATCTTCACAAAGATCCTGTGAAAGTATAATCCTATTTTAATTATTTTACAGATGAAGAAACTGAGGCACTGAGAAGTTAAGTAGTGAATTAAAAACCACACAGCACAAATAACTAGTTGTGCTGTTTTTTGAACGTAAGCAATCAGACATCATAATCACTATTCATAACCAATAAGCTAACTTACTCTTGGCATGATTGAAGTGCCAAATTTTTATTTTATGAAGGGTATGATGCCTTGAAGAAAAAAGACCTGGGTGTTGGTCACTCTCATGTCCAGCTAGTAGCTTATCTAAAATGCGTACTTGGTTATTATAAAATTATCTTTGCTTTTTGTATAAAAATAAACTCCATATTAAACTAAGATAAATTATGCAAAAGGAAATACATTTGATAATTTATTTATTATATATAAATGTTATCAATTCCTACTAAATAGCATACTGGTTGATTATAAATGTTATTAAGAAAAGCCAGATTATCTTTTCAGGCTTCAAATCTCTAATATTGTATTCACTGTGGTAGAAGAAACTCTCACTTGGCAAAACCCTTAAAGGTGTTCCTATCCAAGTACTTGCTTTAGTAGAGTTCTATATTGGAGTTCCGCACATCCCAATTTATCATCTATCTATAATCTTATTCTGCATTCTTGTCTCAGCCAAGTTACAATTCAGTAAAGGGAAAAAGAGCAATAGTCCCTCCTTCCCTGCCAATCCTTTACAGTGTGCAAGATATCTCCTTTAAAATCTGGTTATAGATACCAGAATGACTAAGTTACCAGCAAGAAATGCGTATGTATTGTTTTCTTCCCTCCATCTCTTCTTCTTTCCTTTCTCTTCTATCCTCATAAACCAAGAGGATACACAGGTAGCATCACACTACCTGACTTCAAACTATACTACAAGGCTACAGTAACCAAAACAGCATGGTACTGGTACCAAAACAGAGATATAGACCAATGGAACAGAACAGAGCCCTCAGAAATAATGCCTCATATCTACAACTATCTGATCTTTGACAAACCTGACAAAAACAAGCAATAGGGAAAGGATTCCCTATTTAATAAATGGTGCTGGGAAAACTGGCTAGCCATATGTAGAAAGCTGAAACTGGATCCCTTCCTTACATCTTATACAGAAATTAATTCAAGATGGGTTAAAGACTTACATGTTAGACCTAAAACCATAAAAACCCTAGAAGAAAACCTAGGCAATACCATTCAGGACTAGGCAAGGACTTCCTCTCTAAAACACCAAAAGCAGTGGCAACAAAAGCCAAAATTGACAAATGGGATCTAATTAAACTAAAGAGCTTCTGCACAGCAAAAGAAACCACCATCAGAGTGAACAGGCAACCTACAGAATGGGAGAAAATTTTTGCAACCTACTCATCTGACAAAGGGCTAATATCCAGAATCTACAATGAACTCAAACAAATTTACAAGAAAAAAACAAACAACCCCATCAAAAAGTGGGCAAAGGATATGAACAGACACTTCTCAAAAGAAGACATTTATGCAGCCAAAAGACACATGAAAAATTGCTCATCATCACTGGCCATCAGAGAAATGCAAATGAAAACCACAATGAGATACCATCTCACACCTGTTAGAATGGCAACCATTAAAAAGCCAGGAAACAACAGGTGCTGGAGAGGATGTGGAGAAATAGGAACACTTTTACACTGTTGGTGGGACTGTAAACTAGTTCAACCACTGTGGAAGTCAGTGTGGCGATTCCTCAGGGATCTAGAACTAGAAATACCATTTGACCCAGCCATCCCATTACTGGGTATATACCCAAAGGATTATAAATCATGCTGCTATAAAGACACATGCACACGTATGTTTATTGTGGCACTATTCACAATAGCAAAGACTTGGAACCAACCTAAATGTCCAACAATGATAGACTGGATTAAGAAAATGTGGCACATATACACCATGGAATACTATGCAGCCATAAAAAATGATGAGTTCATGTCCTTTGTAGGGACATGGTTGAAGCTGGAAACCATCATTCTCAGCAAACTATCGCAAGGTCAAAAACACCAAACACCGCGTGTTCTCACTCATAGGTGGGAATTGAACAGTGAGAACACATGGACACAGGAAGGGGAACATCACACACCAGGGACTGTTGTGGGGTGGGGGGAGGGGAGAGGGATAGCATTGGGAGATATACCTAATGCTAAATGACGAGTTAATGGGTGCAGCACACCAGCATGGCACATGTATAGATATGTAAGAAACCTGCAAGTTGTGCACATGTACCCTAAAACTTAAAGTATAATAATAATAAAAAAATTAAAAAAATAAAAAAGAGTTAATGAGTATGTCGTGTTTTCAAGCCATTAGCAAAAAAAAAAAAAAATAGCTCAGGAAGAGAAAAAGATTTGAAGTTTTGCAAGGAAGTTTTACACTCAATCCCTCCACAGTTTAGCTATTGAAGGGTGGGGGACCTTTGTTATTGACAACTAACACTTCTTTTGAAGCACCCCTCAGTGACAACCAACGTAGCTCTGCATATAGTCAATGATAAACGTATGGATTATGAAACCTAGGTATAGTGAGGGCTAATGCAAGGACCTGGTCTGTGATGAGTTAAATGGTGACTCCCTGACCCCCTACTCCCAAAAGATAGGCAGACCTGGAACCTGTGATCTTATTTTTTTAGCAAGAATATAAAACTAATATAGATCATCAAGACACTGTGAGATTTCTACTCTAAGTAATCTAAACACAAAAGTCACTATCCTCTTTTGCTAAGCATACAATTTCTTTTTCTGCGGAATGTGTTTTGGGTGAGAATACCAGATAACTGTCACCAATGATGTCAAAGTATAGATCTTTCTATAAATACTAATTAAACATTTGGTGTCTTGTACTTTCTTTAAGAAAGTCAAGGTTCAAATAACTCTCTTTATCCCCGATAAAACTCCTTCCTTTGAAACCTTCTCTGTCTGATATTATTGTAGTCCCTTCAACTTTCTTTTAATTAGTTTTACCAAAGTATACCTTTTCCTGTCTTTTGTTTTTAATAAATTTATACTTAAAGTAGGTTTTCTGAATACTGCACATATTTGGGAAGAGGTTATGCTTTTTATCCAGTTTAACAATCTTATCTTTATAAATAAAATGTTTAAGCCGTTTTATTTTATGTGATAAATTATTATAATTGATTTTAAGTACACAATCTGATTGTAAAAATTTTCCATCTGTTCTCTGTTTCTTTTTTTCTTGTTTATTGCCTTCTTTTGGATTGAGTCTTTTTTTAAGATTTTATTTATCTCCAGTATTGATTTTACAACAGTATAGTTATAACCTTTCTCTCATTTTGGCATTTGTGCCATTGTTATACATTTTGTTTCTACATATGTCGTAAACCTTCCATACATTTTTGTTATTTTATCTTTAAACAATAAATTGTCTTTTGAAGAGACTAAAAATGAGATAAAAGTCTTTCATAGTTGCTCACATATTTACCATTTCTAATGTTCTTCATGCCTTTATTTAGATTGAAATTTCCATCTGGTACCATATTTTTCTGTTCCTGAATGTCTTTACTGATATGAATTTCGCAGCTTTTATATGTCTGAAAAAATATTTACAGAATTCTAGGGTGAAAAGTTTTTTTTTTTTTTTCTTCCAGTACTAAAAAGTTGTTTCATTGTTTTCTGGCATGCATTGTTCCTGATGAGTCTCTGCTGTAATTTTTATCATTGTTCTTCTCTATTTAATGTATAATTTTTTTCAATAGCTTCTTTCAAGATTTTCTCTTTATCTCCGGTTTTCCATGATTTGATTATGATGTGCTTTGGTGTAGTTTTCTTCAACTTGGGGCTCTTTAAGTTACCTGAATCTATGGGTTTATAATTTTATACACTTGGATTATCTTCCCTTTTGTTCGTTTTTTCTTTTGTTTTTTTTCTTGAGACAGAGTTTCACTCTGCCACCCAGGCTGGAGTGCAGTGGCATAATCATGGCTCACTGAATTCTCGATCTCCCTGGCTCAATCAATCCTCCTGCCTCACCCTCCCAAGTAGCTGGGAATACAGGTGCCTGCCACTATGCCTGTCTAATTTTTGTATTTTTTGTAGAGACAGGGTTTCACCACGTTGTCCAGGCTGGTCTCAAACTCCTGGGCTCAAGCGATTTGCCCACTTTGGACTCTCAAGTGTTGGAACTACTTTGGGGTTGGGGAGACACCACACCTGGCCCTTCTTCAAATATGTTTTCGGTCCATCCTTCTCACATCTTCTTCTGAAATTGTATGTATCTTAGGCCCCTGGGGTGTCCCACACCTCACTGATATTTTATTCTATTTTTCTGGTCTTTTTTCTCTCCAACTTATCTAGTTTCTATTGTTATGCATTCATGTTGAAAAACCCAAAATATTAGTTTTTGTTGATCCACTTTATGGTACATTTGCTTTCCAATTCATTAATTCCTACTCATATTTTTATTGTTTTCTTCCTTCAACTTTTTGGGGGTTTATTATTTATTTTTTCTGCCTTATTGAGATGGTTGTTCTAGTAATTAAGTTTGAACCATTCTTTTTCCTGCCTGATATATGCATTTTAGAGCTATAAATTTTACCGTTAAGATTGGCTTTAATTATATTGCCAGTTTTGGTACTGCATATTTTTGCTATCATTCAGTTCAAACTATTTGCTGATTGTCATTATGATTACTTCTTTGACACATAAGTTACTGTAGTTTAAAATGTATCAGCATAGAGCTATCTTTTAGTTTTTTTTTTGTTTAGATTAATTCCTCTTTGATCAAGAGACACACTCTGTATCACTTAAATCATTTAAAACCTGTTGAGACTTGCTTTATGACACAGGCTATGATCTATGATAGTAACGAATTCTTATCTACCTGAAAATAGTTCACTTTCTGTAGTTGAGATAGTTCACTTTCTGTAGTTGAGGTGCAGTGTTCCACATATTTCCATTAAATTGTTTGTTAATCATATTGATTTATGCTACATCAATACCTATATTTTGTCAACTAATGAGAAAGGTATATTAAAATTTTCATGAGAATTGTGGATTTGTGTTTTTCACTAAATGTTTGCTTTATATATTTTCATGCTATATGATAACGTAAAATTTTTAACTTGTTTTATTTTCCTGGAAAATTAAATATTTTAGTATTATGAAATGTTCCTATTTATTTCGATTTAGTTTTTTTTGCCTTAAATTCTACTTTTTCTGATATAGATGTATTTATTTCAGGGTATATCCTTTTTCACTCTTTTAAATTTAACTGTTGTATGTCTTTTTTAAGCAACATATAGTTTGGTTGTGTGTGTGTGTGTGTGTGTGTGTGCGATCATTAGTTTCTATTAATAAGATCATGTCATCTGAGAACAGAGATCATTTTACTACTTCCTTCTCTATATGACTGCTTTTAATTTCTTTTTCTTTCCTGATTGCTCTGAATAGAACTTTCAGTATTATATTCAATAGAAGTGATGAGAGTGGACATCATTTGCTTTGTAGGAAAAGCTTTCAACTTTGTACTGTTGACTATAAAGTTACTTGTGGACTTTTCATATATGAACTTTATTATTTGGGGCAATTTTTAAAAATTTATAGTTTATTGAGCATTTTTATCCTGAAAAGATGTTAAATTTTGTCAAATGTTTTTCTGCAACAATTGAGATAATCATGTGGCTATTGACCTTCATTCTGTTAATGTGGTATATTATATTGATTGATTTTCCTATGTTGAACCATCTCGCATTCCACAAATAAATGCCACTTGAAACAAGATGTCTAATCCTCTTAATGTGTTATTGAATTTGGCTTGCTAATATTTTGTTGAACGTATTTGCATCAATATTCATTAAGAATATCAGTCTGCAGTGTTCTTTTCTTGTAGTTTTTGTGAATGATTTTGGTATCTGCCTAATTTTAGTCTCATAGAATGCATTTGAAAGTGTTCCTGGCTGGGTGTGGTGGCTCACACCTGTAATCCCAGGACGTTGGGAGGCTCAGGTGGGTGGATCATGAGATCAGGAGTGCAAGACCAGCCTGGCCAAGATGGTGAAATCCCGTCTCTACTAAAAATACGAAAATTACCCGGGCATGGTAGTGGGTGCCTGTAATCCCAGCTACTCGGGAGGCTGATGCAGAGAACTGCTTGGACCTGGGAGGTGGAGTTTGCAGTGAGCCGAGATTGTGCCACTGCACTCCAGCCTGGGCAACAGGGCAAGACCCTGTCAAAAAAAAAAAAGTGTTTCCTTCTCTTTATTTTTTTATAAGAGTTTGAGGAGGATTGGTGTTAATTCTTCTTTAATTTTTGGTGGAATGCTTTAATGAGGCCATCTGGACCTGAGCTTTTCTTTGTTGGGAGGTTTATTTTATGTCATTATTTTATTTTATTTTTAGGGCTGTTTTAACTGCTAGGCTCTTTGATAACAGTATCTGGGGCCTAAAATATTTCCAAGGGCCTAGTGAAATCTTTGAGATCTCAAACACAGAATTATTGCCTCCATTATACAAAAAAATCAGCAAAATCTAAATTGATAAATGATTCCCTAATGTGTCTACAAAATGCATACAACCTTAAAATCCATTAAGGTCTGAAACACTTCTGATCCCAAGCACTTTGATAAGGGATATTCAACTTGTATCACTTTTATAACTTTTGATAAATTTTTATAAGTTTTTATAACTTTTATAATTTTATAACTTATAATCTATAAATTCAGTTAACATAGGATGTGGGGGCAATTCAATGTTTGAGAAGGGGGACCTAAAGTCAGAAGGCCTAAAACTAACAAAGGCCTTAAAACAGCCTGTATTCCAACAACAAACATACTCTATCTTCTTTTCAATTGACCTTCACTCAAACAGTTTTCCTTTTCCCAAAATGACTCCTCCCTTCTTTGCAGCTGGTGCTTACTCCTCAAAACTTATTCAGTACTAGACAAAAAACTCTGCCTCCTCAGAAGGCTCCACCTTTTGTGGTTTGAAACTTCCTTTATCATGTTCTGTCTTGATGGTAAAACCTCATAAACATTTAGCCTTCCCCTGGGTGCTAGAGGCTCTGTTCAGCATGGAGAGAGGTTCTTTGCCCTGAAAGATTTCACTGTTGAGTTAGAGAAGCAGGCAAATCCACATGAAAAAAAAATCAGTATTAAAATGACTTTCCAGTGGATGGCAAGTCTTCTTTGGCTTTCTCTTTCTTGAGAATTACATGAATTTGTAGGACTTCTTTTATTTAGTTTATTAAGTTGGACAACTCCTCCTAGCTGGAGCCATTGCCCTCAGATGCTCTCTCTCTCTCTCTCTCTCTCTCTCTCTCTCTCTCTCTCTCTCTCTCTCTCTCTCTCTCATCTCTAGAGAGAGAGACAGAGAGGTTGTTTTCAGTATTTTCAGTATATGACAATATTTTGTGTGTGTGTACACCATATATATATACATATGGTGTACAATGTGATGTTTTGAGATATACATGTATTGTGGAATGATTAAATCAAGCTGATTAACATATGATCTCACATACTTATTAGTTTTTTTGTGGTCAGAACATTTAAAATCTACTCTCTTAGTGATTTTCAAGTAGAAAATACATTATTATTAATTATAGACACTAGGTTGTAAAATAGGTCTCCAGAAGGTATTCCTCCTGTCTAACTGAAATTTTGTATAATTTGACCAACATCTTCTCATTCCCACCCTACCCAACTCCCCACCTCCAGCTTCTAGTAACTACCATTCTACTCTCTATCTCTATGAGTTCAACATGTTTAGATTCCACATGTAAGGGAAAACTTGCAATATTTGTCTTCCTGTGCCAGACGTATTTCAGTTAGCATAATGACCTCTAAGTTTATCCGCGCTTTCGCAAATGACAGGTTTTCCTTTTTCTTTCCAGGCAAAATAGTATACTATTGTGTATATATACCACATTTTCTTTACCTCTTCATCTGTTAATGGACACTTAGGTTGATTCCATATCTTGTCTATTGTGAATATTGCTGTGATGAACATGAGAATTAAATATCCCTTTGACACACTAATTTTATTTCCTTGGATATGTACCCAGAAGTGGGATTACTGGATCATATGATAGCTATAATTTTAATTTTGGGGGAATATCCATACAGTTTTCCACAATGGCTACACTATTTTATATTTCCATCAACAGTATACAAGATTTCTCTTTTCTCTATATCTTTGACAGCACTTTTTATCTCTCATCTTTTTGATAATGGCCATTCTAACAGGTATGAGGTGATAACTCATAGTGGTTTTAATTTGCATTTCCTTGATGATTAGTAATGTTGGGAATATTTTCATATGTCTGTTGGCCATTTGTATGTCTTTTTTTGTGAAATGTCCATTCAGGTCCTTGGCCCATTTTAAAATTGGGTTATTTGTTTCTTTGCTATTACATTGTTTGAGTTCCTTATATATTTTGTATGTTAACCTCTTAACATTTGTATGGTTTGCAAATATTTTCTTCCATTTTATAGGTGTATTAGTCTGTTCTCACACTTGTAATAAAGACATACCTGAGACTGGGTAATTTATGAAATAAGAGGTTTACTTGAATCACAATTCCACATGGCAGGGGAGGCGTCACAATCATGGCTGAAGGCTAATGAGGAGCAAAGTCACGTCTTACATGATGGCAGGCAAGAGAGCTTGTGCAAGGTAACTGCCTTTTATAAAACCATCAGGTCTCATGAAACTTATTCACTGTCACAAGAACGGTATGGAAAAGACCTGCCCTCATGATTCAGTTACCTCCCTCCAGGTCCCTCCCATGACACGTGGAAATTATGGGAGCTACAATTCAAGTGAGATTTGAGTGGGGACACAGCCAAACCATTATCAATAGGTTATCTCTTCACCCCGTTGATTGTTTCCTTTTCTGCACTGAAGCCTTTTCATTTGATACAATCTCATTTGTCTAATTATGCTTTTGTTGCCTTTGCTTTTGATGTTATATCTGAAAAATCATTGCACAGACTAATGTCAAGAAGCATTTCTCCTAGGTTTTCTTCTAGTAGGTTTACAATTTAGGTCTTTTGAAAATGTAAATAATATCATATCATTGCTCTGCTCTCAACTCTCCATCACATTGTGTATCCAATTAGAATAAAATTCACTGTCCTTACCATGGCCTATGTAGCCCTGTCTGGACTGACCCCTTCTTCCTGCTCTAATGGCATGTGCTATCTTTTCTTCCCTTCATTCCTTCCAATCAACCACAGATGACTCCTCTTTATTCAAACAACTTAAATCCACCCACATATCAGCACCTGTGCACTTTGTATTTCCTCTTTGAATTCTCTCCCAGATATCCATATGTTCACTTCTTGACTTTATTTAGTTCTCTTTCCAAATGGCACTTGTTCAGAGAGGGATTCTTTGAACACCTTATGAAAATTGGCACTACCATCACCACTTGCTTTTTTTTACTGTTTTATTATTATTTAGAGTATCACTGATATTGAATTATTAATATTTAACTTATTTATCTTTTTCATCCACTAGAAGGTAAATTTCATGATAGCATGGTCTGTCTAATATACAACGATTTATCACAATCCAGAATAGTTCCAGGTACATAGATAATCCTCTGAAAGATTTTTAGTAAATAAGATAATTTTTAATTCAAAAAGCCCACATTTTTTAAATAATAAAGTCAGAGCACTAGATTAATGAGAAGTTCTATCTTAAAAATTCTAGGATTCTAGAAATTGTTTCCTTTTAAATAGGAAAAATACACACCCCTCTAAAAGAATGGGAAAAGATTAGAGAGAAATGTTTTGAGTATGATCTTCTTTTTTGATCTGAATTCCAACTTTCTAGGGAATAAAGCAACAAATCTCACTAACTCTTCTACTCTAAATTAAACCTGTATTTGTTTTCATCTTTAGATGAAATACCCACAATGTACTTGTCTGATATTTCCTATCCAAGGAACCATTGCCCAGATGTTTAAGAGGGAGCTGAATCTTCAGCTGTTCAACATTTAACCAACAGTAGATTGTTTTGTTTTGTCTCTATCTCTCTGTCCTGTATCCACTAATCCTAACAGTGTTTATGTGTGATGGGCGGAAAGGGAGTGGTGCTCTGCTAACCAGGAATCTGGGAGAGGTCCCGGTTTCATCACTTGGCAAATGGAAATGTGTGCAAACACATTATATCAAGTAGGGTCCATGTTGGGCAATAAGCACCTTGAGAAAAGAGAGGGATCTAGGGAATAATGGCTGACCCAGAAATAAATGTAATAATAAATTCTAAAAAATTTTGTATAAAACTTGTTTGTCAAATAACAAAAGCAATGGACAACAGTAAATACGCTTATTTCATTATCCTGCTTTCCAGAGTGTTTCATTTCTTAAGAAAATGGCTTTGATGTATTTTTTAAACTACTTGGAAGAAAGCCATTTTAAACTGAGTTTAGAAGCTAAATCAATACAACAGTCCCCAGAACTGAGACGCAGAGAGCATTCTACTTCATGAATTGAAGTGGAATTAAAAGTCTTAACTGACTCATGGGCTGACCACATACTTCTGAAATGTATGTAATAGGTTTAATAAATCACAGTCCGTGAATGACATTTTCTTCCTCACAAGTCACTGAATGGGTGAGTATTTAGTGCAGGATACAAATTATTTGAGTCTAATTTTCCAGAAGCTGCTATACACTTTGCAGATATATATATAGTAGTTTTATTTTTATATTATAGGGGCCATCATATTATACGTAGATGAATTTTGGTTTCCTGAAGGTGCCTTTTAGATATATATTACTTACAAAATAGGTTCTACTTATCAGAAACCAAACCACTACTACACGAAAATGTTATCCATATGAAGAAGAGATGATTCTGCTCTTCAAATTCCTCTACGGGGTGACTGTCCCATTAAAAAGAAGTAGTAGTTTACAATTATGGTGTGAAATTAGACTCCTTCTAGGCAAACTTCTGTATGTTGTGCTTGAGATGATTACAATAAAAAAGAGACAATTTATGTTTCTGAAGTTTCTAGACAAGAGTAGGTCTTGGATAGCCACAATTTCTACTTGTCATCTCTTTCTACCTTAGAGATTTCCCAAGAAAAGACTTAGACATTATGAGTCATCTGTAGCCATTTCTTAGTAAGGACTATGGATACACCAAAAATGCTTCCATTACTTATATTCCTAACTCTTCCAGTCAAGTGTGTTTACTATACATAGAAATTACTTATATCATGGAGTCCAGAATGTGAGAAGTACCTGTTGTGAGAAAACTGGAACTGGAAAGCTGTCAGAAATTATGGGAGTTCTAGCTTCTACTTGTCTCTCTGCCTCGCACAAACATTTTAATTTTGCTCACAGGGTATTCCTATCTCCCAATATACTCTCCATTCTTTTCTGTCAATTTGTTTACTCATAATAACTGCTTCTGGATGCCATAGGTATGCACATGAATTGCCATGACTACCGCAGACTCCCACTACTAAACTTCGCACCTTCAATTCCCGTAGCTAACTCTGCTGTTTGTTTGTTGGGTTTTCTAGTTCAAACTACTCAGAAAGAAAATTTGATTGGCTAAGCTCATCATTTTCTTTCCTTCTGTTTTTCAACAAAGCTTTATAAAAAATATGATTTACACACCATTAAATGCACTCATTTTAAGAATACAAGTAATAATTTTTAGTAAATTTGTAGAGTTGTGCAACCATCATCATAACATAATCTAGTTTTAGAACAGCTCCATCAAATGAAAAACTCCTGTGAGCTTATTTAGAGTCAATCCCCACTCCCATCTCCAGCTGCAGGCAACCACTTACCTGCTTTCTGTCCCTATAAACTGTCTTTTCTGCATATTTACTGTAAGTGGAATCATACCACATGTCATGTTTTGTGTATGGCTTCTTTCATTGAGTATAATGTTTTTGAGGTTCATACTTCATTACAATAGCTTTAGAATAAGTTTTGAAATTGGGTTGTGTCCTCTAACTTTGTTCTTTTTCAAAAGTGTTTTGACTATTCCAGGTCCTTTTTATTTCCGTACAAATCTAGGGTCATCTTATCAATTTCTTTAAAAGAACTGGGATTCTGGTAGGGATTGCATTAAATATATTAATCAATTATTGATCAACTTGGAGAGAATTATCATTTAAAATATTGAGGTTTCTAATCTATAAACATGTAATGTATCTTTAGATATTTAATTTCTCACCAAAATAGTTTATAGTTTAGTGTATAAATCTTGCACTTCTATTGTTAAATTTATTTCTACATATTTTATACTTTTTGATGCTATTGAAGATGGAATTATTTTCTTAATTTTATTTTGGATCACCACTGTTAACATATAAAAATATAATTTATTTTAATATATTTTATATCCTGTGCTACAAACCGCTCTTTAGTGGTTTTAGTTTTATAGTGAATCCTTGGAATTTTCTACGTAGATAATTATGTAGTCTTCTAATAAAAAATGCTTTATTTCTTCCTTTTCAATCTAAATGTATCTATGTATTATCCATTGTTGAATTGTACTATCTAAAACCTCTGGCTATAATGTTGAATAAAACTGATAAGAACAGACATCTTTGGTATGTTCCAGATCTTAAGGGGAAAACATTAAGTCTTTCATTATTAGGTATGATGTTAGCTGTAGGCTTTTTGTATATGCCCTTTATCAAGTTGAGGAAATTTCATTACATTTCTAGTTTATTGAGAGTTTTTAATATGAGTGAATGTTAGATTTTGTCGAATGCTCCTTCTACATGTACTGATTTTACTAATATGTTGTATTACTTTCTTTGGTTTTCATATGTTAAACTAATCTTGCATTTCTGGGATAAATCTGACTTGTTCATATTTTATATTCCTTTTTACTTGTTACTGATTTTTTTGCAATATTTTATCGAGGATATTTGCATCTATGTCTAAGAGCCATATTGGTCTATAGTTTTCTTTACTTGCTTTTTCTTTTCATTCTTTTCTTGCTTTGGTGTCAGGGTAACATTAGCCTCTGATAATTATTTGTGCAGTGTTTTCCCCTCCTTTACTTTCTAAAAGAGTTTGGGAAGAGTTGGTATGATTTATTTCTGAAATGCTTTATAGAATTGACAATTGAAGCCATCATGGCTTGGGGTTTTCTTCATAGGAATATTTTTAGTTCCTATTTCAATTTCTTTAATCATTATAGGTTTTTTCAGATTTCCATATCTTCTTGAGTCAGTTTTAGCAATTTATTTCTTTCTAACAATTTTTTCATTTCATCTAAGTTGTCTAATTTTTTGGCTGAGCTCTCCTTTTAGTGCCAGGTAATATCATAGATTACTGCCCAGTCTTGCATTAATCTTCCTTGTGACCCATTCCTTTGTGGCTGCAGTGGGATAGGGTATCACTGTAAAAGATGAGGCTGCCAAATGATTGTTCTATTGGGTAGAGATTAAGAGACAATTTAAGCAGAGCATAATTCCTTGGCAGTTGTATGCTGGAAAACATTCTGAAACTAGTTTTATGCAACACACTAGTTTAACACTTCAGCACAAATCCTCATACTTACTCTTGGGTTTGGAACTTTGTAATGTTGAAACAGCATTTGGAAGTGTAACACTTGTTACTGTTACGTTTGAAATGATGGAGTCATTCTTCCTGACATCAGTGGTTGTGGCTTTCAATCCTATAAAAAGAATGAACAGTCATCAGGAGTATAACAAATCACCAGATCATCTTATTAATATTCATATTAATATCCAACTAAAACTTGAAGATTAATTTCTAGAAGTCTTCTGACTAAGCCTTAGAAATCCAGCATTTTAACATTCACCTTTTGGTGATATAATTAATTACTTTAAAGAATGTGGAGGGACATTAACTTTCTTGTGTACATGCTGTAGGTTATCTCACTTGATTGTCATGGTAATCTTACGAATTAAGTAATCATGATGATGATGATTTTATATATAAGACTCAGAGGAATTAAATAATTTCCCCACGGTCACATAACTTATAATAGGAGAGAACAATGACCTGAATTCAAGCCTTTCTGATGCAAAAGTTAATCACTCAGCTGCCCTGGGAAAAGAAAGGTAAGGATGTGGTAGTAATTAAGTATGGCACTATTGTTCTCATGCCACTTGGGAAAATATTTTCAAGCAGGTGGAATAGTCAGGGGATGAGGGATAATTGGACATAAATGGAATACACTTTTAATTATACTTAGTTCATTTTTCTTTGAAAAAAAAATTTACAACAAAAATATAGGCTGAGCTTTTCAAAGATAACATTGGAATAAGATGACTTGAAACAACTTATATTTGCCCATATATTCTGAAAAAAAATCGATGCCCTTCAGTTTTTTCAGTCTAATGTGGAAACATTGGGCCAGTGAAGAAAATGCAGACATGCCATTTACTGCATGCTTGGTGTTAGCTGGATGTGATGCTAGCTGGAGATGAGGGGAAAGCAGTTTAGTAGATCTCTAACACAGAGTAGAATGGAGCAAGAATTGCTGGTGTTTTCTAGAAGTGCAGTCAACTTCCATTCTATGTCAACAAGCATCTACTGTGTAATACAAATTCTTAGTGCAGTTGAGGAAGTCATGCTGAAGAAAGGGATCATTTGCAAGAAGACTTCATAGACAGTAGATAAATACATTTTCCTTCAGGTAAAAAGCCTTTGGGAATTAGTGTGCAAACAAAATGAAACAAATTCAAATGTAGTCTACAGTGTTAATCCTGCATATGAGAGAGAATGACTGGAAATAGCCACACATTTCAGAGGTATCATGAAGTGTTAAATTGGGAGGAAAATATGTGAAGTAGAGATAATGCCTTATTACAGCAAGAAAGCAGAAGTTGGTATTCGTGTTAGCATGGAAGTGGGACAGGTCACCCAAGGTGCAGAAACTCAACATTTGAGGATGGAGGAACTCCTGGGGGTAAAGATTTTGCTTCCCACTGGAATTCCAACATATGTTGGGGAAAGATCAGAACAGGAGTTTCTCTTCAGAAATTTTTGGAGAAAAATTCTTCAGCTGAGCTAAAATTGGAAAGCATGAAAAAGCTATCCTGAAGGCCTAAAGAGTTCCCTAGTATCAAGCAGACTCAACAGTCTTGGTGGAGGGAAAGAGTATATATAGCTAAGAAAGATGTGGAGGGCTGCCAGATTGGAAATATGCAAAGAAAGGAGAAAAATAATGGAATAGCTGGGAATGCAATGCCAAAGATTTTGCTTAGAGAATTGCCTATTATAAATGTGGAATATACTTCACAAATGAGAATTAGAGCCTACACTCAATGTAGGACAGGTTGTCAATTATACTACATGAAGTAGGCCTTGGAGCAAATCTTGAATGTTTAAGATAAATCAAAATGTTTTAAAATATTCATGGTAAACTCAAACTGAATAGAATAAAAGATGCTGCCACAGCCACAAATTTTTAAACTTTACTAATATACAGAAATGCTTCAAATCCTAGTCTCAGGAGAGAAGAATCTATGCATGGTTGACTAACATTTATTAAGATATGAGAATCGGCCGGGCGCGGTGGCTCACGCCTGTAATCCCAGCACTTTGGGAGGCCGAGGCGGGCGGATCACGAGGTCAGGAGATCGAGACCATCCTGGCTAACACGGTGAAACCCCGTCTCTACTAAAAATACAAAAAAAAAATTAGCCGGGCGTGGTGGTGGGCGCCTGTAGTCCCAGCTACTCGGGAGGCTGAGGCAGGAGAATGGCATGAACCCAAGAGGCGGAGCTTGCAGTGAGCCGGGATAGCGCCACTGCAGTCCAGCTTGGGCGAAAGAGTGAGACTCCGTCTCAAAAAAAAAAAAAAAAAAAAGATATGAGAATCATAGTCATATTAACATCTTTTTGAGAAAATTTTTCCAGTTGTATTTATAGTTAACACATAGTTTATTCCAAACTACTGCCAATGAGTAATTCACACCTTCAGAGAAAAAGTAAATCAATCTTAAAGCTGGTCTTTAAATCTAAATACTTTCTACTTTCCCCTACAAAACAATATGTACCTGCTGTCATCTACAGTTATGAATTGCACTATAATCCTAGGCAATAGTGCATGCATTAGGTTTCACAAACATAATTTTTCTGGAGAAATATTAATTTATAAGAGAATTGCATCAAGATACATTGGCTTTACATTTATGACTTGTGTTTTTAAGATTCATGTATGTTTAAATCGTAGCTTTTGGTATAGGTGGGACACATTAAAGACAAAACATAATGAATTTATCCATATTTGAGTTGGAAAAAATAAGAATTTAACACAAGAGATGCTTGAGGGAGTCGTATCAGTACCAGATTGTAAATGGAGAAAAGAAACCTTGATTCCAAGCATGTCCTTAGGTGAAAACCACTGCATAGGGCTGAGAGAAATGTGGGAGAGGGTCTGTTTTATAATGATCTTGGAATTGTTAACGTGTAATTTATTTTGTATATTTTGAGGAATTAAGTTTATTGAGGAAAACAATAAATCAGGACATTAACTATATTAGGAATCTAATGTGTAGTTACCAATTAACATGAAGAGATGGTTTGTGGTCATGGATTTTAATTTTATAGGGAGGGAGATTGGCAGCTTTATTCCTTTGGAATTACATAATTTGAATTACAGCATTGTTTTATCTGATGCCCATAGGAAAAATGTCTGACCACTTTGTCTTAAGAAATAGAATAAAAGGTAAGAGACTTTTGACAAGGTTAGCATTTACTAAAATACATGCTGTAGACTACTAGTACTGTGGTATATTTGGTTTTACATGAATAAAAGATGCTCTTAAAATATTTAGGATTAAATTTAATCAAGGAAATGAAAGAGCTGCACACTGAAAACTATAAAACATTAATAAAAAAACTGAAGAATTCACAAATAAATGAAAAGATATCCTATGTTCATGGATTAAAATAATTAATATTAAAATGTCCATATTACCCAAATCAATATATAGATTTTTAAAAATCCCTATCAAAATTCACATGTTATTGTTTACAGAAATAGAAAAAAAAATTGTATGGAAACACAAAAGATCCTGAATAGCAAAACAATCTTGAGAAAGAAAAATAAAAGTAGAGGCATCACACTTCCTAATTATTTAAAATTATATCACAAAGCTACAGTAATCCAAACAGTATAATACTGGCATGAAAACAGACACATAGACCAGTGGAAGAAAATAAAGAGTCCAGATATAAATCTAAACATATATGGTCAATTAATTTTCAACAAGGGCACCAAGAGGTTACTATAAAGAAAGGATAGTCTCTTCAATACATTGCACTGGGGAAACTGTGCTACCACATGCAAAAGAATGAAATTGCACCCTTATTTGACACAACACACAAAAATCAACTCTAAATGGATAAAAGACCTAAATGTAATATCTGAAATCATAAACCTCCAGAAGAGAAGATAGGGGCAAATCTCCTTCACATTGGCCTCAGCAATTATTTCTGGATATTACATCAAAAGCTCAGGGTATGGCCTCAGCAATTATTTTTGGATATTACATCAAAAGCTCAGCTACAAAAGCAAAAGTAAATAAATGGGACTACATCAAACTAAAAACCTAGTGCACAGCAAAGGAAACAATTAGCAAAATGAAAAAGCAGCTTACAAATTGAGAAAAATAATTTGTAAATTATATATCTGATAAGGAGTTAATAGTCAAAGTTTATAAAATAATTATTTAATTTAAGTCTTTAATCTATCGAGTTAATTTTTGAATATGGTGTAAAGAAGGGGTACAGTTTTAATCTTCTGCATATGGCTAGCCAATTATTCCAGCTTCATTTATTGAACAGGGAGTCCTTTCTCCATTGTTTGTTTTTGGCAGCTTTGTTGAAGATTAGATAGTGTAGGTATGTGGCCTTATTTCTGGGTTCTCTATTCTGTTCCATTTGTCTATGGTTACTGTAGCCCAGTAGTATAGTTTGAAGTGAGGTAACATAATGCCTCTAGCTTTGTTCTTATTGCCTAGGATTTCTTTGGCTATTTGGGTTCTTTTTTGGTTCCATATGAATTTTTAAATAGTTTTTTTCCAGTTCTGTGAAGATTTTCAATGTTAGTTTAATAGACAATACCATTTAGGACATAAGCATGGGCAAAGTTTTCATGATGAAGACACCAGAAATAATTGCAACAAAAGCAAAAATTGACAAATGGGATTGAATTAAACTAAAAAGCTTCTGCATAGCAAAAGAAACTATCAAAAGAATAAACAGATAACCTACAGAATGGGGGAAATTTTTGCATACTCTGCATCCAACAAAAGTCTAATATTCCGCATCTATAAGGAATTTAAATTTACAAGAAAAAACAACCCCATGCCCAATAACATGGGCAAAGGACATGAACAGACACTTTTAAAAAGAAGACATACATGTAGCCAACAATCATATAAAAAAAGTTCAACATCAGTGATTATTAGAGACATGCAAATCAAAACCACAATGAGATACCCTCTCACACCAGTTAGAATGGCTATTACTAAAATGTTAAAAAAAAAAACAGGTGCCAGTGAGGTTGTGGAGAAAAAGGAAGGCTTATACATTGTTGGTGGGAGTGTAAATTAGTTCAAACATTGTGGAAGACAGTATGGCAATTTCTTTAAGACCTAAAAACAGAAATACCACTCAACCTAACAATCCCATTACTTGGTATATAACCAAATGAATAGAAACCATTCTATTATGAAGCACACATATGTTCGTTGCAGCACTATTCAGAAGAGTAAAGGCATGCAATCAACCTAAATGACCCATCAATGACAAATTGGATAAACAATATATGGTACATATACACCATGAAATACCATGCAGCTATAAAAAAGAATGAGATCATGTCCTCTGCAGGAATATGGATGAAGCTGGAGGACATTATCCTTAACAAATTAACACAGGAAAAGAAAATAAAATATTGCATGTTCTCACTTATAAGTGGGAGCTAAATGATGAGAACACATGAACACATAGAGGGGTCAAGGAATAAATCATAAAAAATATTAGAAAATACTTTGCAGTAAATGAATATGAAAACATAATATACCAAAATTTACGGAATGCAGAGAAAGCAATGGAAAGAAGGAAATTTATAGGTGTTAACACATATTAACAAGAAGAATAATCTCAATCAAAATCCTCACTGGCCAATTTGAGAAACTAGAAAAAGAAGAGCAAACTAAACCCATACGAAGCCGTGGGAAAGAAACACTAAGGATTCGAGAAGAATGAAATAAAATAGAGAATAGAAACACAACACAGAAAAAAAACACAAAAGTTTGTTCTTTGAAAAGATATATAAAATTGAGACACTTTTGGCTATGCTGATAAAGAAATAAGAGAGAGGAGTCAAGTTATCAAAATTATGAATGAAAGAGGATTCATTATTACCAACCTTACAGAAATTAGAAGGATTATAAGGCAATGCTGTGAACAACTATATGCCGACAAATTAGATAATCTAGATTAAATGGGCAAATTCCTAGGAAATCACTAACTACAAAAACTGAGGCAAGAAGAAATAGAAAATCTAATAGATTTATAATAAGTAAAGAAATTGTTAGTATTTTAAAAAAATTTCATAAAGAAAGCTCAGCACCAGGGTCTTCCCTGGAAAATTCTACCAAATATTTAAAGAGCAATTACCACCAATCCTCATAAACTCTTTCAAAAATTAGTAGAGAAGGGAACACTTCCCAACTTATTCTATGAGGCTAGTATTATTTTGATTTCAAAACTAGACAAATACATCACAAGAAAACTACAAACATATATTTCATGAATATAGACATAAAAATTCTTAACAAAATAATATAAATAAAGTTTAACACCATGTAAAAAGAATTATACCCCATGACCAAGTTGGATTTAGCCTAGGAATTCAAGGTTGACTCAACATATAGAAATCAATATCATATGCCACATTAACAAAATAAGGAATTTTTTAAAAACATGATAATCTCAATATAATAAGACAAGGCATTTTTAAAAATCCAATACCCTTGCATAATAAACACACTCAACGAACTAGTAATAAAAGAGAACTTCCTCATTCTGATAAAGGTCATTTATTAAAAACTCATAATTAACATCATACTTACTGGTGAAAAACTGACAGTTTTTCCTGAGAGTTAGAAACAAGACAAGGATGTCCCCTCCCACAACTTCTACTCAACCTTGTATTGAAGGTGCTAGCCAGGGTAGTTAAGCAATAAAATAAATAAAATAAAATTATAAATAAAAGAAAGTCATCCACACTGGAAAGAAGGAAGTAAAACTATCTATATTTGCAGATAACATAATCTTGAACATAGAAAATTCTAAGGAATACACATTCACATATACACACACACAAATTACAGTTAATAAGTTAGTTCAATAGAGTGGAAGGATATAATACTAACATATAAAAATAAATTATATTTCTATATAGTAGCAATGAATAATCCAAAATTGAAATAAAAAATTATTTTATTACAAAATAATTTTATTAAAAGTGAATAAAATATTAGGAATAAATTTTACAAAAATAAGTTTAAGCCTTCCACACTTGGAAACTACAAACATCATCAAAATAAATTGAAGAAGACATTGATAAACGGAAAGACATCCTATGCTCATGAATTGAAAGCCCTGATTGTTAAGATGGCAATACTCCTCAAATTGATCTACAGATTTAATGCAATCCCTATCACAATCCTAGCTGGCTTTGCAGAAATTGACAAGTTGATCTCAAAATTCACATTAAAATTAGTGTGATAAAATTGGCGTGATAAAGTTGAATAGCCAAAACAATCTTGGATAAAAAAGAAAAAGTTGGAGGACTCACATTTCCTGTTTTCAAAACTTAATACGAAGTAATAGTAATCAAGAGTATATGATTCTGACATAACAATAGGCATATAGGTATAAGTGGAGTAGATTCGGGAGTCCAGAAAAAACTCATATTAGGTGGATGCAAATGTAGTTGCAGCTTTTGCATTGTTGGAATGTACCATTTGATACTGGCATACATTCTTAAATAAATGTGGTTATGTTTTATAGATAGATAGATAGATATCCCTATCATAAAATAAACTTCTATATATATATTCTAGAAATATATATATTCTAGAAGTATATATATATATTATATATATATATTTTTTTTTTTTGAGGTGGAGTTTATTCTGTCGCCCAGGCTGGAATGCAGTGGCCCAATCTCGGCTCACTGCAACCTCCACCTCCTGGATCCAAGCGATTCTCCTGCCTCAGCCTCCCGGGTAGCTGGGATTACAGATGCGTGCCACCACGCCCAGTAAATTTTTGTATTTTTAGTAGAGACATACACATACTCAGGGTTTCACCATGTTGGTTAGGCTGGTCTTGAACTCCTGACCTCAAGTGATCCACACTTCTCGGCCTCCCAAAGTGTTGGGATTACAGGTGTGAGCCACTGCACCCGTCCATGTTATATATAATTCTAATGGGCATTTCCCGTTTCGTGTTTTTTTGTTTTTTTTTTTTGTTTTTTTTTTTGCTAATGACATCACTTGCTGTTTATGTTTATTTTAGACTATGGAAATGATGTTAGACAAAAACAAATCCAAGCGATTTTCTTATTTGAGTTCAAAATGGGTCGTAAAAGAAGCGCAGACAACTCACGATATAAACAAAGCATTTGTCTCAGGAATTGCTAACGAACATACAGTGCATTCAAGAAGTTCAAGAAGTTTTGCAAAGGAAAAGAGATCCTTGTAGATGAGGAGCATAGTGGCCAGACATCGGAAGTCCACAATGACCATTTGAGAGCAATCATTGAAGCTGTTTCTCTAACAACTACATGAGAAGTTGCCAAAGAACTCAAACCTTGACGATTCTACAGCCCTTTAGCATTTGAAGCAAATTGGAAAGCTGGGAAAATCTCGCTAAGTGGGTGCCTCATGAGCTGAGCGAAAATTAAAAAATCCTCGTTTTGAAGTGTCATCTTCTCTTATTCTACACGACAAACCATTTCTTGATCTGATTGTGATGTGCGACAAAAAGTGACAACTGGCAACAACTAGCTCAGTGGTTGGAGTGAGAAAAAGCTCCAAAGCACTTCCCAAAGCCAAACTTGCACCAAATAAAGGTCATGGTCACTGTTTGGTGGTCGGGTCCACTGCAGCTTTCTGAATCTTCAGGCTTCAAAAGATACTATCAACAAAATTAAAAGATAACCTATAGAATGGGAAAAATATTTGCAAATTATCTATCTTGTAAACTTCTAGTCTTGAATGTATACAGAACTCTTGCAACTCGACAATAAGAGGACAAATAGCCAAATTTTTAAAAAGATAGACAAAGAATTTGAGCGGACATTTTTCCAAGGACAATACACAAATGGCTACCAAACACATGAAATATGTTCAACATCATTAATCATTAGAGAAATATAACTCAGAGTCACAATGAGATACCAGTTCACACCCACTGAGATAATTATAATTAAGACAGACAAGTGTTAGCTAGAATATAGAGATATTGGAACTCTTGTATGTTGCTGGTGGAAATGTAATATAGTACAGCTGCTTTGGAAATCAGTTCCTTAAAATGTTAAACATAGAGTTAACCTGTGACTTAGCAATTCGGCCTCAAGACATATACTTAAGAGAAATGAAAAACGTAGGCAGACAAAAACTTGCACATAAATGTTCATAGCAGCATTATTTATAATCATTAGCAAGTAGAAACAATGCAGATGTTCATCAATTAATAAACGGATAAACAAAATGTGGTATATCCATACAATGCAATATTATTTAGTAATAAAAAAGAATGAACTACAGATACATGTTACAACATGGATGAACTTGAAAACTTTATGCTAAGTGAGAGAATCCAGACACAAAAGGTCATATATTGTATGATTCCATTTATATGAAATGTCCAGAACAGGCAAATCTATAAAGGAGGTTAGTGGTTACCAGAAGCTGGGAGGGGGATATGGGAAGTGATTGGTAATTAATACAGGTTTTCCTCTTGGGGAGATTAAAATGTGCTGAAATTAATAGTGGTGGTGGCTGTAAAATCTTGTTAAAATACTAAAAACTTCTGAATTGTACACTTTAAAAGGGTGACTATTATGTTATGTGAATTATATATTTTTTAAAATTGTAGAAAAATGAATCATTACTCACCTTCATCTTTACTTGTTAAAAAAGTAGCTGTTGACATCAGAGACATTTTAAGTAATTCATTGGTGATTGTTCCTAGTTTGATAAAATAGATTAAATTATTATTAATCATAATCTCATGTTATCTGTCAATAAATAAAGTAAGTTAAATCTATAGGTGGACTGGCATTCTCCTTTGTCTATCTTTAATTTTTCCCATTTTCCAGTTCGTTTTGTCTAAAGAATATATGTATATTAAATATATGTATATTAAATATTTGGGTGGCCTACACACACACACACACACACACACACACACACATTTTTCATAATAAGTCCCCAAAACAAGTTTCCACTGAAGATTGTTACTTAGGTATCTTTAAACATGCAAAAAATTGTTACAAAATTCTAAATTCTAATGTTTAAAATCATTTTATTTTTCCCTGTGAGAAAAGTGACATGGTCAATAGGACTTAGGAGTATCATGCCTTTTTTTTTTCTAGAATTACATTTCATTTTATTGATGTAGTTATGGCAGTGAAACTTCTAAATGAACATACATCATGAAGGAACTTGAAAACTTCCCTATTAATTTGTGTGCCCTTCTTTGCTCTTTGCTCTTGAGGGCAGTATCCAATTCTAGTCCTTTTTTTTTTTTTTTTTTTTTTTTTTTTTTTTTTTGGAGACAGAATCTCGCTCTGTCGCCCAGGCTGGAGTGCAGTGGCGCGATCTCGGCTCACTGCAAGCTCTGCCTCCTGGGTTCACGCCATTCTCCTGCCTCAGCCTCCCGAGTAGATGGGACTACAGGCGCCCGCCACCACGCCCGGCTAATTTTTTTGTATTTTTTGTTGGTAGAGACGGGGTTTCACCGTGTTAGCGAGGATGGTCTCGATCTCATGATCCTCCCACCTCGGCCTCCCAAAATGCTGGGATTACAGGCGTGAGCCACTGTGCCCAGCCTCTAGTCACATTTTTAATCTTAGTATCAAGAATTATTCCTGGCATACACTAGGCATTTAGTCAATGTTGTTTCAACTAAGGAAGCACTCATATAACATATGAAAATCAACCAAGGGGCAAATCTGCCCTAAGTAGTCAACATGACTCATCAGTTTGATACCTACTCTCCAACTCTCTGTAATGGTCTTTCTCCCTCCCTCCCTCCCTCCCTCCCTTCTTCCTTCCTTCCTTTCTCCCTCCATCCCTCCCTCCCTTCCTTCCTTCTTTCTTTCCTTCCTTCCTTTTTTCCTTCCTTCTTTCCTTCCCCTTTTTCTTCTCTCCTTCTTGCTTGACAAGGTCTTGCTCTGTCACCCAGGCTGGAGTCCAGTGGTATGAGCATACCTCACTGCAGAATCAGACTTCTGGCCTCAAGTGATCCCCCAATTTCAACCACCCAAAGTGCTGAGATTACAGGTGTGAGCCGCAGCACCCGGCCCCTCTTCTTTGTTCCTTCCTTTTTTAACAATTTTATTTGCAGGTTTGTTGCATGGGCATATTGTGTGATTAGGGCAAAAAGCTATTTATTTTTAAAGATATTATATTATTTTGAGTCAATAAATGTTTATAATAGATTAAATCATTAAGATATCATAATTTTATTCTCTGCAAAATTGTTTCTTAAACTAGCATTCATTCATGCCATTTTCCAAAACAATCTTTGAGAAACATGTTGAATTCTATTTAGGCTACAACTGTTTCAAAGAAATGCCTAATTTGTAAACATTTCATATTTTGTGATGATAAAGTAAAAGCAAAATATCAACTTTGCCACTTCAAAATTCTATGAAAAGGAGAAACCAAAAAATCATGTACAAAGATATCCCAGGCACTTCATTTTCTATTCAAATATAACAGGGAACAGAAAGACAATGAATAAAAGGAGAAAGACTACAGAGAAAAATGGGGTACCCAAACTCATTTTTTTCTGACTAATCATACAAGAAATTTCCAAGAATGTTTTTAAAATTTTGTTCTTTATAGTTGTATCTAGTTAGTTTCTACATAGAGGATGTACAATGGAAACATCACCATATTTAGCACCCTGTGTGAGATAGGTGGCCAAAAGCATCAGGCTCCTTTACTGACTTCAGCTGAAATTTCTGGTACTAAATATTTTATTATCAGAAACTGTTAGTATCACTGTTGAGAAACTTTTATTCCTGCATTATAATTCAACTCTAGTATTGAAAAATACTAGACTATTCAATGTTTTTAAAATGAAGCTGAATAATAATCAACTTTTTAACTTAAAAAAATTAAATTTCAAGTTTCTTTTTTATCCTAGAAGTTCATTTTATGATAGGGATATTCAACATCTGTCAAATGTTGATTTTTAACTCCAGCCTTTTGGCCTTGCACAAAATGTGCATTGCACTTGATGTACATCTAGGAAGAGGTCAAGTCCCATTTCTCTAATTGGGTGAATCTCTGAGAGCAAGCCCTGCTCCAGGCGAAGCTCTATCAATCACGTCTGCCACTTCAGTGATTATGTTGCTGCAAGAAGAATTCTCATCTCAGTTGCACATTTTCCACTTTTTTGATGATAGAATTTCTGCCATTGGCAAGAAAAATAAATTGTATGTGATTTAGAAAGACATAAGCACTACTAGACCAATGATCTTTTGACCTTTAAACAAAAGAATTCTGATTAGGAAGCCTTAAAATGAAAACAAAGATGCTTTTCCATGTTGTGTTTTTTTGGTAAATACTTTCATCGTGGCTAAGAGGACCATACTGGACATGAGAAAGAGGGAATAAGGGACTTCTTCACTACAGATACCTTTTTTTTTGTATTATTGAGTAATTTTAAAAATTATTATTTTGGAGAATGGGACAGTGTATAAAACTCCTCCAAATTTAAGCCCCTCAGAGTCCTGAAATTAGTAAGTCAAATTTACTGATACACAATCCCTAGAACATGATAATTCTTAAGATAAATTCTCCATCTCCTTTATTACTGTATACTAATTGCGTTGCTCTTTGGAAGATGGGCATATTAAGTGTACTTAGTCTGACTCATCTAACCCTTAATACACAGTGGTGATCAAGTAAGCCAGACAAAAAGGAGTTATTTTCTCTGTTGTCTTTGTCCAATGTTGTTCCCTCATTCTCCTATAAGCACCACGGACCCCAATTTGCCTAACGGCTTTCTCAGCCCTACCACTGTGCCAGAATTTCTGTTTCCCACTCTGGATCCAAGCAGCTGAGGACCTGAGAGCCTGCCTTTCCTGCTTTATCTCTCTTCCACCTCGCTCTCTCAGTAGCTCTCATTAGAGACCCTAGAATAGACTAACCTCCTTCCTTTAATTTCCCTCCCACTGCTAGATTTATGTTTCGAGATTTTAACCCTTAAAATTCTCAAAATAAATATCAGATGATACTAAAGTATTGTTATTTATTTGGAGGATTTGATGATGGCATGGTAGCTTTGTGATTGTCTATATTTTTTGAGATGCATATTTAATGTATAGAAGTAAACTGGCATGAAGTCTGGGTTCCCTTCAAAGTACCTTGACAACCAAATTAAGAGAGAGAGTGAAACAGAAAGAAGGCAGGAAGGGGAAATAAAAAGAAAAATGAAGCAAATGTGATAAAATCTAGATAAAGAGTGATTTGGGGAGATGGACATATGGAGATTAATTACAGTATTCTCTACTTTCGGATATAGCTGTCTATTTTTATAATAAAAATTGATAAAAAGTAAAACTTCTCTGACCCATTACATTCTTTATAATTGTATATGAATAATTTAACACTCAAGTGCATAACTACTGAAGGACACAGACAACAGTGTAGTTTATATTAAATGGGTAATATAAATCAGTGAAAGTGTCCCAAAAAAGGAGTGTGTGTGTGTATGTGTGGGTGTATGTATGTAACCTCAAGTATTCTATGCACTTGCTTCAAAGAAGGATGCTTCAGTGTTCTGCTATGGAGGGCCCCAAGTAGTAAAGTTGCTAAAAATGGTTTGGTTTCATCTTATAATCAAACAATGCAGAAATAATGGACTATGATCATAGTACTCTTTGTCTCTGAGAATCACCACCCTATTCAAGCCCAGCGAACTAGCTTTCATTGGTCTTCTGCATATGTTTGACCCTAGTCTTAGACTGAAAATTAAGGGGGGAATAGAAAGAGGTAAAAAAGACAGCATAAGAATTTCAGTTATCCATTCATCAAGATATATGATTTTCTGGGGTCTTTCTATGACCTTAGCATTCTAACCAGAGTTTTTGTCCATAGACAATCCACAAATCTGTTTTCCATTGATTACAGGACCTGTGTGATATGCCTTATTTTTTGTGTGTTGCAAGATGGGCAGATGCAGTATGCATTGCATTGATAATCTCTTGTTTTTTTTAATGGAAGTATTCTAATGGCTTTTAACATTTTTGTGGATGGTAAAGTAATCTCCTTTAATACCTAGCTAGATATAGTTGTCACTCAGTCCAGCAACAATAATGATTACATTGCTACTGAAACCTACAAGTTAAATCTATTATCAACAGAATGCAACCAACAAAACCAATCTGTTATTAATACAGTTTCACCATGTTGGCTGTGCTGCTTAGGTGGAGAACTGGAATATTTAGAAAGATATTTTATGACTTAGGACATGGCAATTTCTTTCTTCTCTAAAAATAAACTTTGTGTATGTAACATTCACAATAGAATCATTCTCAAACAGGTTGTGATCCCAAAGAATATCAACAAAGCGGCCCACTGAGATCTCAGGGTTTTGTATGGAACCCCAAATAACACATAATTTCAAAATCGTGAAATAGCACTGACCTTTATAACAATCAGATATAAGATCCCGAATTATTTTTTCATACTGATGTATATACATACTACTAATTTTATTTGTTAAAGTTAAACTAAATTTACTAACAGTTAATCCTACCTTTAGGAGTTGTTCCAGTTGTTGGTGTGACAACATTTTTCTGTAATGATTCTGTGTTTGGTGTTGTTATAGATGGTTTTGTTGTAGTAACAACAAGTGAATTATTAGCTGCCTCTAAAACACCTGAAAAAAGTAAAGTAGTTGCATTAACATTTACATATAGTTTGCCAATTAATAGACTAGTATATTTAAACAAGTGTACTGGTCAGTAGAATGTGAATTTGCAACCAATTTTCCAGTTGTAATCAATTTATCCTTAGCTCAGCATTTATTCATTAACTGCATCTACTTCTCCCCAGTGGCATGAATTTTCAAGATGGCTGGTAGGAGCAGTTTGTGGTTTCAGAGCAATATAATTTCTGAGAAAACTAATGAGGAATAAATGTATAAATCTGAAATTTAATAATATTTTTAATCCAACGAAACTAACCTTGCCAGATGAAATGCTTAAATGGGCACTCTCTGGGCAGTAGATGTTTCACTAAATATTTTTACATCACATTAAAGTTATTAAGTAGTAAAATGTCAAAATTAGTATATGTCTTCTTGATATAAAGCACTCTATATAAATGTGTACTATATAAAGTATAAAATATAAAACATTATAATTAATAAAGACAAGAGTATACATATATACATATACATATATGTGTATATATATACACACACATATATATACACACAAAGATAAGTTCCAAAGAAAGACAATAATCTTTAATGAAATTCAACAACTGCAACATACTTAAAAGTAATAGGGCCACCATAAATCCACATTTTTTAATTGTTTATTTCTCTAAATTTTAACATTAATTGGGCAGGCAAAGGCACAGAAATGAAGGCAATACATTTTGATCCATATTATATATTTCTTTTAAATAAGGATTCTTAAAACTTCTATTGAAACAAATGATGAAATCAGTCTTCTGTAACAACCAGAGTTGGCAAAATCATCATTTCATTATTATTTTTCAAAGTGAAGTATGTAAGATTTAACTCAGTGTTCTATGAAAAGATTTACTTCACATAAAATTATTGTAATTTATTAGCATTTATAAAATATTTTTAGTCCTGTATTTTGTTGTTTTCATCTCTGGAAATACAGTTTTATGTTAAAAATCAAAATACAGCGAGCAAGTGTATAAGAGAATTTGGAAAAAAATATTCACGTCTATGGAAAGCATTGTTTTTTGTTGTTACTTGGTCTGGATAGAGTATATATACCATGTTAGTTAAGAGGATGGACTTTGAATAATACAGGCATATTCAAATCCCAGTCAAACTGGGTATGTTATTATAGTAAATGTATGTCAATAGTATGACTTCTCAAATTTAAATTACATTTGAAATGTTCCTTTTGAATCTGAGAAAAACCAATAATCTAGCATGTCAGTGAAACTAATATCTCAAATGTCATGACATAGAGAATATGTGCTGTATAATTTTATAGTCTTGAGATGCTTGGAAGTGTTAGTTCTTAGCACTGACTCTTTATAGATAGCACATAGAAATTGCTTGATGTATTCAGCACATAGAGAAAAGTGTTCAGCACATACAGAAATGATAGAACTGCATTTTCACAGGCTTTATGGAAATCAAGTCAAAAGCTTTTTTCACCTCTGGAGGTGCACTTCACACCCTTGGTCTTACCTCCCTACCCCACAATATTCAGCAGGGAGCAGGAATGCAGCCTCTAGAAGCTTATCTTTTCTCCATTAGTCATTTTGTTCTGGCTATTTTTGTTTTAGCCTTAACTTCTATGATGTAACACTAATTTTAAATTTCATATTGAGGTTGAAGAAATTACAAAATAAATACCACTTAGACAGGAAAATTCACCTATAAATAGCCTGAATGATCCTCACCTATGGACTTCCTAAATAGTAACATTCTTAATTTCTGAGCATAATCAACGTCTTTAGAGATGTTTTCCTTCCTTCCTTCCTTTCTTCCTTCCTTCCTTCTTCCCTTCCTCCCTTCCTTCTTTCCTCCCTCTTTCCTTCTTTCTCTTCCTTCCTCCTTCCTTCTTTCCCTTCCTTTCCTTCTCTCGTTTTCTCCCTCAATATTTATTGAGCAACTACTTATGTAAAAATCATGATTAGATACAATAAAAGACTCTATGATTTATCACATGATATCAAACATTACTTTCAGTCTGGTAGGAAATATAATGCCTATGCACAATAAATAATAATGTATATCATATATGGGTTGTATAAACCAGTGTTTTTCATACTGCAGGTTGTGATACAATTAAAGAATAATTAAATCTCTGTAGTAGATTACAGTCAGAGCTTTTTCCAAGTTGGTAAAGAAAAGAAACAATATGAGAGTGGTATTGCAAATAATAGGGTAAGTATTGTTTCATGAAGCTTTGGTATAGGTGTGTGTGTGTGTGTTGTGTGTAAGTCTGCACGAAATGTGTGCCAATGCAAAATACATTTCTTAATGTGATTCTAGTTAAAAATTTGAAAGCTGCTGGACAAACAATAAATTGGAAAAGACTTTATAAGATAAAATAAGACTACTCTGCTGGCATGAATAATGAATACTTCATGCTAGGAGCTAGGGCTGGAAGAGTAATAATATATCCATGCAGGGAGAGGAAAGGGCATGAGCAGAGCTCTGGAGTGGAGAAGTGAAAGGTATTTCAGAGTACTGCAAACAGTTCTGTCTAGCTGGATTGCAGTGTGCTATGAAGGAACATAGTGCGCATGATCTGGGAAAATACTGAAGGCGAACTGTAGAGGACCATGAACACCCAGACCAAGATTTAAGATTTTATCAAGTCACTGGAGAGCCATGGAAAGTGACCAAACAGAAATTCCACCCTAGGAAAGACAATGGGAAAATGCATGGGGCAGAGAATGAGAAGACACCAGTTGGATCAAGCTGCAAGCCTTCATTTTTATATTTATTAATGTCCTCTGCCCTTTTGAAGTCATCATGTGACATCAATGAGTTCACATCCAAAAAATGACTGTATGAAAACTACAATTAAGTGAATTTCTAACCACTGGTGCAGTAAGATTGAGATGTACTGTAAGGCTTTTCCTCCTCAACATCCTTAAACATATTTGGCCCCTGATTTCCCCTGAGTCAAACTTTAATTAATTAGTACTCTTTAACATCTCTATTATTAGTTCTTTGGGTTGTTTAACAAACAGCATGCCCTCTTTTGGCAAGGGCTGACAACTCCTAAAAGTACTGAGTGTGCCATATTCCAGGCTCAATGTAAATACTTTCTGTGGGTTATCTAATTTAAAGACACAAAGAGGCTCATATTCTTATGATCATCATTTTATGGATAAGCACACTGAGGCTCAAAAAGGGTAAACAGTTTGCCAACACTATGCACTGTTAAGTGATATAGTTGGTATTTAAATTCAGACAGCCTTGACTTCAGATAATATATTCTTAACCATCACACATCTGGCCATAAGAAGGTAGTGTTATGCAAAGCTACATACCTCAGCTCCAGCTGCTCTCTGCTTTTGACAGGGTGTGATAGTGACTAGGCACACACATGTTTTGCTCTTATGTAACTACAATGAGGAAATAGACAAAATAGTTCACTATTTTTTTCTTGAAAAAAACCAAACATTTCAAGTGCCACATATATACATGTGTATGTATACATACGAACACATAAAATGTTTCCATATTAGACTTCAAGCTTCAAAGGAAATTTCCCACTGGATAACACTATTTAGATCTGAAAAATGCAAAAAAAAGTTTTTCATTTAGAAAAATTTTGCAACTGGAAACTTTGTCTTACCATGTGGTGGAAAAGAATTATTTCCTCTAACTACCATGGTTGAAGGTTTTGTAGACCATGATGCAAGTAACACCAGATATGCTTTTACTGTATTATCTGTAAATTCCTTCTAGGTCTTATTTGATTTTGTAATAAACCATTGAGAGGAATAGCTTATTCTAAAGTATCTCCTTTTCACAGGACATGGTGAGATACTATTTTTTTCCTCTGTATGTCAAAATGATTAAAGATAAATTTAACAAGGCAAATTGAGCCTCATGACTTTACTTGTGCCAAAGCAGATAGCGCTGCTCTTGGGATGTTGTAAGAGAAACAGATGGTATTTTGTCCTGATTCTACCCTGTCCCCATATATCCAGACTTAGAGAGCTCAAGGGATACTGTGATACGAGTTTCCTGTACTACAAAGGATGAAGCATTATCTGAATATTAAGAAAATAACTATTCTAATTATAAAAATTCTATGATAGATTTTTGCTGAGGTCTTTCCATAGATTCTGAAATAGTTCTGTATTCTCTGAAGTTCAATATAGGAAATTCCCAAATGTGCACATATAGGGTCTTTAATGTGAACTTGCTTTGTTTTTTATCTTTGAGAATTCAGCTTATAGTTGGAAACTAAATATATTTTCTCTGTTTTCAAATGATAAAGTCATCTACTCTTTGTAATTACAAAGCATGTCTAATCTTTGTAATTATATTTTTAGATAATTGTCAAATAGTCACTAAAAGGTTTTTGTTTAAAGGGACAGGGTCTTGCTATTTTTCTCAGACTGGCCTTGAACTCCTGCGCTCAAGATATCATCTCACCTATGCCTCCTGAGTAGCTAGGATTACAGGTGTGCACCATGACTGGCTAAAGTCAGAGTTTTTATCCATTCTTATAATGAGTAGTGCTCTCTCCAGCTATCTTTCCTCTTTGGGACGGCGGATCACCTCTCCTTTACTAAGTCTACACCTAAAGTCCAGTAGAAATCCACTACTAAAGAAAGTAGATCTGGCTTCTTCTAGATCAACATAAACATTGAAGACAGTAACTTAAAATTCCAGGATGATTTGAGATCGGGAAATAAATTTTTTGGTATCCTAATGAAATATAATCTTTGCATTTTCTAGCTTAGAAAAGTTATGAGTTTTAGGGTAGTTTCAGAAGATCATAGCACCAATTAGTAAAAAAGTTTCTTTTATTTCTATTTCAGTACTCTTGATTACATGATATACAAAAATCTGTTTTTGTTTCTAATTATACTACTTGGGTATATGGAATGCACTTGCCCTCTGAATTATCTCTGAGAACATATTTACTTGCCAGTGTGCTCCATAAACAAAATTTTGGAAGGAAGGTTTAAACTCTTAAAGAAAATGATTTCTTCAAAAATATATAATTACGGTACATGCAAAATGCTAATTACCAGGTGGTCTTATAAATGTCAAATGCCCTATTATTAGGTAATAATGTCATAACCTAGACCAACTAATTTATGGAATTGATATTAAAACAATTTTAATTCTTAACAACTTACAATGTCTTATTTCTACAAATTTATATGGTCTTCATGCATTGCTACCTTGTATTTATTCCCAGCAACTCAGTGTTTTACAATTTTTTGAAAATTTTATCTTAAAATAAAATAATTGCCAGTTTTTCAGTTATGATTTTGTGCATTTTTATTCTCTGGTGTATCACAGTATATCATGAACAAAAATGTACTTCTTAAGTTTGCATGTAATGGCAATGCATAAATTGGGACTTATAAATGGTAGGAGGGTCCCTTTTCATTGTAATTTTTCAGTAATTGCTAACATTATAATTCTTATTGTATACTTTCTATGGCAGCAAATGACCATTAATGAACTGTAAGTTGAAAATTTCTGTCTTTCTCACATATTAAAGAGATATATAAAATATATACATAAAAATATAATAAAATATACAAAAATAGATACAAATAAAATAAAGTACTGTTTCCATATTTGCATCAAATAGTCTTCATAAAAGACCTGGCACCAACTTCTTTTTGATTATTAATTTCATATTAACACGGTTGTACACTAATGGTGCTCCTTCTCTTTTGATATGGGAGAGGTCACTTTGATCCATGGCCAACCACATTAAATGCAGCAAATTTTTTCAGTTAAAAGAAAAAAATTATTATGTGATGATGCAACCTGGATAATTTCTTCTGTTTGCCTTCCTCCAAAAATTGTAAGATATCATATAAAAATGTATAAGTAACTCATTAGCCAAGAGTCATTTGCCTCAATAAATATTTATTCAGCATCAATTTCAACAGGTGTTAAGCACAATTTTAAAATGTGTGTTTTTCCTAGAGTAACTTAAAAGTTTTTTTCTGATGCTTAAGCTATAAATACATGTGAAACAACTAGAAGATTATGCTTGCAGTTGTGCCATATAAAAATGGTGTTATATAATTAGTACTATACATAGCTGGTTCTACACAATATTAAGTGAAATCAAAGTGAGGTCATGTCTCTCTACGTGTCTGGCATAATCAGAAATTATTTTCTTGGAGGAAAATTTTTCAAGAAAAGCCAGATAACTGAACACAACAGGGAAAGAAAAAAGTTTATATTCAAATAGAAGAGGAAAACCAATAGTGCCAATAATAGGAGGTCCAAAAAGGGACATTGACAATGTTACACATTAATAAGCCTAATATTTTGGGAGGGGAAATCAGGGAAATCCCATTTACAATGAAAACATCAGAGCTAGGGGCAACTCTTGTAAAAGAAGCTTTTAAATTTAAAGTACATTTTCAATTAAAGCTAAAAAGTATTGTAGCAAGCACAACAGTTCTGAGAGTGTTTAAATTTCCTATATGAAATGACTTTGGAAGATAAGTAAGAAAATCTCATCTCTCGCAGAGAGAAAAATATTTAGATAAGTGGGAGAAAGCTGCACCTGAAAGAGGAATCTCCTCAGGTTGCCAGCCATCTGTGAGGTGGGGAGGGAGTGCCAAGCCTGGCAGGCTCTGAGATTGGACAGGTGTCTCAGCCACCTGGCCGCTCTGGGGAGAACAGGAAGACAGCATTCCAGTGGTGAGTTTGTTAAACAGAAAACAACAATATCTGCAAAATGGACCCAAGAACCTGAGATGTCCTGGCTGACAAATGGATGGAGGTGTACAAGGTAAATTGCCTACACTCACCCAGGTGTCTTGTTCAAAAGTACGGGGCCATGCAGTTATTTTTCCTTCACAAATGGATAATTCTTCAAAGATCATGTTCCATAGTAATGAGATATTTTTAGATTGTGGACTTTAGTATAAGGAGTCATTTTATATATTATAGCCAGTTTGGTTGAGGAATTTCAAATCCTGAGGTAAAAAAGGCAAAGGTTACATTTAATATTTATAAATGTAGGAGTGGGAGGAAAAAGGAATATCTTGGCAATGCTCCTTGGCCTTCAGACACTTGTCCTGAGATCCCTTTCTTCCTCCATACAGTTCTCTGAATCTAGAAAGGAACTATGGTTCTGCAGCTCAAAAACTACCTTCCAACGAAGTAAGATGCTGGGGCTCAGCACATCCCTGTAAGCAACAACAAATCCTTATAAGGAAGTTACCTTCCAAGGAAGTAAGATGCTGGAGCTCAGCACATCCTTGTAGGGAGCAACAAAAGCAATCAAGTCTCTTGGATCCATCTCATGACTTCAGACAAGGGATCACTTTGGGTGCCCTCTCAGTCCTGAGGGGAGCAGCACTGCTTTGTCCCTTTTCTGGGCTCCACATAGAGGAGGGGAAAGTAGGAGAGGATGCAGTTCCTATTATCTCTTGAATTAAATCTTCGGCTTTTGATAGAGTTAGGAGTTGTGTCCCCACCCAAATCTCATCTTGAATTGTGATCTCCATAATCCCCATGTGTCAAGGGAGAGACCAGATGGAGATAGCTGAATCATGGGGACAGTTTTCCCCATGCTGTTTTCATGACAGTGAGTGAGTCTCATGAAATCTGATGGTTTTATAAAGGGTATTTCCTGTGCACTTGCACACATGCTCTCCCACCTGCCGTCATGTAAGACATGAGTTTGCTTCTCCTTCACCTTCCACTGTGATTGTAAGTTTCCTGAGGCATTTCCAGCAGTGCAGAACGGTGAGTCCATTAAACCTCTTTTCTTTATAAATTACTGAGTCTTGGGTACTTCTTCATAGCAGTATAGAATGGACTAATACAGCTTTCCTCTGAACTTCAAAGGTAGCCACTTACAATCTTAATTTGTAAAGTACTGGCTCTCCTGAGCATTTCTTTGGAGACAAGGAGAGTCTCACTGGACACTTTTTACTAGCAGATCACATTAGTTTAGTATAGTGACTTGCACACATGAAATGGCATGATGGAAGAAAATTACAAACCTGGCAACTCTGACATTAGCTAACTGTGTAACTGTGTGAGCCACTTTACCTTGCTGGGCCTCCATTTTTTCATCTATAAAAAGTGACTATTGAGCAATGTCTCCTCAACTGTGAAACTGTATTACATCTAAGGTTCAGTTACAATGTAAATATCCATCATGACAAATAATAAAGAATAACTTGCATTTATACATATCAAGGGGAAGCTTGTATGTCAGGAGTTCTACATAATTGGTCTATGGAGTTATTAACTTCTTACCTGGGAGAAATCTGTGCCCAAAAGGGAATTGTGTATTTTAGGGGACAAAGATAACTACATTCATTTACAATTTGGTGATGTTGCCTGGATTAAATGTATTTCCCTTTAGTGTGTTGATCTACCCAGAACTAGAGAAAATGTTAAAGGTAAAATTTGAAACAGACATTTGGAATACTTTGCTTTGGAATTTTCTTTTCACCATAGAAGAGCAAGTATAATAAGATGAAATCTTTTTATAGATAAATCAATTCCTACCTGAATAAACAGAGCCCATATTCAATACGTTAGCTAATTCCCTTTTAAAGTGTAGTATGTGTATGTTATGCCTATAATTAGTGAAAACTGAGTTTCTAAAAATAGTCTACAGTATTGCACTTGAAGCTAGAACATGATATTTGACTGAGTCTGAGATGTCTTGCTTTTCATATTATCTACTCTTATTTTTCTTTTCTCTAAATGTAAAGAAAAACTATTTAGTTGATTTAAAATACTCCTTAGTTTGTATCAACTGAAAGACTAGTTATAAAGGGGTAAAATTTTAAAAGTTATTTTTACCTTCTAAAAAATCAGAGAGAATTTTTTTTGCCCTGAAAGGTTGTTTTAAGTTACAGAAAATGTAACTTAAATGACTGGCATTCCAAGAAAACAAGCACATATAACAATAATTACTTTTATTTACATTATTTGATTCTAATAACAATTTTGTGAAACAGTTGAACAGGCACTACTTGTATCTCCATTTTATAGATGGAGAAACCTGGTAACCAATTTTGACTTTTGAAGATGCAGTCAGAAAGTGTTAGAGCCTTGTTCAAATTCAGGTGATCTAGTCTCAGCTTCCATGTTCTCTTTCTCTACATTGGCTATAGGTTTAGAACTGTAATATGAAATTATGCTGTTTGTGGTTGCAGTATTCCCATGCTACTACTTTAGTACTCTGATGACTTTAAAGAGTTCATTTTTCCCTTATGCTATTCCTAATCATTATGAAAATAAATGTAACAAATTAGGGTATATGATCTTATGGTAATTCTATTTTTAATTTTTTGAGGAACCTCCATACAGTTTTCCACAATGATGGTAGTAATTTAGATTCACAGCAGCAGTGTGGAGTCATGTGACACATAACACCATTTCAGTCAGTGACAGACCACATATGCAAGAGCAAGATGATAAAGGAGCTGAAAAATTCCTGTTGTCTAATGACATCATAGCTGTTGTAATGTTGCAGTACAATGCATTACTGACATGTTTGTGGTGATGCTAGTATAAAAAAACCTGTGCTGCCAGTCATGTTCAAGTATAGCATATATAATTATGTACAGTATATAATATCTGATAATGATAATAAATGACTATGTTACTGGTTTATGTATATACCATACAGTCAACCCTCTATATCTGCACCTACAAATTCAACCAAATGCGGTATTTCTGGGATACAAAACCTGTGGATACGGAAGACCAGCTTTTCATATCTGTGGGCTCCACAAGGCCGACTGTGGGACTTGAGCATGCCTAGATTTCAGTACCTGCAGGTGTCCTAGAACCAACCTCGTTGGATACTGAAACACAACTGCATTACTTTATTATCATTATTTTAGAGTGTACATCTATTTATTTAAAAAAAGATGGTTAACTAGAAAGCAGCCTCAGAGAGTTCCTTCATTAGGTATTTCAGAAGAAGACATTATTATAGGAGATGATAGCTCCATGAATGTTATTGCCCTTGAAGACCTTCCAGTGGGACAAGATGTGGAGGTGAAAGAGAGTGATATTGATGATCATAGCCCTGTGTATGGCTAGGCTAATATGTGTTTTTGTGTCTTAATTTTTTACAACTTGAAAAAGTAAAAAAAAAAAAAAAGATTAAAAACAGAAAAAAGCTTATAGATTAAGAATATTAAAAAAGAAACTATTTTTGTACAGCTGTGCAATGTGTTTGTGTTTTAAGCTAAGTGTTATTACAAAAGACTCAAAAAGTTAAAAAAATTAAAAATGTCATAAGGTAAAAACATTACCATAAGATAAGCTTAACATATTAGTATAGAAAAAAATATTTTTTATAAACTTGGTATAGCCCAAGTATACAGTGTTTATACAGTCTATAGCATTGTGCAGTAAATTCCTAGACCTTCACATTCACTGGCCACTCACTCACTGACTCACCCAGGGCAACTTCCAGTCCTGTAAGCCCTATTCATGGTAAGTGCCCTATACAGGTGTACTGTTTTTACTGTGCCTTTTCTATGTTTAGATACATGCATACTTACCATTGTATTTAAATTGCCTACTGTATTCCATACAATAACATGTTACATCGGTTTTTAGCCTAAGAGCAAGAGGTTATACCATAAGGCCTAGGTGTGTAGTAGGTTGTGTAAGTGCGCTTTATGATGTTCACACAATGACCTAACAAGACGTTTCGTAGAATGTATCCCCATCATTAAACACTGCATGACTGTACTAGGGTTCCGTTTTCTCTACATCCTATCTAATACATATCTTCTTTTATATTTTTTATAGTAGCCATTCTAACAGGTATGAGGTGGTATCTCATTGTGATTTTAATTTGCATTTTCCCTAAAGATTAACGACATTGAGCATTTTTTCATATATCTGTTGGCCATTTATATGTTTTTACTGAGAAATGTCTCTTTAGTTCTCTTACCCATTTCCAGTTGGGAATTATTTTCTTTCTATAGAGTTGTTTGAGTTTCTTATATATTCTGGATACTCTTTTATGATAGCTATGGCTTGCAAATATTTTCTCCCTATCTATAGGTTGATTCTTCATTCTGTTGTTTCCTTTGATGTATAGGGCTTTTTATTTTTATGTAATCCCATTTGTCTGTTTTAGCTTTTGTTGCCTGCATGTGGGGGATCAAATATAAAACAAACTTTGCCTAGACTAATGTCTCTATTCTGTTCCATAGGTTGATGAATCTACTCTTACGCTAGCACTATACTATTTTAATTACTATTGCTTTGCCGAGGAACTAGCTGCACCACACTTGGGAATTTAACAGCTCTCTGCATGGCCTCAAAGTCCATCTCCAGTTCTTGCCAAGGGAGGGAGATGACCATCACAGCAAATTTTAGCAAAGATCAGAGGCTAAATCTGCCATACCTATGAATTTAAACAGTGTTCAGCCAAACCTAAAAGCCCCCCTGCCTCAAGGCTCCCCATAGGCAGGTGGGCAAACTTCAACCGTGCAATTCTACAGAGCAAAGCAGTTGGTCCCATCCATCCTGATCAGCAACTCCACCTAACCTTAGGGCCCCTTCAGCAACCCTGTCCAACTCTTAAAATAAAATAGTGGTACCACTTGACCAAGGAATAGACCCTGTAACCTGGCCCAACATGAGGTGGTTGCAGTGCCTATCCAGCAGCTTAGCCTGATAACAGAGGTCAGTCAGTGGTCTTGCCACATAGCAGAGCCCAGCCAGCTGCCTCACCCAAATTAATAGCAAAGGCAGTAGGCCAGCTATCTAGAGAACTCAAAAGCAGGCTCTCTCTGACCAGGGTTGTTACCAACTGGTTCATCTAGAATCACAGGCTAGACTAAATAGTGAAAGTTTATTCCTTCCAAAGAACACCTGTGAAATTTAGAAAAAGTAGCTGTCTCCTCACATGTACAGACACCAATGCAAGGATACGAGGATTACAAAGACTTAGGAAATGATGACACCTCCAAAAGAAACTATTAAAGTCCCAACAGTAACCCTAAAGGGAGATCTAAGAAATGACAGGAAAAATATCAGAGTAATTCTCTTGAAGAAGTTCAATGAACTATAAGAAAATAGGAATAAAAAATTAATGAAATTAATACACAAACATTAAATGAAACAATACAATACACAAACAAAATGAGAAGTATGACAAAGAAATAGAAACAACTTAGAAAACCAAATAGAAATCCTTGAGATAAAGAATACAATGACTAAACTGAAAAATGCAATAGAAAGCTCCAGCATCAGACTCAAAGAATCAGTGAGCTTAAAGATAGAACATTTGAAATTGTCCAATCAGAGGAGCAAAAAGAAAAAAGAATGAAAAAAGCCTGTAGCAATTGTGGGATACCATTAAGAGACCAAACATACACATAATGGGAATTTAAGAGAAAAGCAAAAGAGGAAAAGAAAGAGAAAAGAGACAGCATATTTAAAGAAGTAATGGCTGAAAACTTCCCTAATCTGGGGGAAAATTTTAACATTCAGATACAGGAAGTGCAGATGTCTTAAATCAAATTCGATCCAAATATGAGTTCACCAAGACACATCACAATCAAACTACCAAAACATTAAAGATGAATAAAAAATTCAGAAAGCAACAATAGATAAAAAACACATCATATATAAAGGGATCCCAATACAACTATCAACATACTTCCCAGAATATTATTCTTTAATATATATATCCAATGTCCTTTGCGAATGGAAGAGAAGACACTAAATAAATCAAAATAATTTATTACCAGAAAAAAAGCAAGGGGTGGTGTAGTGTAGGGAGTAGAAAACGCGGTCTGGGGGCCATGTTGCCCAATTTGAGTCCAGGCCCCATCACTTATCAGCTATGTGACCATATGCAAACAGCTTAACCTTTTTAGCCTCAGTTTATAATCTCATAGAAATCTACCTTATAGACTTTTTGTGCAGATCTAGAGATTAAAACATATAAAAAGTTAAGAAGTACAGCTAACATCTGGGTTACACTTGAATTTATCATGTTTATAACTCAATGATATAAAGTACATTTTAGAGTTCTACCATTAGGTTATGTTCCTTGCTAATACTGTCGCTATACAGTCAGTTAACTAGTTAATGGGGCCATCTCCAACCCATTTAGTAAGTTCAGGACACTAAAATCTTTTGAATGAAAACTTAATCTCCTCCCTAACTCATAATCTTATTCTCTGAATTTTGTCAACTTTGATGACCACTTTTCTAGAATTTATAAATTATACTTATTATTCTCTTTTTCTAATATCCTTTCACCATTCCTTCTAAGAAACTGTGATTATAGTTGTAAAACAAAAAGATTGCAGAATAGAAAAAAGAAAACTTGCAAATTGGGCTCATGTGGCGGAAGAAAGAGATTTTACCTGTTATGGTTCTGTGGGCTCCACATTAAGTGCTCTCATGCTCTAGACCTTGGGCTACTGGGAACTGCAGAGTTTACACCAGGGATCTTTGAATCCATATTCACACTAAATATTGTCTATATATGGATAAAATGATTTACCCATCTATGCTACTAATTTTAAAATCAGTAACTTCTATTCTGATTAAAAGTGTATGAAATTTTAGAAATTGCAAAATATTTAGTAGCATTTTATTTGTTTCCTCAAATGATGAATGCAATTATTATTTTACACGGGGGTTGTTTCACAACTTTTTTCCATATAAGTGAGTTATTTATATTTTAAGAGTTGGGGGACCACTCCTCTGTGGATCTTCAATTAGTATAGCAGTAGAAGTAGAGTTTATTTAAATTCACTCAAGTCTTCATATAGCATCACAGGACAAATCCATAATCTGACAGCTTTTCTTATTCATTCCCTGCAAATAGTCAGAGACTTTCTTCAAACATTGATGACTCATACTTTTTAATTAAAAACAAATAAGCAAATACCTACAGAGTAGAGGATTTATAGCTCTTTGGTTCCAGGATATACCAGTTCTAAGTGCTGGGACAAAAACATATCTTTTCCTTTTCCAAATCTGTTCCCCCAGTTTCTCCACATTGGATGTGGAAAAACTGCTCTGAACCACATGCTCAGCAAGAGGCCATCATGTATTTATCCAAGAACAAAGAAGAATTCATGATTGTCTGATTTTTGATTTTTTATACTAGCTTTTATATGGTATAGTTTCCAAATTAAAAATATTTTGAGCTATGTCATTAAGATGCCATCAAAAGAGTTACTTGTGGTGGGTTAATTAAAGTGAACACATTTAGAAATAACTCTGCATGTTGTGGGACAGATGTAGCCTTTGGAGAAGGAATGAGCCTACACTGAACATTACAACATAGTTTTGTATTTAGTAATAGGCAACAGACACAGTTTCAGAATATGCTCAAAGTCTGGTTGGGGAGTATCTGCTCTGCTGACAGTGGGAGAAATCAGGAAATTCATATTTAAAAAGAAGGAGATCAAGAAGTAAACAGCATATCTTTGCTTCTCAATCAACTCAAACTTGCTTCATTATTTAAAAGTAGTAACCTGTTGTATAACATTGGCCAACTTTAACTAGAAAAACAAACCACTCCAGAATCCCTTCTCAAATTCCAAGACACAGATGAGGACAGAAATGATAATTATCTAAGTACACATGGTCAGGTGTACCCTTGCAAGAGGCAATTTTGGAAATTTAAAAGAATGTCTAGAACTGAGAGTAAAAGAAAGAGCTGAAGATAAATGAATTTTTCTGCTGCGGAAAATAAAACAAAACTTGTTATACTTTTTTTTTTGCCCCAAGAGTATGGGTAAGAGAAGAGAAAAAAGGTCAAGAAAAAATGAAGCATCCAAAGGACTTTTAAGAACAAAAATATCTAAAACTCACCCTTTGCATTACTGTGATATAAACCTCCCATCACCTACCAAGATTTTAATTAACTGTATTTTTTTTGTCATCCATGAAGGAAGGGGAACTACATTTTGGTTGTTGCTAATGTGAATTTAAAAAAAAGTCATAAGAATCCAAAGAAATATGAGATTTGACAGATGCAGGGAGCTGGGAAGAAAAGTGAGCGTGAGAACTTAATCCTCCCTCTACCACATGGGATTTGCAGAAATTGGTGGCATTGGATTTTTGAGCATAGAATAAGTCTTCAATCTCAACATATTTTATATTAAAGGGTGGCAATACCTAGATGATATTTGAGTTACCTAATTTTTTTTTATTTCATTAAACATTGTTTACAAAGCTCAAATCAAATTTGCTGAGTCACAATAATGAGTTTGACAAGCAGAGGATAATCATAAATTTGTTCTATAACAAATTATTCCAAACAGTTTGGCTATAAATTGTTTGCTTTACAAATATGGCAGGATAATCAGAACAAATAAAATCTGAAGCTATGGAATAAGTACTTCAATGCAGCCTCAATATACTTAAATCTGAGATATCACCTGTATTAAGTAATAAAGTGTTTCCTAAATGTGAAGACTACCATTAGAACAGAGTTAACATTTGTAAACTGATTTTTCTGGTTTTGAAGACAAATTCATGCCAGAACAATTAAATTTACTTTCCTGACAGAGTAACAAGGATATAAATAGGAGAAAACCAATCGATGTAATCTCATATTATGATCAATACGTAATTTCTTTTATTGAGACCTAAGAGATATGGTGCTTTGTATAATTAAAATTTTGTTAGTTTAGAGTCATTACATAAAACATATAAGACTAATCAGTTTTCAAATAACTTTTATAGCATTAACATTTATCTGTGTATCTTTAGCTACTAATGCAGTACTTGATTTTAGGCCCTCAATAAATGTTTATTAAATGCTAAATATAAGTAAATTTATTCTTGAATAGCTAGAATCATCAAAATATTAGGATTATTCTATCATTTTAAATAGAATTACCATCTGCTAAAAGTAGAAGAGTAAAACAACTGTGTTGAATTTATATTGATTATATGATTTACTGTTGAAATTTCATATTGAAATAAAATTTCTCGGCTTAAATTTGTTTGCAGTCTGTTCACATATAATTATTATTTCTAAACACACTTTTGCTCTTTTGTGACCTCAGTAGTGTTCAATGCTGAATAAATATGGATTTATGATTTTTGTTTTTCAGATAGAGGGTCACTTTAAAATCTGGGAATATTGCCCATGTTCTTGGCATTTTTCTTATGTCTAGTGAGACTCTGTAACATTTGAAAATACTACTCTTCCTATCCTCCTGGGTGATAAAGATTGAAGTAAAATATATTTGATAAGTTCAGAAGAGTCATTTACCAACTATCAAAATGTCCTAAAAACTCTTGTCGATTTTAGCAGCCTTCTAGGGAGAAAAAAATGCTGGCAAAAGGAAATGCCAAATTTGGCTGTAGCAGCTGCCTGTGGTTTAATCTCCAGAAATGTATGTCCAAAACTTCATTCACTTTCTTAGCACCTTTATGAGTTTTTTCATATTCTTTATTATTTTCTTACTCTTTTTCTTAAAATTACTTCCCTTTAAATGATTCAATTCAATGTTCCAAAAGAAATGTTATAATACTACCACAAAAGTGGTAATAGAAATAACTACAAAAACAAATAATGTGAAAAAAGTAATTCAGCTCTAGACAGGTATCATTAACTATGATGGTTTCATGCTTGAACCTTGCTCTCTTGATGTTAAAGAGTGAACTAGTGAGTTTTAGGGCATGGTAAAAACATGAAAGCACCAAACATGTATGTTCTAAATTAAAAACCAGACGCAGATTAGAGATTTGAGTCAATGTTATTTAATTCTATGGGCATTTATGGCTAAAATTATCTTAAGTACCAGAAGTTGTACCCTATTACACAAACTGGAAATATTGCTCTAGATAAAGCTTTTTAAGGTCTCCAAATCAGTCATGAAGGATTTTGTAATGCACCATATGATAGCTTCTCCATATGACAGAAAGTGAGTCCCATTCCATTTTCTCTCTTTCCTTTTTTTTTTCTCATATTAGCATGCCTTAAGAACTGTATTAGCATGCTTTGAGAAATAAAGTCAGGGAAGCCCAAATTTCAGTATTGCTTTAGGGACTGATAATATAGGTAGAAACTAAGGGCCATGTAGTTGATTAAAAACCGCTTTATGTCTAAAGTCCCTATGACAAGAAAAAATTATATATAAAAAAGGAAGTATAAGACCTACAATAATCTAGCTAGACTTGAGTAAGGCTTTTGATTTTTGTCTCTTGTTACTATTAAAAAAAAAAAAAAAAACTAGATTAACCTATGAGCCAGTAAGTAGCAAAGTCAATCTAAAGAAGATTTAGTACAGCATTGCAAAGGAATATGAACTTTACAGTTTAAAAAGTAATGCAAATCAAGTTTGTTTGTTTGTTTTTTTTTTTGAGACGGAGTCTCGCCCTGTCGCCCAGGCTGGAGTGCAGTAGCCCAATCTCGGCTCACTGCAAGCTCCGCCTCCCAGGTTCATGCCATTCTCCTGCTTCAGCCTCCTGAGTAGTTGGGACTACAGGCACCCACCACCACGCCTGGCTAATTTTTTTGTATTTTTAGTAAAGCCGGGTTTCACCGTGTTAGCCAGGATGGTCTCGATCTCCTGACCTCATGATCCGCCTGCCTCAGCCTCCCAAAGTTCTGGGATTACAGGCGTGAGCCACCGCTCCAGGCCCAAATCAAGTTTTTAAAGAAGAGCAAGTTGAACTTCATTTTTAAGGTCTTGGATAATACTAAGGAAAATGACAATATAAAAATAATTTGAGAAATTATTGCTCATGTATAGGATAAAGTTCAGAAGAAAAAATATAAAGTAAAAAACAAAAGAGCAAAAAAGATACATAAAAATTTAGTAAAATAGTATAGGAGTAAATGCATCAGGAAAGATGTAAAACCAAAGGAACCCTAAGTAGGAAATGAGTCATTAATATGGTATTTTATTTTAAAATCTTATTTTCAAATGGTACTAGAGTGATGAGATCATGATATTTAAGTATTAAGAGATAACTATTGCTGTTTTTTTCAATAGTGGTTGGATTCTTATTACAGCAGGAATTCAGTTTTTGTGAATTTTAAACAAGAGCAAAGTTGTCAAAGAAGAGAAACTAATGTGAGTAAAGATGTAAATTGGATTCCAAAAGGAGAAGGAAAGGAGTTGGAATGATTTACTGTTTAGTCTGAAGAAACAATGTCTGAAATGAAATTTAATACCAACCAAATTTACACATCTATATCATTTGCCTATCTTAATTTTCCAATCTGTAAATGAAAGTAAAAAGAATTTCAGCCTAAAATTTGTTTCGCTAGATGAAAAAAAGTATTTATTTTCCTAATATTAGGAGAAAATAAATAGGCAAATCTAGTTCATGAACAAAGTAACTCTCTTGGAGACATGTCAAGGAATGTAAATTATAATTATAAGCTAAATCAATTAGTAAAATATCTCTGTCATGAAAGTAACATGATACTTTCCATAATTACAGTGTATCACTTTTTTTTTTTTTAGACGGAGTCTCGCTCTGTCACCCAGGAGTGCAGTGGCACAATCTCAGCTCACTGCAACCTCCACCTCCTGGGTTCAAGCGATTCTCCTGCCTCAGCCTCTTGAGTAGCTGGGATTACAGGCGCCCACCACCATGCCCAGCTGGCCAGGCTGGTCTTGAACTCCTGACCTCAGGTGATCCACCCACCTCGGCCTCCCAAAGTGCTGGGAGTACAGGCGTGAGCCACCGTGCCCGGCCTATGCATAACAATTATTAAACTCTACATTTAAACATTTAATGAATCTTTTTCATTCATTTAACACAGATAATTACAGAATGCCTATATGTACCAGGGCTGTGCTAGGTGATGATATAAACATTAATTATTTATTTTCCTTATCAATTCAAATAATTTACTTACATATCTTATTTTCATTATACTACTATTTAGTATGCTTTGCAGGTATGTTCTTAGAGCTATTAAATGTATTCTTTAAAAAATATCCTCAAGTGTACATTTTGTTTGCAGAAAAGATTTTTTCAGTGGTTAATTAGGCTTTAGAAGTTAATGTTCCATTTTTTTTTAAGTTACAGAATAAAAAAATCTATTTATCTTGTAAGATTTTAAGTTTAATTTACAAATGTGATTATTCCATTTACTAATGTAGTGAATGCAGTCATCATTCTAGGGATCCTTTAGCATTTAATCCCATTTATATATTTTGTTAAGTAAACTCCCTTAAGTATTCAAAACTCTATTATTAATTGAAAATAGTTAACATTTACCACTTTGACTGCTTTTAAGTGTTTTGTAGAACTAACGTATGTAAAAGTATTTTGTAAACTTTCAATTAAATACACAAATATGGCAATATTAGTATTACATTATAATGTCAGATGTGTTACCACATTGAAATGATTCATCAAAGAACAAACTTCATGGCTTTGCTCATAAGTGCTTTAACAATTGATTAGTTTTTAAGATGTTTACATTTTTTAATTACCTTTTCTGCCCTGAATTAGATGGGATTTGAGGAAAATCAAACTTAAGTGAATTAAAGTCTTCAGAAGAATTCAAACATTTCTCCAACTAATAATAGTCTATCTTAAGCACCAAGAAGCATTGTAAGCAAGCTTCAGTTTGGGCTTCAGAAGACAGCCTCGTGACAAACCTTTTGTCCTAGCCTTGTGACAAGGACCCCATGCAGAACAAGGATTTTGAAGTGTGCAGTTAGCCACAAATCCTTGGGGTCAGTTTTCAATTTAGTGGCACAACAGATAAATCAATTAGTGTATAACTAATTAAAGATGGTGAATACCTTTAACTGCTAAAATAATTTGAGGCAGTCACATCTTACAGAAAGCTATCTCCCTACAAAATGACAAGCCTAAGCAAGCCTTACAAGTGAGGCTTTGAACCCTAAATAGGTAAGGTTTAATGAGAAACTGAAATTCAGAATAGCAGAGTATCATTGAGAGCAATTGATAATAGCTAAATTAAAGCTTAAAAGTGTAAAGTATATCTTTTTTGTTCATAGGGGATTTGTTCTAGAGATGTGGGGAAATGGAAAATCCTCAAATAGTGTACAAAGAATAATGATAATACAGATTTATTTGTAAAAAAAAGAGTTTGTTATTGTCACAAAACACATCAGAGGCTGCTGACATTTCTCTCCATGGTTTTCCTGATATTTCTTAAGATTTTTGAATTAAATACATTCAGTCTCTTTTAAGTAGTAATCATTCTTAAGACCTTGAAGGATCTTATCATCTTTCCCCAATAAGACTTTTAATAGATTCCCTGCTTCAATTTAAAATTCTTAAACTCAAAATCTGAGTTTTATTTATTTCTGCCTAATGTTTGTGACAACTATAAAAGCTAACAGACCAAAACATGACAAAATATAAATGTAAACATAATGAATAAATCTTAGCGAAAACCTGGTGTAATCATTACCCAGATTAAAAAATAGAATATTACCAGCAGTGTAAAATCTCCTTGGGACTGTAAACGTATCAGTTATATCCCTCTTCCACTACTCTAGAGGTAACTGCTAATCTGATTTATGGTAATCATTCTTAGCCTTTCTTTATAGAACTACTCTCTATGTGTACATGTGAATATAATATAGTTTAGATTTCAGTGTTTTAATTTTATGTAAATGGCAACATATTGAGGCATTGTGTTTTGCCCAGTATATTTTAATTTTTTTCATTTTATTGATTATAGCTATAGTCATTGTCACTGGTATATACAATACATTGAACAAATAAAGCATAATTTACATATTTATTTTGCAATTGATAGACATTTGAGCTGTCACTAATTTTGAGCTATTCTCAAAAGTTCTGCTAAAAACATATTTTTATTTCTATTATTGCATAAAAGGAAAGTACTTACTTAAGTCAGCCAAATTTTTTGACTGGGTTGTTTTTATTTTTCTTACTGATTTGTAGTTTTTTTTCTATATTAAGATGAGTCATTTTTTGGTCAGTTATATATACACAGCAAATATTTTCTCCCATTTTGTGGCTGTATTTTCAATTTTGCCACTGCATCTTCTGATAAATAGAATAATTAATTCCAATGCAATGAAATGTATGTCTTTTCTTTTATGGTTAGTGCTTTTTTGTGTGTTTTCCTGAAATAAGGTTATAAAGCTATTCTCCTATTTTTTGTAAAGTTTTAAAGATTTCCATTCCATATTTAAGTCAATGGTTCATCTGGAATTAGCTTTCATATGTAGTGCTATGTAAGAGTCTAATTTATTTTTTTCCACTGGCTACCCAATGGTACCAGCAGCATTTATTGAAAAGATCAATCATTACTCACTGCTCCGTTATACCATCTTTGTTTTATATCAAAGACCTATATATCTGTAAGTCAGTTTCAGAGCTCTCTATTCTTTTCTATTCATCTATGTGGCATCAATGTGACTACCACTTGATTTGTCTACCTTGCACCAATTTGACTGTTCTAATTACTGTATCTTTGTTATGGGACTCTATAAATGGTAGAGTTATGTTATCCTTTCCTGTTTTTCTTCTTTAAAAATTACTAAGGATTTCTTGGTTTTGTGCAGTTTTATACAAAATTATAAAAAGCTTCTTGTATTCCACATACTGGATTGCCCAGTCAATCCAGTTTTCTTTATTTCAAGTTTTCTTTAACTTTTCAATAAAGTGTTATAATTATTCTCATACAAATAATGCACATCTTTTATTATAATTATTTGTAGGTGCTTTTTTATGTTTCCGTAAATGGCATATTGCTACATTTTCTTTTTAATTATTTGTTGCATCAATAGAAATACAATTGATTTCATAAACTTTATATACAGAGACCCTGATAAACTCTTTAATTCTAGTGGGTTTTTTTTTTTGATAAGTTCTCATAAATACTGTACTTAAACAATCATGTTTACATGGTGTCATTTGTTTGGGGAAATACCCGAGGTTCGTCATCTAGTGCTAAGGAAATTGAAGATGCAGCACACAAGGAGTGGGGTTAAAAGTAGAAAATTTAATAGGCGAAAGAAAGAAGAGAAAAGCTCCCCCACGTAAAGGAAGTGAGGTTCCAAAAAGGTCTTCCTTTTCATGGCAGGATGCAGTGGGCTTAATAGAGGGGCTTGAGGAAGTGGTGTCTGATTTATATAGAACGTAGTGGATTGGTTGGACTAGATGTAACATTTACATAGCTCACGAAGAGCCTGGCTGTCCCACCCTAATTTCTTATTATGCAAATGGGATCTTTACCTGGCTGGGGCCATGTTACCTGCACATGTGGCAAGAAAGAAAAGGGAAGACAAAACCTCCATGTTGAATATACCTGGCTTCCAGATATCCCTTTTTTATTGGTACAATTGCAGGCATTTACCTATGCAAGCTTGCATATCTATGCTTGTGGCTTGATTTTTCAGGCCGCCCTAGAAAAAAAATGATTTGGGGGCTGCTTTTAATTAAAGGAAATTCCACCAAGAAATCTTTTATGCTCATTAACTGCCTAAACAATTTCTTTTTAACTCCTATATCAATGTCCTATAACATCTACAAATAATATCAATTTTGATTTTTTCTTTCCAATTCTTAATATATTCATTTTTCATGTTTTACAGCATTAGCTAGGATATTTTGTACAAAGTTTTATAAAAGTAGAATTGTTGGGCAAGATTGTCTTATTGTTATTCTCACAAAATGCTAACATTTTACTATTATTCACGATGATTGCTACAGTTTTTGAAGCTGCTCTATTAGATTAGGAAAATCCTCTTATTGTTTTAGTTTTCTAAGCATTTTTATCAGCAATAAATATTAAATGTGCAGAAGTGTTTTTTCTGCTTCAATGAGATTATCATATATTTTCTCTTTATTTTTCCATGTAATGAATTATGTCAATTGATTTTCTAGTGTAAAACCAACTTCACATTGATAATATAATCTCAATTTGATATAATAAAAGTATCATTTTAAACATTTTGCTGGCTTTTAAAAAATCTTTTTTCATAATGGGATTGGTCTATACCATTTTTCTTTTATAATATTGTTGTCAGGTTTTGGTTTCAACAATAAGCTAACTTTGTAACATAAGTTGGAAAATAAAACTTCTATTTTTATTCTCTAGAAGAGCTTATATAAAAGTGAATTTATTTATTAAATAAAATAAAATTTTGTATAACTTCCATGTGACACCTACTGGGCTGGAAATTTTTTGTGTGAGAAGATTATTAATGGCTGATTTAATTTCTTTTACAATTTAAGGCCTACCGAAGTTTTGTATTTCTGCTTGTGTCAGTTTTGATAGGCTATAGTTTTTAGAAATTTATTTACTTTACATAAATTTTTGGCATAAGGCTTTGGCATAAGGCAAAATTATTGGCATAAGGCTTTTCATAATATCTATTTATTATACTTATATTTTGGCACAATTTGCAGTAGTATTTCCTTTTTCATTTCTATTCACTTGTTTCTGCTCTCTTGATTAGTATCAGCAGAGGATTACCAACCTTATCATTACACATGGGTGTTCTTTGCACTATGTATTTCTTTTCCATTTCATTAGTTTTGCTTTTATTTTTATTATTTTCACCAATCTACTTTTTTATTTTTTAGTTCTAAGACAGGGTTTTGCTCTGTCACCCAGGCTGGAGTGCAGTGGCGTGATCATGGTTCATTGCAGCCTTGACCTCCTGGGCTCAAGCAATCTTACCACCTCAGGAAGCTGGGGTGGTATGTGCTACCATACCTGGCTTACTTTTGTATTCTTTTGTAGAGACAGGATTTTGCCATATTATCCAGGCTGGGAAAGATACAGATATTTTATTTTCCTAATTATAATATTGATTTATTATCTAATTATATTAAACCCAGAGAAAATACACATTCAGATCTTTAGTTATTTTCAAAGGAAATGTTAGTGCAAGATATCAAGCACAATATGTGAATACTAAAGTTTTAACCAGATATCTAGATATGTTAAATTACAAGAAGATGGGAAAAATAACCATATGCAAATTTTCAAGTAAAATATCTATAATCTGTTTGATAAACCCTGTAAACCCTTTACCTATTCCATGACGTAAACAAAATCAAAGTATGTGTGCAGAGAGAGAGAGAATTATTTGAGAAGAGGATGTCTTTGTAGAATATTGTTTCTGAATCCCATTCCCACCTCTTCCATCCCCAAGGAGAAGGGCTTGTCTGCTCCCTCAATTCAAACCTACTTTAATATGTGATCCTTACAGTTGGAAGGCATAACGGCCTAGGATCTGACTCACTCCTGGGAAATCTAGAGAATTAAAGATAGCCGATAGCTGCCTAAATGCCTTGATGTAGGATCGGGAGAGTTGTTAACCATGTTGAGAATAAGCCTTGTGGGCGGCAAGCCATCCAGGCGCTGAGGCAAGAGACCGAGGGCACGAACTTTTTCAGTATAATAAAATATATAAAACAACAAGAATTACACTAGATCTAGATCATAGACATGATTATATATGAATGTCATTAATCATTAGTTTGTAGCAATTACTCTTTATTCCAATATTATAATAATCCTCGCTCTATAATCATAACCTAGGGAAAACCAGGCCATACAGAGATAGGAGCTGAAGGGAGATAGTGAGAAGTGACCAGAAGACAAGAGTGTGAGCCTTCTGTTATGCCCGGACAGGGCCACCGGAGGGCTCCTTGGTCTAGCGGTGACGCCAGCGTCTGGGAAGACGCCTTTTGCCAAGCGGACCACGGTCTAGCGGTAGAGTCAGTGCCAAGGAAAAACACCCGCTACTTAGCAGACTGAGAAAGGGAATCTCCCTTTTCCTGGGGGAGTTTAGAGAAGACCCTACTCCTCCACCTCTTGTGGAGGGCCTGACTGATGTCAGGCCTGCCTGCAGTTATCCAGAGGCCTAACCATCTCCCTGTGATGCTGTGCTTCAGTGGTCACACTCCTAGTCTGCTTTCATGTTCCATCCTATACACCTGGCTCTCCCTTTTAGATAGCAGTAGCAAAATTGGTGAAAGTACTAAAAGTCTCTGATATGCAGAAATAATGGCATAAGCTGTCTCTCTCTCTTTCTCTGCTTCGGCTGCCAGGCAGGGAAGGGCCCCCTGTCCAGTGGACATGTGACCCACATGACCTTACCTATCATTGGAGATGGCTCACACTCCTTACCCTGCCCCTTTGTCTTGTATCCAGTAAATATCAGTGCAGCCTGGCATTCGGGGCCACTACTGGTCTCCGCGTCTTGGTGGTAGTGGTCCCCGGGCCCAGCTGTCTTTTCTTTTATCTCTTTGTCTTGTGTCTTTATTTCTACAATCTCTCATCTCCACACACGGGGAGAAAAACTCACTGACCCTGTGGGGCTGGACCCTACAAAGCCTGCACTGCTTGATGTTGCCAGGGAAAGAGGTATTGGACTGTTTCCTGTGGGCCAAATAAAAGGGAGAGAGAATGAGAGTGTGGGCTTAGGGTTATCCTGAATTCCATTCCTTAGCTCTGTCTGGAGAACTGGGAACATGAGGAAGCTCTCGGTTAACAAGGATGACCAGTGCTTTGGAAGGGGTAACCAGTGAACTCCCAGAATAGGGATTCACCCACATGAGGCAAGGAACTACAGAGGAGAGAGGCTGAAAAGTGCACTTTTGAGGAACCCTTGAAAATACACCATTCAGCAGTTGGGCTTTAACTATCTCCCAGACTGTGAGCACAGCTTACGGCGCCACATCAAGTAATGTCTTTCATTCATCCTCTCACTCCTCCCTTACTCTGCTCCCAGTACAGTTGGTCAGAAAGGAGCTTGAGAGAGGAAGCAGAAAAATAGAGACCTCTAAAAAAAGCCACTTTGTAGAATCCTACTCCACACTGGCATGACCTACAAGAGAGAAATTTTAATTATAATTTTGGATTATGTATTCTAATTTCTAATTGATACACTCTGAAAATTTAGTTGTCCACAAAACTGTCCATTTCTTAAAGGTGAGCAAAAAAGCCATAGGTTTCCAATAGTTTCATCAAAGATGAAAAGTTTATATTCACCAAATCAATATTAAAGAGATAGTGGGAAACAAAAATAAAATAGAATTTTAACTACATTTTATGATTTGTGGTTTCTATGTTTTTTAAATCATTTTCTAAGTTTTATGCTTTCCTAAGACTATGAAACAAGAGTGGTAATCACTGCTAAGTTAATTATTTATAGTAACATTTTAATAAAAGCAATCATCTTTATGAAAAATGGAAAGATTTGGCACCTAGAATGTGTCTTTAAAATTCTGAGATTGAGCTGGCAAGCCTAGTTAATTGTAGAAAAAGGCCCCCAGAACCCTATCTTTTCGATATCCATTGAGTCACCACAAACATGGTGACAGCTTTGCAAATCGTATGCCTAATGCTTAGACAAAACCCTACAGCTACTATGAAATAGGTGATGAGATTAACCCAAATGCCCATGGGTCATGCAGAGAGGTAAAAGAGGATAAGGTAGGGTTTAAATGCATATATGTTTGTAGAAAAAAGGGGCATTTCTCAATTTAAAGGGGTGCTTATTACTCAGATCTAACTGAATAATATCATGAGGGGATATGAAGTCCAATTTGTCAAAAAAAAAACCCTGAAAATACAACTTTATTTCTTTTATTGTTGTTATTGTTGTTTTGCAAAATTTCCTTATTTTAAAATATTTGTAAATATTTATATGGTCATAAAACACACCTGGTATGTTACATGTTTAGTGTGGCCAAACAACACAGACATTCAAGTTAGAGGTTAAGGGTTGCTAGCTTGTAAATTCTGGAAGATAGACTGCTAAATTCTTCTTGTAAGTTATCCTAATTCATTAAGTAACGGTAAGCTAATGAACCAGTTGACAAATTTCAGTCTGTTGTTTTTTGATACTAGAAGTGTGACTACCCTTCTAGCCTAGATTCATAATATCATAGCTTCTGCATTTTTTTCATGCTCACAAATGCTAGTAATTTAATCCTCTATATATTCTTAAACTCTTCTTACAGTTAACAGTTCTCTGGGAACCAGAAATATTTGTGTTTGGATTATCTAATGCATCTTGATCCCACTTGAAACTTTGAAGGGAATACCATAGTTGTTTCTCTAATAAAACTATTTTTAAATGTGGCTAAATTTCTTGAGTACCCTATAGGATAGAGGCCCAGGATCATTCAATGTTAATGAAAACATGAGGGACTTTAATAGTAGAAGTGAAAGCAATTGATATGATTTTATAATGATTAGGAGATGAAGGGCGCCTCTTTGCGAGGAGATTGTCAAACAAAGCTGGAATTTAAGCCTGTATGCCTAGTGAGATTTCAGCACTTTGACTAATATTTGTATTAACCAAATCTGTCCTTGGCCAAATTTATCTTAAACTAGTACAAGCAAAAAATAATAATAATAATTTAGATTAAATTTATACCAATATTTTCCCTGAAAGCCCTAGACTCTAACACTTTCCTAGAAAGGTAAACATCTCTGCTTACCTTGTGGGTATGGGACAGTGAAAAGAGCACACTGCACATTGAGTGGATGGAGGGAAGAAGGATTGGCAAGAGCTTTAATGGCAAGAAGGAAGAACTCCACTGGGTACTGGCCTTGTAAGAGTGGCTAGAGGGCCTGTGCAGAATACTCTTCCCAAATCCTTAGACCAATTAATGAGTTTCCCCATCTCCTCTTCCCAGCTTCCCAGCTGTCTTAGACAGTTTCTGTCTTTCTCCCAGCATCTGTCATTTCCTCAATCTCTTTTAACCTCATTTTTATTCTCAATCTTTTTTCCGGATGTTGGTTTCTGTCCCCACCCTCTCTCCAAGTCTTTTTTCTAGCCCCACGCCTAACAAATATCTCCCATTTGCATAAAAATGAGACCACATGGAAAAATGAAAAACATGTTTTTTTGTTGATGTGTACTATGAGAAATAACTCTCATGACAGAGAATTGGCCTTTTACATGCAAAGTGGACACTTTCTAACATCCCTAACTGAAAAATCTCTAAAGGAAGTAAACATTAGGGAATAGAATAAAACATCTTGCTGCAGAAGAAGCGTATCTAGTGATAACAGGATGAAAATGAAGCAAGATAACTTCAGGCAAAATGTATAAGAATTGTTTGTTACACAAAGGTTATGGAACTGTAGATCTGGAAGAAATCTTTCATATCACTTGATTAAACCACACTCATTTTATAGACATGAAAATTAAAGCCTTGAGAGGTTAAAAATTTTGCCTGCCTCAGTCACACAGCAAGCATGTGGCCCCTGGTAACTAACCCAAGTGCTCTTGGCTCAAAGGTTCAGTGTACTCTTCACCACTTCAGTATGCTGGCTTGTCACACCAGTCAGGGCTCAATGGGAAAAATATAAGAAAGTTGTTATATTGCCAAATATATTCTTTTTTTTAGTGAAAGTACCCTTTCTTTTATGTAATATTCTAATGAATAGCATATGTATTATGGGGAAAGGATTCTGTATTTAACAAAGAACAAGGTGGTTTATCTCATGTCAATTGCACAAAGGGCGTTTGGATTATTTACTGATCTAGGAACAACTGAATTATGTGGTGCTTTTGCTTCTGCACAAGATTAGGATAAAGTTAATTACTCAACATACTGAATTAAGACTTCAGAGTTGGAAAGGCAAACTATGTAATCAAAGTGCCTTTACAATTGAATTTTCATAATTTTACAGTCTATCCTAGTGGGGGTGGGGACTAATCTGATCTAAATGGTTCAGAATTACCTGATGAATTACAGACCACTAATTTTTGTATATGTGAGCAAGTAATAGGAATGACTTGGCACTTGTGTTCAGATATTCATGACACTCTGGTATGATTTGAACAGTCACTATAATTCAAAGTTAAGTATTTTCTGCTATTTATACAATAGTAAGAGGGTAGGTCAACTTCATAAAGCAAATCAAATAAGTTTAGCCAACCAAACGAGTATTCCAAAATACACTTACTGCTTCCGCTCTACAGAGGCCAGGGATAAAAATAAATATTGCCCTCAAGTAACTGAAAACAAATCTAGGAATGCCTTGGGTATTTTCAACTCTTCTGACTTTTGAAGAAACAGAATTCTCCAAATTAAAGCAAGGGCTAGCTACGAAATATCACCTATGTGCCCAAAAATAGGTCTTGGGAAACACACACAAAAATAGTCACTTAGAAATTGTCCTTGCTTCCTATATACAGTTAAGTTGTAACAAAACCTAATAATAGATGTCTAAATGATTTTTTCTTCTCCTTTGTATACCTTAAGAATTTTAAACTTTAATTGATATAAAACTTGTACCCAACAAATGAGGCTGTCAAAAAATGAAAAGGAAAGAGAAAAAATAAAAAGTTCACTGATCACATCATTTAATTATTCTAATCCCAATAATGCAATTAGTTAATAAATCTTTAAGTTAGTTCACTCTGTGCATTTAAAAAAGGTGAGTCCCACTTTTAAAAACTGGGTTTGCAGAGAGAGATAATTGGAGAATTCTCATGGTTGTTTAGAGTTGTCACAATGGCTTTGAGCTCATTAATGTAGGAGTGGCCTTTGTATCCTGGGGAGAGTGCCCAAGAACTCAACGCTTATGTTCTCACACTTGCTGAACACCCTAGGAGGGCGATTTCACAGTTCATACCACAAAAAAGTATTTCTTTTCCCACTTCAGTTAAAAATAAATTCAATGTGTGATACAAATGGTTTTCCGTGTTTTGTGTGTGTGATTTTTATAACTGAAGCATTATTTCAACACATGGCCATTTGGATGTGAACAGCCATAAAAATTATGTAAAGGTATTATGGCTAAAATAGAAATGATACAATGGCAGTTAAAGGCCCAACTAGTAAGGGAAAATTCTGAAATTTATGGAACGGTTTCCTATTTCTCTCTTGATTCTGTGAGTTAATGTTAACTTATACAATAATAGCTAATGTTTTAGTAATTTATGATGTGCACAGTATCTAAAATGGGTATTCCCATTGTCATGTAACACCAATACCATGTCAATATGTATCTTTCTTCTCATTTTTTACATGCAGAAACTGGGATTAAGAAAGATTTAATGTCTGGGCCAATTTGAACATACTTAGAAGCTAGACTCAAACTTAAGTTTTCACATTAATACCGTGTTTCCTTCCACTAACATATTCAACCTCTCAGATTAAGCAACACTCAATACTTTATGAGAGTAGTAACAATATTTGAGGATGTTGACTATTTTCAGACTAAAAAGAGTTTTAATTAAATACAAACACAATTTTGCTTATTAATTTGAGTGATTAGTTTATAGATGAAGGTAAATAACATAAATCTGAAAGATATTTGAGAAAATACACCTGTTTGCATATAATGTATAAAATTGTGCCTGCATATATTGTAATTAAAATATTACTTGGCAGTCATCTTACAACAGTTCTATTGTGAAAAATTTTCAGATGCTCATTTTTCACTTTGCGAGAATTAACATTGTAATTGTTTAAATATTTTCTGCTTCTGGATTGGAATCAACTTAGAAATAAAATATTTCATCTACGGTGCAGGATATGAGTTCCATTAACTCAGCAAAACTTTATATAACATTTATCTCATATCAGACGCTATTCTGGGTGCTTTCTGCATATTACCTTGTGTGATTCTTCCAATATCCCTATGAGGTAATTCCTTGTAGAGATATTGCAAGAACCACATAAGGCAATCATCTCCATTTTACAGCTGAGGAAGCCAAAAGTTGAGTAACTTGTCCAAGTTTATACAGCTAGTAAGTGGCAGAGCTGGAACTTGAACTCAGACAATCTGTCTCCAGAAGCATTATAAACGTGACACCAAGTGATTAATTCACTGATAGCTATTTCCTCTTTGTTTCTTTCCTTCTTCTCCAAGTCCCATATTAGCTTCACTGACATTTATAGCCAAGTACATGTTTTTTTCAACAAACATAACAATGACTGGTAGGCAAATGCCTACAACTCCTTCCAACCCATCCCCTAAGAATTAATTGAATCCAGAATATTAAGAAAACATTATTGCTAGGTAAAAATTCATTTATGGCATTATAGTCTTAGTTGTCAGTTTAGAAGGCTGAAGTTGCTGTGAGGCGGAGTAGTGACTTCTAAATTACTCGAGCGGTAAGTCTTTATCCTTATTCTTTTTCAGAAAACTCAACTTACTGAAGTGTCACTACATCAGAAGGTAGCTGAAGAGCAACAGTCCTTGCTTTGATTTTAAGCCACACCAGCCTTGTGTAACTTTATACTATTTCCAAGCATCTGTTTCTTAATCAGTAAGATGGGATAAAGCTGGCCTTGAAATTTGTGATGGAAGTAATGTGTGTAAAGTGCCTGGCACAATAAATGGTAGATGTTAGTAGATGTTGTGACAATACTTCTTTGGGTTAACTTGGACCGTTCCCAACTGTGATCTCCATTCTCTAGTCTTTGACACAACTAATACAGGTTTCAGCTAGAGTATGACTGATTCAATGGATTTAAAAAAACAGTTCACATTTCAGTTGAGAAGTACAGAAAGAATAAAATCAATGACATCAACATTTTTTACTACTAACCTCACAGTATAATTCATTACTGCAAACAGGCAAATAATTGCCTTAGAACAGAATCTGTTTAGAATATTGTTAAGCTTATGTAACAAAAGATTGATCAAAGATATTTCATTTTCTTTGAAATGAAAAGGAAGAAGGGTAGTACATATTAATGAGAGTGTCAGAGAAACCAAAACTAATCTTTACTTAGATATACACTACCATCTAAACTAAAATGTTCTCATCAAGAAAAATAATAAATCCTGGGTTTTCCTAAATAGCAGAGCCTGAAACAAGGGCTTCTGTTCAGACAGTTTATAAAAAAAAAAATAGGAAGAGGAGAAAAGGACTAAAACAATGAAACTGGAGCAGGAATATAAGAGAAAAGCATTTATGTATTCAGTGACTCCATTCCCTCTTTTGTCAGGAGCTGTCTCATAGAATGCTAATGCTCCTGCACTTCTAGTTCAGGCATCTGATAATGCCAGATTCTGAAATGCACCTTTATAACAGAATAGCACCAGAAAGAAAGCAGGATATATGCATTAAAGTGAGGCAAGCGGCTGTCAGGTTACACCCGTGCGTAGCTGGTTGCCATAGCAATGGCTGGAGTAAACGTGGCCAGAGAAGATGTAGGGAAAGACACAACAGGAATCTAATGCTCATACGGTGACTTCTTCTACTTTGGGACTAATTATGATTATCTCTACATATATCATTCTATAGGATATGAAACCTCTATTCAAGTTTTAAAAATCTATTTTTCTTATGGTTGCCCCAAATTTGGGAACCATATAGTGCCCTTTCTAGATGTAATTGACACCACTAATGTTTCCCATGGTGTGCAATGGTACAAAAAGGATCTTGTTTGCTAACTGAGAGAGCTGCTTCTATCAGTCAAAAGGTACTGTTAGCCTAAGCTAACAGACCTATAATGGATAGGAATTCAGTAGCTGGAAAGGATTCAGTACACAGGAATTGAAAGTTACTTAAATTCCTATTCTGAGCTGGGCATGGTGGCTCATGCCTGTAATCCCAGCATTTTGGGAGACCGAGGCAGGTGGATCACCTGAGGTCAGGAGTTCGCAACCAGTCTGGCCAGCATGGTAAAACCCTGTCTCTACTAAAAATAAAAAAATTTAGCTGGGCATGGTGGTGGGTGTCTGTAATCCCAGCTACTTGGGAGGCTGAGGCAGGAGAATCGCTTGAACCCGGGATGCGGAAGTTGCAGTGAGCCAATATCATACCGTTGCACTCCAGCCTGGGCAACAAGAGCAAAACTCCATCTCAAAAAAAAAAAAAAAAAATTCCTACTCTGACATTCAGTATTTAGAAACGTGCATCTCATGTTGTTCTTAAAGACAAAGAGGAAGTTGGAAAGTGATTACTAAGAAAAAAAGAATGTGAGTAACTTGAATTAGATAATTATTCACAAGTTAAAATATTTGGCTGCAGCTTGAAATGTAACTTCACCAATGAAAAGGAAAGGATGGGCAGTTGTCTAGTAAATTCAAAGCTTTGTGAAACCCTTAAATATTCATTTTTTTCTTAGTTGTCTGGATAACTACAATTTTCAAGATAAAATTGCCAGAGAATTTGTTTCTGACAACTGTTATAAATCTTTTGAAAGTAGGAGTTCTAGAATGATCACTTCTACTTTTAGGTGGGGATTATTAAAAATCAGCAGTGGAGAAAGAATGCAAAGAAATGGTTTGCAGACTAAATACTTTTCCATTTGGATTTGTTCTATATTGGTTTAGTCTTCCTACAATAGACTACCCATTTCAGGTAAGAGATACTGGTGTGGATTAAGCTCAACAGAAGTACTTAGCAAAATTATCTACTCTGAAGCAACTCACGTTACCTGTAATGACGCATAAAGATGTATGATTTTTTTTAACTTTCCTCCAACTTCTATTTCTGTAAATTTCACTTGTAAAAAAGCCATTTTGTATTTTTGAGAAGTTGGTTGAGAATAAGGTAGCTCCTTGAATACTTTTAACTATAGGAATGTATCACATTGAGTATTTGATACCCAAAAATAAGTAGAGCTGGTTCTGTTTAGATATTCTTCCCCAAAGTGGTTATAGTTTGAGAGCTGGCTAACCTTTGATAAGAATCCCTTTCCCTTATATTTGGTGCTCACTTTCATAACTGAAATCAAAATAATCGACTTTTTTCTATATTATGTTCTCTGATTCATACTTGTCCATAACTTTTTCATAAGGACAAGATAGTAAACTATTAGGTGATTGTCATAGGAAGAAATTAAAATATGAAAATAATAAGAAGGCAACTATTTCATTCAATTATCCATTCATTCAGACAACTATGTCCTTATTATGTGTTCAGAACTGTTGCTGAGCAATCTGTAACAAATATAGCCCTTACTTTCAAGGCACTTATAATCTTGTAGAGAAATAAGACATTCATGCAAATAACTATGACAGAATTGGAAATAAGTACCTTAGGAGAGTTAGATATACGGGCATCCAGAAGAAGGATAAATTGCTTCTCTATGTTATTAATGTTACAATGGGCAAGATTAAGAAATATTTGGATTCAGGACTAAAGAACATTCACCTCTCAACATCACCTCTGGCTCCAGGGGCATACCGACTACGCATCAGACACTTTTAATTTACCATTGAACATCTCTACATAAATATCAGGATTACAAAATCACCATGTCCAAAACCAAATACCATTTTTCTCACTAAACCGTCTCCTCATATCTTTCCTAATCTCTGCTCCCAAGCCATTTTCCTATTTCTGGTATTAAAAAAAACTCTGTCTCTGCATTTCAGTCACATTCTCCTTCACTGCCAGTCAATGATATGTCAAATCACACACTTTCTACTTCCTTAAAGCTCTTCCTAGACCCTTCTTTTCATTTTATTGACACACTCTCAGACTTGCAATGACAGTTGACCTAGTTTCCTTACCTTTTATTTCTCTTGACTCCAGTAGTCTAATCTATATTCTGCTGACAGATTAGTCTTCCCATTTTATAGCCATGATCATATAATTCCCATACTCAAACCATTTACAGACTCAAACTAATTAACTATATGAGTCAATATTTCTCATCCTGGTATTCAATATCTCCTGAGGCTATATTCCAATCTTATTTCTCAGTACTTAACTATGCCCAAATTGTGACCTCTTTATGTTTCTAGACTAGAATATACCAATGTTTCAATGTATCTACTCAATAAATTCCCTTCCTCTAGAACCTCTTGATTTTCAAGCTTCAAAGCTTATAATAATTTCCACTTTTATATGTAGCCGTTTCAGATGTCCTTACATCCAAAACCAGGCTAGTTGTAAATTTTCTATGTCATTCTTTATTTACCTCTTAAAGCCTACAATATAGCCAAATTGATAATAACTTCCCTCATCTTCCTCTCTCCCCCACTTCTACGGTGAGGGTTAACTTTTATTAAGTTCTATAAACTTACGATATTTAGCATGGAGTCTGCTGATAGTGTGTTTAATCTTTCTTTTTCATGAAATTGAATGTTCAATCACTAACAAAGGAATTTCTCCAAGCAATTAAATCCTTCTTCATATACCAATAAAGAAAATGGTGTTTGTCCCTGTCTGAGAATGCCTACAACATTTTAATATTTCCCAAGTTAAGGCAAATTTCAAAAAGCAAGTGGCACTTGATGAGTAAGTGCATATTGTTTCCTTCTTCTTGGAGGAATCTCTCTTCATTAACTTCTCTCAGCCCTGAAAGTCAAAAGCTCATCCATACATCTAGATTTAAACGCCAGGGTAGGGGTCTGTTCAGTTTTAAATACAATTTAGAAAACCTTAAGAAAGAATGGCAGTTCCGTTTCAGAAACCTTCCATACACATTTCAATAGAACAGCTTTCCAAATTGGAGACTGAAAAAATATTATACCACCAACCAAGTAATAAAAAGTAACTCACTGACTGTGATGTAGAAAGATTCCCTTGATTTTCACAAACAGCATGAAAGACTGTATTGTAGTTATTTAAATCTGAGACTGACAAAAACATCAGAAGAAAAGAAAAGTAGTCAATTTATCTAAAAGATAATTATTTAGGAATAAATTACTACGCAAAAGAGCATGGATCTGCTTGACAGCTTGTGAATTTAAGGCAGATGAAATGCCTCCCTCCTCACCCCCAAGAATCAACTTTGCTGATGAAATATGTTAATCATTCCTAAGTTTGAGGAACATGTAAAACTCTGAAATCAAATGTGTATCTGGAACTAGGGGTTAAGGAAAAATAAAGGTACTCAGTCAGCTTAGGAAATGCTTTCTTCCCTGTGCCCAATCTGCAAAAACAAACAAACAAACAAACAAACAAAAAAACAGGCAGAACCAGGTACAACAAAATCATACATGTAGATGGGAAATTATCTTCCAATCCTTTCATGCTCCACTCAAATGGTCAATTTATACTCTTGAGCATAGCCTCCTCTCTAAGACAAATGGAGTAGGTTTGGTTTGTTTGTTTGTTTACAGATACTGGCCTTCAGTTAACAAGTAGACTTGTTGGCTGACTTGAAGGAGATAGTTATTATGTAACTATTGTCTCTGCTCAAATGGAAATTATCCTACAGGGGTTAACAGTTCATTAGAAAGAAGAACTGTTAACAGGTTGAGCTCATTACCAGTGAGCAAAAGGAGGTTTGTATTTTCCCAAAATGACCATAACAGAAAAACCTGCCAGTACATCTCTGGATTGTCCTTCATCTTCATGTCTTTCTTAAGGCCAGGTATTGCAGGCTACTTCTATTGATGCTATTCCACTTTACTTTCGGAAGAACGAATGATCTATTCAGAGTTTAACAATGCCGGCAAAGTATTGCACTCGTCGATGCTTGCAGACCTGGAGCAGCGAGCAGGCTAAGCCAGACTTTCAGACTTTATACTAATCTGACACATCTAATTGTGAGCAATATTTTCCATGGGATTGAGATTCCTATCAATCTTCCCCAAGCAGACCGAAGTTACTTATAAGCTAATGCAATAATTTCTGTGGTACCACATAAATGTTCTTTATTTTAAAAAATCAGATTCTAGTAACTCTTCTAAGTGAAATTTTCTGGCCTTGATACCAGCTGCAACTTAACCGCAGAAACTCCAAGATGCATGATGAGCAAATGTGCGTGAATTTGAAGTGTTTTTGAATTTGTACTAAATTTACATAGATATTTACATAGAAATGACTGATAAAATGTTGTTCAGGGAGGGATGTACTTATTTTCTTCCGACATTATCACTGTAAATTAAGATTTTGTAGGCAGTAATCTTTTAAATTGAGAATGAGCAAAATAAAATTAGAAATGAATGTTTTTGTTTTTTTCCCCCCAAGACCCCTCAGAGTCTGAATCAGTCTTTCCCAATTGTGTTCTTTTATGGTAGTTTGTTCTTCAATTTTCACACTTATTAAATCTATTTTATATTAAAATCACATGCTTATTTCTCCCAGTAGTACTTCTACCACTTTGGGCAAGGACGTCTTACTTGTTTTTATATTCCTTGCAGTACAGGGTAGGAACCTAATAAATATTGATTAAATTTAACAGTTTATTTTCAATCACTCAGGAAGGGTTAAAAGTCAAATGTAAATCGTTCTTGAAATTGTCCATTGATATACTCAAGGCTTATGAAGATACAAACCTATTTTTTATCTGAGTTTCTTAACCAGAAGTCAATAGGTAGGATTTTTATGTTTATAAATTCCTGAAATGTTATGCAAAATGTATGTATATGTTTAGATATGTGCATATTTCTTCAGCAAAAATCTATAGACTGTAATCAAATGAATCTCTCTCTATTCACCCTACCTCAAAATATTAGGACTCACTTCCCTAGGCAGCTTTACTCAACTCCTCAATTTATCAGAGCTGAAAAATAGTTGGGAAAAATACAGGCTAACATCTGCAATATAATGTCTCCGATTACAGCCTTTCACCCACACATGCCAATCTTATTATTTCTGAGCTATGTCTGCAAAGAATACATTTTTGAGAGAGAGTACATTTTTAACCAGCATTCTATTCCCAGATTTTTATACTCTAAAGAGGCCATTGTATATTTCCAGTACTTTGTGATTTCATCGAACATGCTTTCAGGCTGCTGTACCCGCAAACATTTCCCTTCAGTAGAAACAAATACCGTCTCTCTCAAGCCTTCTCCACGCACTCCAAGTCAACATCCAAACACTCAACTCATCAAAGGAATTGCTGCATCTAAGTGTCAGGGGAAGATCCCTGAAAGTAAACTGAGGCTGAGTCACCTACTAGTGATTTCCAATCCGTACCACCAGAGGAATAAGAGACAAAAATACCTGTGCTGTTACTGCTGCAAATACTGGGCAGAAGAAAAAGAATGGTCACTTGAAGCAGTTCCATGGTGCCCGTAGATGGTGTCAATATCTTCTTTCTCCAGAAGCAGGCAGGGACAATTCCCTCCCAGCCTGGCAGGGCCTTATTAGCAAATGGAAAAGGTGTAGTGAATGTGAATAGCCACTGCCCATTCCTACTTATTTTGGGGGCTCTGATAAAGAACGGGAGGAAATACACACACTCCCTTTGGGAGTTCAGCAGAGAGGAGATTTATTGTTTCAGTCCCTTACAGGAACTCTTTTTTTTTCTCTCTCTTCCTTTGGCAGCCACTTGTGTTTTTGTTACTACATTATTTTGTTCTTCTTCAACAGAAAGGTCGGGACTGGTTTTGAACAGAAACAGATCCTTCTTGAGAATGGATCATAGGGCCTTCTAACTTTTGTTTTGAAAGTGCATTCTGAAGTGGTTATAAAGGGGCCTCATTTAGCAGCTACTCAGTTGGGATAAAGAGGCTTTCACTGCCCGAGGGTTAAATTTTAGAGCAAAATCCATCAGGAATCAACTTAACTTTTCTCTTTCCAACTTGAAAGCCAGATTAGAGAAGGCCACCTTTTGGATATAAGTGAAAAATTGTATTAAATAGATTATGCTCTGCTCTTGAGTAAGCAAAAAGACTTCCAAAGGGTGTACAGAGAAGTTTTTCAGTCTTTTTTAATAGAATTAAGCAAAGACATGTGAATGTCTATTGGTCACTCCTGGTTTTTACTAAAGAACTTTGATGATGAATAAGGAACAATTACTTATAACACCTCATGAATGCTCTTCTTTAGGGGACAGGGTTGGAATGGCAGTGGGTGAAATGCCATCACACATCAGTGAAGCTGGGAGAGGTTGACTCTTTAAGACTGGAATGCCAACCAGGCTGGATAATCTATATAGCAGGGGTCACGTTGATGTCAGTTGTGACTGATTAAAACGTGGTGATAACACTGCCATAGTCCTGGGTACAAGCCCCGTGTGTGCCAATGACATTATATTTTTCTTCAGCCACAGGCTTCATGTCTCATTTTAGCTGATCATCCTTTTACGTACCTTTACTCATGAGGCTTTACTGGACAACATTGTCAATGAATCGGTGTAGATTCATTTTCCCCACAAAAAAAACAAACAAACAAAAAAACAAAAACTGTTCAAAAATTATACCTTTACCTGTTTGCAAGAAGGGCACACAGTTTCACTGCTGCACCATGCTGGAAAATACTTCATACAAAACGAGTTAGACTGAGTCAACTGCTCAAAACACTTAAAAACGTTAGCTTGTTTTATCCAACGTTATACCAGGGGTCAGAAGAGCTAAGTTTCTATTTTGTGCATAAGATTGCATTTTACCCTCTTCTAATTGATTTTCTAAAACAGACTGCCTTTGGCGTTGTTACTTTATTTGGCATATCCTGGAGAATATAAAGATAGGAACATATGTGAATAGATGTCACATGCACTTTCCATAAATAAATTGGGGTGTGGCCATGTGAAATCACAGTCGAACCCTCACATTGCCTCACTTCCTGCTCCTTCTGTACTCAAGTTGTCAGTACTCAGAGTCACCACTGATGCTGGTCACAATAATTTCTTCAGGGATTCCATGGCATTTGGACTCCTCAGCACTAAGTGCTATGCATTTCCATTTAGTACACTAGATACCTATTCTAAGAATGCTTGACAGTAGAATATTAAGGCTACTTAAAAGACAAAGGGCCTGTTGATGAAAAACAAAAACTAAGAAACATCTTAAAATGCTAGCCAAAAAAAATTTAGAATATAAGAACAGAAAAGAAAAAAAAAAAAGGAGTAATAATGAGGGGAGGGGTCAGCCTTGCTTTACTAAATCAGAAGATATTTTTAAGGTAAAATATTTAATTAAAACAGCAATGATTGCCAGAGGAGACAAACAGATCAGTGGCATAGAATAGAAAGTACAGACACAGAAATATTTATATTTGTTTCTATCTACATAAATATACACGCAGATATATTTACAGATATGTGTTTGCATATGCATGCTTGTGTGTATATGCATGTATATATAGAGAGAGAGATTAAATATAGGTGAGTTTAACATGTAGTGACTGTGATGAATAGGGTATATATTTACTGTGGGATTTTTTTGACAATGTGTTAACCATCTAAGAAAATTTTAAAATTAAGTGTCTGTTTTACTTAAAATACCAAATCTTACATGTTAATCTTATATGTTAAAGGTTTAAGTTTAAAATACAAAGCACAAAATTCTAGGAGAGAATATGGGCTACTATATATAATTGAGGTAAAGGGGACATTTTATGCATGACACTAAAGGCAAAGCACATAAAAGAAAGACTTCATACATTTGCTTACACAAAAATTAAAAGATTTTTGGCATAACATACCATGAATTTAAAAGGCAAATAAAAAATTTTGTAACAGTACATGATAAGTTATCTTAAAAAATAACTTCTGATCTAAAAAGCAATGACTCTACAACTGAAAAACGGCAAAAAAATGTCTCGCAAGAAATGGAGGGCCAGTAAAATCCAAAACTGTATTCATCACACCAGAGACCAAAGAAACGAATATCCCAACATCGCAACAACGTGTTTTGCCTTTTATATATAATTAGGTATAGTTTATGACAGTACTCATTTTTGATAAATGTTCAAATAAAGTAACTATCTTATTCTTGGGGTATGACCTTTCTGAGATGTGACTAGGCAATATACATCAAAACTGTTAAAGAACCACACTCTGAGCTTGCAAAATTATATGTTTAGGAACTTATTCTAAAAATGAAGATATTCATTGAAGTCCATGTAATTACAAAAATTTGTCAAAACATTAATTATTGAGGAAGAATATTGTTCTGCCACAAAATACTAATTAGATAACTTTTCATAGATGTGGAAATATATTCATGACACTTTGTTGCATGTATATATGCATATATATGCATATGCTTATCATTTATATATGTGAATGTACATGTATATATGTATATACATGTAAATGTGTATATATGTATATACATGTATATGTGTGTATATGTAAATACACATATACATACATACACATACAGAGCAAGAGAGAGTAAGATACAAAATGTTAATATTGCTTATCTTCTGAAATGAATTATGGGTAGTTTCTGTCACATTTTTAAATTTTCCATGAAAAGATCTTCCAGATTAAACACATATTGTTTTTACCTCTTAACAACAAAAACATTTCTCTTGACCTGATACATTTTGTTTAATTTAATGTTTTGAGTGTATATTTATACATATATTTATTAAACATTTTGTATTCTAACCTGCTGGAATGTTTTCATTATTAGGAAGTGTATAATTTAAAAGCACTTTAATAGAAGAAAATATGTGAAGAGAACTGAACCACTCTAACCTGAGAGATGAAAACATGTCTTTGCTCTTTAATTTGTTGTTGTTGTTGTTTGTTTCTTTTTCACAATTCATCTTCCGAATTGCTTGCTGAAAGAAAAAGTAGCTGCTAGGAGGTCATGCAAGAGCAATCTCATAATTCTTTCCAAATGCATATCAAGGCCTGTCATTGACATCTTTGACACTGAAGAAATTGTATAATGAAGACTCCAACACTCATGATTTATGTTAGCTTATGTGGCACTGAAAAGATTTATTCAGATAGCACCATTACTAGGGCCCCAAATTAAACTCCCTTTCCATACTTGCCTTCTTCCTCTTAGCCAGCTCATTACCCTGAATAAAATTATCTAAAATGAGAGGAAAGCCAAGAAGTAATTTCATGAACTGGCAAAGAGCATGATCTTGAGTTCAAATCCTGTCTCTGCCTTAGTTTTATGTGACTTACTGAGCTATTTGGCCCCTCTATGCTGAGCTATTTGGCCTCTCCATGCTTAGCTTCCCCACAGAAAAATAGGATAAACATCATGCCAACTTTCTAATGTGGTTTAGAGGACTAAGTGAGATTCCAGAAAGTCTTCTAAAAGTACATATTAAAACAAAACAAAACAAAAAACAGAAAAAAACCTACTAACCTTAAACTTCTAGAATCTTTCAGTTGTTAGGATTTTATATAAACCATCATATTCTAGAGTGATTAAGAAATGTCCTAAGAAATATTCAGATGATGAGAGTCCCAAAATATTGGTTTAAACTGATTATACAGAATCCCAACTCTTATTATCAGGAATTTGTTCTATGCTCTACTTCAAGGTACTTTAAATATCAAGTGCTTTCTTCAATGGAGATGCAATCAAACAGCTTATTTTTGTTACTTGCCTATTTGAAATGGGAATTGGGTGATCTCCTAAAGATTAGTGGGAACAGAGCTGAAACCAAAGAGATATTTAGAGCCCATGATTGTGGAGATATTAAGTCTCCCTTCCTCAGGGCCAAAATGGATAATGAACATCAACAGTGGGAGGGCCCAGCCATTTGGCCAAACTTATGCCAGTAAAATCACTATCTTTCTCACCTACCACATTCCTATTAATCAACTCCCAGTGACCCAGGTCCAATGGTATTTTGTTATTGCTTATGTGAAAAGAAAGCATCATAGCAAATTGATTCTTGAAGTTTCTCAAGAGCTTATCTCTCACATTCTCCAACTGTCCATCCCAGTTTTACTCCTCAGCATGTAAAGATGATTCTCATACCTCACATCAACTCCCTAACCTTGAATAAGTCTCTTGATATATAAGGACATGAATACAGGGAAATTATAAAACCACAGTGGCTCAGAGATGAGACATACGAAAAGTTAATTTAGTACGAATTTGTCCTAACACAGGAACACCCCTGCAAATGCTGAGTGAGCCTCCATGCTAACAGATGAAATGATTGAGGCTCATTACTCTGTCAGGCAGTCCATTGTCCTACTGGACAACTCTCTTTTTTAAAAAGTCCAAGTACCATTCTTTCATACTCATCTGCCTTAAGAAGCTCTGGAAATCACTGTCATAAATGAATTCTTCCTATACAAACTGAGCTGCAGAGGATAATTTTCATTAATTATGTAAATCATAATAGGAAAAATAAGATTTTTCCAAGAAGTTTATAATTCCTAGTATATATTAATACATCAATAATCAATCTTAATTGTATGTAATGAAGAATTGAGATGATTATTTCTTTGGAATTCTGGAATATATAAATAAATTCTGAATAACAAGGCAACTGTAAAGTTCTTCAACAGTTTGTTCAACTTTCCATATAGCTTACCTATTGCCAGCCATGAACTTCATGTCCAAGAGTTCTGCTCGATGTCCCATTTTTGGTATTCTAGGAATAGCAACTTACAGAAATATTCTTCTCTTGTATGGCACCTATTAAAAAATTATTGGGTGTCTGGCATATGCCAGGAATTTTTACATGCATGTTCATACAAAAATGTGACATTTAAGTGTGTGACACCTAAATGCAATTCATGTTCTACCATATGCATCCTCTGTCTAGCTTGATTAATTTATCTATGATTATATTTTAAATAATCCTTTTGTCCACCCATTCAGTTCTTGTTTTCAGTTTGCCAAGTCCCCTTTTGCATTGTCTGGCTCTGTGTAATAATCAAAGGAAACTTTCACAGGACCAGATCTGAATCAACTTAAAAGTACGATATATTTCTTTTTCACTTCCTAACTTCCAGAGCAATGAAAGATGAAGTTAATTGTTTAAAAAATGTATTTTTTTTTCTTTTTTGCAAACGAAAAGAGTATTCTGGTATTTTCAAGTGTTCTGGTATTCATAGAAACATGTAAATTTTAAGTTATAATAGAAATGGAGTGTCTGCACTGGTTTATTCCTCATAACAAACCCTTCCTACACATAACTCAGTGAAGGAGTTACCTTACTAATGGCTCCTGGACTAATCCTCAGGGATTCAAGAAACTGCTTCTTGCTCTTTGCCTATATTTCATTCCCAATCCTCTTTAGTTACTCTCTTCTAGGATTCTTTTAGCCCAGCCTATACCCTTCAGAATGGCCTCTACCTATTGGTAGTTTAGTTTGATGTTGTCTTTGGGTACTGTATCTCACATCAACGTTCTGCTCTCCTGTGGAGACATTTCACAAATGATAATGTTCTACACCTTTTCCCCAATACTCTTGTCAAAACTGACTTACATCTGTGGTGAAGAGTTCTACTGCTTACTGAATGACTAATTATCTGTATTAGGTAGGCCCATGTGACTAGTTCTGGCAGGGGCTTTAAGCAAAATTACATGTGTCACTTATAGTACAATGCATAGAAGAGCAGATATGCGTACTTTATGTTTTCTATTTCTTGTTCATGTGACCTTTGATATCCTGTATTCCCGATGGTGCAGTCTGAGTCCCTGAGTGACTGTAGAGGAAAGCTCTCCAACCCTGACCACAAATCTACTGTAATTTGGATGAGCAACACATAAACATTTATTGAATTAGGCCACTGAGATTTATTTTTTAATTTAATTTAATTTAATTTTAAGTTCCAGGATACATGTCCAGGATGTGCAGGTTTGTTGCATAGGTAAACGTGTGCCATGGTGGTTTGCTGCACCTATCAACTTATCACCTAGGTATTAAGCCCCTCATACATTAGCCGTTTATTCTGATAAGCTTGAGGCATCAAACTACCTGACTTCAAACTATACCACAAGGCTACAGTAACCTAAACAGCATGGTAGTGGTATAAAAACACATGCATAGACCAATGGAAAAGAATAGAGATCTCAGAAATAAGACTGCACATCTACAATCATCTGATCTTAGACAAACCTGACAAAAAAAAAAAAAAAGCATGGGGGAAAGGATTCCCTATTTAAAAAATGGTGCTGGGAAAACTGGCTAGCCATATGCAGAAAACTGAAACTGGACCCCTTCCTTACATTTTATACAAAAATTACCTCAAGATGGATTAAAGACTTAAATATAAAACCAAAAATTATAAAAACCCTAGAGATTTCAAGTTTATTTTGTTATTGAAGCATAGCATAGCCTTTCCTGACCAGTAAAAGTTCTTATTACCTTCTCTTGAAAATGTTTTTGAGACGGAGTTTCTCTCTTGTTGCCCAAGCTGGAGTGCAATGGCACGATCTCAGCTCACTGCAACCTCTGCCTCCCGAGTTCAAGTGGTTCTCCTGCCTCAGCCTCCTGAGTACCTGAGATTACAGGCATGCATCACCATGCGCAGTTAATTTTTTGTATTTTTAGTAGAAACAGAGTTTTACCATGTTAGCCAGGCTGGTCTCAAACTCCTCACTTCAGGTGATCCTCCCACCTTCTGCCTCCCAAAGTGCTAGGATTACAGACGGGACCACCGCGCCTGGTCAAGAATCTTAATTGATGAAATTAAGACTGAATTGGTCACACTTTTCCGACATTATCAGCCTTCCACACTAGATAGTAAATTTTTCAATGACAGAAGTTTGTCTCAGTCATTTATCCCCCTAGTTTTAGCCTGACACAAAATAATTAACTTTTTAAATAAAATAGATTAACTTCTCAGCTCTGACCTCAACCTTATGGAAGATCTTACTGGGTTCTGTTTTCTACTAACTTTCCCCCAATCACCTGCTCCATTTAGCAATAAAATGTAATTGCAGCCTCACTGACCCAGTTGAAAGCTCATGGATCACTTTTTGGCTTTTAACTTCTGTTTCACATCCAGGCTTTTGTTTTCAATCCCCCCTCAGGTTCAGATCTTGCCATCTCTGTCTTGATTCTTGGGCTGGCCTGAAATCTCAGGAACTTAGAAACAGGGTGTTAATAATTAAAAACATGGCCATTATCAAATTCCCTGCCTTGCTAGAATGCAAACAATTTTAGTAAAATGCAAATTGATTTTCCATCCAACTTCTCGAAATAAATTATTTTCATTTCATCACCAAATAAAGCTATTTACAAATGTTTTCAACTTTATTAAACTAGCACTGGCTTAGTAATTTCCCATCCCTTATATATAACTAAACATAAAAACATCTTGGATGAACAACAAAGCTGGGACCCAACCCAACCCATTCTTTCAAATCCAGCCTTTGGTCAGAGGAAATGACATAGTAATGGCTTTCACAAGCAGATGAGTGCTGCATCTGAGCACATTTCCAATCATAGAATCCAAATTTCCTGTCCCATTAGGTTTTGAATTCTGATATCCTGTCCTAACACTATAACACTGGCAGTTTTGCCCATGTTTAACCTCAAATCTTAGTATCAGAATTACCCCATGGAGCTTTTCAAAAACATGTATGTTTAAGCCTCACCCATGAAATTTCTATTTAGAAAGTACAGAGTAGAGGCCAGGCACGTATATGAGAAAAAAAATCCACCAGTGATTCTGATGGTCACCCTTAGTTAATAATTACTGACTTAGACCATTATAAAGTGTGTATATATATATACGCACACAAAAATATATATATATATTATGTATATATACTTTTATACATAATAAATATATATGTATATATATGTATTTTTAAGTGTGCTTCTGACTATTTAAAAGGTAGCAGCAGCATTTCTTGGTCTTCACTGCTGACATCCATGCAGAAGGCATTCACTTTAGGATTCTTTAAGTGTTCCTAATTGACTCCTATCAAGCCTTCTTAACATCAGCATATTCAGATTTTTAGAAGCAGTGACAATATTTCAGAAATTCACTTTTACATAATTTTTACCAGTTTATATGAAATTATAAATGTTATTTATATGGCCAACTCATAACTAATTAAACCTGGCTTGATCTTTTCAAATGGAAATGAGTCCAGGCTATGGGAGAGAAAATTATTTCTTATGATTTGAGCCCTAAATTCCAAACATTCCAAATTGCCTGTAATTATCATTCATAAATTCCCTTTTGAATCTTATTATATTTGCATCCTGATTTATAGAACAAGAATAAAATACCTCTAACTCTTGAAGGAAAATGGTTGTATTCTCAGTGTTTTTCTAAAAACTTTTAGGAAAAGCTTTTTCTTTCTATTTGAGATATTTTTGTGAATGTTCAAGTTTGAGACACAGTGATCAAGGTGTGATTCCATTATAAAGGCATTCTGTCCAATAAGTTTAATTCTAATACCATGTTTTATTTCATGCTGTCAAAAAAATTCCTAATTATAAGTTTGCTACCCAAGTAGAATTCTCCTCTTGAAAAAATAGCCTGCTGATCCATCACCTTAGCAGTAATTATGCTGTTTAAATTAATAAGTTAAAATTTGTGTTTCTATACAACCAGTCTCTTCTGAATATAACTAGTTTTGTTTAATACTCCACAGCTGATAAATCTGAGTTTCTGATCTTATTAAATTGAAAGCTAGAGTCTGATCCATTGTGACCCAACCAAGTCATCTCTCTATGGAATCCGTCTTTATATGTCACCGGATGGCATCTCTATTTTTGTTGTAGTTGCTGTTGTTCTTGTTGATTCTGTCACAAAAAGAAATTTCTAAATTTCATTATCTACGGTATTGTATAGAACACATTGCTCTCTTTTCTTCATTTTTTCCCAAAATAAGTATTTTATATATTTATTTTTTATTATTATACTTTAAGATCTAGGGTACATATGCACAACATGCAGTTTTGTTACTTAGGTATACATGTGCCATGTTGGTGTGCTGCACCCATTAACTTGTCATTTACATTAGATATTTCTCCTAATGGTATCCCTCCAGCCTCCCCCCACCCCACGACAGAACCCAGGGTGTGATGTTCTCTGCCCAGTGTCTAAGCGTTCTCATTGTTCAGTTCCCACCTATGAGTGAGAACATGTGGTGTTTGGTTTTCTGTCCTTGTGATAGTTTGCTCAGAATGATGGTTTCCAGCTGCATCCATGTCCCTGCAAAGGACATGAACTCATCCTTTTCTATGGCTGCATAGAATTCCATCGTGTATACGTGCCACATTTTCTTAATCCAGTCTTTCATTGATGGACATTTGGGTTGGTTCCAAGTTTTTGCTATTGTGAATAGTGCTGCAATAAACATACATGTGCATGTGTCTTTATAGTAGCATGATTTATAATCCTTTGGGTATATACCCAGTAATGGGATCACTGGTTCAAATGGTATTTCAAGTTCTAGATCCTTGAGGAATCGCCACACTGTCTTCCACAATGGTTGAACTAGTTTACACTCCCACAAACAGTGTAAAAGCCTTCCTATTTCTCCACATCCTCTCCAGCATCCATTGTTTCCTGACCTTTTAAGGATCGCCATTCTAACTGGTGTGAGATGGTATCTCATTGTGGATTTCATTTGCATTTCTCTGATGACCAGTGATGATGAGCATTTTTTCATGTGTCTGTTGGCTGCATAAATAAATAAACCAGCACCTGGATTCACTGATTTTTTGAAGGGTTTTTTGTGTCTCTATCTTGTTCAGTTCTGCTCTGTTCTTAGTTATTTCTTGCCTTCTGCTAGCTTTTGAATTTGTTTGCCCTTGCTTCTCTAGTTCTTTTAATTGTGATGTTAGGGTGTTGATTTTAGATCTTTCCTGCTTTCTCCTGTGGGCATTTGTGCTATAAATTTCCCTTTACACACTGTTTTAAATGTGTCCCAGAGATTCTGGTATGCTGTGTCGTTGTTCTCATTGGTTTCAAAGAACATCTTTATTTCTGTCTTTATTTTGTTATTTACCTCGTAGTCATTCAGGAGCAGGTTGTTCAGTTTCCATGTAGTTGAGCGGTTTTGAGTGAGTTTCTTAATCCTGAGTTCTAATTTGATTGCACTGTGCTGTGAGAGACAGTTTGTTGTGATTTTTGTTCTTTTACATTTGCTGAAGAGTGCTTTACTTCCAACTATGTGGTCAATTTTGGAATAAGTGCAATATGGTGCTGAGAAGAATGTATATTCTGTTGATTTGGGGTGGAGAGTTCCGTAGATGTCTATTAGGTCAGCTTGGTGCAGAGCTGAGTTCCAGTCCTGGATATCCTTGTTAACATCCTGTCTCATTGATCTGTCTAATATTGAGAGTGGGGTGTTAAAGTGTCACATTATTATTGTGTGGGAGTCTAAGTCTCTAAGGACTTGCTTTATGAATCTGGGTGCTCCTGTATTGGGTGCATATATATATTTAGGATAGTTATATCTTCTTGTTGAATTGATCCCTTTACCATTATGTAGTGGCCTTCTTTGTCTCTTTTGATCTTTGTTGGTTTAAAGTCAGTTTTATCAGAAACTAAGATTGCAACTCCTGCTTTTTTTTCTTTTTTTTTTTTGCTTTCCATTTCCTTGGTAGATCTTCCTCCATCCCTTTATTTTGAGCCTATGTGTGTCTCTGCACATGAGATGGGTCTCCTGAATACAGCACACTGATGGGTCTTGACTCTTTATCCAATTTGCCAGTCTGTGTCTTTTATTTGGGTAATTTAGCCCATTTACATTTAAGGTTAATATTGTTATGTGTGAATTTGATCCTGTCATTATGATGTTAGCTGGTTATTTTGCTCATTAGTTGATGCAGTTTCTTCCTAGCATTGATGGTCTTTACAATTTGGCATGTTTTTTCAGCGGCTGGTACTAGTTGTTCCTTTCCATGTTTAGTGCTTCCTTCAGGAGCTCTTGTAAGGCAGGCCTGATGTTAACAAAATCTCTCATCATTTGCTTGTCTGTAAAGGATTTTATTTCTCCTTCACTTATGAAGCTCAGTTTGGCTGGATATAAAATTCTGGGTTGAAAATTCTTTTCTTTAAGAATGTTGAATATTGGCCCCCACTCTCTTCTGGCTTGCAGAGTTTCTGCTGAGAGATCTGCTGTTAGTCTGCTGGGCTTCCCTTTGTGGGTAACCCAACCTTTCTCTCTGGCTGCCCTTAACAATTTTTTTCCTTCATTTCAACCTTGGTGAATCTGACAATTATTTGTCTTGGGGTTGCTCTTCTCAAGGAGTATTTTTGTGGTGCTCTCTCTATTTCCTGAATTTGAATGTTGGCCTGCTTTGCTAGGTTGGGGAAATTCTCCGGGATAATATCCTGCGGAGTGTTTTCCAACTTGGTTCCATTCTCCCCGTCACCTTCAGGTACACCAATCAAATGTAGATTTGGTCTTTTCACATTGTCCCATCTTTCTTGGGGGCTTTGTTCATTTCTTTTTACTCTTTTTTCTCTAAACTTCTCATTTTATTTTATTAATTTGATCTTCAATCACTGATACTCTTTCTTCCAATTGATCAAATCAGCTATTGAAGCTTGTGCATGTGTCACGTAGTTCTCGTGCCATGGTTTTCAGCTCCATCAGATCACTTAAGGTCTTCTCTACATGTTTATTCTAGTTAGCCATTCGTCTAATCTTTTTTCAAGGTTTTTAGCTTCCTTGCAATGGGTTCCAACATCCTCCTTTAGCTCAGAGACGTTTGTTATTACCGACCTTCTGAAGCCTACTTCTGTCAGATCATCAAAGTCATTCTCCATCCAGCTTTATTCTGTTGCTGGTGAGTAGCTGTGATCCTTTGGAGGAAAAGAGGCTCTGTGGTTTTTAGAATCTTCAGCTTTTCTGTTCTGGTTTCTCCCTATCTTTGTGGTTTTATCTACCTTTGGTCTTTGACGTTGGTGACCTACAGATGGGGTTTTGGTGTGGTCGTCCTTTTTGTTGGTGTTGATGCTATTCCTTTCTGTTTGTTAGTTTTCCTTCTAACAGTTAGGTCCCTCAGCTGCAAGTCTGTCAGAGTTTGCTGGAGGTCCACTCCAGACCCTGTTTGCCTGGGTATCACCAGCAGAGGCTCAGTTTGAAATGTAGAAATCACCCATCTTCTGTGTTGATTGTGCTGGGAGCCGAAGTCCAGAGCTGTTCCTATTTGGCCATCTTGAAACGGAATCCCAAAGTAATTATCATAAAGGTCAAGGAGGGCTTGCTAAGCCCTAATGTCTGAAATTTAATGAAAAAGTTTATATTTTTCCTTAGTATTCCTTTTTTTTGTTTTTATAAACATTGATAGTCTCCCAGTGATTAATGTTTATTTTGTTCTTTAAATGCCATTCCATTAAAATTCTGACTTGTTAAATCTTTTATTTCTAAAGAATGATGGGTTTTATTTCATACTCTTGTTAACACTTACAGATATATTTAGTGGGAGCTTGTTTCATGTTGTAAGGAATGACAAATAACAGTTACAACATTCTTACAATAACCATGGCTCTATGCAGTGAGTACACTACTCTTACAATACAATCACGTACTTTGTCCAAAAATTTCTCTTTGTAGACTTCTCGTTCTGCACTTCCAAGATTAGATCCTGGAACGTCTGTAACTGATATTGATGTTGAACTAGTTAGCTGTGAATTTCTGAGAACTGTTTTAATGGTGTTTTAATTTATACCAAATTTCCACAATTGGCTGAACACAGTTGATCTTCATGGCTGTTTTGTTCCACTGATTGCTTGCTTGCTCTTGAGTGTGATTTTTGGAGGACGATTTATAGTATATTGAGGAGAATCAAGAAAAGAGAAAAATTATAACTGTGTGATTTAGAAGGATGTCTGACAGTCATTTAAAACAGCAAAATTTATACACACCAATTTCTTATTCTAATATTCCATGTTAGCATCTGAAAAAATATCTTACTTCAGTATTTTTAAAAATTTAAATGTATTATAACACTAGAAACAAAACAAAACAAAAAAATAAAAACTAGAAAGAACTTTTAGATGTGGAAAGCGAGAAGGAAAACACTTACTGCCTATATGTTAGGACTGGTTAATGTATTGGTCTCTAAGCTGATGTGGTACTGACTGAGTAATAGCCATCAAAAGAGTCCTAGTTTGTAAATATAAGCTTGAAAATACTGCAGCAGAGTGATTTTCTAAGTGTGGCGGTGAATCACAAACATAAAAATCACCATGAATGCTTGTTAAAGAATAAGCATAGGTTTTAAGTATGGACTAGACAGTCAAAATCTAAAAAAATAGGTCCAAAAATTTATATTATTAAGAGGCTCACTCAGATAATTCCTATGCATGCTAAGGTTGTGGAAGCACAGCTATAGTTTGTGTGTGTGTGTATGTGTGTGTGTGTGTGTGTGTAATGTGTATTTCATTTCTTTTATTTGTTTTCCCTACTGTTTACTGAGTGAGAATTCTATGTAGAACCCAAGACTTGTCAATCAACAGCTAAGGGAATGAAACACTTTGCACTTGATGAGAATCAACATGGTTTTCCTGAAGATATTTCAACCCATGTTGGACATTCGAGATCTGATCCAAAATAAAGAGGTTCATCCCCCTTGGACTTCAGCCTTGCCCTGCATACATCTTTTCTATCTCATTGGTAAGTGTCAAAATGTCAATGAAGATAAAATAAAAGGGAATGTTTCTGTTTGCTTATATGCTGGCTTAGTGATTTTATTTGATAGAGAAAACAAAGCCTCACCAACTACAAACAGCTATTTTGCTAAGCCCAGAGTTGATGCAGTAAAATATGTGCTTTGGGGAAAATATGTGCTTTGGGGAACTTGTTCATAGTTAGTCTTGAGGTTGACATTAGCAGTTGTGTTACAGAATGAAGTTATTTACTGATGATTACAATAATCTGAGATGTCTGGAGGACAAGGATTACATATAGAACAGAAACACAAACATTAGGGAGACATTATCATTGAGGATATGAAAAAGACTCATAGCTTACTGAAATACATTCTTTTGCATTTTTTCAGACATGTTCTTATGCTAGCTATCATTTTGTGCTCAGAAAATAACCTAAATTCCCAAAAAGGAATATTAGAGTCCATCCCCTTCAATGAATTTTTTCATGATGAACATAATGAAAAATAAAAGCACCTGCTATAACAAGTATAAATTCACTTTCCCCTTGACCTTCCAATAGACAAAAGATCTAGGAGACAAAATACGAGGCTCAGACTAATGGCTTTTTAAGAAGTTCACTCTAATGGAAGCCAGACTCCCTCTCCACCACAGTGGCCTCTCCTAGTATAAATTCTGTAAGAAAAAAACATACATCAATGGATGAGACTTCACCAGAGGCAGATCTGGGGGCAAAGACAGAATTACCACAAAGCTCATGAAATTTAGGCTTGAGTCTTTCACTTGCATTTGCTCATTCTGAGGTCATCTGGTGGGACCTAGCAATGTATTCATGGAGTCATACATTGTTTTTATTTTTTTTCTGTAAGATTTGCAAAATGAAGATGCCTTTAACGAAATCAGTTAAGATTACTTTCGCTTTCTCCACTGTCGCCATTCTTCTGCTGGGTAGCATAAGAAGTGGATATTATGGGTATATGGCTAAGGGGAAATTGAGTTGGGAAATTTAGTTAGGATTTGGTGGTATAAAATTATGTGGTATATAGTCACCTCTATGTCTCATTAAGTTATGGCTAACTGTTACAGTGTACTACTAGCACTTTCAGGGACATGTCTACTTCTTACTGCACTGACAGCACTTGCTTTGTGTGTAAATGAGTAAGACCAGTTGTCTGATTGTAATATAAATGTGTTTTACGGTTGTTGGTACTGGGATTCTATGGGCTGTGGAAGCAAAAAAAGTTTGAAATGTGTAGAATCATATGCTAGTTTGTGGATAATTCTTCTAATCATTGGTTTCATCAACTTATAAGCAGAGCATGTGGCTTCCTTTGTTCTCTTTTGTCAGGAAAACACTTAAAAATGCCATATATTCAAGTATGCAATGCAATGTAACTTTTTTCATTTTTGATGAAACGAATGAGAAACAGAATTTATCATGTTGCCTCTATTTCTTGTCAGTAGTACAAAAAGCAAGCATACATGTGTATGAAGAAGTAAGTTTCAACATTCCAACTGCATGTAATGTAACTCAAATTTTGTTTACTCCATCTTGAGAAAGACTTTCTCTTTTCCCTGTAGAAAAGAGAAAGTTTTAAAAAAGTGGTAGAAAGTGGTTTTACAAAATCTTTGTCATGTGAAATAGTGATCAAATATTACAAAGCCAAAACAAGCAGAAAATAAATTAGAGAAGGATGTTTGTATGACCTTTGTGGGCATTTAAAATATGTGATTTGCTGTGCTATTTTCTCTTGTTCTACATGAATGATTACTTTTATACCCTATGTCTTTTCCATGAAAAATGACCATCACATTTTATAAGCTTCAGGCCCCATAAATTCTTTTTTTTGTCCTTCCTAGGAGGGCTAAGTAGAGTATATTAAAATGTCTAAAATATTCAAATGAAATTTAATGTGGCTCTGAACAAAAGTCGCCAAAACTGTATAGAGTAGCATTAAACCATATCAAGTCTCTGCCTCTCAATCTTTCATTCTCTCTTACACACACAGGCACATACAACACACACAAATACAGAACCTGTCTAGTCTTTTCGTACTTTAGAGAACAGAACAGACATTCGCAACATTCAACGTTATAATTTACATAGGAGATCAATCACCCTTACAAAGAGAAGTCTGAAGTGGGTTTTATTTTCTTGTTTCTTCAAAAAGGCAAATACTTCTATTTTATTGACACCAAATCAACTGGGAAAGTACGCTCTTCTCAAGACCCTATGTCTCTAAACAATGCTTATCTGCTTTGTGTGTCTGAGAACAATCTTTAAACTCCTCTTATATTCCTGAGAAGTTGTCTCTGATTATTTATGCTGCAGACGCTAACTAGTAAAACAACTCAAAACCACTCAGGAAAAAAACGTTCAGTTCTCTCTGGGAAAACCATAGAAAAGAAACCTCTTGATCAGATGAATAAATCATATAAGTAAATCTACAAAACTAATGATGATTTTATTTTTTTGTACACTATCTATAAAACAAAGAGAAGTCGTTTGGCTGGGTGCTTTTACAGTAAAAGAAACTTGAAAAGTTCTCATTTAGTTCGATATTCACACTGAAGTCTTGGAAGCTAAGCAGGTCAGTGTCAGGCTCTGTACCAGCCTCTTTGCCCTTGGTCCACTCCTATGCCCTCTCCAGCACTCTGACAAGAGACAGCAGGACTATAGTAACAATGGATTCAAGTTCAGCATCCCAAATTAAACTCAGGGCTTAAGAAATAGATGGAGAGGTGGAGCAAGATGGCAGAATAGAAGGCTACACCAAGCATCCCCTCCCTACCCCCTCTCGTCTCCTGCCACAAAGCCACCAATTTAACAACTATCAACACAGAAAAAAAACACCTTCCTAAGAACCAAAAATCAGATGAGCCCTCGTAGTACCTGGTTTTATAACTTCATATTGCTGAAAGATTCACTGAAAAAATAGAAAAAACACTCCTGAATTTCAAATGCCATCCCTTCCCCAGCCAAGGCAACAACAGTGGCATGGTGCAGAGAGCTTCTCTGGGCACTGGGGGAGGGATAACGCGGCAATTGTGAGGCATTGAACTCAGTGCCGTTCTGTTGGAGCAAAAAGGAAAAGCAGACCAAACTCAACTGATGCCCATGCACAGAGGGAACATTTAAACCAGCCCTAGCTAGAGGAGAATCATGAATCCCAGCAGTTAGAACTTGAGTACCTACAAACCTTGCCACAGAGGGCTACAGCACTCTCTGTCTTCAAGTAAATTTGAAAGGCAATCTAGGCCATAAGGACTGCAAATCTTAGTTGGGTCCTAGTGCTGAACGAGGCCCAAAGACAGGAGACTGGCGGGACATGCAACATACTGAGACAACAGCTATGGCAGCCAAGGGAGTGCTGCCATCTCTCCTCGTCTACACCCAGGCTGCACAGCTCATGGCTTCAGAAAAGACCTCTTCCTTCTGCTTGAAGAGAGAAAAGGAAAGAGTGGGGAGGACTTTGTCTTGCATCTTGGATACCAGCTCAGCCACAGCAAGACAGGACACTGATAAAAGTCATGAGGCCTCCATTCCAGGCCCTCTAGGTCTCAGATGACATTTCTAGACACACCTTGGGCCAGAAAGGAGCCTACTGCTTTGAAGGAAAGGACACAGTGTCTCCAGCAGTCATTACCTGCTAATTGAAGAGTCCTTGCACCCTGAATAACCAGCAGTGATACCCAGGTAGTACATCAAGGGCCTTGGATGAGCCTCTGAGACTTGCTGTCTTCAGGTGAGACTCAGCACATTACCCACTAGGTTGGCTACAGGGCAAAACTCATTCTGCTTGAGAAAAGCAGAGGGAAAAGTAAAGGAAATTTTGTCTAGCACCTTAGGTACCAGCATGGCCACAGAGGGGTAGGACACTGAGGGGGTTCAAATATAATCTTATATTTGAAAAAACCTAAAGACTCTGCAAGAAAACTATTAAAACTGATAACAAATTTAGTAAAGTTGTAGGATGCAAAATCAACATACAAAAATCAGTATCATTTTTAAATGCCAACAGTGTACAATGTGAAAATGAAATAACAAAGTAATCCCATTTACAATAGCCACATATAAAATTAAATACTTAGGAATTAACCAAGGAGTGAAAGATCACCATAATGAAAACTGTGAAACACTGATGAAAGAAATTGAAGAGGACACCAAAAAATGGAAAAATATTCCATGTTTGTGGATTGGAAAAATCAATATTGTTAAAATATCTATACTACCCAAAGCAATCTACAAATTCAATGCAATCCCTGTAAAAATACCAATGACATTCTTCACAGAAATAGAAAAAAAAGTCCTAAAATGTATGTGAAACCACAGAAGACCCAGAATAGCCAAAGCTCTCCTAAGCAAAAAGAACTAAACTGGAGGAATCATACTACCTGACTTCAAATTACACTACAGAGCTATAGTAACCAAAACAGCATGGTACTGGCATAAAAACAGACATGTAGACCAATGGAACAGAATAGAGAACCCAAAAACAAATCCACACACTTAATGTGAGCTCATTTTTGATGAAGGTGCCAAGAACATACACTGGAGAAAATACTGTCTCCTCAATAAATGATGTTGGGAAAACTGGATATACAGATACAAAGAATGAAACTTGACCTTTTTCTATCACCATTTACAAAATCAAATCAAAATGGACTAAAGACAAATCTAAGACCTCAAACTATGAAACTGCTACAAGAAAACATTGGGGAAAATCTCCAGGACATTGGTTGGTCTGGACAAAAAATTTCTTAAGCAGTACCCCACAAGCACAGCCAACCAAAGCAAAAATGAACAAATGGCATCACATCAAGTTAAAAAACTTCTGCACAGCAAAGTAAGCAACCAATAAAGTGAAGAAATGAGCCACAAAATGGGAGAAAATATTTGCGAACTACCCATCTGAGAAAGGATTAATAACCAGAACATATAAGGAGCTCAAACAACTCTATAGGAAAAAAAATTTAGTAATCTGATTTTTAAAAAATGGGCAAAACATTTGAATAGCCATTTCTCAAAAGAGGACATACAAATGGAAAAAAGACATATGAAAAGGTGATCATCAGAGAAATGCAAATAAAAACTACAGTGAAGGGAATGTAAATTAGTACAACCACTATGGAGAACAGTTTGGAGGTTCCTCAGAAAACTAAAAATTGAGGTATGATATTATCCAGCAATCCCACTGTTGATATATACCCAAAAGAAAGGAAATAAGTGTATCAAAGAGATTCCTGCACTCCTAAGTTTGTTGTAGCACTGTTGACAAGAGCTAAGATTTGGAAGCAAACTTAGTGTCCATCAACAAATGACAGGATAAAGAAAATGTGGCACATATATACAATGTGGTATTATTCAGCCATAAGAAAGAATGAAATCCAGTCATTTGTAACAACATGGATGGAATTGGAGATTATTAAGTGAAATAAGCCAGACACAGAAAGACAAACCTTGCATGTTCTCACTTATTTGTGGGATCTAAAAATCAAAACAATTGAACTGATGAACGTAGAGAGTAGAAGGATGGTTCCTAGAAGTTGGGAAATAAAGTGGTGGGATTGCGGGGAGGTGGGGATGAATAATACATACAAAACAACAGTTAGAAAGAATGAATAAGACCTACTATTTGATAGCACAACAGAGTGACTATAGTCAATAATAACTTAATTGTACATTTTTAAATAACTTAAGGCATGCAATTATATTATTTGTAACTCAAAGGACAAATGCTTGAGGGAACGGATACCCCATTCTCCATGATATGTTCATTTCACATTGCATGTCTGTATCAAAACATCTCATGCACCCCGTAAATATATATACCTAGTATGTCCCACAAAAATTAAAAATAAAAATAAATTTAAAAAAGAAATAGATTTCAGACTTTTGAATAATTTGGGAATGCTATGAAAAACTAAAGCCAAAAAAATTGCAATAGTATGTAAAGATTAAATCATCATTCATTCAGCAAATATCTGTTGAATACCAATTATGACCTCATTAACTGGACTCTAAGGAAGTAAGTATGAAACAATGAACAGGGCAGACATACACCTTTCTTATTTAAGTAACAATATGTAACTATTTAATTAAAATATAGAAATATAGTTATAAACAATTGTTAAAAATTATTTAATTACAGTTGTGATGAGTTATTAGAGAAATGTATATTATGCAATGAAACTATATAACAAGGGAAATCAATTCTAGTAATTGAGACTTCTCTGAGGAATAGATATTAAATCCAGACCCAGAGGATGATTGAGTCTTAAACAGGCAACGGGAGAGAGTTGGGAAATTGTGAAGGACTTGAAACAGCAAAATCTCATTGCACTCAAGGCAGAGAAAAATAGGTCATTGTGGCTACAGAGAAATGAGCAGGAGGGTGGTAGCACAATATGAGATCAGAAAGACTAGCATGAGCCAGGTCATGTAACCTGCCTTGAGCTTTATATTAAGGGCCAAGAGATTTCAGAAAAGACTTCTAGGCAGGGGAGTGAGTTGCTGGTGTTGTGAGAAGGGAAACACTTCTTTACCATAATCCTTAGCAAAAAGAGGTAAACAAATGAAACTAACAAGGCTGTTCCTTATGGGAGAAGTTGCTGAAAGAAAACTAGACTGTAAATCACAGACATCTGTTCATGGGGGAGCCTGGGGAAAGCAATTAAGTATAGACTGGTGGTTTAGAGAAGAGAAGAAGTGCAGCGAAGGCCAAAGAGAGGGTAGGCTACCTTGGACTCTAGGCAACTCTCTGTGAAAACACACATCTTCAGTAAAACTACAAAAATGAGAATAAGTTTAATGGGACTAGATTTCTCGTGAAAGGTGCAAGAGGTGTATTTTCCACCAAGTTCACTGAGAAGATGCACTACAAATAGCTCACAAAGATCCATGAATAGAAAAGGAAGGAAGCTTGAGGAAATCAGGTCAGTAATTACAACAGCTACCATTTAATTAGCAGTTTCTATGTGACAGGCTGTGCTGAGCTACTTACTTGCATGTCTTCATCTTATCCTCACAGAGTTTGTGGGCCATAGTATAGTTATCTTCATTTATCAGAAATGGAGGTTTAGAAAGGTTAAGTAATTTGCAGAGATCACAAATATTAGGTGGCAAAGCCAGTTTGAATACAGGCAACCTAACTTTGGAGCTCAGCTTTTAACCAGTATAGTAATTTCACTGGGATTGTGTAGAGGACATTCGAGTCATCCATATTTTGAAGTTTTCAGTAATATCTAAATCTTCAAAAAGAGAGAAGCCCCTAAGGAATATTCTATATACTTTCATTCATTTGTTTATCCAGCATATCTTAACAGTCTATTATATGTTCATTATTGTTCTAGGCACTAGGGACAAAATGGTGAGCACCAGCAAAGTTCTTCTCATGAGGCTGGCAATATTCATGAGAAGTTTGGTTGGATTGGGGCTGGAAAAAGATATTAATCAAGTATGCACAGTAATTGTCCATTTTAAACTCTATTTGATATGCTATGACAAAATATTATTTGAAAATTTGATTTAGTAGAATTTGTATAAGTGAAAGATTTTATCCAGTTAGGAAGATATGTCAGGGCTTTCCTGGAAAAGTGACAATTACATTTCAATTTGAAGGATATTCAAGAGTTAACAAGTCAAAGTAACTGGGGCTGAAAGGAAACGGGGATGACCACTCCAGACAGGAAGAAAACCCACAAAGGTCTTGTGGCAAGAAGTAACACGGAAGGGACAAGGTACAGAAGGGAGGCCAATGTGTCTGGAAAGTTAGTGCAATGACAGACACACAGGGTGAGATAAGGCTGCAAAGGAAGTTGAGGAGGATGAGGTAAGGGTTTGTGGGCTATGTTAAGAATATAAGCCTCTATGATAAGAGCATAGGAACAGATTTGCGTTTTGACAAGATCACCCAGTCTCCTGTATTGAGAATGGATTTGACCGAGGTAAGAGCAAATGTGGGAGTCTAGTAAAAAAGTTACTGAAAAATTCCAGGCACAAAATGATAGAAAACTTGAACTAGAGTGAAGGTAGTACATATGAAGAGAAATGAATAAATTAGGGGGAAACTTGGAAGGTAATATTGAGAGCACTTGGTGAAGGATTCAATTAAGGATTGAGGAAGAGTGAAATGTTGCTAAGTTTCTGCCTTACAAAATTCAGAGAATAGCAGTGTCATTTACAGTGGTAAAGAACAAAAAAACTGACAAGGTTTCAGGAGGAGCTCATAAGTTTGGCTTTGCAGATGTTGAGGTTTAGGCTCTCTTGAGCTATTCAAGAAGAGATGCAAATAGGCACCTGCATTCTATCTGAAAGTAAGTGGAAAAGTATGTGCTGGAGATGCAAGCTTAGTATACCTTGTGTATACATTGTCATTTAAAGTAATAGGATGGATAAAATTGCCCAGAGAAAAAGGGCATAGAAGACAGTTATCCTTTGGTATTCACAGAAAATTGATCCCAGGTCCCCCTCCATGGATACCAAAATCCACAGATGTTCGAGTCTCTGATATAAAAAGGCATAGTATTTGCATAGAACTCATGCACATCCTCCTGTATACTTCAATTCTATATTGCTTATAATACATAATACAATGTAAATGCTAGGTAAAACATTGTTACACTGTATTGTTATTTATTTGTATTATTTTTAATTATTGTATTATTACTTTATATTGCTTTTGTATGTGTGGAATATTTTTAATGTGTGGTTGAATCCACAGATGTGGAATCTGCAGATATGGAGGGCTAACAGTAATCCCAACATTTAATTGCTGGGTAAAGAATGAGGAATCTACTACACAGACAAAAGGAAAATCCAAAAAGATGAGGTTAAAATCTCTTGACAGAGAAAAGGAAAGAAAATGTCTCAAGAAGAGTGGAGACACCCATACTATCGAATGCTATTACAAGGCTAAGTAACATGAGACCTTTAAGTTTCTCTTTGGATTTAGCCACATGGAGGTTGTGGCGTGATGGCAGGCTGTTCCAAACAGGTGATGTGAGCAAAAGTCATACGGGATGGGTTGATGCATGATTAGAAGATTGAGGACTAACCTGAGGAAATGTAGATTTCAAGAATAAGAGAACATTTTTGAGAAGTTTATCTGGAAAGTATAGGAAAAGATGAAGAAAGGATTTCTGGGACATGGAAACTCTTTTGGAGTGGATCAGTCATGAATAGGAGATGGGAAACTGAGATAGGGATGGGAGTCAAAGATAATTCTCAAATGTCTTGTGTGAATGATCAAATGAGTTACAGGGTTGTCTATGAAAAAAAGAAACTACAGGAGTTGCTGCTTTGTGGGGTAGAATATGGATTAAAGTTTGAGCATGTTGAGTTTGGGGTGTCTATAAAAACACCAAATAAAAATAGTCTGTCAAGGCCAGGCATAGTAGCTGACATCTGTAATCCCAACATTTTGGAAGGCTGAGGCAGTAGGATCACTTGAGCCCAGGAGTTCTAGACCTGCCTGGGCAACATAGGCTGCAAAACCCTGTATATGCAAGACCCTGCAAAACCCTGTATTTATTTAAATATTATTTAAAAATTACCCAGGTGTGGGGTGTGCACCTGTGGTTCCATCATCTCAGGAGGCTGGGATGGGAGGGTCACATGAGCCCAGGAGGTCAAGACTGTATTGAGCTGTGATCACACTGCCACTGGACTCCAGCCTGGGAGACAGAGCAAGAACCTGTCTCAAAAAAAAAAAAAAGCCTACCAACAGATGGAATGGGGCTCAGAAGAAAAGGTGAGGTCAAAGATTTTAGTGGGGGCAGCTCTAGATTATACATGGCAGTTAAAGCCATGGAATAGATAAGATATCAAAGAAGAGCATGTACAGAGAGAAGTAAAGAAAGACTAAGTCCAGCCTGGAGGATCCCTATCACTTAAAAAAATCACAGTATGGGACAATACATAAAAACAGCAAGCAGAAAGATAGGAGGAAAATCAGAAGTTTCTGTCTTGAAAGACAAAGACAGAAATTGCCTAGGGAAGAAAATTGTCAATTTACATCAAATGATTCTGAAAAGTCAAATAAGATGAGGATTAAAAAGTGTTATTGGATGTAGGGCCATGAAGATCATTGATCACTGTACTGGAAGCTATGGAATAAAGGGTTAGAGTTAGTGTGGGAAGCAAATTTTAGAGTTAACAGGATATAAAGATGAAGAAACATTATGTAGACAATCCTTTCAAGAAGCTTGAAAAGAGTTGAAGAGGTAGTAGTAAAACTGAGAAGGCTATAGGGCTGTAGCAGCTGTAGGTACTATCAGTTAGTTGTACATATTATGTGGCTCTTCATATTCCTGTGGCACCACCTGCCTCCCAGACCATTGGCCCCAGTGCAGGACAACCAATTGTGTTTGGCCAACACAGGTTCACATCTGGGTTCAACTTGCCCTGGGAACACCGAGCCCTCCATTGTGTCTACTTTTTATGCAGCCAAGCTGACAAGCTGCACCCCTCAATTTTTTGGCTTCTCTTGCCATTTCTGAGCTTGGAGGAATCATAACCACACTGACAGAGTCCAGTGTGGAATCTGACATCCAACAGTACCAGACCACAAAATTCGAAACAGGGGAGAAGTGAACTCCTCGAGGGCTACACACTGCTCAATAGAAAACAAGAGCTAGCAGGGAGTTAGGCAAATCAATTTCCTCACCTTTCTTTCTGCCTGGGACTACTAGGGTCACATTTTCTTCTTGCAGCCTGCCTGGAAAAAATTGCAAATGTCAAGCAATTACATCTGTTGAGCAACTGATGTACACCTTAGAGCTTTCATGAGAAGGGGTAGCTATTTGGTAACATCTCATTTAGTATTGCTTTACATTCTTCCTTTTCTCATTTTTTCCCTCTTAAACAAGACATCAACACTTTCATCTTGGTATGAGGCTTTCTAGTTTATAGTAAACCTGAGGTAAAAAAAGGTGGATTCAGGGAGCCCTTTTTTCTTTTTCTTAAAGCGGGGAAGAGGTGAGCATGTCCAATTACTGATGAGAAGAATCTAGTTAGGAGGAAATGTTAGGAGGAATCTAGTTAGGATGCAGGAGAAGGGGAGAATTATCACTGGGGTAAGGTTTTCAAGTAAGGAGGAGGCAGAGGCTCCCTAGCATGCGTGGAAAGTAAAACTAGTTTTTCTGAGCTTTAATTATGTGCCAGGATCTCTTCACAATGATGGAAATTTTTTCTTCATTTTGGTCCTCACACCATCTTCTGAAGTAATTCTTACCGTTGTCTTCATGTTGCAGATGAAGAAACTGAGACACAAAACTTCTAAGGAATTTTCCCAAGTCACACAATTTAGGTGGAAGAGAAATTATTATACATCAAGCTTCTGTTTCTAGAGCAAATATTCTCACTCAGTATATTTTACTGTCTATCTTTCATTAAAGAGGATAATTTATTCTATCGTGATAAGAGGAAAGGAAGAGAGGTTGAATGCAGTTGCAGATTTGAAGATGTTCAGTTTGCGGTGGACTGTACTAGCAGTGAAGAGTAATTGGAAGAAGGGCATTTTGGGAATTTGGCAACAGTAAGAAAAATTGGAAATCATTTCATGTATAGCCTAAGTTCTTGTAATATCCTGCCACCCATTCATATTGCTTCTGCCCTTGTCTTTCTCCAATCTATTCTCAACACAGTAGTAGACTGATTCCATTAAATTCGAGTCAGATCATATCACTGTGCTCAGACACACCAATGACTTCACATCTTGCTCAGTAAGAACCAAACAATTCTTATTAAGACCTGCATGGCACTACACTATTCAATTCTGTCCCTATCTGCCTCCTCTTTGAGCTCGTCTACTTCTCTTCCCCTTGTTTACTCAGCTCCAAACTTCCATGAAAACACCGCTCATGATCTCAGTGCTGTTGCACCTACTACTTCCTCTGCCTGGGATAGAGGACTCTTTCTCAAGACACCCAGGAGGCTGGTTTCTACAGCTCTTTCAGGTTTGCTCAAAAGTTGCCTCTTAGAGAAGCCTTTTCTGGCCACACTCAACTGCCCTACCAATATTTTCTATCTCCTTCTCTTCTATACTATTTTCTTCTTAGCACTTATAATTACCTATCATATATACTTTAATTTTTTGTCTTATTGTCTGTCTTTCCCACTAGAATGTAAAGCTCCTCAAGGAAAGAGCTTCTAATCTATTTTTTTTTTTTCAGTAAGATGTCCTTAGCAGCTAGCATAATGCCTGGCTCATACTACCTTAGTAAATACTTGTTGAATGAATGAATAATTGTGGAGAGTGGGACAGCCAGGTGCCTGGTAATATGTGCTAAGATATTTAGGCAACACAAGACATTAGGTTGAGGGTAGTGACCAGGAATATGTAGTTTTCTGCTTTCACATTTCTCATTTGCTAGAGTACAGATATGAGGTGGGGTGTTTTTTACACCAGAATTTTTTCTAGACATGTATTTTCTGTCTTGTGTTCTACCTTAGACAAAAGCTTGGACTTCTTTTTATGTCTTATGAATCTTTAGACAGACAAAAACTAATGATAAGCCACTTTTAGAGGGATTTAAAAAATTCACATGGGCATTATTGTTATATATATGAGATATATTTTGAACAAAAGAAATTGTTTTTGTATCAACAACATGAACGTAAATTCAGACCTTAACTTATATATCTGTTTTTTTTTTCACTTAGGAAAAACTTGTTATTTGTTGAGAGACATGTGAATTTGCAGCTTTAGATGTTCTATTCAGGCAGCATTTAAGTTTGGAGGGTCAACAGATCAGACTTGGAGTCCTGATATGTAAGTTAGTACATTTCCATCTAATTTTCCACTCCCAAGAAATGGAAAAGTTTGAGTCATTAAGTGATAAGAAGCTTCCTAATTGAGACAAACAAGTTTTCTATTGCAGCATAGAAAGTTAGACCTAGCTATAATTGAGAAGACCAAAGATAAAGGAGAAATTCTTATGAGAACTTAAGGAAAGTCACATGATCTTCAACAGGTTAATGGCATTCACACAGGAACAGTGTTGGGTTTTTTTCTCTCTTTTTTTTTTTTTTCGAATTTTCTGAGCACAGGAATTCCTGAAGTGTTTGCTAAATGCAGAATCCCCCAGGTTTAATGTACGAGCATCTGTAAAGCTAAAGCCCTAGAATTTTACATTTTAATAAGCACCACAGCTGATTCCATTGTAAGCCGTTGATAAACCAAACATGGACAAAGATTATTGTATAACATATCCTGTAATAAAAAAAAAAAACATTGGCCACTAAGTTAACCAAATTAGTGAAAGGTAGACACTAAAGCTCCTACATGTTACTAAAGCAGGAAACTCTATGGACTCTTTCAGTCTTTTCGCTTTTGTTGTAAACAAAGGTATGAACCGTTGCTTGGTTATTCATTTTAAATTTGTTTAATTGAATTGAAATGGCAATTAGAAGAGCGAATGATGCCCGGTAAAGCCGGGCAGGCTGAGGTCTAATAAAAGCTAACAGCTGAGAGTCTGTCAGGGAATAAAGAAAACAATAATTTCCAAAAGCACACAAGAGTGCAGAAAGCACTGCAGTCTAGGACCTGCTTAGGCAGGGATACACAGATCTCAATCTCTCCAGAGGGCATTCCTGCATTACTGCCTTATAATGTCCCTGAGTTAATAACAAAAGATTCCATCATTCTTAGTACTCTCTGTTTAAGATTTCAGGGAGGCACAGTGAGTCTTCCAAAGACTTAGATGCAGAAAAATAATATTAAATATATATTAGAGTTAATTTCAGTTACTTGGAAAATTAACAGAAGTGGAAAAGTTTATTCCACAGGGAAATGAAATACATACTTTCTGTGTGGACAGTGGTTAAATAACCCACTTCTGTTGGACTTGTGGTCTCATGGGTGGTAACATCATTTTTCCTTTAGGTGTCAGAAATTGGGGAAGATTACTGCCTGAGACAGCACAGGGCAGCGACAGTGAGAGATGAAGGCAACATCAGTGTGCGCCAGAGTTTTGCAACTCCACACGCAGTCCATCATGGACCAACAACTGCAGCATCACCTAGGAGCTGTTAGAAGTACAGACTCTCAGATCCCACCCCAGATTCCTGAGTTGGAATCTGTAATTTGATAAGATTCTCAGGTACATTAAAGTTCGAAAAGTGGCATGTTAGTGAACTGAGATTTCTATGTCAAGGGATGTACTTGGTGTTGAAGAGCTGAGTTCAGAGTTCAGAGAGCAGGTGTTCAAAAGCAAGTTCAAGTCATACAAAAGAGCCAAGAATAACCCAAGAGCTTCCACATATCTCTGTAAACAGGGTTAGAGGTTGTCAGGGTCACAGGCAGGACAGATACCTTGCACATTTTTTTCTTAAGAAATCTCGATTATCAATCTCAAATTTTCTTTAAAGTGTTTTTTACTATAACACAAATATTGAAACACAAATATGTGTACAAATTAATGCATTTTAATACTGTTTTACTGAGGTAAAATTTACATGTAATAAAATGCATAACTTTTGAAGAATGTGTTGTGTATATCAGATAATTGCTACTCTGATTGAAATATAAAACATGTTCATCACCCCAGAAATCTCTCTCTTATCCTCTCAAATTAATTTTTAGCCCCTAGGCAACTGCTGTTTTAATTTCTATCACTATAGATAGTTTTGCTTATTCCTGAACTTAATACAAATAGAAGCAAACATTATATACTTTTTTTGCATCTAGATCCTTTTCCTTGACATAATGCTTTTGAGATTAACCTTATACTATTGTACATATCAATAATTTGCTGCCTTTTACTAGTGACTAGTGTGGTATGAATATACCACAATTTGTTCATTCTCCTGTTGATGGACGTTTGGGTTGTTCATAGTTTTTTGCTATTATGAATAAGGCAGCTATAAAAAGAATATTCTTATACAAGCCTTTTGTGGGCAGTGCTTCATTTCTCTTAGCTAAATATCTAGGTTTAGAATTGCTGTTAACTTTCTGAGAAATTAGTAGTTTTCCAAAGCAGTTGTACCATGTTATGGTCTCACCAGCTGCATGTGTTTGCTAGAATTTCATTTGCTCCACATCCTTGCTAGCATTTAGTGTGGTGTTATCAGTCTTTTTAATTTTAACTATGTGAAATGGCTATGAAATGGTATGCTTGTGAAATGATGCATTTCCCTGCTTAAGAATAATGCCAAACACCTTTGTGTGTGTGTGTGTGTGTGTGTGTGTGTGCTTATTCCTCTATATATCTTCTTTAGTGAAGAATCTGTTCAAGTTTGTGGCAGACGTATTTGCCAAAATAATGATAATGAAAATAGGTACAACAATATCTCCCAATCTCCCATAACACATATTTCTCTTACAACGCTTTTTTTTTTTTTTTTTTGGAGACAGAGTCTAGCTCTGTCACCCAGGCTGGAGTGCAGTAGCACAATCTCGACTCACTGCCACCTGCACCTCCCAGGTTCAAGTGATTCTCTTGCCTCAGCCTCCTGAGTAGCTGGGATTACAGGTGCACACTACCATGCCCAGCTAATTTTTTTTTTTTTTTTTTTTTTTTGTATTTTTAGTAGAGACAGGGTTTCACTGTGTTGGCCAAGCTGGTCTCGGACTCCTGACCTCGTGATCCACCTGTCTTAGCCTCCCAAAGTCCTGGGATTACGAGCGTGAGCCACTGGCCCGACCTATAATGCATTCCTGACATTCCTACCATTAGGTGGTTGGGAGCGTGTCACTTTATCTGAAAAAAGGAGTGAAACCTTGCTACTGCCTTGGATGATAGCTTATGGTGGAAGTTTTGCTATATGACTTCAGAGGCTAGATTATAAAAGGTGATGTGCTTCACCTAGTTCTGTGGGAATGTCTCTCTTTAGAGCCAGCTATTATGCAGTTTGAAAACCTGAGCCATTTTGTGCAGGGGTCCAACTGGATAGGAACCTACAGCCAACACCAACTTGCAAGATGTGAGTGCACTATCCTAGAAGTGGATCCTTTAGCCCCATCTGAACTGCCTTAGCTGATACCAAGTGAAGCAGAGACAAGTTTTCCCCACTGAGCTTTATCCAGATTGCAGATTCATGAGCAAAATAAATGATTGTTGTTGTATCAAGCTACTTATTTATGGGGTGATTTTTTTTATACAGCATCAGTAACCAGGACAGATTTTGGTTGTTTCATAACAAAAATTGGCTTTGTGACTAAATGATGAGAAAAAGACAATGTTAGTGAAATTCCAAGGCCTTCAAGCAGCAGCCTAAGAAAACCTAGAAGGCTGCCAATGAAGCCTCTAATGTAATGAAATTGGAACCTGCAGCAAAGGGAACTTTTGTAACTGTGAGATGTGTGACCACACTGGCATCTGAGGTAATGAGAAAAACAGGAAATTTGTCAAATTTATCAAACTACTAAATGAACTCCATATCAGTTCATCAAGAGTCAGCAAGCTTTTTCTTGACGGGCTGGATAGTACATATTTTGAGCTTGGAGATCACAGGGCTTCTGTTACAACTTCTGAACTATGCCACTGTAGTGTGAAAAAGCTATAGAAAATAAATAAATTGGCATGAATATGTTATAATAAAACTTTTTTACAAGAATGGATACAACTATGGTTTAGATATGACTTGTTTGTCCCTGGGAAAACTCATGTTGAAATTTTATGCCCAGTGTGGCAGTATTGGGAGGTGGATCCTAGTAAGGGGTGTTTGTGTTATGGGGGCAGATCCCTTATGAGTAAATAGCTGGGTGCTGTTCTCTTGGTAGCTAGTAAGTTCTTGCTCTTGGGAATGGGTTGTTGTAAAGCCAGGATACCCCTCAGGTTTTCTCCTTTTTGCATGATTCCACTTCCCCTTTGATCTTACCCACCCTATTGTGACACAGCACAAAAGCCCTCGCCAAAAGCCAAAGCCATGCCCTTGAACTTCTCAGCCTGTAGAACTACGAAATAAATAAACCTCTTTTCCTTATAAATTACCCAGTCTTAGGTATTCTTTCATAGCAACACAAAACAAACTCTGACAGACACTGTCCCACAGAGCATGGTCTGCTGATTCACCATATAGCTAAAGAGATTTCCAGGCGGAATATTGAAAGGGCCACTTGATATATTCTTGTCGTTGATGATAAAACTCAAAAAGAGAGAGAGGAATCAAAGATGAAATGTATAGGAACCAAGACTTGCTAGATTTGGAAAGAAAACTGTTCCTTATTCCCTGTCTCTCCAGATGGCAGAAGATTCTCAAAGTAACAAAATTTTTAGGGAAAAGATCAAATCCAGTGCAGTAATTTAAGAGCTATTGTTAAGATCTCAGGAAGATGACAGTTTATAGAAACTTTCTCTTTTTTTGTTTTTGTTTGTTTATTTTTTCAATAGTGTCTCACTCTGTCACCCAGGCTGGAGTGCAGTGGCATGAATATGACTCACTGTGATTTCCTGAGATGAAGTGATCTTGCCACTTCAGCTTCCTGAGTAGCTGGGACTACAGGTGCACACTACCATGCCTGGTTAATATTTTATTTTTATTTTTATTTTTATTTTTTTGTGGAGATGGAATCTCACTATGTTGTCCAGGCTGGTCTTGAACTCCTGGGCTCAAGCAATTCTCCCACCTCAGCCTCTCAAAGTTCTGGGATTACAAGCATGAGCCACCACACCTGGCCCATAGAATCTTCCAAAAAAAAAAAGGTATGAATTCATGAGCTACAGAGTATTATTTTAAGGAAGCAGTACTTGACCCTGATCAAGAAAGTGACAACATGTACTGAGATGGTTTTCAGAATTGATATTGACCACTGACTGATGTCTGTGACCTATTCCCTGCTTCCCTCCTTTTGAATCTGTCCAAAGCAGTTAATTATGTCTTTTTCACTAGCACTTGCTGGATATGTGCGGGGAGGGGGGGCGTATACCTTGTTTCTTTAGTTCATATAGCTTTATATTGAAAGGAACCATGTTAAGAATATAAAACAATCCATCTTGTCTGCATTGGTATCTGGTTTAGATGACAAGATCCTGGACTTCAAAATTCAGACTGATGAGGTAATGGATGAGACATTTGAGGGTTTTAGAAGGAGGTAAGTGTATTTTAGATGGAAAAAGAATATAAGTAATATATGGCCAGAGGGTGAACTGTGGCACTTTTAAAACACAGCCCCCAAATTATTCTACACTTGTTCCATTAAGGTACAGGTTCTACAGCCCATTCCAAAATCTTTGTAATTGCTTTACTAATCCATTACAGCAGAAGAAATATTGAGCCAGTTCCTGAGCCTGGACTTAATAGCCTGCAGCTTCCACTTCTATTTTCTCTTTCAATGCTTACCCTTAGAACCCAACTACTCTGCTGCAAGGAACCAAGCACCCATGTGGACTGGCCATGTATGATGTGTTATGGACCATAGCCTCTGATGAGGTTCCCGTCTCTATCCAGAAACAATTTCCAGACGTGTAAATAAGCAATACCCCCAGGCATTGAGTTATCTTCTATTAATGCTTTCATGTTATCTGAGCCATTGCTGCATTAAGCAGATACATGCTGCACCCTTGGAGCCTTGCCCAAATTGCAAATTTGTGAGCAAAATAAATGATTGTTTTTGTTTTCAGTCATTAAGTTTGAGATGGTTCATCACTTAGGGATAGACAACTGGAACAAAGTTTTTTGCTCATTTTTAAATTTTTTTTAAATAGTTTGTAGAAGTCTTCTCTATATTCAAGATACAAGACTTTGTCAGATATAGGCACTGAAAATATTTCTTACCAGTCTATGACTTGCCTTTTCCTGTACTTAATGATTAGTTTTCTCTAGCAGGAGTTTTAGTTTTGATGTAATATGACTTACTTTTTTTCTTTTATGGTTACTGATTTCTGTTCCATTTTTGAATGACACTGCACCTACTCGAAGTTGATGAAGCATTTTTATGTTTTTTTTCAAGAGGTTTAGAAATTTTTGCTTTTAAATTTAGGTCTGTAATCAATCTGAATTTTTTTTTCAGTATGGTGTACAATAAGTGTTGAAATCTGTATTTTTCTATATGTTAGCTAGACATTCCAGCATGCTTTGTTGAAAATACGATTTTTCCCCAATTGAATTGTTTTGCTACCTTTGCTAAAAAATTCTGGCCAGGAGCGGTGGCTCATGCCTGTAATCCCAGCACTTTGGGAGGCCGAGGCGGGCAGATCACCTGAGGTTGGGAGTTTGCGACCAGCCTGACCAACATGAAGAAACCCCGTCTCTACTAAAAAATACAAAATTAGCCTGGCGTGGTGGCATATGCCTGTAATCCCAGCTACTGGGAGGCTGAGGCAGGAGAATCACTTGAACCCGGGAGGCGGAGGTTGCCATGAGCAGAGACTGCGCCATTACACTCCAGCCTGGGCAACAAGAGTGAAACTCCGTTTTAAAAAAAAAAAAAAAAAACTTATAACTCTCCCTTCTGTTCCACTAATCACTTTGTCTGTTTTTCATGCTTGCATGATTAATACAGACTTACAGAAAGTATTGAAATCAGGTAGTGAAGTTCTTCCAATTTGGTCCTTAGTTTTAAAAATTGTTTTGCTTATTCAAGATCCTTTGCTTTTCCATACTAACTTAAAATCAACTGTTAAATTTTTACAAAACAGCCTATTAGAATATTGATTGGTGTTAAGTTAAATCTATAGATCAAGCATGGAACTCTTACCTTAATAATAGTTTTCCAATCTCCAACCATAGTTCCTCTCTCCATTTTTCTCCAGCTGAAAATCAACATTTTTCTCTTATTCTCAATCTTAGGGGAAACACATACATTAGTTTACTATTAAGTATAATTTGCTATAGGTTTCTTTTTGTAAATGCTTTCTGTCAGGTTGAGGAAATGTATTTTGGTTTCAGGTTTGATTAATGTGTGTTACTGCATTTATTGAGATATGTTTTCCTTTATTCTCTTAACATGGTAAATTACACTGGTGATTCATGCCTATTAAACAAACCTTGCATGCTGGGATAAACCCTACTTGCTCATAATAAATATTCCCATCTATATATTGCTGAATTATATTTACTACTGTTAAGAATTTTTGTCACTATGTGTATGAGGGGTAATGGACTCTATTTTTTTAATACCTCTAGCATCTTTGTCAAGTTTTGATAACAGGGCTAAGTAGGTCTCATAAAACAGTTTTGGATATGTTTCCCCTTCCTATGTTTTCCAAAAGAGTTTGTATACATTTGTTATTATTTCTTTCTTAAGTGTTTGGTAGAAAATACCAGTGAACCCATCTGAATCTAGATTTTATTTAGGGGAATATTATTTTTTATAATAAATAAAATTGATCTCTTTAATAGGTATATAAAACTCTTTACATTTTCTATTTCTTGTCAGTCTTGAAAGGTGCTTTTTGATGAATTTGTTCATCTATGTTGTTGAATTTCTTGACCTAAGATCTTCCTAACATTTTTTTGTTATCTACTTAGTATCTATAGGATCTGTAGGGATAAGCTGTCTTTCATTCCTACTACTGCTAATTTGTTGTGTGCACATTTCCCCTCTTGATTAATCCCACTAGTGTGTTTTCAAATTTATTTATCATTTCAAATAACTAATTTTAAACTTTGTTAACTTTATTTTTTCTTATTCATATTTCATTAATTCATTCTCTTTATTACTTTTTTCTCTTTCCTTTTGGTTTTATCCACTCTTTCTTTTCTCACTTCTTAAGATGAACACTCATTACACTGATTTTAAATCTTCCTTATTTTCTAAAACCACGTACTACATATTTTGATATATTGTATTTTATTATTATCCAATTCACAATATTATTACATCTTTTGTGATTTCTTCTTTCACTTATGGGTCATTTAGAAGTGTGTTACTTAATTTTGAAATAATCATGAGGGGTGTTAGATATAGTACTGAATTTTAATAATTTTATTACTTAATTTTAGTTTAATTTTTCCAAGAACATATTCTGAATGATTTTATTCTTTTAAAATTATTGATACTTACTTTATGGCCCAACATATGATTTAATTTGGTGATCAGTATATGTGTATTTAAACATAATGTGTGTTCTGCCATTTTGGGGCAAAGTATTGTTCTCTAAATGTCAAATAATTCAAGGTAATTGATAATGTGGTCATGTTTTCTGTGTCCTTCCTGATATATTAATATTTTCTTGTTCTAGTAATTGATGAGAATTATTAAAATCTTCATCTATGATTGTGGATCTATCTAAATTTCTCTTTAAGTTTTTGTGTGTATATAGGATTGTAATGTCTGCATGAATAATTGATCATTTTATTATTATGCAACATTCTTATTTATGGTAAACTTTTTCTCTTTAATTTATTTTGGCTAATATTTACATAGACTTTCCAGTTTTTGCATGTTTATGGATTGTATAGTATATCATTTTTCATCTTTTCATTTTTAGTATACTTGTATTTTAAATTTACAATGCATCTCTTCCATACATTTTACTTATTTTTTTTAATTTAACCATTCTTGAAAATTTTAGTAACTCAGTAAAACAAATACTGTTATACGTACTTTTATAAAGTGGGGAACTGATGTAAAGAAAATTTAAAAATCTGGCCTACTCCTCAAACTATGGTCTTCTAGCTTACAACATTGTATTATCTGAACAAGATAACATAAACCATTTGATTTATCAAAACTGAATTTGACCCAAAACAATAAATATAGCATAGGTTAGTTAAACGTGTCGTGATCTATTTGCCTGATATCTTCAGCTTCAGTTGCAAATCTTACTATAATCATAGGAAGATATAACAATTATATCTAACCTCAATCTATCTTCTGAGCTCCATTTTATATTTACAATAACTTTTTAGAAATTTTTGTTTAGATAAACTGTAGGCAACGCAAATAAATAATTCTATTTTTTCATCTCACTTTGTCCATAAGATCTGTCTTTTTTTATTCAGCATTTTGGTTAATTAAACCATTAAAACTTCACTGATCAAGTCATCTTTTACTTTTTGTTTCTTATTTATTACTCCTATCTAATAAGTCAACCAGTTTGCTTTTCTTTCCTTCTATTTAAGATAGTTCTTTAACACATTCCTGCTTCTCCAGTTAGACTTCATCTTCTCAGTTGTAAAGTATTGCAAGAGTGTCTTAATTGGTCTCCTACATCCAGCCGTTTTCTCCACCAAAATCACAGTGACAATCAGAATCATTCAACAATATTCAACCAAATCTGTAAATCTTTTTGTAGCTATGCCGAAAAAAGAGAAAAACAGTTCATGATTTCTACGCTTTATGGTTTGCAGGATAAAGGATCTCTATTTAACACATTTTCTTTATCCAGTCATCTGTTGACAGACATTTAGGTTGCTTCCAAATATTGGCTATTGTAAATAATGCTGCAACAAACATGAGAGTGCAGGTGTCTCTTCGATATACTGATTTTCTTTCGTTTGGGTATATACCCAATAATGAGATTGACGGATTGTATGGTAGCTCCATTTTTTGTTTTTTTGAGGAACCTCCAAACTGTTCTCCACAGTGGTTGTACTAATTTTATAGCAGAACAGGGTGACCATAGCCAATAACAACTTAATTGTACATTTAAAAATAACTAAAAGATTGTAAATAGTTGTTTGTAACACAAAGGATAAATGCTTGAGGGGATGAATACCTCATTCTCCATGACGTGATTATTTTACATTGCATGCCTCTACCAAAACATCTCATGTACCCAATATATATTATATGCCTATTTTATACCCACAAAAATTAAAAATGAAAAAAGTAAAGATCTCTAAATTTAGCAGATATCAATTCTCTTTGCAATGGCATTTATTACACTTTCATGCATTTACGCTTTCTACTAACTGAGGTATTTTCTCTCTACTCTCTGCTTGGCCATGACCTTCTATCTATCTCTCTGTCTTCCTGTCTGTCTATCTATCTATCTATTCTTTGAGTCTCAATATAAATGTGACTTTCTTGTCAAAACTTCCTTAACTCCTCAGCCCGAGGCAGTTAGATGCTCCCTCCTCACTACGATTGTTCTCTATCCTTACATGATAGATGCTTAAAAAATTTTTTATCGTTATTTTGTTCTATTTTAACATTGCAAACTGTGGCTTATGATATTGAATGTCAGATACATTAATAACTATCACCATAATAATATAAAACAAAATTTACTTTTTATATAGGTATTTATGTGATCTGCTGTATATTTACTGGTAGAAGGGTCAGGTGGGCCACACCATGCACTCGACTAATTTTATGGTTTCCACTGAATAAATAAATCTAGATTAATTTTTGGAGTGAATCTATGTCTATACCATCTGAAACAAATAATGTGCTAAAAAGCAGCAGTGTACAAGTTACCTCACAGCAATTTGTTTTAATCTCACCTATACACTGTAACATTTTTGATGTCTTCAACTATACTATGAATTATGTGAGAGAAGAAATCATCATTTTTTATTCATCTCTCTATTTTTCATATCACCTGGCACAGTTACTATCCCATAGTAGGCTCTCAGAAATGGTCTTATAAATAGAGATTTTCAAAATCCCATAACTATGGAAGCCAAGACTAAAACAGCTACATGCTATAAAACTATAAAAGGATAATGTGTTTCATTTAATAGTTTATTTTAGAGATGGGCCACTGAGTTCAGTAGACATGGTGGCATGAAGGGATTTGGTAAATACGAGAGTTCAATGCAAAGAACCTCATTAAATGTTTAATCAAAATTTCATGATTTGTGCAGGGAATTGAGAAAGTACCCTGAGAAGTCATAAAAATTAATTTGGAGGGGAATTAAAAAATAGAGACTCATAGTGCTGTGTAAGTGGTTTTGTGTGCTATAAAGCTCTCTAAATGTGTTTATGAGCTGAGCATCCTGTCCTGAGCTCATGAAATAGGAAACAAAACATCAGTCTTGGCATCTCCTGATATTTGAGATGCTTGGAATTATTATCTCATACTCTTGGCTGTCTCAAAGGAAACAAAACAGAAATGTATGTTTGGGTCAGGCTTTAATTTTCCAGACTGAAAAATTAAATCACTGTCTACCCAGACACAAGTCTTGTCTTATTTTTCTTTGATCAGAAGTTTGTTCTTCTGGGACTAGATGAAAGTAATGGGCAGTATGGGACGGTGCTATCTCAAGAGTATTTGAGCACTTGCTCCACATTTATCCTCTCCTTCTCTGTATCAGCTTAAGTTCATGGTAGAGATGATTGTTTAAATTTCTCTAACTTGGTTTCCTTATGTATTAATAGTGAGTAAAAAATAATGATGTATTAAGTGAGATATATAAATATAATGTCTGTGACTGCAAGTGAAAATTACAAAGTATACTGTGAAAAATCATAACGAACACAGAAGACTTACTCCAAAAAACTGGATACATGAATGTGAATGTAAAATAAATAGCAACATAATGTTAAAGCTTTAGTGTTTAAATGTTAAAAAGTCATATTTAAAATAAGTATTTGCATAACTGAAATGACTTATTGTACACAGTTTTGATAATATAATCATTTTCAAAAGTTGACATATAAATGCTAAAGAACCATTAGCAATAGACAAGTCTTTTAAAAATGGTTTAAAATTTGTTCTGTGATGACCAAAAGATTTTCCACCTTTTCAACTACAAAAATGTAGGGGAAGAGAAAATATATTTTAATATTTTGATTAGAGTTATGTTCAATGTAGTGCACATTACAAATCTGAGTTTATATCCAATGTACACTTCTCAATAAAAAAATAGATATTTCTACATATCAATCATTATATTCTATAGCTTTCATAGTAGCAAAAAAAGGAGATGATTATTTTTTCATTATTAGCAAAGGACACTGGGCTTTGGGTAATGGGGATCTAAATCAAGGTAATTGATAATAGTTGAGAGTAGCTGAAATTACACATAAGAAAAAATGCGCTTATAAGCAGTGTCCTTAGAACCCACTAACTATCCAGAAATAAAACAATTTACTGTGTTAATAAAAGAGAGAAATTCAAAAGGCTGCAGGAAACTGGAGACCAAGGGTAATTGAGAATCTTCTGAATTCTTCAGCAGCATCCAGGAAACATGTTCTAGAAAGTGTCCTCAGATTGAAGACCACTAATGTAAACATCAAGCTATAGAAGGAGAAAGTGAGATATTTTTATCCTAACTTTTCAATGCGCAGGCTGGAGTAAATAATAAAGGAGAAAAACTCAGAGGACTGAGAAAGCAGTCAAAATTGGAATTAAGAAGTTGTTCAGAAGAAGGCAGTCCAAAAGAGAAATAGAATATACACTGTTCCTTGACAGGATATCAGGTTGTTATACACATACTTTCAAATCCTTCTAAACAAACCCAGAAAATCTGGTCTATTTTCTCCATTTTACTGATGAAGATATTGAGATTCAGAGAGTTTTAGTAACTTCCCCAATGCTAGGTGACTAGTGAGTGGCAGAGTTAGAATTCAAGCCCACACATGTCTGGTTCCAAAGCACATTGCAGGTGTAAAGTGATTGTTTGTACAGTAAAAAATCTTGGTTCTTGCGAAAGAACCAATATTTCATAATCTATATAATAATCAGAAAAAAAAATCTGCTTTTATCCTGATATTAAAAAATTTGCTGTGGTGGCTGGTGATTCCCGTCCTAAAACATTCAGAGGGAGCCACCTAACATGGACTTTTATAATGTAGTTAACTTTACTATATTAAAGAGATAATGGAAAGAAAAATTACACAACTCAAACTCCTTGATCACTCCTTGCTTTCCCTGATATACAAAGCTTCATATAAATGAGAGTGCTTAAGAAATCAGAAGCATATTTAATGACTTCAAAATTAGGGCGGATAATAAAATACTTCTGGGATCATGGCAGCCAGAAGGCAGGACTAGATTGCAGCTCTGGACAAAGCAGCATGCAGAGGATTACGTTGTGAATTTTAGCTCCAGTAATCACAAGAGCACCCACAGACCCTCTGAAGGAAGCAGACTTCTCCTGCAGGACCTGGGAGACACCCCAAATACTGTGAGTGCCCCAACAAGTGCAGAAGTGGGAAAGGGAGACCCTCCTTTTCTGAACACACACCCCCACTGGAGAAGATGAAGGTCTGTTTGCAGGAGAAGTTTCTGACTTCACCTGGTGCTTAGTCAAATTAGAGAGCTCACCGAAATACAGGGGTAGAGGAAGCAGCAGAAAGGCCCCGGGAGCTCACTGGGTCTCCAAGCGCCCATTCCTGCCTGGCACCACAGGGATCCATCGGGAGGGCAGCCAGAGGAGCAGGGGGTAAAACTCCACAGGGAGAAGGAATTCTGTAGCTGAATTTTGTAACAATTTGAACAGGGGCAAGAAGCCTCCTAGCCAGAACTCAAGGGAGGACATGAATTAGGTGTGCAGACTTCACAGGCAGGGAAGAATTAAAGCTCTTTTTTCTTGCAACTGAGAGGCAGATAGCCTCGGGCAAATTTTCAAGCCCGTTTCACCCTCTACCTGGAAACAGGCTGTTGGTGGGGGGCACGGTGGGAGTGAGACCAGCTTTTCAGTTTGCATGGGAGCTGGGTGAGGCTGTGACTGCTGGCTTTCCCCAACTTCTCTGAAAACCTGCATGACTCAGCAGAGGCAGCCATAATTCTCCTAGGTACATAACTCCAGTGACCTGGGAATCTCAACCCATCACCCACAGTAGCCGCAGCAATACCAGCCCAAGGAGTGTCTGAGCTTAGACACACCTAGTCACACCCCCACCTTATGGTCCTTCCCTGTCCACCCTGGTAGTGGAAGAAAAAGGACATATAATCTTGGGACTTCTAGGGCCCTGCCCACTGCCAGTCTCTCTCCACACTACTACTACAGCTGATGCTTTCTGGAAAGCGCCGCCTCCTGCAGGAGGCCAACCAGCACAAAAATACAGCATTAAACCACCAAAGCTAAGGACCCTCATAGAGTCCATTACACCCTCTGCCACCTCCACTGGAACAGGCACTGGTATCCACGGCTGAGAGACTCATAGATGGTTCACATCACAAGACTCTGCGGAGACAACCCCCAGTACCAGCCCAGTGCTGGGTAGACTTGCTGAGTGGCTAGACCCAGAAGAGAGACAATAATCACTGCAGTTTGGCTCACAGGAAGCCACATCCATAGGAAAAGGGGGAGAGTACTATATCAAGGGAACACCCCATGAGACAAAAGAATTGGAACAACAGTCTTCACCTCTAGACCTTCCCTCTGACAGAGCCTACCCAAATGAGAAGGAACCAGAAAACCAACACTGGTAATATGAAAAAACAAGGCTCTTCAACACCCCCAAAAATTCACACTAGTTCACCGGCAATGGATCCAAATCAAGAAGAAATCTCTGATTTATCTGAAAAGGAATTCAGGAGGTTAGTTATTTAGCGAATCAGGGAGGGACCAGAGAAAGGTGAAGCTGAATGCAAGGAAATCCAAAAAGTGATACAAAAAGAGAAAATAAGAAATATTCATGGAAGTAGACAGCTTAAAGGGAAAACAATCAAAAATTCAGGAAACTTTGGACACACTTTTAGAAATGCAAAATGCTCTGGAAAGTCTCAGCAATAGAATTGAACAAGTAGAAAAAAGAAATTCAGAGCTTAAAAAACAAGGTTTTTGAATTAACCCAATCCAACAAAGACAAAGAAAAAAGAATAAGAAAATATGAACAAAGCCTCCAAGAAGTCTGGGATTATGTTAAATAACCAAGCCTAAGAATAATCAGTGTACCTGAGGCAGAGGAGAATTCTCAAAGCCTGGAAGATATATTTGGGGGAATAACCAAGGAAATCTTCCCCAGCCTTGTGAGAGACCTAGACAGTCAAATATAAGAAGCACAAAGAACACTTGGGAAATTAATCACAAAAAGGTCTTCACCTAGGGACATTGTCATCAGGTTATCCAAAGTCAAGATTAAGGAAAGGATCTTAGGAGCTGTGAGAGAGAAACACCAGGTGAACTATAAAGGAAAACCTATCAGATTAACAGCAGATTTCTCAGCAGAAACCCTACAAGCTAGAAGGGATTGGGAACCTATCTTCAGCCTCCTCAAACAAAACAATTATCAGCCAAGAATTTTGTCTCCAGTGAAACTAAACATCATATATGAAGGAAAGACACAGTTGTTTTCAGATAAACAAATGCTGAGAGAATTCGCCATTACCAAACCACCACTACAAGAACTGCTAAAAGGAGCTCTCTAAGTCTTGAAACAAATCCTGGTAACACATCAAAACAGAACCTCTTTAAAGCATAAATCACACAGGACATATAAAACAAAAATAAAAGTTTAGAAGCAAAACAAAAAGAAACCAAACAGGCAACAAACAGCATGATGAAAGCAACAGTACCTCACATTTCAATACTAACATTGAATGTAAATGGCCTAAATACTCCACTTAAAAGATATAGAACTACAGAATGGATAAAAACTCACCAACCAAGTATCTTCTGCCTTCAGGAGACTCACCTAGCACATAAAGACTCACAAGAACTTAAAGTAAAGGAGTGGAAAAAGGCATTTCAGGCAAATGGACATCAAAAACAAGCAGGGGTAGCTATTCTTATATTAGACAAAAGAAACTTTAAAGTAACAGTGGTTAAAAGAGACAAAGAGGGCCAGTATATAATGGTAAAGGGCCTTGTCCAACAAGAAAATATCACAATCCTAAACATATATGCACCTAACACTGGAGCTCCTAAATTTATAAAACATATTTACTAATAGGCCTAAGAAATGAGATAGACAGCAACACAATAATAGTGCGGGCCTTCAATACTCCACTGACAGCACTGGACAGGTCATCAAGATAGACAGTCAACAAAGAAACAATGGATTTAAACTATACCTTGGAACAAATGGACTTAACAGATATATGCAGAACGTTACATTCAACAACCACAGAATACACATTCTATTCAACAGCGCATAGAACTTTCTCCAAGAGAGACCATATGTAGGCCATAAAATGAGCCTCCATAAATTTAAGAAAATTGAAATTATTTCAAGCACTATCTCAGACCACAGTGGAATAAAACTGGAAATCAACTCCAAAAAGAACTTTCAAAACCACTCAAATACATGGAAATTAAATAAACAGCTCTTGAGTGAGCATTGGGTCAAGAACAAAATCAAGGTGGAAATTAAAAAATTCTTTGAACTGAATGACAATAATGACACAACCTATCAAAACATCTGGGATACAGCAAATGCCGTGCTAAGAGGAAATCTCATAGCCTCAAATGACTACATCGAAAAGTCTGAAAGAGAACAAACAGACAATCTAAGGTCACACCTCATGGAACTAGAGAAAAAAGAACAAACCAAACCGAAACCCAGCAGAAGAAAGGAAATAACCAAGATCACAGCAGAACTAAATGAAATTGAAATAACAACAACAACAACAACAAAAATATAATAGATAAATGAAACAAAAAGCTGGTTCTTTGAAAAGATAAATAAAATTGATAGACCATTAGCAAGACTAACCAAGAAAAGAAGAGAGAAAATCCAAATAACCTCACTAAGAAATAAAACACGAAATGTTACAACTGACACTAATGAAATACAAAAGATCATTCAAGGCTACTATGAACACCTTTTTCACATAAACTGGAAAACCTAGAAAAGATGGATAAGTTCCTGGAAAAATATAACCTTTCTAGCTTAAATCAGGAAGAATTAGATACCCTGAACAGACCAATAACAAGCAGCAAGATGTAAATAAATATTACCAACAAAAAAAGTCCAGTAACAGGCAGAATCACAGCAGAATCCTACCAGACATTCAAAGAAGAATTGGTACCAATCCTTTTAACACTATTTCAAAAGATAGAGAAAGAAGGAACCCTTCCTAACTCATTTTATGAATTTTACATCATTCTAATACAAAAACCAGGAAAGAACATAACAAAAAAAGAAAACCATAGACCGACATCCTTGATGGTAAAATCCTTAACAAAATACTAGCTAACCGAATCCAGCAACATATCAAAAAGATAATCCACCATGATCATTTAATACAAGGGATGCAGGGATAGTTTAACATATGCAAGTCAATAAATGTGATACACCACATAAACAGAATTAAAAACAAAATCACATGATCATCTCAATAGATGCAGAAAAAGCATCTGACAAAATCCAGCATCGCTTTATGATTAAAACTCTCAGCAAAAATCGGCATACAAGGGATATACCTTAATGTAATAAAAGCCATCTATGACAAACCCACAGCCAATGTAATACTGAATAGGGAAAAGTTGAAAGCATTCCCTCTAAGAACCGGAACAAGACAAGGATGCCCACTCTTACCACTCCTCTTCGACATAGACTGGAAGTCCTAGCCAAAGCAATCAAAAAGGAGAAAGAAATAAAGGGCATCTAAATCGGTAAGGAGGAAGTCAAACTATCACTGTTTGCTAACAATATGATTGTTTACCTTGAAAACCCTAAGGACTCCTCCAGAAAGCTCCTAGAACTGATAAAAGAATTCAGCAAAGTTTCCAGATTAATGTACACAAATCAGTAGTTCTTCTATACACCAGCAGCGACTAAACAAAGAATCAAATCAAGAACTCAACTCCTTTTACAATAGCTGCAAAAATAAAAATAAAAATAAAAATACTTAGGAATATACCTAACAAAGGAGTTGAAAGACCTCTGCAAGGAAAAGTAGAAAACACTGCTGAAAGAAATCATAGACAACACAAACAAATGGAAACACATCCCATGCTCATGGATGGGTAGAATCAATATTGTAAAAATAACCAACTGCCAAAAGCAATCTATAAATTCAACACAATCCCCATCAGAATACCATCACCATTCTTCATGGAATTAGAAAAAACAATTCTAAAATTCATATGAAACCAAAAAAAAGCCCACATAGCCAAATCAAGAACAAATCTGGAGGCATCACACGACCTAATTTCAAACTATACTATAAGGCCATAGTCACTGAAACAGCATGTTACTGGTATAAAAGTAGGCATGCAGACAATGGAACAAAATAGGGAACCCAGAAATAAACCCTAATACTTATAGCCAATGAATCTTCAACAAAGCAAACAAAAACATAAAATGGGGAGTGGACACCCTTTTCAACAAAAGGTGAATTGGCTAACCACATGTAGGAGAATGAACTGGATCCCCATCTCTCACCTTATACAAAAATAAACTCAAGATGGATTAAGGACTTAAACCTAAGACCTGAAACTATAAAAATTCTAGAAGATAACATTGGAAAAACCATTCTAGACATTGGCTTAGGCAAGAATTTCATGACCAAGAACCCAAAACCAAATGCAATTAAAAAAAATAAATAAATAGCTGGGATGTAAACTAAAGAGCTTTTGCATGGCAAAATGAACAGTCAGCAGAGTAAACAGACAACCCACAGAGTGGGAGAAAATCTTCACAATCTATACTTCTGACAAATGACTAATATCCAGAATCTCTACAATGAACTCAAACAAATCAGTAAGATAAAAAGACATAATCCTGTAAAAAAGTGGGCTAAGGACATGAATAGACAATTTTTAAAAGAAGATATACAAGTGGCCAACAAACATATGAAAAAATGCTCAACATCACTAATGACCAGGAAATGCAAATCAAATCAACAATGTGATACCACCTTACTCCTGCAAGAATGGCCATAATCAAAAAAATCAAAAACAGTACACATTGTCTTGGACACGGTGATCAGGGAACACTTCTACACTGCTGGTGGGAATGTGAACTAGTACAGCCACTATGGAAAACAGTGTGGAGATTCCTTAAAGAACTAAAAGTAGAACTACAGTTAGATCCAGCAACCTCACTACTGGGTATCTACCCAGAGGAAAATAAGTCATTATTCGAAAAAGATACTTGCACATGCATGTATATAGCAGCACAATTCACAATTGCAGAATCGTGGAACCAACCCAAATGCCCATCAATCAACGAGTAGATAAAGAAACTCTGAGTATATATGGTAGAATACTACACAGCCATAAAAAGGAATGAATTAACAGCATTTGCAGTGACCTGGATGAGATTGGAGAACATTATTCTAAGTGAAATAAGTCAGGAATGGAAAACCAAACATCATATGTTCTTACTGATATGTGGGAACTAACCTATGAGGACGCAAAGGCATAAGAATGATACAATGGACTTTGGGGACTCGGAGGAAAGAGTGGGAGGGGGGCAAGGGATAAAAGACTATAAATATGGTGCAGTGTATACATGGATGATGGGTGCACCAAAATCTCTATCAGCACTAAAGAACTTACTCATGTAACCAAATACCACCTGTACCCCAATAACTTATGGAAAAATAAAAAAATAAAAGATTTCTGAGCTAAGATTTTTAAAAATACCTTCTATTTGAAAGGGAAAAGAAGAAGAAATGATACATACGATGGATTATGTGGATGGTAGCAAAAAATACAGAAAGTGAGAGAACTACTTAGCTCACAAAATAGTAGTTTATGGTAGTAGAAATATGGGATTCTGCTGTAGCAGAGACTGCCCAGTATTTTCATTAATATCCAGGTTTTATTTGTCTTGGCACACTGCTAAATTACAACAGACCCCCCTTTCATTTGGGACCTTGTGATGCATTCTCTCCAATGGAATATGAGAATTAATATGTGTCTGGGCTGATATGATTAAAAGCAGAGCTTCGAAAGCTCTTTCTTTTCACTTGTCTATTGACCTGGCATATTCACCTGTCTATTGACCTCAACTGGATGATCCAGTTGAGGACTCCAAGGCCCTTAGGAATGGAGAGTCCTCTTGATCCAAGTAGCCTGGATCCCTGAATGATTGCAGGAAATAGAGATCTCTGTCTGCTGACTTTGTGCTATGAAAAGAAAATAAACTTTTATCATGTTTAGCCACTGATATTGTTACTACAGTCTGTCTACTCTGACGTGTCTTCCAGTAGATGGTGTATGCTTTATTCTTACAACAGCAACAACAAAAACACCTAAGCTAATCACTGTTTTAAGCTGAATTTTTAATTCCAGAAAGATAATGCACTGAAAAAAACTGGGTCCAGTGAGTTATAAGAAGTATGGCAGAACAGTGTTAAAAATGGTCCCCACTAATTTTCAGGATAAAATAATAGTAAGAAAAACCATGAGTAACATTTGTTTTATGAGATGTTTGTCCATCAAGGTAAGGGTGTCCAACATGATGAACTTGACATTATAGTAGAAGGAGGTGTACAATGTCTCATGTATTACTGAGACTTTGTAGATAGAGCTCTTGGCTACACTATGACAATGCAATAGAAATCTTTATTTAAAGAACTGAGCTGATTAGAAAGGGTGGCAAAATTGTGTGTGCAAGACAGTACTCTCCTGCTTTTACCATTCTTGCTCATCAATAGTTGTCAATATTCTAGACTTGAGGGGTCACTTCTGTCCATCTGACTTCAAATATCATCCTACAGTCTGAGCTAATACTTCTGTATTTTCTGCACCAGACTGGACTCAAGCTTAGTTTTGATAAAAAGAAAATTATATAATGGACTCTGGTCATCTCAACTCTACTCCAGGGCCACCCTAAAATGTGGGTGGATCACCCTATAGCATTGTCACTTCAGTCTGACCCAGCCTGATCTTCTTCTCACTACTTTGAATAAGAATTCCACATAGCTGACCACCATGTCTTATCTTAGTTATTAAAGTACTAATTGGCAGAAGTCATGAGATTATTGAGGTAGTATGCATTTGGAAGTTATCTGAGTGAGAATAAAGAGGGTAAAATAAGAGAAAAGCAATAGCAATTGCTGTTACAGGAGTTAGCATATTAGACCAGTTGGCACATTTGGATATTGCAATCAACATACAGGGACACAGGGGTGTAAATAATATATAAAAGACACAAAAGCGTATTGAAGCCCTCATATATAATGAAGTCCTCTGGAAGTCTCATTCCTCTTAAAGTAGAACATCTGATACATGATTGAATTTTTTCACTAATAAGTTCATTTTTTGGAAGCTACTATGGGGATTTCTACTTTGAACAACATTGAAAAAAAAAGAAGGGCTGATTTTTGGTGTATAAACATTGACATAAAATCAAAGGAAGGATATACACAGGGTGTAGTCATGTGCACTGGAAAACAGCTTTAAAATATTCACAAAAAGCATGACTCTATGTTCATGAACTTAAAAGAAGAGGGTAATTCAAAAAGGAAAACAATCTCAAAAGAAAAAAAAGGATAGGAATCTGCAAGAAAATAAATTCTGACAATTCAATTATAAATAATCCCATAAAAGAAGAAAAGGGGGGAGACATAAAGAAATCAGTGTAGCTATACCAGGGGTTATCTGAGAATGCACGAATGATGGAAGAGGCACATTTCAAAGGAAGAAAATAAAGAAGTATTCTAACCAGAAAATTCATTACAAAAATATTAAAACCCAGAATAAGTTAGAGTTTTGAAACACACTGATGAAAACAAAAATGTCCTCGTTACTCTACTGTGTATGGAAAAAGACCATAAAGAAAGATTAGTCTTGGCCCAGATGATGTGATGTTGAAAGGGAGAAATGAGAAGAAGTGAGTATTTATTTTACTTCCACTTTCCATATGAAAGACAACGATCTTCAAAGTGTACAAGGTAATACTTTGCCAAGAAGAAATTGGGCTTAAGGTAGGCAAGGAAGGAAAAATTAAACCAACATTTATTGACATCTACTACGTGCCATGTATTTATTCAACAATTACTCTTTGGAAATTTTCTATATATGTACTTTTCTAGTCTCCAGATATATAGCAATTAATAAGTTAAATGAGTCCCTGCATTCAAAAAGCTTTCATTTCCTGTGAAATTGTATAATACATCTCATGCATTACTAGGAATTTAAAAGATATCCATTCTTTTACAGAAATAGAAATCAAAGCTAAGAGAGGGTCATTAAGTTGCCCAAGGACATAAAGCATATTTAGGATAGACACTGGAATGGTAACCTAATGCTGATTAACTCCCAAACTCTATATTTTCTATTTTCTAGTATGTAGCTTTTTCCAAAGTAGAAAGTAGAAGTTTATATGAATTGCATCCTAGAGCTTGCAGTAATTGCAGGTGTAATTGTAAATAACTGTTGGCATTTTACAAAATTAGAAATATGAAAAAGTCTACTACAAAAATATAAACATTTTACTATTCAAAGATGGAAAATATATATGTATTTCAGAAATTACAAATAGGCAAATCTAGTGTGTATTTAAAAATAGATTTTCACCAGTAACATACTAATACTTAAAAATAAGTAATAACCACTGCTATAAGTAATCAAATAGCAGGCTATGTGGTTTCTAGAAATACGTGCTAGACTTAGTTTGAAAAACATTGTGATTTCAAGAAATTATTTAACCATTTAGCTCAAACATTTTCACAGTAGTATTTCTGGTGTCTTAATGCTTAGTGATACAGGTAGATTTATGTGTTACTGCTGTTTGAAAATTATTTCAAAAATTACTGAGCCAGGCATGGCAGCTCACGCCTGTAATCCCAGCACTTTGGGAGGCTGAGATTGACAGGTTGCTTGAGCTCAGGAGTTCAAGACCAGCCTGCACAACATGGCAAAACTCCATATCTACCAAAAAAAAAAACAAAAAAAAAATTAATGGATTTGGTGGTGTGTGCTTGTGGTCCTAGTTACTTGGGAGGCTGAAGTGAGAGGATCACTTGAGCCTAGGAAGTCAAGGCTGCAGTGAGCCGTTATTGTACCACTTCACTACAGCCTGAGCAACAGAGTGAGACTCTGCCTCAAAAAAGAAAAAAAGAAAAGAAAAAGAAAAATTACTGGAAGGAAGACTTGGAGCCATAAAGCTCTGATGTTGGGCCTACTTTTATACATTTTAAACTACATCATTAACAAAGACATAGAGACCTATTTAGAAAAATTTTAGGAACAGAAAATTGTGAAGAGTAGCTAATACACTGGACTTCTGAGTAAAAATGAAACCTAATTTTGAGAAGTCAAATAAACAACATGAAATTTGACAGGGGACATATAAAATTTTACACTGAGTTTCCAAAATTGAATATTAACAAAGAAGGGAGGATTTGCAGCTCATGATTTCTTCATGTAAAAAAAAGTCCCAAAGGGTTTTCGGTACCACAAATCCAATTACAGGCAACAGTATACAATAGCTTTCCATAAGAAAATAATAGGCCGTGTGCGGTGGCTCAAGCCGGTAATCCCAGCACTTTGGGAGGCCGAGGTGGGTGGATCACGACACGAGGTCCGGAGATCGAGACCATCCTGGCTAAACACGGTGAAAACCTCTCTCTACTAAAAATACAAAAAAAAAAATTAGCCGGGCATGCTAGTGGGCGCCTGTAGTCCCAGCTACTCGTGAGGCTGAGGCAGGAGAATGGCGTGAACCTAGGAGGCGGAGCTGGCAGTGAGCCGAGATCATGCCACTGCACTCCAGCCTGGGCGACAGAGCGAGACTCCGTCTAAGAAAGAAAGAAAAAAAGAAAATAATGTAATCTCAGCCTCATTTATATTCATTTACGCAACCACACAAAATATATTTTAAATGGGACATTGTCATAATAAAGTCCACCCAAAAGAGAGGTACAAAGACATGTAAGATCAATGACTATTTTAACCACTTCTGTATCTCCAGTGCCTAGCTGTGGGTCTGGAACAAAATTTTCATTTAGTAAATATTTGTTGAATTAATAAATGATAGACAACATATATCACGGAATATAGTTAAGGAAAGGTCTAAAGAAAAGTGGTTTAACAGGGTGATGGTAGTGGCCCTTAAGTAAAGAACAGCCTATCATATAAAAGATGGGTGAAAATTTTTTCTGGTAGTCCTGGGGAAAGTTAAACATATTTTTTCTGCAGTAGAAATAAATCTTTAAAATGTTTACAGGTATCTAAAAATGGAATGGTAGTCTTTCCAAGTGTGAGCTCCTTGATACTTTATATGTTAAAAAGATAAAGGATTATCAGATTTAAGGGAGACGCTGGATAAGTCTCTGCTGCAAACACTTCTAATGGAAAAATCTCTGATTCTATGTATAATTGTGGTTGCATTTTTTTCTTTATTGTCTTTTGAAGTTTCTTATTTCCTCAGTTTACTAGTCCTGAAAGTGTTTCAGGTTTAGCTCTAAAACGTTCCATCTAAAGAATATTGAATTTAGTGTTTAGACCATCTTAAGATAAAAAAAAAAAGCCTACTTTTTCAGTAGAAAAATGAAACTGAAACAAATTAGAAGAACAATGAAACTGCCTTCAATTTTAGAAGATAAATTCAGATCTAAGATGGATAGATCTGACTGAAAATGGAAGTTACAGCAGGTGAAATCCCAGCTTTGTGAGGAGTGAATTGTCACATGAACTACGATGACTGCTAGAGCTTGCAGAAGGCACCATGTGGCCTTCTTGGTGCTGCCCATCTCCCTCTGCTTGCCCTGGCGTAGCCCTCATCACATGTTTTCATCAGCAACAACTTTTCCTTATGGACCCTCTTCCTCAGTAGGCTGTGAGCTCTGTGGGGCAAAGACACTTTCTATCTGACTAACCATTAGATCTCTAACAACAAACAGAGTGCTTAACACATTAGACTCAATAAATATTTCTTAAGTAAGAGCACAAATAGATAACGGAATCTTTACTATATCAAAATTATATTTTAGATGTAGCATCCTTATTTCTGGAGTGCAGTGATGACAACTTTACTACAAGGATGCTGAAAAATTTATCTCACTGGTAGTGAAGTCATTTAAAGATCTGATCTCTTGATCTTAAAAGTTACTTTTGTCAATTAGAATATTCTCTATTACAATAATATTATATACCTATCATTCAAACTTATTATTTTTAGCTTTCATTTTGCTATCAACAAAAGAAGTGTTTGACTACCTCCTAGCATAGAGGAATGACCACTATATGAAACAAAAGAAATCCTCTATCAATGATTCTGACAGACACTCCTCTAAGGTAATAAGGATAGAAAAATTAGTAGGACACAGGCCGGGCTTGGTGGCTCACACCTGTAATCCCAGCACTTTGGGAGGCCGAGGCAGGCGGATCATGAGGTCAGGAGTTGGAGACCAGCCTGGCCAACATAGTGAAATGCCATCTCTACTAAAATAAAAAAAAGTTAGCTGGGTGTGGTGGTGCACACCTGTAATCCCAGCTATGCAGGAGGCCGAGGCAGGAGAATCGCTTGAACCTGGGAGCTGGAGGTTGTGGTGAGCCAAGATTGTGCCACTGCATTCCAGCCTGGGTGACAAAGTGAGACTCCATCTGAAAAAAAAAAAGAAAAGAAAAAAAGAAAAATGAGTAGGACACTGTCTCTGCTTTTAGAAGCTCTCAGTACAGTAGTAGAGACAATGTGTAAATAGATGTGCATACCATAATAACAATGTACGAACAACGTTGGTACAGTTAAGGGGCATCTCTAAAATAGGTAATAATGCAAGAGAGATATATCAGGATATCTCAAATACATACAAGGAGGAACTAATTGATTCAAATAATGGTTGAAGAGGAGAGAAACAGAGAATTTTTATCGTGTATCTCAAAACCATGCATGTAAACTATTGATCTTGCTGGGTGTCGGGGGAGCATGTGTTGAAATTATGAATGAAAGCTGTAATCATCACTAACATTTGTATAGTGCTTTGCTGACCACTAAGCTCACAAAACCCTATATTATCACCATTTTATAGATTAAACTCTGAAGCTAAGAGAAGTTAAGAGTTAGCCCAGATCTCTTAGCCAGTAAATGATAAAACTAGAACTGTAGCCCAGCATCTAATACCAAGTGTTTTTCACTCTTACATGAGAAAAGATCTTCAGACCTGCTTAACACACTAAAATAAATATTCCATGCATGTATCTCATTTCTGTAAAATTATTTGAATTCAAGGATTTTATGCATAAAAGTACTACCTAAATGTGACATAAATTTTACATGATCACATTAATTTAATACAAAAGCATACTCCTCTGCCTTCCCCATCCTTTTCCTTATCTACCTGTGAAATAACTTAGGAACATTGCTCAAGTTGGAAGCACACAGCCTCTGTTAGCATTAACAAGAAAACCTATCTGCAATGTTGTTTTCTTTCTTTTAAAAAAATGAACTGTGTAGATGAATGGCTTAGTTTGTTTTCATCATAGTGATGGTATTCTGAATTGATGGCCATGACAGATCTGTTTTTTACACTAAAAAATAATGACACTTTCAAGGTAAGTTGCTGTCATATACTGATTACCTGAGCAGAGATAAGAAGATAATAATAATCATTATAAACATACTTGCTTCTGAGTTCAGAGGAATATTTGCGGTAGGATGAAAATTTTTACTAGAATTATAGCAAACTCCAAACCCTCTTTCATATTATAATTTATACTTCTGAGCTTTTGAATTTCTTACTAGGAAGGCTTTGAGTTTATAAACAGAAATAAAATTGAAGTGGAAATTATTTATGCACTTTAATGTTTAATGCTTTACATTAACTAGCATTATTAGCAGTGGTCTTAACATGAGCTTTAAAGTAATATAAACATGGGTTTTAGGTTTCTGCTTCCACTCATTAACGTTGTGACTAAAAACAAGTTATTTAAAATTTCTGTGCCTCAGTTTTATCGTCTGTAAAATGGAGACGTTAAAATTTTAGAGTGATATATAATATGTGAGGTAATATATGTAAAGTGATTAGCATAGTGATTAACATGTTAAAGGCTTAATAAATATTATCTATTGTTATGGGATTCCAGAAAAAAGTTTTGAAGACAAGATTCTTTTGTTTGTAAACATTTTGGAAGGATCAGGTGATTCAGTGGGTTAAATAATTATCTGGGGCTTCAGTAGTGATTAAGGTACAAGACCCAATTTTGCCTTTCCTAGTTTTGTTTCTTAAAACATCTCACCTTATTTGCTACAAATTTGTCAGCACCAAAAAGGAAATAATACTATCCATTCGAACCTTAGGATTTTGAATCTAGAAAAGATCATAGGCATGATTGATTGCAATTTATTTATTTTATTAGAAAAGAGACTGAAAAATAAAATCTAAAGAATTTTTTGTGACTATATGAATTAAAAACTAGCAACAACTCTCCTTCCAGTTTGTGTTTTTGGTAGAAGAATAAATTGTGCATGAATTAGAAATAATACAGCAGCTAATACCACATCTAGCTTTCATTTTTACAGTAAACTCTCCATCCACATTTGAAATCTTCTTTTAAAATAATGTGTTGGGCTGGCTGTGGTGGCTCACACCCATAATCTCACATCTAGCTTTCATTTTTACAGTAAACTCTCCATCCACATTTGAAATCTTCTTTTAAAATAATGTGTTGGGCTGGCTGTGGTGGCTCACACCCATAATCTCGGCACTTTGGCAGGCCAATGTGGAAGGATCACTTGAACCCAGGAGTTCGAGGATGCAGGGAGCTATGATCATGCCACTGCACTCCAGTTTGAGCAACAGAGTGAGAACTCTGCCCCTCCTCACAGAAGAATAAATAATTAATAAATAAAATATGTTTTGGTTTGTATCTGACATTTCCCTACCTGTATAACTAATCTAGTGAGTGGTCTACTTAGCATATTGGGCACAAGAAGGGGTTCATTTAATGACACCTCTCTACTATACAACAAAACTATTTTCCACAATATTCACAAAATGAAATAAATAGCAATGCAAAAAGAAGCATATATGTAAAAATGTTCTTTTATTGAACTTCATATAGCTATGCAAATGGAAACTAAGTGTGATAATATCAAAAGAAAACAGTAGTTAATACTTTTTAATTTCATTAATTTTGTTAACAGAAAACTAACACAGAAAGAAGGGTTTCCAAAGAGTAAACTCTGAAAGTTTTAGATAATAACTTGAAAACTAAAAGACAAACTAGAGTGGATTAAAGTCCTGCTTCCTTGACTTTATAATCACTGCGGTCACATTTATTTAAGTATAATTTGTAAATGCAGAAATCTGTAGTACCATAGGACTTGGATAATCCAACTCAATGTAAGATTATCCAACATCATCTTGGTGCAGGTTCACATTAGCTCACAGGTAGCTATTATGGACATCTCTTCCTAAATTCTAGCTCAGTGACATCACATTAGTGATTTGATTATTAATTCAGATAAATCATGGAGGATGCAATAATACCAAGGAAATCAGCAAGAGCAACAAATCAAGATTTTTTTTCTTTGGTTAGCCAATTGTTAAACACTTACCAGTACATCACAAACCAAACTGTACTCAGAGTGAGCCCAAACAATTTCAGTTGAGAAATTACTCTCAAATCAATAAACTGTAGTGAGTCTATAACAATTGGGAGCCAACTGTATAACTAACTGGTAGTTCTCTGAATTAACTTTCACATGAACACAACATATTTAGAGAATTTGTTTAGAACTTAGATAGATGAAAAGTCATTCAGAATTGTTGTTTCATGGTGATAATGAAAAACAGACTGATTTCAAATTGGTTTTTGTATTGGTTTAAGTTTTATTTGTGAAATCAATTTTATTGACATAATTTGTTGGCAGATTTTCACAATTTGATGAATGTTGACAGTTGTATAAACTTTGAATCCACTATCATTATAAATAAGCAAGCATTTCTAGAACTAACAATAGACTCCTCTTGCCCCTCTGCAGTGCGTAGCTCCCGTTGCACAAGCCCAGGCAACAACTGATACAGTTTTGTCATTATGGATGAATTTGCATTTTCCAAAATTTTAAATAAATTGAATTGTATACTATGCATTCTTTTGTGTTTCATTTTATTTCATTGAACATAATGATTTTTTTAAAAAGAGTCATTCTTTGTGTTACATTTATCAATAATTTATTCTTTTCATTGCTGAGTGGTTTCCCATTGAATGTATAATATTTGGTTTATCTATTCATATATTGGTGGACATTTACCTTGTTTCCAGTCTGTGGGCTCTTGTGAATAAAGGTGGTAAGATTTGTGTTCACATCTTCTTCAGGACATATGTTTCTATTTCAGGGTATATATTATTAGGAGAAGAATGTCTGGGTTATATGATAGGTTTATGATTAACTCTTAAAAGAGGACATTTTTCTAAAGTGGATTCATCATTTTTCAACCCAACCAGCAGTGCAGGAACGTTCTAGTTGCACCTCATCCTCACCAACATTTGATTAGAGGGAGTAGATCACTCCTTCCCAGTAGCCCAAGTAAAGGTCTTATGAACTTTATTGAAGCTAACCAGGTGACACAACCTTCCCAAAACAACAATTGTGGTTTCTGTTTGCTCAGGTCTGCACCATGGATCTATCTTGTATCTGATATTTGATTCTGGTCCACTATAAGCCACAGGCTGAGGGTTGAGGAGGCAGCCTTTTCTCAGGGGGAAACTAGGAAACTGTTAGAGAAAGTTGAATGATTCCAGGAGGCCAAAGATCAACCTGATTCTCCTATATATTTCCATTATGTATAGATAACTCCTAGAAATAACAGCTTTTTAAACTCAGAAGTGCATAATTAAAGAAAAGTCTAGTTTTGGTTGGAAGAACAGTACAATGAAACACAGCAACTAATAAACATATGCTCAGGACGCATAGTGAAGAAACTGATGGGTAGGTGTTGAGAAAAACAGATTAAGTCCATTCCTTTCTGTTTCTTTTTTGTTCAAAATTCATGGAAATCTGTAAGGCAACTGAGTGTACTTGCTAAAGGCAGATGGTTGTGTTCTCTTGCTTGGTGGCATAGAAAGCTGAAGGAGGTACAGATGGCCAGACGGGGGAGGCTTTAGAAATGTGTGTGAGGCCAATACTAATTTTAGGAATCATAGCATTTATGAAGACCTAAAACTTTTGGAATATTTGTTGATCTGACAACTTATAGTCTAGAACCTAGGAACATTATTGTTACTATTCAACCTTGGCCTTTGGGCACAGAAGGAAGGAGAGCTGGATCATTTCTGCTTGCATAGCCATGTATACAAAGCTAAATAAAAGAACAAATTTTCAACTATGATTCTTCTTTGCATTGTTATTTATTTCATTTTGTGAATATTATTGAAAATAACTCTATTGTATAGTGGAGAGATGTCATAAAATGATCCCCTCCAGGTGCCCAACATGCTAAGTAGGTCACAGGCTAGATTGATTATATAAGCATGGAAATGTCTGGTACAAACCAAAATATCCTTCTATTTATTTATTATTTATTTATTATTTTTTGGTGGGGGGCAGGGTTCTCACCCTGTTGCCCAGGCTGAAGTTCAGTGGCACAATCATAGCTCACTGCAACCTTGAACTCCTAGGCTCAAGTGATCCTTCCACCTTAGCCTCCCCCAATCCTGAGAGTATGGGCATGAGCCATCATACCCACCTCAAAACATTTTTTAGCTGCTTATGTTCCTTGAACACGGTTTATGGGGATGAAATCTAAAGTTTGGTTAACTGGTCCTGTTTCTGTTCATTAAAAACTAAATGGTGATTTCTGAAAGTTATTTAAGTTAAACAAAACACTTTATTGACTTTGCATTTTGTCTTACCATTCCTATCCCCCTTACCCTGCTCACTTGACATATATGTATATGCACACACACACACACACACACATATATACACACATATATCTATACAATTAAAGATGTGTGGATATGTATTTATAATATATACACCTCAAAATTTATTTATTTTTACTACTTCTCTTCATCCTCTCACTGAAATGAAAACTTTATGAGAGAAGACTATTTTATATGTATTCTCTTCACTGTTTTATTTCTTTCACCAAGAAAAATTCCTGGCATGAAGTAGGAACTTCAATATATTTGCTGGATATTTTGTGAATATGTTTTGGATAGGCAGTGGAAAGTTAAAGATGAGGGTAGGGACTTAGCCTGACTTATTCAGTGATTTATCCGGAATGCCAACAATAGTGCCCAGCAAATAGTAGATTCTCAATGAATGTTTATTGAATAAATTACATATCGATTCTTCAACCATTTTTTGTGAAGAAGACAATGTTAACTACTGGATAGTGAAAGAAATTGGGGTGCTGGTGGTTTGAAAGAAATGCTGAAAGTTTGTAATAATTATTGTGAGCAATCATAAAAATAGCCAGTCAGAGACACCAACTCTCCCACTCACCAAAGGATTTTAAAGATGAAGAAACTCTGTATTTGTAGTGGGCTCTAACCTATGTGAATCTATAATTTCCTTCAGCATCGCTCAGCTGTCAAAGACAAGCTGATAGTTGTATTGACTTAATGACACCTCTCCACCCTTTCCTACCTACCACCCCCACCCTGCCTGCCAAACAAAACTCCTATCTAAATAAAAATCACCATGATGTGTCTTGGGATTTAGATTGCACAGTAATAAAAGTGGCTCCACAGTGGACAGAAATACTGTGATAAAAGGTATAAAGATTAGAAGACAGTAGAGTCAAAGAAGAGGAATAGTGGAAGTGGTGAAAGACTGAAGATATTAGCAATTTAGTCACAGAATGGGATATTGGAACTTGTTTTTAGGAAGCATTTCAGTTTTTAGGTAATAATATTCAGCCTGAGGCCAAGGTAAAATGTTAGCATGAGTAGAATTAAGTTTGTTTGAAGTTTGGTAGCAGGGGATAGGAGTGGAGAAGTCCAAGCAGTAGAGAACTAGTTTCTAGGTTGAGTCTTCCAGACTTGGGTTGAGTCATGTTCGATATCTCAAATGAACGAAAAAGTGACAGAGACACCTATAGGTGGCAGTAGACAGGAGGAGTGGGGTTGGGGTAGTATAGACAGACAATGGAAGCTTCAGAAGAGAAAGGGAGTGGTCAGTTAATGTCTTTAAAAAGGTGATAGTTGGCTAAGAGAGAATAGGGTTGGGGTGAGATGGGGTTGTCTTAACTTGGATGGCTGTAACAAAAATGCCGCAGACTGGGTACTTTAAACAACATTTATTTCTCACATTGACTTGTGGAACTATATTTCTAGAGGCTGGGAAGTCTTAGATCAGCGTGCTGGCAGATTCAGTTCTGGTAAGAGTCTACCTCCTGGTTCATAGGTGGCTGTCTTCCTGCTGTAACCTCATGTAAGCAGAAGGAACCACGGAGGTCTCTAGAGTCTTTTTGTAAGAGCACTAATATCATCTATGAAGGCTCTAACCCCATGCCCTAATCACCTCCCATAGGGTTCTACTTCTAAATACCATCATGTTGTGTGGTTAGGATTTTAACATATTAATTTTGGAAGGACACAAACATTCAATTCATAATGGGGGTCAAACCAGGAGTAAGATGACCAGTTGGAGGCTATTGCTGCTGTACAGAGAGATGCATTTGTGGTTTAGACCAGGCAGTAAAGGTGGAGGTGGTGAGGAATTGTCATTTGAGGGACATTTTGTGAAGGTAAAACCACCAGAGTTGGCTGCTGGAATCAGATGTAGGACATGAAGCCCCTTGATATTTGATCTGAACAACTGAATTAATGTTAATACTAGGTGGAAAAGACAAAGGAATGAGTCAGTTTGAAGGAGAAAAGGAAGAGTTTTCTTGGATTTTGCAAGTTTAAAGAACTTGACAGCTACTTGGACATTTATAGATGTGTTGGGAACTGTGTCAACTGCTTTCATATACACTATACCATTTGTTATATTATCCTACTGATCCTATGAGGTTTGTACTAATATTATTCCAAATTCATGGATCAGCTTTAGAGAATGAATAACCCATCCAAACTCATATAGTGAGAAAGCCACAGTGGCAAGATTTGAACCAAGGCTATCTGACTAAAGAACTCGCAATCACTGTTCTATACAACTTAAAATCCTTCTGATCAAGTGGATCCATGTTTTGTGATGTCGAATGCACATGTAATTTGGGAGGACTCTTTAAGAGAAAGATCACAAATTTACAACTACAAATGAGAAAGGAAATCATCATAAACTGTGTACTTTTAAAAACTGGCAAATATTTTAAGCATTAAAGTATCTAGAAAATTAACATTCCTTAAATGTTAGCAAATGGATGAAGTTTTATAATATTTCCCCACTTTTTTGTCTCCATCATTGTTGACCATCTCTTCCTGTGACAAATTTTTGTAATGCCATTTTCTATAAAGATAAATTAGTAGTCCATCTTCTATGATTAAAATTGATCAATTTCTAATTATTGATAGTCTAGGAACATTTCAGGTTCACAATTTATTAATAGTAATACTACATAAAGGTTTATGAATGTTGGGAATTTATTGATGACATCTAAGAAAACATTCAAGTTTTGCCACAATGTATAATAAAGCGATACCTCGTTAGAACCTCTCCCTAGGTATTCCAAAGTAGCCATGTAAGGCAAGGACCAGGAGCTTCAGTTTCATTCACCTCACCATGAATTCACCTCTTAAACTGGCTTCTCTCCAGGTAGTTGGGGACACCAAAGCAGGGCGAGGAGGCCCATGAGGACATTAATCCCATGTGGTGTAACATAAGAGTTATCTTTCCTGAGTAGTCATTGAGGAAATTGGTTGTCTCCTCAGATGATGGAACTCACAGCTCTTCAACTGTGAGGTGAGAGCCAGGAGGTGAAAAAGGACAAGACTGGAGAAAATGACCTTTTCTCACAAATTTCTTAACAACTGTTTCATAAACATAATAAAACTGGCATTACATTTTTCTTATCTCTCAATGAGTCAATAAAATAACATACTAAATATCTATTTTGCTCAGCTTTCTATTATTTTAAAATATTTTCTTTTGAAGTCCAAGTGTAGGTAGAAATTTAAAATTTTTCTTTATAATTAACTAATCAATATTTGAAAGACTTGCCGTGGCTGTTCTCCTACTGAGGCACACTGTTGTAAAACAGTGATTGAACTTGAATTGTACATGGTTTTCCTTATTCTCTCAAATAATTTTCCTTCAGTTGAAATAATTACATGTTCAAGACTCTGATGTTGTATAGAAGCTGTGAAATGAGAATAAGTTGGTTCAATTTTTTGTATTCTTGGGCTTGAAAGATAGATGACAACTGGAATAATCATTACAGAAGAGTGACTGTTGTGGTAGGGAAAATGTAAGAAATTTAAAGAAAGAGAAATAGTATGAGAATTAAAAGAATAAAAAGGCAAGAACATGGTATTAAAAAGTGGTTTCTGGGATGTTTAAGAACCCCATTTAGCCCAATTTTCCTTCCATATGTTTAGTAATCTGAGAGGCAGCAACAGGGCACCTCGATTCAATTGAACATGCTTAATGGAACTTCAGAAGTCACTATAATTAGTTTGGCTAATTCCCACCAGCCCAGAGTAAAATGTCATTCTTTAATTGATATTTCAGTGTCCAGACTCAATGCTCCCACTTGGTGAAATCAGCAGGAAGACCCATCTGATATGTCAAAAAGTCCCTATGGATCCCAACTTCCCAGCTGCTTGTTAATAGAACAGAAATCCCAACTCATCCTAGAGGCTCGAGGAGTCCTTGCCCGGGTGGGCAATGGCAGCTCTCAGGCTGCCAGCACACAAGAGAACCTCCTGCTGCTCAAAGGGCAGGAAATCACGGAGTCCACCGTTGCTGAATTCAGAATGTCCCCTACTGTATCTGGGTATTCTCTGTGATCTCAGAGCTACTTTTGTTATACTTGGCTAAGAGGGCAGGAGGGAAAGATGAGCCCTAAACCAGATCTATGATGTCAGCAAAGTGTAGGCCTACTTGTACTTGCAAGTGCTATAGACGGAAAGTTTATGTTCTCAAATTCTTACATTGAAACATAATCATCAGTGTGATGATACTTCAAGGTGGGGCCATTGGGATGGGATTAATGTCCCCAGAAAAGAGATCCCAAAGAGCTTCCTTGCCCCTTCTGCCATGTGAGGACACAGTGAGAAGACAGTCATCAATGAACCTGGAAGTGGACACTCATCCGGCACACTGAGACACGGATACACAGGGATTTAGTGTGTATCCACTGGTACCTTGATCTAGGACTTTCCAGGCTCCAGGCTGTGAGAAATAAATTTTTGTTATTTATAAGCCATGGAGTCTATGGCATTTTTGTTATAGCAGCCCTAGCAAACTAAGAAAATCAGACTTAACCACCTTTGCTGGAAAACTGCCAGTTTGATCTGAAGGGGAAAGAGACAGGAAGGAATGAAGGAAGGCTGTTGGACTTCTTGGATTTTACAGGATGGTACCATCGAGTTAATTGGCTGGTAGCATATTATTCTTCTAGACAAGGAAGAATGACTCTGAAGACAATTCAGAGATCATCAGGGTTGCCTCCTTGGTTTCAGAAGGGTGAACCATAGTCTTGCTTTCAAAAGGCCAGATGGCCTCTGCTCAAAAGAACACTAAGGATGAGACCCCAGCTGGGTAAAGCTGCAGGGAAAGGATTTCCCTGTGGGTTCTGAAGGCAGGACCTCTACCCCAGTAGACCTGGAGGGCAGAGCATTAAGCCAAGGAGGATTACTCTTAAGCCTTAAGGTCTAATGGAATTTGTATTGTTGGGTTTTGGACTAACTCCTAACCTATCGCTCCTTTCTTCTTTCCTGTTTCTCCCTTTGGAATGGCAATGCCTCTCCTTTATCTGTTCCACTCTTGTATTTTGAAGCACATAACACATTTGCTTTCACAGGTTCACAGCTAAAGGAGAATTTGCCTCAGAATGAATGATACCTTGAATCTCACCCATATCCGATGTAGACGATATTTAGGTGAGATTTTGGACTTTAGACTTTTGAGTTGATGCTGGAATGAGTTAAGACTTTTGGAGCTGTTGAGATGGAATGAATGTATTTTGCATGTGAGAACATGAATTTTGGAAGCAAGAGGTAGACTTACAGACTAAGTGTTTGTGTCCTCCCAAAATTTGTATGTTGAATCCTAACCCCCAATATAATGGTAGTTGGAGGTGAGGTCTTTGGTAGCTGATTAGGGCATGAGGGCAGAACATTATGAATGGAATTAGTGTCCCTATAAAAGAGGTTTTGGAGAATTTCCTTGCTCCTTCTGCCATGTGAGGACACAGCAAATGGCCATCTATGAACATGGAGAAGGGCCCTAACCAGAACCTGACCATGCTGGCACCCTTACCTCAGACTTCTAGCCTCCAGAACATGAGAAATAAATTTCTATTGTTTATAAGTCACCCAGTTTATAGTATTCTATTATAGCAGCCTGACAGACTAAGACAAAGTGCAAAAGTGAATTTTTTATTTATGTAGAATGAGGAAACATATCATGTGTTGCAGAATCCTTAGAGATTCAGATCTGTTTCTTTTTGAGAGTCTCTTTAGGCAGTTTGCCAGAAATGCTCCCTAAATTCAGTTTGGCTTTCCCTCTTCTCATAGAACACTCTAAACTCCCAACTCCCGCACACTCCAAGGAATCTGGGTGAGGAAGAGTCCCTGAAACTGAAGCTCTATTAGCTTCAGTAAATTCACCTCTGCTGTACTGCTGATTGCCTGGGGCTCTGTCAGAACCTGTTTTGGCCCTATCTAGTCTGGATGATTCATGCACAGTCATCACTCAGATTGTCCCCACCTGTTGAAGTCTGGGTGGCACTCAAAGATTTGGCCAAATCAGACTATCACATCCTGTCCTCGCTGCCTTGCCAGTGAACTCCTGCCAGTTAAATGCAGGCTACAGTAGATTTTTGTGCTGTGAAAGAAGATGTGACTTTCTTTCATCTTTATGTAGTGAAGGTGCCCATTGACAAAATGAGACTACCATACACCATTTTAATTATATTCGTTTGTATTTATTTTTCCTATCAGTAGTAAAAGATATGCAATGAAGGGTTCCCTCCAACCTAACACTCGTCTCCTCCTGTTACTCAGTATTCCTCCTTAATGATATCTTTTCTTGGGCAGCCTTACAGAAATATATTTTGCAAATATAAACAAGTGTGTGTGTGGGTTTTGATGTTAAATTCTTTCTTTTTTTACTGTACTAGAATATTTTATATAGCACATTTGTTCTCTGTTATTTCATAATTAGTTAGAATTCTCTGGCCAAATGATCTGAGGACCATGCTTGTGAGAGAGTTGGGCAAAAAGAAAGTTCTGTGACATCTTTATTTCTTTCACAGTGACACTCTATATCATCTTGGGTGTAAACTTGCACCTGGTATGACTTGTTTCTTTCTTTCTTTCTGTCTCTCTCTTTGTTTCTCTTCCTCCCTTCCTCCCTTCCCTTCCCTTTTCTTTCTTTCTTTCTGTCTTTCTTCTTTCTTTCTTTCTCTCTCTCTCTCTCCAAGAGACTTTCACTCTGTCACCCAGGCTAGACTGCAGTGATGTGATGATAGCTCAATGTAACCTTAAACTCTTGAGCTCAAGTGATCCTCCCACATGAGCCTGCTGAGTAGCTGGGACTCCAGCCACACGCCACCATGCCTGGCTAATTCTTTTTTTATATGTTTAGTTTTTAGCCCAGGCTGATCTCAAATTCCTCACCCCAAGCGATCCTCCTACCTGAACCATCCAAGTCACTGAGATTACAGGCTTGAGCCACCATGCCTGACTTATTTTGTTTTAGCATATCATTTCACTTTATAATCCAAATAAATAATCTTTTCAGGCTACTATGTGAGTTGGGCTTAATTATGTTTATTGATAGGACTGATTTTTTTGTGTTATATTATTTTAGACTTTCTCTTTTCAAGGCTTTAAACATACCATCTTTGCCTCTGCTTTCTGTGTTGTTAAATATAATCTTATTTTTAAAGACAGTATCACAATATTTACTCTTCTAATTTTGCTCATTTTTTAAATTATTGCGGATTATAATGTTTACATTTGGGCCTGAACTTGTAGCCTTAACATTTGTTTAGTCTTTGTTCTATAGTTGAATAGATTCAATGATCACCACAAATTTCTTTGCTGTGGCTTTTCCACTCATTTCTTGATTGGCGAAATCTTGCTCACCATGAGATTCCTCAAGAACAGATGAGAATAATTCTTGTGAATTCTTGCATTTGGTATTCCTTGAAATGTATAGGCTGAAATATTCTTTTATTTTAGCAAAGTCTTAATAAATTATATATTTAAATGCTTTTGTGTCTCTTTTTATTTTAATTTATTTCTCTATAACTCCTAGTATGCTATATTGGTCCTTCTTGGTTTATCTTTTGCATCTATGAAGATGTAATGCAATATCATTAGTTTTTAATTTATTTTCCCCTTTGTGAAGAAGAGAAACCAAAAAGGAAGTTTGTCCCTGAGATGCAAATAAATATTCCTTCAATACTTGTGCCTAGATTGTGGTCAGACATCTGCATGAAATTTAACCAATGATATTTTCCAGGTCTTGTTTGAAGTTTCACTGGGATATGCAAAGTGGGTGGTCTCAGATTGTTGAAGGCAGTATAGGTTTTGTTTCTGTTGGAACTTGAAGTAGAGTCTTGGTCGAGAATATCAAATGATAGTGTGATTGGAGAGAACCTGAAACTCCACAAATTATGCCACCTATCCAAAACAAAGTGATACTTACTTTACATGTTTTGAAATATAAGTGTTTAAAGCTTTACCTGTTTATCTCCTGTAATTTTATGAAATGTTCTAAAAAATCTGAAGACACCAGAGAAATAATCATGTTGGCCAAGAAGTCCCTAATGTTATTGGTTCAGACCAGGTCCAAAGCTACTGTCAGGGCAGCTGACAGCCCTGTGCCTGGTTCCCCAATTTTTGGCTACTTTGGGTGGCCATCCTACTTTCTGCTGTTACTAAGAGGAATGTGACTGGTGACATTCTGTAACTCCTAGGCATAGGGACAAAAAAAGGGAACCAGATCCAGGTCCTGCATGATAAAAAAGGGGAAAAATCTACGGGAAGTGAGTCGGGAGTGTAAAGAGTGCCAAAACATACCTCTGATTTAATTCTTCAGCTGCTCAGTGAATTACATATCTTCCATTCTGCAGATATTACACATATTTTCCTGTTTTTAGTGTTTCCTTTTTCCACTTTCTGTCAAAGATAGGGGAAAATGGAAATATTTATCCCTGCACATATGGCAATCAATTTTGCCAGTAAGCACAGATCTTAAAACCATGTTGACCCTCTCATAAAATAAGGTATTTTCAATTGCTTGCTCATATCTTGGAAGTACACGTCATTTTGCATACTCATACTCATATCCTTAGTAATCTGCCATGTGTCTGAATATCTTATTATCAATGATACTTTACTATCTATCTCTGCTCTTTCAAGTGCCTGTATAGACTTTAATCAGTTAATAAAAGAACATCGCAATATGTGGTGATTAAAGAATATGTACTCTAGCATAAGATAACTTGGTTTAAATGGGCAATTTATTTAATGTCTCTAAGCCTTGGCAATAGGGAACGTGCTAGTAACTACCTCATAAAGTTATGATGAGGAATAAATCCATTCATATGTTTAGCAATATTTATTGAGCACCTACTATGATAAGAACTATGAAGAAAAACAATGCAAGATGAGGGAAAAGAGAACGACGGGGTGCTACTTCAGATATAACTGTCAGAGAAATCTGCTCTAGGAAGATTATATTTGAGGAAAGATTTGAATGAAGTGAGGAAGTATGTCATGCAAATACTTGGGTCTGAAGGTTCTAGACAGAAGAAAGAATAATTATAAGAATGCTGTGTTGGGAATCTTATTACCATGATCAAGAAGTTGGATGAATTTATATTGTGCTTTTCCAAATTTGAGCTGTCTAGATTTAATGGCCTCAAGAAGACAAAGCCAGGGTTGAGTGGGGAGAGCTGTACTGCATAAGAGTTCTCAAAGCTGGAGTCCTTCTTAAGGATTCCAGGCCAAAAACAAATTATATTCTACATATAGAATGTAGTGTGGAAGGGGGCATCTTATCATCTGGAGTATGTATGTATTTACTACGTAAATGTCTTAGTCTATTCATGCTATAATGAGAAATAACCATAGACTGCATTATTTATAAAGAACAGATATTTTTTGCTCACAGGTCTAGAGCCTGGAAAGTCCAAGATTACGATGCCAACATTGAGTGTCTGGTGAGGACTGCTCTCTGCTTCCAAGATGGTGCCTTGTTGTTGTAACCTTACACGGCAGAAGGTGAAAGGGAAAAAGGGTCTTGTTAGTTATCTCCATCCCTTTTATAAGGCACTAATTCCATCTATGAGGGCAGAGACCTCATGGCCTAATTACTCCTAAAGGTGTCATCTCTTAATATTTTGCACTGGGCTCTCAATATATTCCCCCAAAATTTTTCGTTGGGTATTTAATCCCCAATGCAACAGTGTTGGGTGGTGTGTCCTTTTTGGAGTTGATTAGCTCATAAGGATTCTGCCTTCATGAGCAGATTAGTGAGTTATAAAAAGGGCTTATGGGAGTAAGTATGCCCTCTTTTTTGCTCTTTTGCCACGTGAAGGCACAATTTCATTCTCTCTCACCCTTCCACCATGTGAGAACACAACAAAAAGGCACTTATCAAATGCTGACATCTTAATCTTGGACTTCCCAGTTTTCAGAACTGTGACAAATAAATTTCTATTCTTTACAAATTACCCAGTCTGTGGTATTGCACAAACTGGACTAAGACAGGGATTACACCTCATAGTGAATTTTGGAGAGAACACAAACATTCAAACCATAGCAATGAGTAAAAGATACTTATCATAGAAAATTTTAAAGGCACAAACATAAAGAAGAGTAGAAAAGAAAAAGAATGAAGGGAGAAAGAGGAGAAAGAAATCATCTGTTAAGCTGCCACCCAAACATAAGTACAGTTGTTTTATTTGTTCCTTTTTGGCAAACTTCTATAAGCTCTATAAACCTGTACATAAATTTTTAGATCGTTTTAAACATATCTTTTTATTAGCTATGTGTACTTATTCTTAATAAAGTTGAGCCATAATTTACCCAATGATTGTAACCTTATGATAACCTCTCTTCATAATGTTTAAACATTCTTTCTCTTCATATGACAGCAATTGTGCTTCCGATATCCATGAAAGGAGAGAACACATAATAATAAAAATGTTCCATTAATTCAGTGATACGTTCAATGAGTTTGTAGATCAATAACCAGAACAATATGTATACACATTTGAAAAATTAGTTAGTTTACCGATAGAGAGATTGATAGATAATAGGATGTAAAGATTATTCAATTTAAGAACATGCTTGAAACACAAGCTCTTAGACTCTTTGTAAAATTTTAGCCATCCTCTCTCCCATAAACATGCAGCTACTCACAGATTAGGATGTACAGGTTAGGTAAGGCAATGGTCCTTAGAGTATGCTCTCAGGGCCGACTTCATCAGCATCATCTGCAAATTTGTTTGAAATACTAATCATTGGCCCCCATCCATGACCTACTGAATCAGAAGCTTTAAGAATGTGCTGTTGAATTCTGTTTTATCAAGATATCCTGGTGATTCTGATGCACACTGAAATTGGAGTACCAGTGAAAGCGAGCTCTCCTTTCATGACAGTTGAATCCTGTAACTACTAGTAATTAGCAATTGAACTTCCTACCCATTATATCCTCTAAGCTTCAATTTTCTCATGTCTATAAAAAAACAGAATCAGCAAACCAACATTATACTGTCGTAAAGATTAAATGGTATAACTCGTGACAGCAACTAGAAGTGTCTCTGGCATACGATATACACATTCATTCAAGGACCAGTTAAGTACCTACTATGTGGCAAGCACTGGTAGAAAAAGAGTAGATCATCTTTTCATGGACCTCATCTAGCAAGTGAAGACAAGCCGGTGTGTATATGTGTGTGTTTAATCAAATGTCATATTTGTCATGATAACATTAAGTTGGAGCCCAAGGAAGGGGGGAGTTAATTACACTTGAGAAGGGCAGAATCAGGAAAGGCTCCACAGAGGAGAACTTTTATCCACAGAACCCAGATAAGTTAAGCCTTGGAAGTGTGAAAAAAATTAAGCCTGTGGAGGTGGTAAGAAAAGGTCACCATATATAATCTGAATGAGACAACAAAATTTACTTCATTATTGGATGCAATGAAAGTAAGAGAGCAGTCAAAGAGGAAGCCACAATAATTAAAAGTGACAAAATTTCAGAAAGAGAAAAAGATAACATGAGAAATGAGTGAAGGATTTAAATGGCTTTATATTTCTGGTGTCCCAGCAATGTTAATTTCCCTCTTTTTCCTTAACATTTTTATCCTGGTGAAATCTGATAAAAACTAAGTTTTTAAGTCAGCATTGATGCTGGAGGTTTGAGAAGGGGAGCATAGAAAAGCTGTATTACAATATGGAGCCCAAGTGGAAAGGTAAAGGGACCTTAGGAAATTTTTTGTTTTTGTTTTTTCTCATTCTCTAATTCTCTGGCTGATTGCCAGAATGACTGACAAACCAGCAGCTTTTGGGGAGGAAATGGTGGGGTTGGAGGGGAAGAAGAAAGGTAAAAGCAAGAAGGAAGAGAAAGAGAGGAGAGAATTGGAGGAGTCCTTTAAGGAATTCATCATATTCAAGGCCAGGTAGCCTGAAGCAGATTTTTAGATGTACTGAAGTAATCAGCCTTTGAGTTCTTTGGATCCTCTGTGGCACATTATTTATGACTGAGTTCTTTGTGTGTAGTTATTTTTAATGACTTTGTTCCCAATCTAAGCCCTTGGTACCTTTGTGCCAGCACAGCCCCTGTGAAAATTGACCACTTTGTTCTGTTTATAAAGGACTACAGATTTACAGATGCTGAAAATAAAACTCACAGAGTCCATAATGTAGACATTCTTGGTCTTCTGTCTTACCTTATTCTACATTTAAAATGTTTTCCCAGCCACAGTCATAATAATGGTTTATTGCATAGCCCAAAGATAGAGGCCCCAGAGCATTCACTCCCTTAACGCAATTAAAGACAGTAGTTTGGACCTTCTCTCCTTGCTACTCTCATCTCTCCTGGTAGGACAGAGAAATGATTCTGCTTTATGTAAATATTATGGATGTGCATTCTGTCTCTGTATCTCAGGGTTTGAAATTTCCCACTTTAGAAGACATTTACCACTTTCCTTTGCTTCTCCCAAACATAAAACAAATCTCAAAGAATAAAGGAAAGCGAGTTGATACACCATAATACGCAGTTGCAGTATCATTAAATTGCATACACATAGTCACACTCAGAGAGAACTGGGACGCCAGCTTCTAATTTGTTATCAAATAAACATTGTCTCCAGTTGTTTTCCAGAGGTTAGGGTGTAACTTCAGTAACTGAAGAGGGGAATAAACAAAGTTAGCATCAAGTTATAGTCTGATGCAACCTTAAAGTCTGCATTTTAAGGTCTGGGTGAGCTCATCTGTCATGAGGCCTAAAATAAACAAGTGTCCAAGATGGAAACAATGGTGTAGTTAAAATCATCCACATAAGTGAGTCAAGCACCCAAAATGCCTTCTGCCGGGGACAAAGCAAAATTCTGAGGGCAGAATCTGATGATTGTCCCTTTAAGACATTAAGATATTTAAATTACCACAGGAACGCAACACACATCGTTTTATTCTACTTGTCAAATGTTGTAAAATAATCACGTTGATAAAATATGAAACTATTGGGTTGTCCACGTTCTGAGTTATAAGACTTTACAATACCAGGGACTTTATAATATCAGAAGATTTAGGTTTTTCAAAAATCCAAATGGTTATGAAATGGAGAGAGGGATTGAAATAAAGGATTATTTCTCTGAATGGACTGCAACAGATCAAAGGACAAGATCAAGGCTAAAGAGCAAATATCAAGGAGTTTAACAACTGACATTCTTCTCCATCTCAATAAATGACCAGAAACTTGGAGTCATCGTTGACTCTGCTCTTTGTCTCCTATTTTATATCTAAGTAAGTCACAAATTCCAGCAGCACTGCCACCACCCTGGTCCAAGTGTCAGTCATTGTCCTGCGAGTTTTGCTATGGTTGTAGCTTATAAATTGTTCTACCTTCATCCCACACTTACCCCTCTGTAGTCTATTTTCAACCAGGCAAGTGGAGTGATACTGTTGGAATTTAAGCTAAACTCTATCGATGACTACCCATGTCTCTTAGAATGAAATCCAAATTCTTTACAGTAACCTGAAAAACCCTACTTCATCAGGCCTTCTCTACTTGTATGATGTCTTCCCTGACCCCACTGCACCTAACTGCTTCTTGCTCACTTCATTGCAACAACATTGGCCTCCTTGTACTTCACACCTGCTGAACATGCTTCAGCCTCAGGACATTTGAATTTGCTAACCCTTCTGCCTGAAATACTCTTCCCTTAGATATCTGAAAAGTTTTCTTCCTCATCTATTTATGCGTCTTTGGTTTAAAATTTTACTTTAAAAAGTAAAACATTTCATGACCACCCTATTTAAAACTAGTTTCTTCCCTCACTCCCAGGATTCCCTGGCCCCTACCGTTCTTTATCTTCTACTATAGTAGTCGTTATCTCTTACAAACTACATATTTTATTTGTTCTAATTTTTTTTAATCTGCTTTCTTCCACTAGGGATGTTTGTTTCTTTTTGTATGGCCATTTTCCAGAGTAATTAGAATAGCAGGGCAAGGCAGGTAGGGCCTCAAGAAATAGTCATTAAAATGTTAAAAAGACTTTCAAACAATGCTAATTGTGCTACTTATAAAACCAGCCCTGCTTTAGTCCCTATGGATATTTAAAAACAAACAAACAAACAAACAAAAAAACAGATCTGAAGATTCCCAGGAGAACGCAGACCATGCTTGCAGCTCTGGGACAATGATGACTTATAACAAAAAAGGGAAGAGGAAATTCTGAGGAAACTGGCCATCCAGAGAGGTTTGGTGTACTCAGTGCACTGGGGACATCAATTTGGGAGCAAATATTTAGGAAGGAAAAAAACCATTTTAAAAAATGGTTTACCAGAAATTAACCAACAGCATTTTCCTAAATTCATTAAAGTTTCAACAGTAATGTCCATATTTCCAAGTCACAATGACATTCGATGTAATGGAAAAAACACATCTGGCATTAAAAAATATTAGTGTTAATGATATGAATTTATTCATATTCAAAATTTGGGGTTAAAAAACCAGGCTTACTTGCTTCCAGACTAACTCTTTGTGACTCCACTGTGACTTTATTTAGGCCCTGGATTAGTGAGACCATTCTAATTTCTCAAACCTTGACTAGGATTAAAATTTCCATGGTACAAAGAAATGACTTGGTTAAAAGAGAAAAAACTTTCCTTCTTCTTATTTTGAATAGAGAATGCGTAGTGCACTGAAGACCTTCAGCGATGGTTGTGTGTTATCTGAAAGCTGATCCCAATGGACTTTGACAATGCACACTGGTGTCCACCATTCACTTTCAACTGGACACGTCTCTATCCTCAGGCTTGCTCTTCTGAGGAGGTGGAGAGAATCTTAAGTGAGAACTGTAAAGGAAAACTTCTAGGTAATAAATAGCTTCAGTAGAGAATAACATGAATGATTCTACTCAGGATCATCTCAAAGGCTGAAATGAGTCACTTTACATTTGAAGATATTACAACAACATCAGATGCACAGAGGATTCCTTTTCCTTTTTAACAATATCAAGTTGAGTCTCATGGCTCACTGGAGAAGCTGAATCACAAAAATGACATAGAAGCTCATGGCCAGTATCTTAAAGAGGCATACAAAATTGCTCATCCTGTTATTTTCTGAGAGAAAATATCTTACTTCTTCAAAACATGCAGGTGGTGGAAGAGCGTATCTAAGGGAGCCAAATCAGATAGGAGCATTTCAGAAACCCACACGGAATCCATGTGGTACCAAAAGTTCTCAGGAGTTAGCAGCATCCACATGTCATTGCATTTTTTTACTCTCCTTGATAAATTTGATGTCATAAAGTGATAGTTTCAGTCTTAGTCCCTTCTGTTAAAAAGGAATCAATGATTAAAAGCCAAATTGTTTCTATTGTAAATAGTAGCATTTCTTGCAACTCCTAGCCACCTTTACTGCCAAAAATAAAATATACATTGTAAGAGCTAAGAGGACTAATTCTTTTATATTGTTGCTTCTCTTAATAAGAAATCCTTTTGGTTTCAACTGTGTAACTGCAACATTGGTCCTCTCACATTTTCCTCAGTTGCTCAAGTTGCCAAGTGCATGGAATATCCTGTTTTTTCAATTAAACTTACCACTGCTTTTCATTTTATCCCCTCTGAGCTTCATAAGCTTCTTTGGGTACCATGCAATGGAGTTCAGAGGCCAGCTTAAAAAAATTAAAAAAACCCAACAATCTGCTTTGCAAAGCTGAGTAAATATGCATAAACACGTTCACACTACCTGTATCTGAAAGAGTTAAGAGCTCCTGAACAGTACTTCAAGGTCAGCAGTTTGCTTTCATCCGTTTCCAGCACTTTGCATAGCTGGCAGCCCTCCATCCTTTGGAGAGTAGAGGGACAGCAGAGTGCACAAGACTTACAGTCTCAGCCAGAATTTCCATAATCACATCAACAGATGGAATAATAATCACTGCTGAAGTTGCTGCACAATCTTTCTGATCCAAGGAAACTTCCTTCTGATTCAATTCAAAATTATTTCTGCTGGCAACTTAGACATAGGCATTCTTATTTTCTGGAAATGTTACAAGTTAAGGTGATTTTAAGGTAACTGAACAGTATAAGCCCTGCATTTGAATATAGTACTGTGGAGGGAGCCACATGTGTGCAGGGAGGTTGAGCAAAGGCTGGGCATTTCCGAGTGCTACATGGGACGTGACATTTCTTTGGTGACTTGCAGCAGTGACTGTGAGGTCTGCCACTCTGCGACATTATGTCCTGGCCGCCTGGGCTCTATCTCCACGGTTGGGATTCTAGTCATGACTGCTTGAAGCTGTCCTTCCCCATTCTCTATATAGCAGGTTAATTCTATTCTTGATTATTCCATGGGGAAAAATCAGTTATATTGAAGAGAATTTTAGATCAACACAATTAGAATCATACTTTCTAGAATCTGGTATGTTAGGGTACTTAATGTTGATTTCTAGACAACAGCTGTGACTCTACCTAAGCTCTGAATCTGCACCGTATGAAAGTGTGACAAAGTTAAGATACCCATAAATATGATGAACAACACCTCTATTGTGTAGATTTTAAAGTTGTTTTGAGGTTTAAGGCTTTATTACATCAAGAATTATCTGAGAGTATCTCGAACTAGACATTGATTTCTCGAATTAATTCTTCTAATTATTCATCAGTGGAGAATCGTTTACCAATATAATGTCCAGGTCACATATGTGGTCAATTTGAATAACCATGAGAGTATAATATAAACATGGATCTGTCTTCACTTGAGAATTCATAAAAAGTGCCACAGTAATTATGTCTGTGTGACATAATCTACTAAAAAAATAATGAAAATGGTAGGAAAAAAATACATTACTTCAGGAGAAAAACAAAATTTTAAAAAGAAATTGGCTTATTTTTGAGTGGCTTTCTCTCACTTCAACTTAGTTATTTCTTGTTTGATTTTTTTTCATTTTGTTCTTTTTTATTGCGATCTCCTATATGTTAAGCACTATTCCAGACACTAAGGATAATTTAAGAGTCTGTCTTTCTCTCCGGACATCCTAAGGTCGCTTAGAGTTTTCATCCCTTACATAGCTTCAGCCGAAATCTACAAGTCTCTGAAATCTATATTTTCAGTAGCAACTTCTCTTCCAAGCTTCAAACCAATATTACATACTTTGAAGGAGGTAGGGGAGGATGTCTAAAGTTACCAATAAAATGCATGATGCCCAATAATTTATCCTGCAAGAAATACTAAAACAGGTTCATTGCTTATCTGCCATTTAAATTTAACTAGGCTTCTTGTGTTTTAATTTGCTGATTTTGGAAACCCTGGGGATGGGGGTCAAGATACATTTTGTTCTTTTGTGTTTTGATCTCTGCATTTCCCATTCTCCTGATTCTGAGCAGTAATCAAGCTCTAAGAACTTCCTTATCTTATGGATTTGTACAGAGCAGAAAGCCTACACTGTAACTTGATGAAAAGAGTGTGCTCCTTGTTTAAAGAGAGGAGGAGAGAAAAAAAAAAATTAAAAGGAGACTGACCTACAGGAAGGATTTCCCCTAGATGAAGAGTGGTCAGAGATTGGCAGATTTTACATTTATCAGGGGCCAGGACATTGCTTGGAAACAGAGCAGGGCAATGGCAAGACTTTGAACAGGATGGTTTGGAGGAATGGTGCACCTAAGGAGGTAGTATCCATGCCACCAAGGTTCCCAGCCTCAGCATCAACTCACATGCTTGACCAATAATACAGAAGCAGTGAAAACATCAGACTTGAAGGTACTGCGTGCATTGCAACAAGGAATGATTCAGTGAAAACAAGTGTTGGCTGGTGAATTGCTGGGTTTTCATTAATGCTTTGGGATCAAATAATATCACAGAACATTTGCACCAGGGAAACCTAGATTATAGACTGTGATTGAATTTCCTTCTATGCAAAGAAGTACGAGTCTTATAATGTAATGCAAGTTGATTTAGAGGGAAAAATGAAGTGGGATATTTCTTCCATACTTCATCTGTGAAATCAAATTTAGAACCTTTTCTGTGGCAGACAATGATGGTTACTTACTCAAAAACCTCCTTGTTCTCCAAATTTATCTTTGCTGTGTCCTTATCAGTGATAAGAAGGTATCCCGACCCAAGCCACTGGGACCTGGAAATTTTTCTTTTTCTAATTAAAGAAAAAAAAATTATGTGGAAAAGAAACTATCATTTTGCCTTTGGACTTGGTTGTTAGGGTATGCCCCCTGAATTTGTGACAATCATCTTTTGATTATGAGGAAACAAGTATAAGAAAAAAAGACAATCTTCAGGAAGAGAAAATGGAGAGATGAACAGAATTCAAAGTTGTTATGATATCACTGAATTACTCATTAGTTAACTCTGCTACTTTCCTGCTTCAGAACTTTTTATGAGATAATAAATTTTTAAGACACATTTAGTGGGCTATTTCATAGTTTGCATCTACAAGAATCCAAAATGATACATTGTTACCATCACAGATTGGGTTTCCAGAAGCAAATGCTGAGACACAGTTTAAGTGCATTGTGTTTACTAGGGACGAACAGCTGCAGAAAGGATGGGGAAGAAGTACAACTGGGCAAAGGAAGAAGTGGAAGTGGCAGGGAGCTCTGTAGCAAGTGTTGCTTACTAGATGTTGTGCAACAGGTCATGATGGCTAGAACTTTATACCCCTGCCATGCTCAGTCACTGGGGGCAGGCTGCTCTGGTAGAGATGTGACCTCAAGCAAAGGATTTATCTGAATCTAAGGCAGATCTGATGGGCAAGATAGCAGGACGCTGGCTTCTGACCACATGTTCTGCAGCTAAACAGCAAGCCCTTCCTTGAAGTCTGATCTGGGTATCTTTGTGTTCACATCAGCTATATGCATACATGCGTATGTATTCACATACATAAATACATATATATACACACACACACCTACCAAATGTATCGTTACTCTGACATTCAAATACCTCAGATTCAATGGGATCAAAATTAAAAGATGGTTCCACTCATGAAGATAATTTAGGATTGACCTCTCAAATCATCGTCATGTCTTTCCTCCTTGCCTTCACCCATCAATGACTATTACTAAGCCTAGTAATATCTTACTTCAGTCCTCATTTTTACTCATTCACATTGATGTTAGGGAAATCCAAGCCTCATTATGCTTCAAGTAAGGCTAAAGTCATTGAGTTTCCTAACCTTAAATTTGATTTCCTAAACACTATTATTAACTTGTGTTTCATATAGCAACAGTCTGGTTGTGCCGTTACTCCTCTTAAAAACCCTCTATAACCCTATTTTGTCTATTAAGTCGCAGCAACCTTTATTGGTTTTTCATCCAACAAAAACCTCAAGATCCTGCTTCTAACTTATTCATTTATTTTAAGACAATGAGTTGATTAGTAATTCTAATGGAAGTCATTCTATTTCTTGCCTTTCTGCCTTTCTTTCAGCCATGCCAGTCTGGAAATCTTTCTTTACTCTCATTTGTGCTTTCTAAAATTTTATCAAATAGAAGTATGACCCACTAAACCCACCAGTCAGTAAGCCACACCAAGACATACTGGTTGAATGTTTGTCCTAACTTTAGTATATCACATAGTCTGCCTTTTATTATGTTTTCAAGGCTGACTTGCCCAGTAAGCACACTAAATAGCTGCTTAAGGCACCAGAAAATCAGGACAGAGCAGATTGAGTTTGTATGTCACTATGATCTATATACTTGTTCTGCATGTAGGCCAGAAAGTGTCGTAGCACCAGCACAAACTGTTCCATCATGACTGTAAATCTGGGACTCAATTGGCAACTTCTTTCTCACATTGATTTTAAATATATATCATGTGTTTCTCACTTTATGCCCAGGGGTTCCTGTCGGAGGCAGGAGATGTTGTGGAAACTACTCAGTGTCCACACATGCATAACTTATGTGTCACACTTGAAACAATGTGAGACAGGATTATAACTTGTGCATGAACCTGACAAGATGGGCCTTCCCTTACCAAGGCTGAGCTAACCTTACTCCTGCTGAATGCTCAACCTGCTGGCAGCAGAGACCAAGATTGAGCACTGTGGTTGCACTCCTCAGGGAGTCCAGTTAGCCATTTGGTAACAGATCAATTTTGTGTCTTTTCACTTTTAAAAGGGCAGTAATACATTCTTATAGAAATTATTTTATACAACTCCTGTGGGGTTGGGATACTAACTTCTGGAATGCACAATTATCTACCGAGCCACCTTACTTGAAAGAAAACTTTTGCCAATGCAAAATAAGTTACACCAAATTAGAGGTTGCAGCCACCATCTGGCCTTTTTTAAGGCAAAGACAGGAGTTACTATACTAGTGGGAGTAATCAAGCCCAATCACCATGAAGAAGCTAGGGTGGTTGCTACACATTGGACTTAGGGATGAGTATCTAGAATTCAAGGGATTAACTGTGTTGTCTCTTGGGACTCCTACATCAGTTGAAAACTATAAATGGGCAGTTGTAACAATAACAGCTTGACAAGGGCAAGACAACTATGGGCTGAGACCTCTTGGGGATGAAGATCTGGGTTTTCCCACTAGGCTGGCAGTCCACCAAGCAAGAATGTTAGCTGAGGATGAAAGAAATCTAAAGAGGGAGACAGTGGAGAAAGATGATGAGTATCACTTACAGACCAGGAACCAACTGCAACAGTGGGTACCAGAGCTTGCTTTGCTGACCCTTTTAAAGGCTTTTTTTGAAGGTTGAAATGTTGATAAATTAGATTTGTACATTACATCCCAGGGAGAAATGAGAGCATCTTTACCTTAGGAAAGACATGGATATATGTCATTAGAAGAATGAATGGATCTGAAAGGCAGTTTTTGTTTATGTGACACCCAAATTCATGCACTTGCTTTGCTTTTGGGCCAGAGTGAGCATTAGCAGCTGTTTACATCAGTTCCATGGTCCTGCAGCCAGATTTCCACTTGCTGCCACCATCTTCACTACAGACCTATAGCCTGCCTTGCAGATTACTCCTAGTTACTCCTATTGTTCACATGAATTCTCCAACAGTTCCTACATCACATCATGCCATGCACCTTTATCTCATATTCTGGCACTGCCCTGGTGCCACTGAGGTATGAGTTACCCCAAGGTTCACTTAGCATTTATGCACATGCAACCCAAGTGCTGGGATTATCAGGCGTGAGCCACTGCGCCCAGCCAGTCCTTTGTTTCTTTAAAACATTTTTAATTGCAATGTTTTGTTTTTCAATGAGTGCCTTGTGGAGTTTTTGTGGCATTTTAAAATTTTGGAATATGAGTTTATTGTTACAGTAATGCATTGCTAATATCTTCTGGTGCGCAGCTTGTCTTTTACTCTCTTTAAGGCAACTTTTAGTGAACAGAAGCACTTGATATTAATGAAGTCCAATTTACCAATTATTTTAATTGTTAGGATTTTGTGTTCCATCTAAAGCATCTTTGCCAACTCTAAGGTGAAGAATATCATCTCCTAAATTTTCTTTTAGATGTCTTATTTATTGCATTTCGTTTGAGGTAAAGCATTCATTTCAATTTTTTTAATACACTGGAAGGTAGGGGAACAGAGAGCTTCTTGGATCATGTTATTCGATGTGTTACATCAGTTTGAGAAATTCTGAGTCAGAGTTTCTTTAAAAACTCACTCTCTTCCATTTTCTCTCTCCAATTATACATGTTAGATTTTATCACATGCCGAATGTTTCCTACTTATACTGCTTCCTGTATTTTTAATGTATTTTTCTTCTCTATGGATCATTTTGAAGACTTTGCAAGGAGTTTCGCAAGAAACTGCCAAACCATCTTCCAAAGTAGCTGTACCATTTTGATTCCCACCAGCAGTGAATGGGAGTTTCTGTTCCTCCACATTCTCCGCAATAGTGTTTTGGATTGGGCTATTCTAATAGGTGTGGAGTGGTAGCTCATTCTTGCTTTAATTTGCAATTCCCTAGTGACATGTGATGTTGAACATCTTTTCATATGCTGATTTGTCATCTGTATATCTTCTTTGGTGGGGCGTCTGTTCAGGTCTTTACCATTTTTTTGCATTATTAATTTTCTTCTTGTTAAATTTTCAGAGTTCTTTGTATGTTTTGGACAAAAATCTTTTATTACATATCTTTTGCAAATATTTCCTCCCAGTCTATGGCTTGCCATCATTTTCTTGGCATTTTAATCATTTTTAAGCCTATAGTTCAGTTGCATTAAATCCATTCATATTATTGTGCCACCATCACACCAGAGCTTTTTCACTTTTCCAAACTGAAACTCTGTATTCATTCAAAAATAACTCTCCATTTCTTCCCACTGGCCCACGGCAACCACCATTCTATTTTCTGTCTTTATAAATTTGGCTATTCTAGGTACCTCCTATAAGTGGAATCAGATATTTGCCCTATAGTGACTGGCTTATTTCACTTAGCATAGTATCTTCAAGGTATATTCATGTTGTAGCATGTGTCAGAATTTCCCTCCTCTTTAAGGATAAATAATATTTCATTGCAAGTTTGTACCATATTTTTTATCTTTTTATCCACCTATGGACACTTGCATTGCTTCCATCTTTTGGCTGTTATGAATGATGCTTCTATGAACATAGGTGTATAAATATCTGTTCGAGTCCCTGTTCAATTAACTTTATAAAATAATTTTTGATAAGTGACAACTATGTTATATTTTATTCTTTTTCCAAATTGTTCATTCTCAAGTTAAATTCACATTGTAACCATTTACATATTTAGGTTTTATTTCATTTCTCTATACTTGCCAATGTTTACCCTTACTATGTTATCATTATGAAAAATTTAAATGTTAACAAAAATAATGTAAAACTATTATATTTTGCAAAGGTGCTACATTGTAGCACCTTTTTGTGAACTACTTCATTTTGCTCTTACAGCAATTCCATTTGGAGTTTATAATTTTTACTTTATGTATCATCTTTCTTTAATTCTCTTGCTTAGAAGAAACAACTACTCATTGGTCAAATGATGAGCAACATATGTTGCAACAAATTTCAAAGCCATTCTTGCACCATTTTAAAAATATCCTGTGAAAAAGACAATATAATCAGAGAAAGGATGAAGAGGCCTGGATGACCAGTCTGATGTTAAAGGACAGCACAGGTAGTGAGGTGGGTCTGGATAGCCAGAATGTCATTTTCAGGAAGCATTGGATTCAGGCAAAGATCTAAAGAGTTAAACAGAGCAAGACCTCAGGGACGTGTTCCATCAGCAGAATGGCATGTATAGAAAAAGACATTTAGGCAGGTCTGATAGACAATGCCTTAGCCTCTGGAAAGATTAGAGAATAAGGCAAGAACCTAGCCTCTTGGAGCTGGGATACTAGAAGGGAAACAATCAAGAAATTGGGAATAAACAATGCTCTGGTCTAAATGTTTGTGTCCTTTCCAAATTCATGTGTTGACACCTAATTTCTAATGCAATGGTATTAAAAGGTGAGGCCTTTGGGAAGTGATTAGGTCATGAAAGTGGACCCCCAACACACACACTCCATGAATGGGATTAGTCCCCTCATAAAAGAGGCCCGAGGAAGCCTGTTTTCCCCCTTCTGCCATGTCAGCACACACAGATGGCATCATCTATGAGGAACACATGCTTACTAGACACTGGAATCTACTCGTACCTTGATCTTGTACTTCCCAGCCTCTAGAACTGCAAACGATCCATTTCTATTGTTTATAAATTATCAAGGCATTTTGTTACAGCAGTCTAACAAACTAAGACCAATAACAAGATAGAGACTATTTACTTATCTGTCTCCCCTATTGGACTGTAAGTAAGCTACATGAAGGCTGGCGCAGTCTGAGTAAGGCAATAGCAAAGCTGATGAAACTTGGGGTCCTTTTATTTATCTTTTTTTATTGATTGAAGGTTGTAGAAGTGGGCTAAATCTCCAGAGGGCATTAAAATGACTTTGCAGTGACTATTAAATGACCACAGGAACAAATATTCAAGCATGTATATTCCATTACATAATTTTTGTTCAATTTGGGGGGTTCAGGGGAAGCTATAGAATTCTATGCTGCTATAGATTTTTCATGCCCTCCCTCTTCGAGATTATTTCTCTGTGCAGATGAATAAAAATCTTCTTGTATTTGACAGGAATATGCCCCCACCACTTTATATGTGCATTAAGGAAATGTTACAATTTAAATAATAGCTGTGGTTACATTATTCTCAAATATCTCTATAAGAAGGAAATGATTTATGCAATTTATCATTTATCTAATCTATTTTAAAGAATATGAATGTGCAAGATGTTTAAAAATGTAGGAGTCAAAAGTAGAGGAAAAGAGAACAGATCAAGAAAAAGGAGAATAGATTCATAGTGTAATAAGGGAATCATTTAGATTTATATTTTTTAAGTTGGTTCAAGTCAAGAAAACAAATAAGATTATCTCGTGTATAACATCCTAATATTGCATTTAATTGAGAAAAGAACAAAAGACTCAACACAGGTTACCAAAAAATGTCCATTGTCTCCAGGAGATATGTGGAAAACCCTTGGAATACAAAGGATACACTTAAAACCAACATATGAGAACTGAAACTCCATGTTGGTAAAAGAAAATAATTTTAGGTAATTTTTAAAACAGCCTCTAAGAGTTTAAGTTTAGAATCATGGTTTTGTAAAGCATTCATTAGGCATTATAGACAAATTATGTTATTGAAGAACTATTTTGAAATTGTTTTGCTTCAATATTTTTAAAAGTTAGGTCTTGCAATAGTCTGAGAAAAATGCGACTTACTTCTATAAAAATGAACACAGTCAGAAATCACGAAGTAAAATCACTTCAGACTAGTAGACAGCAACAACAACAACAAAAAACAGTTGAAGGTAGACAGAAAACATCATAGATATTTGAACAATCCTAGAAACTGCCTGGAAAATCTACTCTTAATAGGGAAAAGACTACTCTTTTGAGCATTATGCATAGATATATTGCAACTTTTTCCCCTCTCCTCTAAAAAGTAGGGAAAGATATGAGAATTTAAAAGCTGAAAGTAATTCTAAGAAACCCAATTAGCACATTTACTTTTCTTCTTATGATGAAAAAGATTAAATATTTTGCATTAAAAAGAAAGTGAAATTTTAAATTGAGAACTATCTCCACGCCTTTTGATATCAAATTGACAGAAGAGTCAAGTTGAAGCTTGAGGCATTTTAGTGTCCTAGATGAAATTTTGACCTTAAGAAAAATTTTAGGCCAGGCGCAGTGGCTCACGCCTGTAATTCCAGCACTTTGGGAGGCCGAGGCGGGTGGATCACGAGGTCAGGAGATCGAGACCATCCTGGCTAACACGGTGAAACCCCGTCTCTACTAAAAATACAAAAAATTAGCCGGGCAAGGTGGCGGGCGCCGGTAATCCCAGCTACGCGGGAGGCTGAGGCAGGAGAATGGCGTGAACCCTGAGGGGCGGAGCCTGCAGTGAGCCGAGATAGCGCCACTGCACTCCAGCCTGGGAGACAGCGAGACCCCATCTCAAAAAAAAAAAAAAAAAAAAGAAAAATTTTAGATTGACATTACAGTGTTCTGTTTGAAACCATAATTTAATTAAAAGGAGATGGTGCACAGGTAAAAATTGGTAAGAAAGACAATTTATTTCACCTACAATCTATTTCATAAAACCTCTAAATTTTTTTCAAAGTGAAATAATATAATATGTTAGTAAGTATAAGGATTTTAACATATTTTTATTATTTATTATTTAAATTTGGGGAAAGAGCTGACTTTTAACATGGTGAACCCCATCTATAGGAAATTCTGACCATTTATACCATAGAATAGTATCTTATAATCCAGGCCATATTCCTTACATACATGGAGGTGGTAGCTTAATAAAATTTCAGGTATATGTCTGGAAAAATATAGGATAGCTTCTGGAAAATGAACCCTAAATTATCAAATATATATAATTGCACATGGGCTGAAAACACATCTTCTCTCATTGACTCACTGACAGTTTGCAAAAAGTCATGAACTGTGAAAACTCTTCAGTTCTGACTCAACAGGCTGACCATGGACAAATCACATAGTCTTTTAGTCCTCTACTTCTTAACTAATAAAATGGGCATAACCACAACTGCCTCCATAGTTTTGATAGGAGAAATGAATAAGATTGTGTCGTAAACACGTTGCACAATTCCATTACAGAAAGGGTTCAGTAAATGTCAATTACCATTTTCTTTTACCATCAAAAATCTTACCATGCATTTACACAAGAGCTTTTGAACAGCAGTGATGTTAATATTTAGTTAGACAGAATCCACCATTCTGGAAGGAATATAATGATGGTTACTTGTGTGAGTCCCCTGATTCAATTTATTCTTCAAAGGGGAAAGCTAATGATTCAAAGCACATCTCAGCTTATCAACAGCAGCAGTAAGATTTCCACTGGAGCATTTCTACCCAATGATTGGAGGTCAGTTTTCTCACCAGAATCAAGACTGCTCTAAAATGGTCCATCTTCTTCAAGACTATTAGAGATATAATATTCATTTATTCATTTCCTTAATAGACCTGCTCATAAGAAGGCTGAATTCTTATTGCCTCAATAGCTTTTCATACATTGTGAGACAAGTTTTACAACATTAAAACTAAAACATGCTCTAGGTCAACACTTGCCTATAAATACTTCGTAGCTACTTATGCTTTGCTGTCAACTTAAATGTAGTTTATAAGCAACCTTGATACTTGCTCTTTTCCTTATTACACAAAGGTGAGATCCACCTAAAGACAAATTTAATGCAATATAACTCCTCTCTCTAACCCAATTTTTGTTTTTACCGTCTCCTCAAACATTTACACCATGCTTTCTGAAACCTCGTTTCAGGTCAAATTATTTTATATATTTTCATAATTTATTTTATTTTTACAATTATTTTCTGCAACACTAAACCTTAAAAACCCTGGCTCTTCCCATGAACATAGCACATTTTTCAGCCCCTTACTTTCTCATATTTTCTTACATCTCATAATTACCTTTTCTTTCATTACTGCCTATATACAATGTATGCTCCTAAATTCTACTAAAAACTATTTTTTAAGGCTGATACTTGGCTCTACCAATCTCTATCTCACCTTAGTTATTTCTACTCAACCATCTGCTGGCTATATCTATACTTTGAATTTGTTGAATTTGGCTCACAGTTTTGTTTTTCAGCCCAAACCCTACCTTCATCCTTGATATTTTCTATGTATTAAGATACAGCTTTTTTTTTTTTGGTGGGGGCGGGGAGTGGGGAGCTTTCTAGGTTTTTCATAACCTGGTCATAACACAGGCTTCCTTTTCTTTTCTTTCCTTTTCTTTTCTTTTTTGAGATGGAGTTTCACTCTCGTTGCCCAGGCTGGAGTGCAATGGCACGATCTCAGCTCACCGCAACCTCCGCCTCCCAGGTTCAAGCAATTCTCCTGCCTCAGCCTCCCAAGTAGCTAGGATCACAGGCATGCATCACCACACCCAGCTAATTTTGTATTTTTAGTAGAGACCCGGTTTCTCCATGTTGGTCAGGCTGGTCTCGAACTCCCAACCTCAGGTGATCTGCCCACGTTGGCCTCCCAAAGTGCTAGGATTACAGGCGTGAGCCACCACGCCCAGCCAGAGGCTTCATTTTCTTAGCGGCAGTTCTGCCATTTGATTCATTGTCTCTATGCATCCTGACTTCCTCTCCTTTTCCAGGCACATAACCACCCCCATAGCTTTCATCTTTTAGCTTGCCTAAAACATAGTATCTTAGCCTGAAACCCAAATCTTTAATAGAGATAAGTTATTCAACTCCAAACAGGAAACACATAATCAAATCGCAGAAGGGTTGAGGGTGGGCAGAATCAGGTAGTAAACAAGGAGTGTAGTTCTTTGAAAACAGATTGTCCTAAGGAAGAAATACAACTCAGATAAGATCAGCTACAGTGCCACTTCTCTGCTAAAGATTTTTCATTTTCCCATCTTTGTAGCATTCAGGATATGTCTACATTTCTTAGAGTAAAATGCAAAGCCCTTTGTTATCTGGCCACCGCTTCTCTCTCCAGCTGTGTCTCTCCTCCATTCCACCTTCATTTTTCTCTTCAGTAATATTAAATATCTTTTGGATTTTAGATCACAATGGGATTTCTCGTGCTTTGCAGTCTTTTCCCCTTTCACTCTCTCCTTGGATAATGCTTTTTATCTCTCTTCCTTGCATTGTAAGCCCCTCGCCTACCTTCCAGTTGTAATTCAGGTGGGGTCTTTTGAAGGTCTTTTATGAATACCTCTTCTCTTACCACTCTGCTGCCAGAAGCAACCTACCCCTGGCACCTTTAGCACTTGGCACAACTTTCTATCATGTCCCTATTCACACACTACTGTAATTTCTGATTTCTGTCTCCTCTACTATATCTTGTTCTCTATTTGATTGTAAACTCTTTGAGGGTAAGGACCTTGCTTTTCTTAAAAAAATATTCTTTTTATAGCATCTAACATCTAGCAATAGTGCCTGGCATTTATATATATAGCACTCAGGAAACATTTGTTAGAAGGAAGGAAGGAAAAAGAGAAGAAAGGAAAAAGGAAGGAATTAGAATGACTCATTATAGCCATCCATCATCAATTGATGACAATTGCTAATATCTGGTGTAATGTATTGTGAGTTGAAATATTTCTGTTTTAGGAGACTATAAGCATAACAACTATGTAAATATTATCCTTTTTAAACTGCTCACATAGCACCTGAATAAAATCAACTGCTTTGTTTACTAACCAAAGTTTACTCTGAACTATCCTTTGAGATTCATAACTTCAGTAGCCCAATAACATTGCTCAGGGTGATAGAGCCACTAAATCAAACATCTCCCCTCTTAGACATTTGCTTGTCTTTAAAAAATGTAATGATGATTCTTAGGTACTTAAAAATAGTTGATGAACAGTTGCCTTCTTGTTGTTGTTGGTTTTTTAAATCAGAATCAATTGTGTTTTGAGAATGTCTTTAAGAATGGCTTCTGTAATCACTAAGAACTGGACCAAGAACATAAGTAACAAAATAAATCAACATCAGCTTAAATGGCAGCCCAATAATTTGTCATATAATAAAACCAGTATTTTAAATATCATGTAATAAACTTTAAAGAAGATAAGAACTACAGATGTAAATATATAAAGCTAGTTAAACATATCTGTGCAGCTGAATTATCTCTTTGAGGTAAACATACAGAGGCACAAATATCTGTCCCAAATTAATCATCTTCCTGTTTCCATCAACATAAATACCTGAGCTCCTGTAGATAACTTGTCATCTCCTTTCTATCCACTCCATCCCAGTGGCATGATATTTCAACCTTTTTCCTATTTGGGATACAGTCCTTGCTCTATCTCTATGGATATATGATACATATAACCACCTAGACTGTCTAGCCATGAACATTTGAGAACCATCAAAACCACTAGTTCAATACCCTGGTCTTAGTTCACTATCATTAAGCCTGTATTAACATTCCTCAGAGGGCTACTGATTGCAGCTTTTGAACATTTTATTTCAAATGGACTTCTCAACTGCTGTTTTGATCATTTCATTTATCTTCTTCACTACCTGGCAGAGCTCACCTGCTATTATTGCTTCTGGCTTACCTACATTTTTCCATTTATGTCATGCAAAATGGCATAACCTTTATGATGTCTGCCAAAGAAGGGACTTAAGGAGCATTATGAGAATCCCTTAATTACCCAATGAGATTTTGATTTGGCAAGCCAAGGATGTAGCCATGGGTGCCAAGACACAACAACCCATTTATTCTCCAATGCTGACTTACCTGTGAAAGGACATCATGGGTAGCTGCCACTATGAAAGTCCTGAGCATTTGTGTAACCACATCCTCCATCCTCTGATTTATACCAGAAGTGACAGTACTTTGGCAAAGGTAAAGCAAACGTCCTAACCAAAGGCAAATGAGGCAACAGGAGGTGCAAAGCAAGAGGAAAAGAAAAGATCCTGAATTCAGAACTAGGTTGGCTATCTTGGTAAGCTAGCCCTTGAGTTTGGCTTTGCAATGCTGTCATCTCTACAGCAACTAAAATAGAGGCAATGTCTCTTCACCTTTTCTAATGCTAAGGGAGGCCCGTTGGGTTTGGCTGTGCCTCAGTCTTGAAAATACATACATGCATTATATAGAATAGATGATGGATTATGTAAAAAACGATAAAAACTAAAATTTTCAAGATTAATAATCTTTATTAAAAAACATTATATATGGTGGGTAGAGATAAAATTCTACATGTTTCACGAGTTATTTATTTCACAGACACTGCTCACAGCCTGCTTTGTTTTCAAGCAATTAGCAATGTAATAGAAAAACTGGCATCTTTACTGTTTTCCTATACAGAATGTGTTATTGTATGTATATATGTGTGTGTATATACATACATCTAAATATATATATGTATGTATATGTAAATATATATGAAATGTATATATATTTCATAGGGCACATTCACATATATATACACACACATATATATATATATCCCACAAAACATCTGATAAATTAAAATTTTCTTTATTTAAAATTTTGTAGTTGTAAAATACCTCTTTCAGTGTAAGGCATATGTTTAAGAAGTATTCATTCATTCACTGAAAGCCTTACATTGTGCAAGTCATGTACAAAGCATTTGTCTAATGACTGCAGGGAACTTATAGTCTAATAAATAAGTTAGGTATATACATTTCTCATTTAATATTACTTGGTATATGCTGTCAGAATATAAAGCTATTTCTGATATACCCTCTTAATGAAAATATTCATAAATATATGAATAATTCATGAAGGCACACTGCCAATATGTATATGTTTGCTTGCATGTGTATGTATTTCTTCTATGTTCTCAGTGCTATTTAATCCAATTAGTCCTATCAAATTTATCTGACCAGTGTCCTTATAAGAAGAGTGAAATTTGGACTTAGACATACATAGAGGGAAGACAACCATATGAAAACAGAGGCAATTTCTAGAAGAAGGTGGGGGAGAGAAAAATTGATCTGTCTGCATTGGGCCAAGTTGCTTGGAACAACCTGTGAGCTCTTGTTAAATTCTTAAGCTTTCTAGAGCAGGTTTTTCTCATCTTTTGACTTGATCCTATAATAGAACTTCTGTCTTGGTCTCCAGATTTGAAATTCATCTCCATTGAGAAGATTAGACTCCCTCCCTGAATCCTAGCTAGCTTATCTGACACACAATACACCTTATATCATTTTTGCTTGCTTTTTAAATTAGAGACTGGACCCCCTTTGTAAAATTCACGTTTGTTAGAAGAGCTGTACTCCAAATCAGATTAGTGCCTAACTCTGAGCATCACCATTATAAAGACACTTACCCTGCCTGTGATAGGAAGAATAATCTCCCCTTTCCCCCCAACCCCAGTCAAAGATATCCACGTCCTCAACATCAGAATCTATGAATATGTTCTATTACGTTGCAAGGGGAGTTCTTAAAATACAAATAAGATGGCTGATCATTTGGCCTTGAGATAATGGATAATCCAGGTGAGCCCAGTGTAATTATAAAGGTAATTTTAAGTGAAGAAGTAGGTAGGCAAGTTAGCGTCAGAGTGATGCAGCATGGGAAAGACTTGACAGATCACTGCTAAATTTGAAGACGAAGTGGAGACAAACCAAAGAATGCAGGTGGCCTCTGGAAGCTGGGAAAAGCAAGGAAACAGATTCTACCCTACAGCCTCCAGACCCCAGGCAAGTCCATTTCAGACTTCTGACCTCAAAAACTGTAATAATTTGTTGTTGTTGTTTTTTTCTTTTTTACCTTTCCTATGGTGCTGACATTTTTTTAATTGTTTTAAGACACCATGCCTGTGTTAATTTGTTGCAGCAGTAAGAGGAAACTAATCCACTTGCCTTCCAGAAAACAGACCTTAGAATATCAAAGATTGTTTTAGTGTGACTTCATTAGGTTCTCTTCATTTCCTGAAATAGGGAAAAAGTATAACTTGTAGTTAATATCATTGGCTTTGGAATCCAACAAAGAACTATCTGTGTGCCTCCTAACAAATGATTGAATTTCTCTGTGCTCAGCTTTGTTAGCTGTTTAAGGAGGATTCTACTTCTCCGATCTGGTTCATTTGAAGATTAACTGAAATAATGTATGTAAAGTACTTATTTAGCTCAGTTCATAGTGTGTCCGGAATTGGTGGGTTCTTGGTCTCACTGACTTCAAGAATGAAGCTGCGGACCCTCACGGTGAGTGTTATAGCCCTTAAGGTGACGCTTCTGGAGTCTGTCCCTTCTGATGTTCAGATGTGTTCGGAGTTTCTTCCTTCTGGTGGGTTCGTGGTCTCGCTGGCTCAAGAGTGAAGCTGCAGACCTTTGCAGTGAGTGTTACAGCTCTTAAGGTAGAGCGTCTGGAGTCTGCCCCTTCTGATGTTCAGATGTGTTCGGAGTTTCTTCCTTCTGGTGGGTTCATGGTCTCGCTGGCTCAGGAGTGAAGCTGCAGACCTTCGCGGTGAGTGTTATGGCTCTTAAGGTAGCGCGTCCGGAGTTGTTCGTTCTTCCCGGTGGGCTCGTGGTCTTGCTGGGCTCAAGAGTGAAGCTGCAGGTCTTCGCGGTGAGTGTTACAGCTCGTAAAAGCAGCGTGGACCCAAAGAGTGAGCAGTAGCAAGATATAGTGCAAAGAGCGAAAGAACAAAGCTTCCACAGTGTGGAAGGGAACCCCAGCGGGTTGCCAAAGCTAGCTCGGGCAGCTTGCTTTTATTCTCTTATCTGGCCCCAGCCACATCCTGCTGATTGGTAAAGCCGAGTGGCCTGTTTTGTCAGGGCGCTGATTGGTGCGTTTACAATCCCTGAGCTAGATGCAAAGGTTCTCCACGTCCCCATCAGATTAGTTAGATACAGAGTTTGGACACACAGGTTCTCCAAGGCCCCACCAGAGCAGCTAGATACAGAGTGTGGATTGGTGCATTCACAAACCTTGAGCTAAACACAGGGTGCTGATTGGTGTGTTTACAATCCCTGAGATAGACATAAAGGTTCTCCAAGGCCCCACCAGAGCAGCTAGATACAGAGTGTTGATTGGTGCACTCATAAACCTTGAGCTAGACACAGGGTGCTGATTGGTGTGTTTACAATCCCTGAGCTAGATATAAAGACTCTCCACGTCCCCACCAGACTCAGGAACCCAGCTGGCTTCACCTAGTGGATCCCGCACCGGGGCTGCAGGTGGAGCTGCCTGCCAGTCCAGGGCCCTGTGCTTGCATTCTTCAGCCCTTGGGTGGTGGATGGGACTGGACTCCATGGAGCAGGGGGTGGTGCTCGTCGGGGAGGCCCCGGCCGCACAGGAGCCCATGGAGTGGGTGGGAGGCTGAGGCATGGCGGGCTGCAGGTCCTAAGTCCTGCCCCGCGGGAAGGCAGCTAAGGCTCGGTGAGAAATCGAGCGCAGCGCCGGTGGGCTGGCACTGCTGGGGGACCCAGTACACCCTCCGCAGCCACTGGCTCGGGTGCTAAGTCCCTCATTGCCCGGGGCCAGCAGGGCTGGCCGGCGGCTCCGAGTGCGGGGCCCGCCAAGCCCACGCCCACCCAGAACTCCAGCTGGCCCGCAAGCGCCGCACGCAGCCCCGGTTCCCGCTCGCGCCTCTCCCTCCACACCTCCCTGCAAGCTGAGGGAGTGGGCTCCAGCCTTGGCCAGCCCAGAAAGGGGCTCCGACAGTGCAGCAGCGAAGGGCTCCTCAAGTACCGCCAAAGTGGGAGCCCAGGCAGAGGAGGCAGCGAGCGAGGGCTGTGAGGACTGCCAGCACGCTGTCACCTCTCAATAGCAATGAAAAAAGTTATACATTATTCAGGATTCCTCCACTCCCTTGATTTCAGAGGCAATTTCTCCTGTCAGGTTAATGTAGTGATACTAGATAACATGAGTAGAAAAGAAATTTGAAGCCACGTCAGAAAGTATCTCTCATCACATACTACTAAAGAGCTGTGATTTAATTTGGTAAGCAAAAGTTAGTAATTTAAATTTAAAATGCTTTCCCTTTAAAGAATTTATCCAGCAGTCTCAACACAACCTATGGACACCTATAGAAATAAAAAGTTAGCAATCATATTTCTGTTAAAAACAAAGACTGAGAGTACGTTTCAGAATATGGGAGGACAAATTTCCAGTAATGATAAAGGAGATGGATTGAAATCGGAAAGCACAATAATTGGAAAAATCTGTTGTTCTTCTGGAAACATCTGGCCCACCTACCTGAAAGTAGCTATTCCTACTCCCTATCTATCTTCAAGGTTAGAAACATGAGTGTTTAACAATCTGGAAACTATCTAGTAGATGCCTTTTTCTTCAAAGGCTTTTTGAAAGATATCTTCTTCCACGTATCATTCTCTTTCCTCACTATCACTTCCTGCTTCTGTGAGGGTAAAAACCCCACTCTTCAAGAGATAAATGAAAAGGAAACTCAAGGTGTTTCATTTCAGCATAGAAAGTATAGGCCTCCTAATTAAATCACCACAGGTGATTTAATCTATTATTATTGATAATAGCCATTTCACCAGGTGTGAGGTACCTCATTGTGGTTTAGATTTGCATTTCCCTGGAGATTAGTAATGCTGAGCAATTTTTTCATATACTTGTTAGCCACCATTTATGTGACTGCTTTGAAAAAAATGTATATTAGTTCCTTTGCCCATTTTAATTAGGTTGTTTGTTTTTTCTCTTAAGTTGTTCGAGTTACTTATGTATTTTCAATATTAACACCTTATTAGATATATTTGCATACATTTTCTCCCATCTCATAAATTATCTCTTTAGTGATTGTTTCCTTTGCTGTGTAGAAGGTTTTCAGTTTGACTTAGTCTCACTTGTTTATTTTTGCTTCTGTTGTCTGAGTTTTTGGTGTCATAACCAAAGAATTACTTGCCCAGGCCAATGTCCTGGAGATATTTCTCTATGTTTTCTTCAAGTAGTTTTACAATTTCAGGTCTTATATTTAATTCTCGATTCCATTTTGGGTTGCCTATTGTACATAGTGTGAGATAAGGGTTCAATTTTATTCTTTTAAATGTGAATATCCAGCTTTTCAAATGTCATTTTTATTGAAGAGATTGTACTTTCTCCATTGTATGTTCTTGGCACCTTTTCAAAGATCAATGGACCATAAATGTGTGTATTTATTTCTAGGTTCTCTATTCCGTTCCATTAATATGTATGTCTGTTTTTATGCAAGTAAAACATTTTGATTACTATAGCTTTGTGTTATTACTTTTAATGGCAAAAGCCACAATTACTTTTGCACCAACCTAACAGTATACTTTGAAATCATATATCATGATGTTTCCAGGTTTTGTTTTTCTCAAGATTGCTTTGGCTACTCAGGGTCTTTTGTGGTTACATATTAATTTTATAACTGTTTTTTCTGTTTCTATTAAAAATGCCATTGGAATTTTGAATTAACTCTTTAAATTCATGAACACTAGATATCTTTACATTTGTTTGTGTCTTTTTCAATTCCCTTCACTAATGTTTTATAGTTTTGAATCTACAGATCTTTCACCTCCTTGGTTAAACTTATTCCTTAGTATTTTGTTCTTATTGATACTATTATAAGTGGGATTGTTTTCATAACTTTATTTTCAGACACTTGGTTATTGATGTATAGAAATGGTACTGATTTTTTTGTGTTGATTTTGTATCTTGCAACCTTATAGAATTGGTTTATTCTACCAGTTTTGGGGTTAAGTATTTAGAGTTTTTTATATATAAGATTATGTCACCTGCAAACAGACATGGTTTTACTTTTTTCTTTCTTATTTTAATGCATTTTATTACTTTTCTCATCCAATTGCTCTGGCGTAGACTTCCAATACTGTACTGAATAGAAATAGTGAAAGTGGGCTATTCTTATGTTCCTGATCATAGAGGAGAAGCTTTCACTGAATATGATGTTAGCTCTAGGGTTGTCACCTATGGCCTTTATTTTGCTGAGGCACCTTCTTTTTATACCTAATTTATTGAGGATTTATATCATGTAAGGATGTTGAATTTTGTCGAATGCTTTTTTTCTGCATCTATTGCTATGATCATATGATTTTTATTTTTTATTTCTTAATGTTGTATATCATGTCTACTGATTTGAATATGTTGAACCATACTTGAAATCCAAGGGTAACTCCCACTTGATCACAGTGTATGATCCTTTTAATGTGCTGTTGAAGTTGGTTTGCTAGTGTTTTACTGGGAATGTTTGAATCTCTATTCATCAGGGATATTGCAATGTAATTTTCTTTTCTCATAGTTTCCTTGTTTGGCTTTTATATTAGGGTAATGCTGGCCTTTTAAAATTTGTTTGGAAGTGTTCTCTCCAATTTCTAGGAAGAGTGTGAAAAGGACTGGTGTTAATTCTTCTTTAGATGTTTGGTGCAGTGCACAGTGAAGCCATTTGGCCTTGGATTTTTCTTTGTTGAAAAGATTTTCATTGATTCAATCTTGTTACTTAAATAGTTCCGTTCAGATTTTTTATTTTTTCATGATTCAATCTTGGTATGTTGCATGTTTCAAGGAATTTATTCCTTTCTTCAATGTTATTCAATTGTTGGAGTATAATTATTCAAAGGGTCTCTTATGACCTCTTGTATTTCTGTGGTATTAGTTGTTATGCCTCCTTTTTCATTTTTAATTTTATTTGAGTATTTTCTCATTTTTTCTTAGTCGGGTTTAAAGTTTGTCCATTTTCCTTACTTTTTCAAAAACCCAAATGTTAGCTTTATTTATCCTTTCTATTATTTTCTAGACTTTATTTCATTTGTTTCTACTCTGATCTTTATTATTTTCTTCCTTCCGAAAACTTTGAGCTTAGTTTTTTCTTTTTTCTAGTTCCTTGATGTGTAAACTTAAGTTGCTTATATGAGATTATTCTTCTTTCTTAATGTAACTGTTTAAACTTCCCTTTTAGAATTGCTTTTTCTACATTCCATAAGTTATGGTATGTTGTGTTTATATTTTTATTTGTCTCAACATTTTCTAAATTTCCTTTTGAATTTTTTATTTTATCCTTCGACGGTTAAAAATGTGTTATTTGGCCGGGCACAGTGGCTCACGCCTATAATCCCAGCACTTTGGGAGGCCGAGGCGGGCGGATCACGAGGTCAGGAGATCGAGACCATCCTGGCTAACACGGTGAAACCTCATCTCACTAAAAATAGAAAAAAATAGCAGGGCGTGGTGGCGGGCGCCTGTAATCCCACCTACTTGGGAGGCTGAGGCAGGAGAATGGCATGAACCTGGGAGGTGGGGAGCTTGCAGTGAGCCGAAATCATGCCACTGCACTCCAGCCTGGGCAACAGAGCAAGATTTGTCTCAAAAAAAAAAAAAAAAGTGTTATTCAATTTCCACATATTTGTAAATTTTCTGTTTTTCCTCTCCTGTTACTGATTTCAAGTTTCAAACCATTGTGTTCAGAAAAGATACTTGGTAAAATTTCAATCATATTAAAATTGTTAAGACTTATTTTCTGGCCTAATATATAATCTATCCTGGAAAATATTTCATGTGGGCTTGAAAAAAATGTATATTTTTCTGTTGTGGAATAAATGTTCTGTTTATGTCCATTAGGTTCAGTTGGTGTATAGTATTGTTCAACTTTCCTATTTCCTTATTAATTTTTGGTCCGGATAATCAATCTTTTGTTGAAAGTAGGGTATTGAAGTCCCCTACTATTATTGCATTACTAGCAATTTTTTTCTTCAGATATTTATTTTATATATTTAAGTACTCCAATGTTGGGCACATGCATATTTATAATTATTCTATTCTCTTGATGAATTGACCCCTTTATCATTACATAATGACCTTTTTTGTCTCTTTTTGACAAAACAGACCTTAAGTATAGCTACCCGTGTACTCTTTTGGTTTCCATTTGCATGAAATATCTTTTCCCATTCCTTCATCCTCAACCTATGTGTGCTGTTAAAGCTGAAGCAAATCTTTTGTAGGCAGCATATAGTTGGGTCTTTTATTTTATTTTGATGCAGTTTCAGAGAGACTGCCTTTTGAGGCAGACCTGGATCCTGGTGTCTCAGGGGCTGGACTGGAGCCTGTCTGTGAATGCTCACAGTGCCAGGGTTCACTGGGACAGGCCTGGGGCTGGGGTCTGCAGTGAAGTTGGGTCTTCACTTCACTCTTCTTCTCATATACAAAGGGCATCTCTCTCCATACTGTGATGCCAGGACGTGGGGGAGTGGTGTAACAGGTAATGTGAAACTGTCCTTCCTACCTTTTCAATGTGTCTTTTCTTATTTCTGTGCTCCACCCAGGTGCTGTAAACTCTCACTTGGATTACTTAGCCTTTGTGAAAGTATTTTTATGTGTGGATAGTTGTTCAAATTGATGTTTTTGTAAGGAAATGAGCTCTGAAAACTCCTCTTCCACCACCTTGTTGACATCATTCCTTCATAGTTGTTTTATACTCTGTGTCAGATAATTTCAATAGAAGTGTTTGTGAGTTTATTTTTATTCCTTGTTTTTTTGTTTTTCATTCACAGCGGATACCTTGTTTCTCCATGTGTGCTTTGTTTGCTTTGACAGAAAATTATTTGTAAAATTATTTGGAAGTATAATTTGAGGTTCCGGATAATTATACATGCTGCTAGAGAGGATCTTTGTGGCTTCTTCCAGGCCTTTAGGAGGGTACCGATTCAGGATCAACTTATGTTCAAATCTTATGCTGTGGTAACCAAATGATGGAAGTTGCCTGGAACAAAGATTGATTTACTTCTGGTTTGCCCTTACTCTGAGAATATAGTTCTTTACAGTCTCATCTCAGAGTAGTTGTATAGGGGTGTTTCAAAATCTTTATCTTGGTAACCCCTAGGCTTCCCCCAATACCCACCCACCCTCCAACTCCATATCTTCCACCCACCCCCCCAACCCCACTACACCCCCAGAAGCTTACCAAGCTAGTAAAACCATAGTTGAGTTTCACAGCTGATACTTCCAACTTCAGGGCAAAACACATTTGAACTCTTGGCTTCCCTCTCTAATTTCTTGACTTTTCTTAGGTTTGGGGTGAGTAATTTTTTTTTTTTTTTTTTTTCTGAGACACAGTCTTGCTCTGTTTCCCAGGCTGGAGTGCAGTGGGAGAGATCTCAACTCACTGCAACCTCCACCTCCCGGGTTCAAGCGATTCTCCCACCTCAGCCTCCCAAGTAGCTGGGATTATAGTCACCTGCCATCATGCCCGGCTAATTTTTGTATTTTTGTAGAGATGGGATTTCCCTATGTTGGCCAGATTGGTCTTGAACTCCTGACCTCAGGTGATCTGCCCGCCTCGGCCTCCCAAAGTGCTGGGATTACAGGCGTGAGCCACTGTGCCTGGCCGAGGGTGGATACATGTTTTTCTTAATTTTGGATGGCCAAATGTAACTTATCAACAGTTTTTTGTTTGTTTTCAGGGTTTTTATTTGCTTATTTTGGCTTTCATATTAACATTTCCTTCAGCTCTTTCAGCTATCTTCAGCAGGAGGATTTGGTTCTAATTGCCCAGCTTACTATTACCAAGGTGAAATCTCTTTTACGCTATAGTTGACAAAGAATCATTTACCAAATTTAAAGACATTTAAGTAATTATTTGTTCTATTGGATCGATTTTCTCCTCAAAGACTCGTTATTTATATTCTTAGAACTTAATATGGGGATTACAAACAAAAGGATCCTTTTTCTTTCCTTAAGAACACAGTTTGAAGGAAAAAGCAATGCCCATTTTTCTGGCTAAAAAACTCAGTAATGATTTTCAGTACATTTGAAAATTCATATTGAACTCTAAGTATTTTTGTGCATGTGTTTTGCTATTTAATCGGTAGTAGCTGAAAAAAAATCCAATGGTTGCTATTATTTGTTAATACATTTCTCTCTGTAATATTTTTTATTGAAAAACTATGACTATTTCTATTTAATGCTAATTCATATTTGTATCTGTCACTTCAAATGTGAAAAATGTCAGAGTGCTAGATAAAGCATTAAAATCATATTAGTATTTGTTATATAGCTTTGCAGAATTCTCAGTGTTTTGCTTTCCATCTTTGTAGATTTTTAAATATTTTTCTAATTTTCTTCATTGAATTTGTATTACTTTTATAAGCAACTTTATTTTAAGTGTATTGGCTTTGTACACAACTATATTACCATGACCACAACTATGTAAGCAGAAAATAAAATTTGGAAAACAAAAACTACAAATATTACCACTGCTTAACTCTACATTGTGGGAATAGTAGTGCATATTTAAATACTTTCATGTTTCCAGATTTGTCTAAATGCACTTATTACTCCTTTAATTTACAATAATAACTAACCAAAAATACATACAGAGCTATATGTACAATAACAATATATTTACAATTGTGCTTTAGGAAATTTTCTTTAATTTACAAGGGCATGGGAAGGAGTTACCTCAGATAATCTTTCAAAACTGTGACATTATTTTATTTCAGAAGTATTGATTGCCAAAGGTACTGTGTGACTGCTGCATTGAAAAGGAAGTTCAGATACAAGATGCAGGGTAAAGATAGCTTTAGCAACACATGACAAATTCTTAAATTTAAATAGGAAGAGGGATTAAAATTCTAAGGCGGCTTGAGGATAGGATGGCCATTCTAAGATAGGAATATGAAAAGTTGAGGCAGATTGGAAGGGTTGTGACTAGACCACACTTTGAATACTATTTATTTTTTAAGTTGTTTACTATTTCCAGGTGGAAAGAATTCATTAACCAGAACCCCTATTTTACACAAATAGTTGAATTCATTTGCTAGGGCTGTTATAACAAAGTACCACAGACTGGGTGGCTTAAACAACAGAACTTTATTTTTTCACAGTTCTAGAGGCTGGAAAGCCAAGATCAAGGTGTCAGTTGGGTGTGGTTTCTTCTGCAGCCTCTCTCTTTGGCTTGTAGATGGCTGCCTTCTCCCTTTGTCTTCACATGGTCCTACCTCTGTGTGTGTGCATCCCAGTTATCTCTTTGTGTGTCCAAATTTACTCTTCTTTTAAGGACACTCCTAGGACCAGTCTTAACACTCTCATTTTAACTTAATGACCTCTTTGAAAATCTTATCTTTAAATACTGTCACACTCTAAGATATTAAAGATTAGGGTTTCAACATATGAATTTGGGAAAGGGGACACAAGCCCATAACATTCACCTTCTGGACCTCCACAATTAACATCCTTCTCACGTGAAAAATACATTCTCCCCCCCACTGCCAATTCCAACAGCCCAAAAGTCTCAAACCATTCCAACATCAATGCTAAATCCCAAATCTTATCTAAATATTATCTAAATTACTTGTGTATGAAACTGCAGATATTATTTATTCTGAGAAAAAATTCCTCTCTGGCTGTGAACCTGTAAAACTAGACAACTTACCTGCATCCAAAATTCAGTGGGTGGGACAGGCATAAGATAAGTATTCACATTCTGAAAGGGAAAAATCAGGAAAAAGGAAGAGGTCACTAGTTCCAAGCAAACTCAAAACTAGCAAGGCAAATTCCATCAAATTTTCAGGCCCAAGAATAATCCTCTTTAGCTCGATCTGTCCTCCAGGCTCACCAGGGTAGTAACCTTACCTATTGGGCCCACTGAGGTGACAACAGCGCCTCCATGGCACTGGGTAGCAGCTGTGCCCTCTGAAACCCAGGAGGAGACAGCTCACCACACAGTACTAAAGTAGGAGTGGCAGCCTTGCTGATCTCAACATTGTCTTCAAGGTCATTCTTTCCTCTTCCTAAAGGATAATGCCTATCTGCAGCCAGATAGCTCTATTATCCCATCCTATAGAATCCAGGAAGTCCATTAGCTTTTCTTCATTTTGTTCCAACTCTATCCCTTTTAGTTCCAGCTGGTAGTGTTTTTTCTGTTATTAACCCACCTCTATTCCTCATTTTGGCTGAGACAGCTGATTAGATCCACGAGTGAGACCTCTAATCTTTTTATCAAATGATTATTCAGCCACATCCTTGGTGTTCGGTCCAGATCATGCTTAACTTTGTAATATGGATAGGGTGATAATTTTCCACGTCTTTTAGTTTTGATTACTTTTTGCTTAATGATTTTGTTTTCAATTTATGTCTCTCCTCTTGTATTTACAATATGCTGTAAGAAGAAATCAGTACCCTCATTACTTTACACCTTCAATACTTTGCCTAGAAATCTTTTTAGCTAAATACCCTAGTTCAACACTTATAAATTCTAGCTTCCATAAAACACTAGAACACATTACAGCGAAGTTCTTTGCCACTCACTCTATAACAACAGTTTTCTTTCCTCTGGTATCCAATAACTTCCTCATTTCCATTTGAGGCTCACCAGAGGCACCTTTAGCATTCATAGTTCTACTAATAATTTCCCCAAGGCAATCTGGGCTTTTTCTAATATGCACCTAAAAAACTCTTCCAGCCTTCATCTGTTACCCAGTTCCAAAGCCACTTTCACATTTTTAGGTATTTGTTACAGCAGCACCACACTTTCCGGTACCAAAATCTATATTAATTTGCTAGGGCTGCCATAGCAGAGGATCACAGACACCTGTCACAGGTGTGACAACAGAAATTTATTTTTGCACTGTCCTGGAGGCTGAGATCAAGGGGTTGGCGTGCTTGGTTTCTTCAGAGGCCCCTCTCTTTGGCTTGCAGAGGATCTCCTTGCTGTTTCCTCACATATTCTTTCCTCTGGGTGTATACATCCCTGGTGTCTTTTGTGTGTCCAGACTTTCCCTTCTCTTAAGAATACCAGTCAAATTGGATTAGGGCCCTCCCTAATGGCCTAATTTTAGCTTAATCACCTCTTCAAAAGCCCTATCCCCAAAAGTCACATTTTGTGGTACTAAGGGTTAGAGCTTTAATATGTGAATTTTGGGAACACACAATTCAGCCTATAACAAAGGTAAATTTGATATACAAAAAAACTTTAAATAAATACTTGTATTCCCAACAGCTTTTCAGATATATTTTAATAGATTTTATATGTTCAAAAAAATATATAAGGAAAATTTAAAACTAGCTCTTTGGAAAATTCTCATGATTTAAACCAAATGACAAGAATAGAAAACGATAACTAAACTACATTCTCAATTTTCTTTAACATACTTAGACACATATTTTTATGTACAAAGTAACAGAAAATATGAAAATAACAGTGATTATCACAAATTGATGAAATGACAGAGTACTTTTTTATTCTCCCTTATATTTTTCATGTTTTTTGGAATTATCTCACTGAGACATATCACTTATGTATTTAAATATATATATTTATATATAATTATTAAAGAGAGAGAGATTTCTATCAGTATGAATCTTTGGTTGCAATCAACAGAAAACAACTTTGTATGATTTAGGCAAGAAAAGAACTTGTAAGAAGGCTATTCTGGTGCTTTAAAATTATAGAAGCTGCTAAACTACCAAGTTATACAAAGGTCTGGAGTTAGGGCAGCCCTGGGGAACTTGCTAACAGGAGCTGACTGGCAATTTTGCCAATGAGTTACAGCTGAGATGACTGATTTCTGATTGAATTTTCGATCATGACATGCCATTCTGTTCCAGATTTAGAGTCCTAGGAAGGGAACTGAATTTGGCTGACTTGAGTTTTACGCTCAGTTTTGGTGGTTGGGGGGACATTTTGGCTGACAGTTCCATTAAGATAGACACTTATTCAGAAGAGAGAATCCGCAAAATGAAATCAGAGTGAAGTTACCAAGGAAAGGGAGATCTACAACAATACATCATCGTACAGTAGCACTGTATGGCCTATTATATACGATATCTTCATCAATATTTTGTTTCATTTGAATATCTGCCATCAAAGATGAATTCTATTTAAGTATTTATCAGACATTTGAATCATTAAAAGTGTGTATATCATAGAGATTCTCTGCATTATTTCTTTTCTGAATCTATAATAATCTCAAAATAAGAAGCTGTAAAGTGTCATATATTGTTTCTTGTTTTCTTACTCATTTAAAAATTATAACCTAAAATTTTTATGCTGTTTTCTGTTTAACCAAAATCAGATTCCACTCTTGGTGAGTTGATCAGGGTGTCAAGGTGGCAGTTTTAATAGTTTCACTTTTCCTTACAAGTTATTAGTACTACCCTCAAGGCACATCTTTAAATGGCCTGCAACTTTTTGGATGAAATATTGACTATTTTTTTTAAAACTTTACAATTATTTTTAATAACCACTTTAAAAATACATAATAGTGATCTGTTTCTCATGTTGTACTTGTCAAAACTCTTCAATCCCCTCGTATGGTGCTTTAGAAAAATCCCTTGGAAAGTCTAAATAAATTACATGTACCCATTCTCTTTCATTTTCTTAAAAACATCCTAAGTATCTGAAATATCAGATATGGTTTATACCTACAAAACCATGAAAGCAACATTTTTCTCTATGCCTATAAAAACCTAACTTGACTTTCAGCTTCATTTTCTTAATTTTCTTAAAACATTTTTCTAAGTACCTGCAACATCAGATATGGTTTATACCTACAAAACTATGAAAGCAACATTCTTTTCTATGAATATAAAAACCTAACGACTTCAGCTACTTTCCAAAGTACTGACATAGCTTCAATGATTTGAAATGCCCACAGCAACATAACTTTAACAGGTCATAAACTGGGATTTGGAACGGAAGCTTACTTTTCTCAAGTCTGTTTATCATGTGAAGTGATTATGGATATTAACTGAAAGAATGTATACTTTTTCAGAGTGCACTCTTTTTTTTTTTTTTTTTTTTTTAAGGAGTGGAGAGTTTAATAGGCAAGAAGGGGCAGGAAGGAAGGGAGAAGGAAGAAGCTCACCTGTACAGAGACAGAGGGAGCAGGGCTCTAAAGTCTAGAGAGAGAGTCCCACCTGCCACAGATACCAGCTAGGTATATATACAGAGGTTGGAGAGGGTGGTGTCTGATTTGCACAGGGCTCAGGGTATTGGTTTGACTAGGCATGTCATTCACGTAGCCCTAGGAAAATGCTGGCCCTCCCACCCTAGCCTTTTAATATGCAAATGCAGGGCACCATGATGTTCTACACACATGGGAATACATGGGGTTGGCCATGTTGACAGGAACAAGTGGGGAAAGGGCAAGAAGGCCACTGGAATGCCATGTTTGGGTAAACTCAATTTCTAGTTGCTGGCATTTGCATATCGACGGTTGCTGGCCTGGCTCTAAGAGCTGGGGCTTTACAAGAAACTTTCCTGGAGATGCTTTTAAAAACGAAAACTTCCCAAGGACCCCCTTTTCCTCTCTATCTGTCTAATCTAAAATAATTTCTTTTTTTTTTTTTTTTTTTTTTTGAGACGGAGTCTCGCTCTGTCACCCAGGTTAGAGTGCAGTGGCATGATCTCAGCTCACTGCAATCTCTGCCTCCTGGGTTCACGCCATTCTCCTGCCTCAGCCTCCTGAGTAGCTGGGACTGCAGGTGCCCACCACCATGCCCAGCTAATTTTTTGTATTTTTAGTGGAGACGGGGTTTCACTGTGTTAGCCAGGATGGTCTTGATCTCCTGACCTCATGATCTACCCGCCTCTGCCTCCCAAAGTTCTGGGATTACAGGCGCGAGCCACTGTGCCCAGCCTAAAATAATTTCTTAATAACTCCCACAACATTCCCCCCTGTGGAGATGCCACACTAACTGCTGTTAGGGGGTTTTGGGTGATGACTTCTTCTGGCTGCTTCCTGCTGAAAAGGGGCGTCGAATCGGGAACAACAACTAGGGCTTCTCCTGGGGTTGATCTAAGGGTCCTCAGAAGAATGGAGTGTCCATTTGTGGTTCAGTTTACAGCACCATTGGAGTTTGATTGCTTCTAGGTGAGCAGAAACAATCAAGTTATAGTATTGTGTATACAGGGTCCAAATATCAATACAAGACATATAAGCAAGAGAGGACTTAATAAAGGGTTTAACCAATCCATAAAGAAGACTGGAATTTATTAAAGAGGGATTGTAGCCACTCGGGGCTGAAGCTGGTATTTTTCCTGAGCCTGTCAATAATTTTGATTTGATTTTTAAGTACCTGTAGATTTTCCTTTACTTTACTAGAGGTGTTAATCCAAAAGCAGCATGTTTCATTTAAAACTGTATCACTAAACCCAATAAAAAGCCCTAGCCGACTCAATGATAGCAAAACTTTCATACTTCCTTTTTGTAACTATTATCCCTGCTATAAAGATAATAATTAAGCAAAATACGACAGCGATGGAAACTGTTTGTTTAATATTTCAGTTAGAAGGTGCTAACATGTATAACCCTATTGCAAATAATCGAGTGAGTATAGCTATTTCCATAAGTGTGGTGTGGTAGATAATTTCTATCTAAAATTTTACTTGTCAAGATATAGAATTCCCCTTTGGGGGGGTCTATGAAATTCCTTGATTTTATTTTCCTAAATAAAGAAACCTCCAGGTTATGGGCACCCTACTCAGTTTTATTACCTGGCAAAATTTGCAGGATAATTGTCCAGAACAAGTATATTGATCCAAACTTTTACATCACCCATCCCTTATTTTTTCTTCTAAGCTGCAGGAGATCACTTCTTGATTGACAGGAATAATCAGGGTTAGTCTAAAATGTAGATGAAAAGCCTGAAAATAATTAGTGAGACTAAGGCTTAATAACAAATGTATGATAAGCTTTGGAGCACAATTTTTCTCTCTAGTCGTCATTTTTGGTAAAAACAAATTATGAATAAACTGTAGTCTTATACTTAGCCTGATTATTTGCATAAAGTGCAGCAAGAATGGTTATTTCTACATAGGCCTTTTGGATTGGCTTTGATGAAACTCTATTTCATAAGGAATTTCAGGTAAGACTATTAAAGCCGAGCCCAGCCATGGGTTTACATCCTCAAATACCTATGAATTGGGTGATCCTCTCCTCTTGAGGTCCCAAGATAAACTCAGAGCTCCTAGACCTGTTAGAAAGTGAAATTCTTTACTGATCACAGGTGAAGAACCCTGTGCAGAGACTGTGTAGACAAGGTATGAGGCCAGTTCTCCCCAAGGGGCTTTTATTGGCTCTGCATGTCCAACTTGATTCCTTAAAGGGAAACACACCTCAGTTAAAGCCTTGGCAAAATAACCAGTTTTTCCAATTGTGTCCCATTGACAAAGAAAAATGGATTCTTATTGCACTGATGCAAACAACTATATTGCCATAAGTTAAGAGTACTCACAGATAGTTTCCAAATTCTAGAGGAACCAGGCAGAGAAATAAACATGCTCCAAATTTTGTTCATAGGAGTACACCTTATTAAAGGCCATAAATAGTTAAAAATAAGTTTCCTTGACTCAAAACAAAACCAGGATCAGCAGTATTCTGAGCAAAAGTTAAAAGGCTTGCTTTTCTTTCTGAGTGCAGTCCATTTAGTTAACTCTTGTTTTGCTTGGTATTTGTGAACATGTCAGTTCTTTAGAAGTTTCATACATTCTTTCTGTATTCCAATGTTACAATCTTCAAAGCTATTAAAAACGTGCATTTGAGAACACCTTATTAAAGGTGTTCTCAATATAGAGAACACCTTATTAAAGGTGTTCTCAATATAGAGAACACCTATATTAAAGTCCTTAATGTAGCTTGATTATAAACCATCTTTTGAGAAGGAACAAAGCAAGACAACAATTGTCTGTGAATTGCAACATTTCCAAGATATTTACAGTTAAAACATGACTGACCAAGAAGTTTGTTTATATCTGAGGTTTACAATAACTTTACCTTTAGTTATTATAATTGATAGCATATACTTAGAGATTAGAATTTTAGAAATCCCATACAATTTTTGAACATATATTAGTATTATTCACCAAAATATAACTTAAAGAGGATTGGACATCATTTTGGCAATCTCATATGACTAAACATGTCAAATAATCCTGTTTATCTCTTTTTTGAATGTTTCAGGGGCCCTCTGAACTATCCAAAAAGGCAGGCATTAGGAAGAACAATTCCCAGATTGCCATAAATTATTTAGCCAAAATGATGACTTAAAAGGCAAAAATCTTTTATTAGCCTTTACTATGACATGAAAATCCTGTTTAAAGCCAAATTTTGCCCTTGTATTAGTTTGTTAATATTAATCCTAATTTGTTTAAATGAAACCTTATAGATCATTCCATCTAATCCTAACCAAGTTGACCATGAGGTGAAATTTCTACAAACCTTTAATAACCCTTTTACTAAAAGATAGATTAGTGTTTTAAGACCTCCTTGCTATGCTTTTATTTCAAATGCTTAATTTAAGAAAAGACCATATAGATACTATGGGCATAGACAGTGTAGTGCTTCTACATGCATTTCATTCTGGGGTACATGTGCAGAACGTGCAGGTTTGTTACATAGGTATACATGTGCTGTGGTGGTTTGCTGCACCCATCAACCTGTCATCTACATTAGGTATTTCTCCTAATGCTATTCCTCCCTTAGCCCCCCACCCCCCGACAAGCCCCGGTTTATGATGTTCTCTTCCCTGTGTCCTTGTGTTCTCATTGTTCAGCCCCCACTTATAAGTGAGAACATGCGGTGTTTGGTTTTCTGTTCTTGTGTTAGTTTGCTGAGAATGATGGTTTCCAGCTGCATCCTTGTCCCTGCAAAGGACGTGAACTCATTCTTTTTTTATTGCTGCATAGTATTCCATGGTGTATATATGCCACATTTTCTTAATCCAGTCTATTATTGATGGACATGTGGGTTGGTTCCAAGTCTATGCTATTGTGAATAGTGCCACAATAAACATATGTGTGCATGTGTCTTTACAGTAAAACAATTTATAATCCTTTGGGCATATACCCAGTAATGAGATTGCTGGGTCAAACGGTATTTCTGGTTCTCGATCCTTGAGGAATCACCACACTGTCTTCCACAATGGTTGAACTAATTTACACTCCCACCAACAGTGCAAAAGCATTCCTATTTCTCCATATCCTCTCCAGCATCTGTTGTTTCCTGACTTTTTAGTGACTGCCATTCTAACTGGTGTGAGGTGGTATCTCATTGTGGGTTGGATTTGCATTTCTCTAATGACCAGTGGTAATAAGCTTTTTTTCATATGTTTGTTGGCTGCATAAATATCTTCTTTTGAGAGGTGTCTGTTCATATCCTTCACCCACTTTTTGATGGAGTTCTTTGTTTTTTCTTGTGAATTTGTTTAAGTTCATCACATCAGCAGCACATCAAAAAGCTTATCCACCACAATCAAGTAGGCCTATCCCTGGGATGCAAGGTTGGTTCAACATAAGCAAATCAATAAATGTGGTTCACAAAAGCAAATCCATAAATGTGATTTACATAAGCCATATGTATAATGATAGGAGACTTTAGTGAAACTGCAGATGATCAGATGCAGGAGGGTAACATTGAGGTGACACATCAGGAAGACAGTGAAGTCATGCAGAAACGCAATTGTGTTGTAGATTTCTTTTTGAAGTGTTGTGAAATGTTATGGAGTAGGTAAATCCCTAGCGATTACCCATAATTACATAAACAAAACTAAAGACAAAAATCACAAGCATGATTATCTCAATAGATGCAGAAAAGGCTTTTGTTAAAATTCAACACCCTTGCCTGTTAAAAACTCTCAATAAACTAGGCATTGAAGGAACATACCTCAAAATAATAACAGCCATCTATGACAAACCAATAACTGACATCATACTGAATGGGCAAAAGTTGGAAGCATTTCCCTAGAAAACCAGCACAAGACAAAGATGCCCTCTCTCCCCACTCTTATTCAACATAGGATTGGAAGTCCTGGCCAGAGCAATCAGGCAAGAGAAAGAAATAAAGGCACCCAAATAGGAAGAGGGGAAGTCAAACTATCTGTGTGTGTAGACGACATGATTCAATATCAAGAAAACCGCATAGTCTCCACCCAAAAGCTTCTTAAGCTGATAAACAACTTCAGCAAAATCTCAAGATACAAAATCAATGCGCAAAAATCACCAAGATTCCTATACACTAATAACAATCAAGCCAAAAGTCAAATCAGGAACACAATCCCATTCACAATTACCACAAAAGAATAAAATACCTTGGAATACAGCTAATCAGGTAGGTGAAAGATCTCTACAATGAGAATTACAAAACACTGACACAAACAAATGAAAAAACATTCCATGTACATGGATAGGAAGAATCAATATTGTTAAAATGGCCATACTGCCCAAGACAGTTTATAAATTCAATGCTATTCCTATGAAACTACCATTGAGATTCTTCACAGAACTAGCAAAAAACTATTTTAAAATTCGTATGGAACTAAAAAAGTGTTTGAATTGCCAAGGTAATCCTAAGCAAAAGAACAAAGCTGAAGTCATCCCACTACCAGACTTTGAACTATCCTACAGAGCTATAGTAATGAAAATGGTATGGTACTGGTACAAAAACAGGCACATAGGCCAGTGGAACAGAATAGAGAACCCAGAAACAAGGCCACACACCTACAAATATCTGATCTTTGACAAACCTAATAAAAACAGCCAATGGGGAAAGGATTCCCTATTCAATAAATGGTGCTAGGATAACTGGCTAGCCATATGCAGAAGATTGAAACTGGATCCCTTCCTTACACCATATTTAAAAATTAACTCAAGATGCATTAAAGACTTAAATGTAAAACTCAAAACCATTAAAACCCTGGAAGACGGCCTAGACAATATCATTTCAGACACAGGAATGGGCAAAGAGTTTGTGATGAAGATGCCAAAAGCAATTGCAGCAAAAGCAAAAAGTGACAAATGAGATCTCATTAAACTAAGAAGCCTCTGCACAACAAAGAAAACTATCAACAGAGTGAACAGAAAACCTCCAGAACGGGAGAAAATTTTTGCAAACTATCTGACAAAGATCTAATTTCCAGCATCTATAAGAAGTAAATTTACAAGAAAAAAAATAAACAATCTCATTAAAAAGTGGGCAAAAGACATGAACAGACACTTTTCAAAAGAAGACATACATGCAACCAACAATCATTTAAAAAAAAGCAACTCAGCATCACAGATCATTAGACAAGTGCAAATCAAAATCACAATGAGGGCACGGTGGCTCATGCCTGTAATCCCAGCACTTTGGGAGGCTGAGGCGAGCAAATCACTTGAGGCCAGGAGTTTGAGACGAGCCTGGCAAAGATGATGAAACCCTATCTTTACTAAAAGTACAAAACAAAAAAAATTAGCTGGTGTGGTGGTGCATGCCTGTAATCCCAGCTACTCGGGAGTCTGAGGTATGAGAATCGCTTGAGCCCAGGAGGTTGCATTGAGCCAAGATTGGGCCACTGCACTCCAGCCTGGGTAACAGAATGAGACTCTGTCTCAAAAAAAAACCCAAACAAAATAATAAATAATTATGAAAAACACAATGAGATATCATCTCACAGCAGTCAGAATGGCTATTATTAAAAAGTCAAAAATTGGCTGGGTACAGTGGTTCACGTCTGTAATCCCAGCACTTTAGGAGGCCAAGGTGGGCCCATCACTTGAGGTCAGGAGTTTGAGAACAGCCTTGCCAACATGGTGAAACCCCATCTCTACTAAAAATCCAAAAATAGCCAGGTGTGGTGGTGCATGCCTGTAATCCCAGCTACTCAGGAGGCTGAGGCAGGGGAATCACTTGAACCCGGGAGGCAGAGATTGCACTGTGCCGAGATTGCGCGCCACTGCACTCCAGCCTGGAGACAGAGCAAGACTCCGTCTCAAAAAATATAAATGAATAAATAAATAAAAAGTAACAGATGCTGGTGAGATTGTGGAGAAAAAGAAATGCTTATACACTGTTGGTTAGGGTGTAAATTAGTTCAACCATTGTGGAAAACAGTGTGGCGATTCTTCAAAGACCTAAAAACAGAACTGCCGTTCAACCCAGCAATCCCATTACTGGGTATATACCCAAAGGAATATAAATCATTCTATTATAAAGACACATGCACATGTATGTTCATTGCAGACCTATTCACAATAGCGAAGACATGGAATCAACCTAAATACTCATTAATAATAGACTCAGTAAAGAAAATGTGATACATATATACCATGGAACTCTATGCAGCCATAAAAAAGAATGAGATCATGTCCTTTGCAGGGACATGGATGGAACTGGAGGCCATTATCCTTTACACACTAACACAGGAACAGAAAACCGAATGCCTCCTATTCTCACTTATAAGTAGGAGCTAAATGATGAGAATACATGGACACATAGAGGGGAACAACAGACACTGGGACCTATCAGAGTGTGGAGGGTGGGAGGAAGAAGAGGATCAGGAAAAATAATTAATGGATACTAGGCTTAATATCTGGGTGATGAAATAATCTGTACAACAAACCCCCATCACATGAGTTTACCTTTATAACAAACCTGCACATGCACCCCAGAAATTAGAATGAAAGTAAAAAACAAAAGCCGAAGGTGAAACAACTCCCCTGACCTGCCCCGCCTCCCCATAAAAGGCCAAACACTTGTGAAATATCTGGGAAAAAAATCACTGTCAAATTCCCATGTCAATAGGTCAGGAATTTCACATTTTAAATAAAAACTTTGTTATCGATGCACATAAAAAGCTATAAATTCTCAAGGAAAGTCTTTCCACGGGGATTACTTCTGTGACTGTCTAGGAGGAGTAAAGATAAAATACTCTACATGAACTTATGAGCTCCCACAGCTTCAATTATCACCTCTGCGAGGGTGATTTTCAGATCTGTGCCTCCAAATCTATGTCCCCAACCATCAAGCCCATATTTTCAGCTGCACATGAGGCATCTTCACCTGAGTATCCCACTGAGCCATCACACTCAATATGTTCGATACTGTCTGCATTTTCTCATCCAAACATGCACCCTCTTGATTTTCCCACTCTCTTTTAATGACATAATTATCTCCCCTGTTATCCAGAATTGAGGACTCAAAGACTATTTTTAAATTTACTCTGTTTATGATTCTTCCCCTGCATTATCTATTATGTATTAATTACTTTTTAAAAATTATTTTTGCTTCTAAATTCTATTTTCCTGACAACATCTTAGTTTATCCCAAATAATTTTGAGTTGTTTAAATGTTAAATAAATTATGTAGCATTTCTTTAATTTTAATTGAATCCTATTCATTTACCTGCATTAAATAATTAATACAGACTTTAATTTAGAAACTACTGCACTCACATACTGGAATTTTTACTTTCTAAACCTTTATTTAATTCCTTCCCAATCAGTCATTCACTAGCTCATTTATTCAAAATTATGCTTCAATGGTCTAGTCAATTTACATAAAGTATATGGTTCCTGTTTTCATAGAGCTAAAAATAAAGGAATAAATGATTTCATAAATTATAAGTACTGTGGAAAATCTCATAATGTGATTTGATGGAGAATGACAAAGTTGTGCTACATTTGATGGAGTGATTAAGGAAAGCCTCTCTGAATGTCTAGAAGTAGCCAGTCATGTGAAAATCTAAGGGAGAACTATTTTCAGAAGAGTAAAGCAAAATGTCTGAATGGAAAAAGTTTGGCATGTTTAATAAATAGAAGGAAGTGGTTTTCCACTTCTTTCCACAAATGTGGTGGAAAATAAATTGAGCCCATAACGTGTAGGTATGTGAAACCCTTAGAAAGAAAGGTACGAGGACAACTTTTGCAGGGTATTATGCATCATGAAAATTGTTAGAATCTGGGCATCCGTCAGACAGTTTTTGACATAAAAGTGACATTATATAAAAAGATAAAACTAATTCCTGAGTGAAGAATGATTTCAAGGACTTCTGAGTCACAAAAGCAGATTAAATGTATAGCAAAACTCCCCCATCTACTTCAATTGTGTGAAACCAATCTTACATATTTTAATTTTAACAGTCACACTCAAAACAAAAAAATATAATTTTTTTCTGAATTTTATTTCTGAACCATAAATTAAACACTTAACGGTAATTGAAGATATGTGGGCATGAGCACATGGGACCAGATAAGGCTTGTTTGCCATCAGTTCATCAATACCTGTACTGGATAGATCCCTCAGCATAAAAAAATACCATCACAATTCCTTGACAGAATTAGTAAGAATCTCTTCAATGTATTCTCTACATATGATCAGCCTTCTTTCCCACTATTCCATCTGATTATCACATGTTACAGAAAGATCCAAGTACTCAGGTTTCCAAACATATCCTTTCCTTTTGCTTTTTGCTTCATGATTGCTTTTTTTTGTTTTACCTGGAATACGTTATCACATCTCTTATCTCAACAACATAAATACATCTTCTCTTACTTCTACATATAAATCTTTTATGACTGTTATGCTTATTGTTAAAGCATTACTATAAGGTGGCTCAATAATGGAGACAATGTCATTTGTTGCCCTATACACAGTGAAATCTCAACCACTGTCACCCACCGTGATTGTGTGTCAACAGCAAAATCTTTCTAATTACGTTTGTTCAGACAAGGAACCGGAACCCATCTGCAGGTAGTTAGCAAGTAAAAAAGACAAGAATTTCTTTTAGCATTAACTGTAGAAACGACAACTTGGGTATCGCTAGCCCCTGTACACCAGGATTTAAGATAAGCGTACAATGTGGATATATCAAAGAAACTTGAAGTAGACTACTTGGCAATTTTATAAGTGTTTTGTAGAGGATTGTAATTATTTCATAAGGTGAAGTGTAGACAGCACAATGTCTAGATTTTTACAGGCACATCATCTATGATCATACCAGAAATCTGGCATTTAAATCCTTGCTTTGTTTTTATGTTTGTTGTTGTGGTGGTGGTATGTATAAGGGATTGCATGTGTTCAATTAGTTCTTTTTAATTTTTCATTTGTACTTACAAAGTACAATGTGTCCTCAGGTATTTACCCAAGAGAAAAAAAAAAGCATGAGTTTCATTCAAAGACTTACACATGAATGTTCATAGCAGCATTATTTGTAATAGCCAAATTGTAAACAACTTAAATGTTCATTTTCATGTTAATGAAAAAAGTTCTTCCAAATATTTGGGGATTTCATGGCCTAGTCAAGTTGACACATAAAATTAACCATAAAAAGTTTGCCCTTTTGTCAACCTGATACTCATACTCATCTTCTTAAATCATATTTACTCCCCAAATATAGATTAAAAACTTATTTCTACCTAACATGATACAATCATTATGTATACAACAGAAAATGCAAACATGCCCCAGAAAAAGGAATAAATTTCTTGAGTAATTGATATAGTTTGGCTGTGTCCCCATCCAAATCTCATCTTGAATTGTAGTTCCCATAATCTCCATGTGTCATGGGAAGGACCCGGTGGGAGGTAATTGAATCATGGGAGTGGTAACCTCCATGCTCTTCTCGTGATAGTGAGTGCGTTCTCACAAGACCTGATGGTTTTATAAAGGGCTTTTCTCCCACTTCACCTGCACTTCTCCTTGCTGCCACCAGTGAAAAGGACGAGTTTGCTTCCCCTTCTGCCATGATTGTAAGTTTCCTGAGGCTTTTCTGCCCTGTGGAACTGTGAGTCAATTAAGCCTCTTTCCTTTATAAATTACTCAGTCTTGGGTATTTCTTCATAGCAGTGTGAGAACAGACTAATACAATAATATTTACTCTTTTTGATATTCTGCAATGTAAATACTATAATATAAATTAACAATGATTTAAAAATACTATGACATAAAATGAACACATCTTATTGTATTATATGTATCTTATTCCTTATGATAAAGGAATAAGAGAGGAAAGAAAACAGAGATTCACTACACACATACACACACACAACATTTTTAACGCAGTAAGAAGGAGATACTCGTGGAAATTTTAGTCCTCATTTCTCTTACTGGTTATGTGGCTGTAGATGGTATTTATAACTACTTTCTTCTACTACCCATTCTGTATTCCCTCTGCCTCTGCAAGCACTTGAGCTGGCCATGGTTCTTTACCTGGTAGGGTTACACAATCCTTCATTCTTGAAAGGTCTGTGTTATTACTAGTCTTTCCCAGATTGGGTTGTCATAGTTTTTCATTGACCTTAATTAAACGCATGGTAACACTAGAGACACCCTGAGGGGTTTTATATATACTCTTCCTTACTTAAATTGTGGAATAGTTGTCTAATTTCCCCTTGCTAGTCAGGATCAATAACCCCAGCCAGCACACTAACTCCCTTCTTTGCCTGTTGATTTAGAGGCATTAAAAGCCCAGAGTGGCAGGGTGGCAGACTTATCTTTCAATTCCATTGAATCATTTTTGTGTGCTTTGGCAAATGTATTTCTCCCTTTGGAGCTAGGATTTTAGGCAAGTGTAGTATAAGGTTGCAGGAACAGGAAGCAAAAAAATTGCAAGTGGGCCATTAGAGTAATAGTGAGTGATGCTTCTCCCATTTCCACTCCTTGATTCCAGGACCCATAAATTTTGACTGTGGTAGAAAGAGTACCTTATATTAGATGCTGATGCAGAGCATACACAGATTTCTGGAGAACTTTGTCCCATTTTTGTAAGATATTGCCACCTAGATGAAGCTATAACTGAGTGTTTAAAAGGCCATTTTATGTTTCTATCAAGCCAGCTGCTTCAGGATGGTGGGGGATATGGTAAGACCGGTGAATTCCATAAGTATGGGTCCATCACCACACTTCTTTTACTTTGAAGTGAGTTCCTTGACCACAATCAATACTCTGTGCAATATCATGATGGTGGATAAAGCATTCTGTAAATCCATGAATGGTAGTTTTGGCAGAAGCAGGGAAGGCAAATCTGTATCCGAAGTGTCTATTCCCATAAGAACAAAACACTGTGCTTGCATGATGGAAGTGTTCCAATGTAATCAACCTGCCACTGGGTAGCTGGCTGGTAACCTTGGGGAATGGTGCCATATCAGAGACTTGGCATTGGTCTCTGCTGCCGCAGATTGGGCACTCAGTGGTGGCCATATCCAGCTTGGATTTGGTGAATAGAAGTCTGCATTGCTAATCCTATGCACAACCTCCACCTCTGACAGCATAGCTACTTTATTCATCAGACCACTGGGTGATGTCAGCAGTGGCTATGAAAAGAGGCTGAATGACATCCACAGAACAGCAGAACAGGTCATCTTATTTATTTGAGTATTAAAATCCTCCTTTGCTGAAGTCCCCCTTTGGTAAGCATTGATATGGGATACAAGGTTTTTGCCCATTCGGAGAGGTCTGGCCACATATCTCTTTCTTAAAATTATTTGTCATCAATTTTCCAATCATGTTCCTTTAAATTTCCTAACTCTACAGACAAATCATTGCCGCAGCCACAAATAAGTATATAATTACATATCTGACCATTTCTTCTTCCAAGCAAAGTGAAGAACTGGGTGCACTGCTTGAAGTTCTGAACTCTGGGGAAATTTTCCTTCATTGCTGTCCTTCGGTTCGGCAGCTATCTACTTTTGGGTGGTACTGCATATTGTACAGAACCATTTGTAAACTCAGCTCAAGTCTTTTCTTTCTCTGTCAACTGGTCATGGGGAACTTTCCATGAGGCCATAGGTGCAGGCCAGGAGAGAGGATATAGTGCAGCAGGAGTGAGAAACATGGGTATTTGTGCCACTTCTTCATGTAATTTACTTGTACTTTTAGGGCGTGCTCAAACGCAGTCATGTACATACCACTACCATTTGATGATGGAGTGCTTCCATGCAAGTCCAATATTGTGGTTCAGTAAGTGAGATAATATCCATTCCATGATGTACAGCTCAGGTCACATGGAAACTTGCTGGCCCATAGTTGAGTGTTCAGTCTCTACTAAGGCCCACTAGTAGGATAAGAGCTGTTACTCAAAATGGGAGTAGTTATCTGCAAAGAATGTCAGTACTTTCCTTCAAAATCCTAAGATTCTGCACTGCGATTGACCTGTAGGGGTCTGCCAAAGCTTCAAAGTGCATCTGCCACCGACACTTCAAGCACTATTGGATCTATTGCATCATATGGCTCAAGTGACAAAGCAGCTTGCATAGAAGGCTGGATATGTTGCAAAGCCTTCTCTTATTCTGGGTCCCACTCAAAACTAGCAGCTTTTTACATCATTAAGCAAGTGGGCTGGAGTAACACACCCAAATGAGGAATATGCTGTCTCCTATATTATTCAGGGTTCTCCAGAGAAACAGAATCAATAAAATACAGAGAGATATGAAGAAAGATTTATAATGAATTGGGTTCTTGGAGGCTGAGAAGTCCCATGATCTTCCATCTGTGAGCTGGAGGACCTGGAAACCTGATGGTGCAGTTCCAGTCCTAACCAGACAGCCTGAGAACCAAGGGAGCCAATGAGGTACATCTCAGGCTGAGTCCGAAGGACTGAGAACAAGGAGTGCTGACATACAAGGGCCAGAGAAGATGAATGTCACAGCTGAAGCAGAGAGGGCAAATTTATCCTTTGTCTACCTTACTTTTCTATGCTGTTTATTGATATATTAGATGATACCTTCTCACATTGGTGAGGGCAATATTTTTTATTCAGTCTACCAATTTAAATGCTAATCGCTTCTGTAAACACCCTCATAGTTACACTCAGAAATAATACCTTAGCAGCTATTTAGTATTCCTTATGCTGGTCAAGTTGACATATAAAATTGACTATCACACTTCCAAAATCCAAAGAGGCTCACTGGGCATTGTGCCTCACTTTTGGTTGTGGGAGGAGCCAAATGCAACAACTTATCTTTCACTTTAGATGGGATATCTCTAAATTCCCCACACCAATGGGCCCCTAGAAATTTCACTGAGGTAGGAGGCCCCTGAAGCTTGGTTGAATTTATTTCCCACATTTTCACAAACAAATTTCTCACTAATAAGTCTAGAGTAGTCACCACTTCTTGCTCATTAGGTCCAGTCAGCATAATGTAACCAATGTAATGGGCCAGTGTGATACCTTGTGAAATGAAAAGGTGTTCAGGATTCTTGTAAACTTTAATTATGCCCCAATAAAGCTGAGGAAAAAAATCTCTGCAACTAAATTATGACATAAGGCTGGAGAGCTTATATACACCTGAAGCAGGATCGTGAAAATGTATAGCTGGCCTTACTAGCTAAAAGCAAACTGGAAGGAGGCAGAGCAAGATGGTGGAATAGAAGGCCCCACCAATAGTCCTGCCTGCAAGGACACCAAATTAACAACTATCTACACACACACACACACACACACACACACCTTCAAAAGGACCAAAATTCAAGTGAGCACTCATAGTACCTGGTTTTAACTTCCTATCACTGAAAAAGGCACTGAAGAGTTAGAAAAAAGTAATGAATTGCAAACACCACCTCTCCGCTACCCCTCGCAGCAGCAGTATGGTGCCTAGAGCTTCTCTAGATGCTGGAGGAGGGAGGACACAGTAATTGTGAAGGAGTGAACTCAGTGCTGTTTGGTTAGAGCAGAAAGCAAAATCAGATCAAACTCAGCTGGCTCGCACCCATGGAGGGAGTATTTAAATCAGTCCTAGCCACATGGAAATCACCGACCCTAGCAGTAGGAATTTGAGTGCCTGTAAACCTTGTCACAGAGAGGTACAGCGCACTGTGTCTCCAAATAAATTTGAAAGGCAGTCTAGGCCATATTGACTTCAACACTTAGGCAAGACCTAGTGTTAAACTGGGCCCAGAGACAATGGATTACCGGGGGCATGTGACATATTGAGATGACAGCTGGGTCAGCCAAGAGAGTGTTGAAATTACCACTTCCCTAACCACAGGCTGCATAGCCCATGACTCCAAAAGAGACCCTTTCCCTCCACTTGAGGAGCAGAGAAGAAGGAGTGGAAAGGATTTTGCCCTGCATCTTGGATACCAGCTCAGCCACGGTAGAATAGAGCACTAGCTAGAATCATGAGGCCCCCATTTTAGAGGACTTAGCTCCCAGATGACATTTTTAGACACAACCTGGACCAGAAGGGAACATGCTGCCTTGAAGGAACAAAGCTAGTCCTGGCAGCATTCATCACCTGCTAACTGAAGAGTCCTTGGGCCCTCAGTAACCAGCAGCAATACCCAGGTACTACATCGAGGGCCTTGGGTGAGACTCTGAGACTTGCTGGTTTCAGGTACTAGCATGGACACAGGCAGTGCAGAGCACCAAGTGAGTTTTGAGTCCCAGATTCCAGGACTTGACTCTTGGACTGCATTTCTGGACCTGCCCCAGCTCAGAGGAGAGCCCATTGCCCTGAAGGGTGAGTCCCAGATGAGGTAGCATTCACCGTAAGCTGACTTAACAGTCCTTGCACCTTAATGGAACATTAGCTGGTAGTCTGGCAGTACTCTCATGGCCTAGGGTGGTGGTGGCTAAAAGGGGAGGCTCCTCTGCCTTGGGAAGAGGAGGGAAGAGTGAGAAGGACTGCATCTTGTAGTTTGAGTGCCAGCTCAGCCACAATACACTAGAACACCAGGTAGACTTCTCAGGTTTTCTTTCCACTCTACTCCCTGACTCCCAAACAATACCTCTGGACTCACCTGGGGGCTAGGTGATCTCACCATCCTGAAGAGAAGGCTACAGGCTTGACTGGCTTTGTCACCTTCTGGTTGTAGAGCCCCAGGGCCTTAAGCAAACATAGGCAGTAGCCAGGGAATGGTTACAACAGGCCTTGGGCAAGACCCAACACTGTGCTGGCTTTAAGTCAGACCCAGCACAGTCATAGTGGTGGCCACAGGGCTGCTAGTGTCACTCTACCCCCAGCTTCAGGTGGCTCAGAAGAGACAGAGAAAGAGACTCTGTATATTTGTGATAAAGTAAGGGAAGTGAACAAGAGTATCTGCCTGGTAACCCAGAGAATTCTCCTCGATCTTCTTTAAGGCCATCAAGGTAATACCTCTATGAGTCTGCAAGAAGCACAGGATTACTGGGTTTAGGGTGCCCCCTAAAGTAGATACAGCTTAGATTACAACACCCAGGTTCTTTCAAATATCTAGAAAGCCTTTACAAAAAGGATGGCTACAAATAAGCTGAGACAGTGAAGGCTACAATAAATACCTAACTCTTCAATGCTCAGACACTCAAGAACATCTACTAGCATCAACACCATCCAGGAAAACAAGATCTCAACAAATGAACTAACTAAAAAAGCAGGTACCAATCCTGAAAAGCAGATATGTGACCTTTCGGATGGAGAATTCAAATAGCTCTGTTGAAAAAACTCAAAGAAATTCAAGATAACACAGGAAAGGAAATCAGAATCCTATCAGAAAAACTTAACAAAAAGATTGAAATAATTAAAAAGAATCAAGAAGGAATTCTGGAATTGGAAAAAAAATGCAATTGTCATACTGAAGAATGCATCTGAGTACTTTAGTAGAAGAATTGACCAAACAGAAGAAAGAATTAGTGAGACTGAAGACAGGTTATTTGAAAATACACAGTCAGAGGAGACAAAACAAAACAAAACAAAACGAATAAAAAACAAGCATGCCTACAGGATCTAGAAAAGTGCCTCAAAAGGGCGAATCTAAGAGTTACTGGCTTCTAAGAGGAGGTACAGAAAGAAATAGGTGTAGAAAGTTTATTCAAAAAGATAATAACAAAGAACTTCCCAAATCTAGAAAAAGGTATCAATAACCAAGTAGAAGAAGATTATATAACATCAAGGAGATTTAACCCAAAGAGGACTACCTCAAGACATTTAATAATCAAACTCTCAAAGGTCAAAGATAAAGAAAGGATCCTAAAAGCAGCAAGGGGGAAAAAAAATAAAACCAAATAACACAAATGGAGCTCCAATATGTCTGGCAGCAGACTTTTCAATGGAAACCTTACAGGCCAAGAGAATAGCATGACATATTTAAAGTGCCGAAGGAAAAAAATCTTTACTCTAGAGTAGTATATCTGGTGAAAATACCCTTCAAACATGAGAAACAAAGACTTTCCCAGACAAACAAAAGCACAGGGATTACTTCAACACCAGACCTGTCCTAAAAGAAAAGCTAAAGGGAGTACTTCAATTAGAAATAAAAGGACATTCATGAACCATAAATAATCACCTGAATATACAAAACTCACCAGTAATAGTAAGTACACAGAAAAACACAGAATATTATAACATTGTCACTGTGGTGTAAAACTACTCTTATCCTAAAACTACTCTTATCCTAAGCAAAAAGACTAAACCACACACCAGTCAAAAATAAAAACTACAACAAATTTTCAAGACATAGGTGGGACAATTATATATAAATAGAAAAAGCAAAAAGATGAAAAGTAACAGGACGAAGTTAAGGAATAGAGCTTTTTTTGGTTTTCTTTTTGCTTGCTTGCTTTTTTGTTTATTCAAATAGTGTTAAGTTGTTATCAGGTTAAAGTAATGGGTTAGAAGACAGTATTTGAAAGCCTCATGGTAACATCCAACCAAAAAACATACAATGGATACACAAAAAATAAAAAGCAGGAAACTAAATTATTTCACCAGAGAGAAATGACCTTCACTAAATGAAGACAGGAAGAAAGAAAAGAAGAAAGAGAAGACCACAAAACAGCCAGTAAACACTTAACAAATGGCAGGAGTAAGATTTTGCTTATCAATAATAACATTAAATATAAATGAAATAAACTCTCCAATCAAAAGACATAGACTGGCTGAATGGATTTAAAAAATACCAATTAATTTGTTCTTTATAAGAAACACAATTCACCTCTAAATAAACACAAAGACTGAAAATAAAGGATTGGAATGAGATATTCTATGCCAATGGAAACCAAAAAAGAGGAGGAGTTACTATACTTATATCAGTCAAAATAGATTTCAAGACAAAAACTATAAGAGATAAAGAAGATCACTATATAATAATAAAGGAGTCAATTCAGCAAGAGGATATAACAAGTTTAAATACATATGCACCAACACTGGAGCAACCAGATATGTAAAGCAAACATTATTAGTGCTAAAGAGAGAAACAGGCCCTAATACAATAATATCTGCAGTTTTCAACACCCCAACTTCAGCATTGGACAGATTTTATATATACATACATATGTATATACGTACACACATATATATAATCTATCAGACTTAATCTTCACTATATACCAAATGCACCTAATAAATATTTACGGAGCATTTTATCCAATGGCTGCAGTATACACACTCTTTTCCTCAGCACATAGAGCATTCCCAAAAATTGACCATATGTTAGGTCACAAAACAAGTATTAAAACATACAAAAATTGAAATAATATCAAGCATCTTTTCTGACTACAATGGAATAAAACTAGAAATTAATAACAAGAACTTTGGAAGCTATACGAATACCTAGAAGTTAAACAATATGCTCCTGAAAGACCAGTGCGTCACTGAACAAACTAAGAGGGATATTGAAAAATTTGTTGGAACAAATGATAATAAAAACACAATATGCCAAAACATATGGGATACAGCAAAAGCAGTGCTCAGATGGAATTTTATAGCTATAAGTGTGTATATTAAAAACAAGGAAAAACTTCCAATAAACAATCTAATGGTGCATCTTAAAGAGGTAGAAAAGCAAGAGCAAACAAAATCCAAAAGTAGTAGAAGAAAAGAAATAATAACAATCAGAGCAGAAATAAAAGAAATTGAAATGGAAAATATATATATAAAAGTTCAATGAAACAAAAAGTTGTCTTTTTGAAAAATTAAGCAAAATTGACAAACTTTGAGCCAAACAAACTAAAAAAGAGAGAGTATCGCTTGATCCTAGGAGGCGGAGGTTGCAGTGAGCTGAGATCCTGCCACTGCACTCCAGCCTGGGCGACAGAGCAAGACTCCATTCAAAAAAAAGAAAAGGAAAGAAAAGAAAGAAACGAAAAGAAAAGAAAAAGAAACAAAAAGAAGAGAAAGGAAAGGAAATCCTTTCCTCTAAGATTGGAAACACAACAAGGATGCCCATTGTCACCACTGTTATTCAACATAGTACTGGAAGTCCCAGCTAGAGCAATCAGAGAAGAGAAGCATATAAAGGACATACAAATCAGAAAGGAAGAAGTTGAATTCTCCTTGTCTGCAGATGATATGATCTTATATTTGAAAAAACTTAAAGCCTCCACAAGGAAACTATTAAAACTGATAAGCAAACTCAGGAAAGTTGCAGGATACAAAATCAACATCCAAAAATTAGTAGCATTTCTATATGCCAACAGTGAACAATGTGAAAAAGAAATAAAACATAATCCCATTTGCAATAGCTGCACATGAAATTAAATACCTAGGAATTAACTAAAACAGTGAAAGATCTCTATAATGAAAACTATAAAACACTGATGAAAGATGTTGAAGAGGACACACCCAAACATAGAAAAATATTCCATGTTCATGTTAAAATGCCCATACTACCTGAAGTAATCTACAGATCCAATGAAATCTCTATAAAAATACCAATGACCTTCTTCACAGAAATAGAAAAAGAAATCTAAAATTTATAAGGAATCACAAATGACCCAGAATAGCCAAAGCTATCCTAAGCCTAAATAAATAAATAAATAAAGCTGGAGGAACTGCATTACCTGACTTCAAATTATGCTGCAGAGCTATAGTGACCAAAACAGCATGATACTGGCATAAAAACAAACACATAGACCAATGAAACAGAATAGAGAACCCAGAAACAAATCCACATACCTATAGTGAACTCATTTTTGACAAAGTTGCCAAGAACATACGCTTCAGAAAAGGCAGTTTCTTGAATAAATGATGGTGGGAAAACTGAATATCCATATGCAGAAGAATGGAATTAGACCCCTATCTATCACCAGATACAAAAATCAAATCAAAATGGTATAAGACTTAAATCTAAGATCTAAAAGTATGTTACTACTACAAGAAAACATTGGGGAATTTCTCCAGGACATTGGTCTGTGCAAAAATTTCTTGAGCAACAACCCACAAGCATAAACAACCAAAGCAAAAATAGACAAATGAGATCATATCAAGTTAAAAACCTCCTGCACAGCAAAGCATACAATCAACAAAGCTAAGAGACAACCCACAGAATGGGACAAAATACTTCCAAACTACCCATCTGACAAGAGATTAATAACCAGAATACATAAGGAGCTCAAACAACTCTGCAGAAAAAAAATCTAAAAATCCAATCCCAAAAGGACAAAATATTTGAGGAGATATTTCTCAAAAGTAGTCACACAAATTGCAAAAAAGCATATGAAAATCAGCTCAACATCACTGATCATCAGAGAAATGCAAATCAAAACTACAGTGAGATATCTTCTCATACCAGTTAAAATAGTTTATACTGAAAAGACAGGCAATAAGAAATGCTGGCAAGGATTTGGTGAAAAGGGAACCCTTATACACTATTGTTGGGAATGTAAATTAGTACAACCACTGTGGAGAACAGTTTGAGGGATCCTCAAAAAAATAAAAAGAGAGGTACCATATTATCCAGCAATCCTACTTCTGGTTATATATCCAAAAGAAAAGAAATCAGTATATCAAAGAGATATCTGCTCCCATATTCTTACTTATCTGTGGGATATAAAAATCAAAACAATTGAACTCATGGACATAGAGAGTAGAAAGATGGTTATCAGAGGCTGAGAAACATAGTGGGAAGGTGGAGGGTGCATGGTCAGGCAGGGATGGTTAATGGGTACTAAAAAATATAAATAGAAAGAATGAAAAGACCTAGTACTTGATAGCACAACAGCGTGACTATAGTCAATAATAACTTAATTGTACATTTAAAAATAACTTAAAGAGTGTAATTGGATTGTTCGTAACTGAAATAATCAATGATTGGAGGGATGTGTACCATATTCTCCATGATATACTTATTTCACATTGCATGCCTACATCAAAATATCTCGTATATCCAATATGTACATCTACTATGTATCCACAAAAATAAAATGTAAAAATAAAATAAAACAATAAAAGCAAAGTAGTTCTGATGGGTCTTATTGGCAGTGATGGGAAAAAAGCATTTGCCAGATTAATAATTGCATACCAGGTTCCAGAGGATGTGTTAATTTCCTCAAGCAATAAAACCACAGCTGCTACCACAGTTGTAATTGGAGTCACCACTTAGTGAAGCTTACAATAATTCACTGACATTCTCCAAGATCCATCTGTTTTATGCATGTCAAATAGGCTAATCAAATGGGGATATGATGGGAATCATCAGCTCTGCATCTTCCAAGTCCTTGATCATGGCACTAATCTCTATAATCACCCCAGAAATGCAATATTGTTACAGTTTACTATTTTCCCAGGCATAGGCAGTTCTAGAGACTTTTTCTTGGCCTTTTCTCCCATAAGAACCTTTGCATTAACAGTAGACACTCAAAGAGGCTGAGAATTACACTTAAGTTGTAATTCAGCCAATTGCAGGATGAGATTCTATAGTTGATTTTCAGCAATATTAGCCTTGTAGCTACGGTAAATAAGGGTCTCCTTGAGGGCAGATATAGAAGCTTTCAGGCCATTTATGAGCCCATCCTTTTCTTTTCCCGCCTTATTCAGAGACGATAGTAGCAACAAGCTAATCTTGTTATACTCATTAGTTTGCCAAAAATGTTTGAAAGTATTATATACGCAGTCAAACAGGTTCTTGCCTTTTTTAAGTGGTTGATTAAGAGTGACCAATGGTAACATGTTGGACTATCATCAGAGCTCTCTTTGTTACTGGAAATAGAGTCTTTAGTATTTTTAAATCTAATCTAATTATAGAGCCAATTCTAGAAAACCCAGGACCAATTCAGAAAAACACATTCTTAAAGTTCTGTCCCTCTAGAACCATTCCTAGCATCACAATCTGTATTAGGGTTCTCTATATAAACAAAATAAAGAAGATTTCATATATCTATATAATAAATAAATGTAATAAAATTTATATAAATTTATATATGGGTATATATAAGTTTATCTATATATACATATATGTAAAGTAAAAGTAAAAAAGTATTTTACATTTTACATTTATCTTTCTTTCTATCCATATATATATACATATAGGGATAGAACATGAGAAATAAATTTATTATAAGAAATTGGCTCATGCCATTGCAATTATGATGGCTGAGATGTTCCAAGATCTGCAATCAGCAAGCTGGATACCAAGGAGAACCTATAGTATAGATCCAGTTTGAAGACAAATGCTTGAGAACCCAAAGGTATAAGTTCCAGTCTGAAAGCTGGTAGGCTGAAGACCCAAGAACCAATGTTGCAGCCCAAGTTCAAAGGCTAGAAAATGCCAATATTCTAGCTCATGCAGTCAGGCAGAAGGAATTCCCTTTTATTCCTAAGTGTGTCAGCCTTTTTGTTGTATTTAGGTCTTCAGCTGATTAGAGGAGGTCCACTCACATTGGGGAAGGAAATCTGCTTACTCAGTTTACTGATTCAAAAGTTAATCTCATCCAAAATCATTCTCACAGACACAGTTGGAATAAAGCTTGATGAAATATCTGGGCATCCTGTGATTCAGTCAAGTTGACACAAAATTAAACATGACATGTTACTGAACACAAATACTTGGCACATTAGAAAAAATGAAAACTTAAAATCATTAGGCCAAAAATATTGTTATTTTAATATTTTCTTTCTAATTTATCTCAGTTTTACTTAATTAAAAATTTTCACAAGTCTTTCTTTGGAGGTCACTGCCTAGAATATCTTTACAGTTGTTGAAATTGTACCCTCTATTCAATTCATCCTGCATATTTCTAATCAAATCAATACCTTACACTTCTTTTCTCCTGTAACATTTATATGCTCCTCTTTTAGCAATCAACACAGCTTGTCTTTTGGAAGAGACACAGAAATGTCGGTATATTGTCTGTTTCTCCCAGTGAGTACCTTAGCTTCCAGTACCAAAAAGTTGTTTAATTTTAAAAATCTTAATCATATATTTAATTTAATATGTCCCAAAAATAATCATTTCCAAACATTGTTAATTTTAATCCCCTGCTGAATGAAGTGGACAATCTTGTTTCTGCTAAATGTTCAACAAATGTTTATTGAGGTGAAAAAAAATTTTTTAAAGTAAACTAATCTCCTATTTTAAAAACGGAAGAGTTTACCAAGATGAATAGTGGATCATATTTAAAGCTCTCTTAGTTAGAATTTTGGACACATACTTTTTACATTAAAGGCTCAGTCCCAATCCTACATTTCAATTTCACACACATACAGCAATTTCCTGACTGAATATTCTAAATTGCAGTCCTCTGGAGAACTCTAGCAAATGGTCCCTTCTCCCACATATGGTTTATCTCACACAAAAAGACCCACATTTGCAACCTGAGTCAACCTGTGCAGAAAGAAAAATACTGTAGAGTGTGGAAACTTTATTACTATTCTTAATTGCATTCTTGGTACAGTGAGAGTAATGATTTTACCACACCTTACAGAATAAACCACTTTTTTCTCCTTGAGCAGTTTCTTCCAGAAGAGAATTGAGTCTATTAAACAAGTAGTTGGCCAATAGTGGCCAAAAAATAGTATTTACAAACATTTATAAATAATATAAAAGTAAAGTCATTTTGAAATAAAAGTTATTATAAACGTGTGATGGCAGACAGTAAGTAGTTAAAGGAATAAGAGGTGATAGAGTGTGAGTAAAGAATTTCAACCAGGTGAATTGGTAACTTTTCATGGTACACATTTTTTGACTTTGGAAAGCTTCTCCTACTCCATTTTCTCTAAACTGTCAACAGCCTCCAAAATTTCTTGGGGAAAAATCCTAAAATTATCTAAATCCAGATAAGCATATTTTTAGACTGCTAGTGTGCTGGATGTGAAGTTGCACTTATCAACCCTAGAAAGAATGTAATGTTCCCCGCTACTTCAAAGCAACCAGATTTAGAATCAACACTGATTTTACCAACACAAATTTTAGTGTTGGATTTTAGTGTTGAATTGGTTTGCATTGTAGAGCAGAGGAAGATTGACACCATAGGGGGCCCTTGAAGCATATGGCTTTGTCCATCTGGAAACGGGGTAGTGTGCTATTGCTGCCAAAGGCTCACTGAATGTTCTGGGTTTAGATATGTCTAAATAAAAATAAAATAAAACATGTGTATTACACTTCGGCAAAATGTTTAATACTTTACAGTCATACATGAAGAAAATGTAAAGAAGGATAGGTCTATCGTCTATCCTGGTCTATTCTGGAAATTTTAGTGTTGGAGAGAAGCAACTTGAAATCAGGGCAACAAATCAGCACAGGTAAGGATTCTCTAACTTTGCCAGGATAATAAAAAATGGTTGACAGAAGAAAGACTGCCTGTAAGATTTCCCTGATTATTGTTTAGGAGGAAACATTGCCTTTGCCTAGCAGCTAAGAAATTGTAGTACTAAAGAACCTTGAGCACAGGAGCTTTATTTCTTCTTTTAACCACTGTGTGCCCAGAACACAGCACAATGTCTTGTATGTAGGAGACACCCAAAATATTCATTGCAAGTTTGGGTGTGTAGGTTACACAATGTATACCTACCAGCACACTCTGAGCCTTGGCTACTCTTGCTACTTAAACAAGGTTGAGTTTCTGTCTTTTAATTTCACTCTTTGATATTTAACGATTAAGATGACATAATTAGTATTCAATAAAAGGTGGGGAAGGTAAATGGAGGACCTCTTGACATTGTCAATGTCATCCTGACTCCATATACTCTCAGAGAAACTCTGCTAGGTTTCCCTTTTTAAAGTTATAACATTAAGGCCTCTGAGCAAATGATTTTTTAAAAATCCAGTAAACATTGTCAATATAGCTCTGCTTTCTTTTTCGCAAGGATTGATTCCCTCTTTTCTTCTCTTTATTTATTTAAATATATCATTTTTCCTCTGGATTCCCCTCTCTGTTTCTCCTTTTCTCTCCCCTTTCTTTCTCTTTCTCTTGTTCTTCTCTTTTCCTTTCTGTCACTCTCTTTCTCTGGTTCTTCTCTTTTCCTTTCTGTCACTCTCTTTCTCTGGTTCTTCTGCCTGACAAATCACAGAATCTCTTTCTTTCTCTCCCTTTCTCTTTCTCTCTCTCTCTCTCTCTATATATATATAGATATAGATATAGGTATATATTTACATATCTCTCTCTATAGAAATATATATACTTATATATATTTATAGATCTATAAATATATATACTTATATATATTTATAGATATCAATATATAGATCTATATATTGATATCTATAAATATATATGTTATACCTATATATTTATAGATATATATATTTATATTTAATTATATTTAAATATATATATTTAATATTTATTTATATTTATATTTAATTATATTTAAATATATATAAATATATATATTTATATATAAGTATATATATTTATATATATTTATATATAAGTATATATATTTATATATATTTATATATATAAGTATATATATTTATATATATTTATATATATAAGTATATATATTTAGATATATATTTATATATAAGTATATATATTTATATATATACTTATATATATAAGTAATATATATATATTTATAGATATAAGTAATATATATATAACTTATATATATTTATAGATCTATAAATATATATGAGACATAAACATATAATATCTATATAGAGAGATCTCATCTTTTAAAAAATATCAACTATATAAACTATAGATACCTTAGTGAGGTTACAGAAGTATGGGATATTTACTTTATTTTTTTTTTTCTTCCAATCATTATTTTAGGTTCAGGGGGTACATGTGCAGGTTTGTTACATGGGTAAGTTGCATGTGGCTCAGGTTTGGTATACAAATGATTTCATCACCCAGGTAGTACCCAATGGGTAGTTTTTTTTATCCTCATCCTCCTCTCACCCTCCACCTTGAAGTAAGTCCCAGTGTCTATTGTTTCCCTCTTTGTGTTCATGTGTACTCAAGAGATATTTAGTTTCTGACTTAAGTAGCTGAATAATGTTAGAAGTTGCTAATGTTTCCACTTCAAAGGAGTTTTCTATCATTAGTGGATCAAGTGATCCCTAGAAATATTTTGTCAATTGTATGTCACTACCTTGAACCTGAGAGCCTTTTATAAATGTTTGATATCACTTTCATTAATGATGTTTATATTTTCCTGAACAGGGAGAAAAAACAGATATTCCCATTTAATAAAAGTGTTTACTCAATATTTTTTTTTCCTCAGTAGGCAAATAACTGAAAGACACTGAAGTATGGAATAAAGTGTATATGGCATTTTGTAAGCATATAATATGGCCTTGGTTATGCACTGAAGAAAGTGGGGTTTTGAAACATTGTGTCATGGTGGCTGAGAGAGTTTTTTTTTTTTTTTTTTTTTTTTTTTTTTACAAGAAGTCCAGCTCTCTTTGGGGAGGTAGTTATGAGCAGTGCCTGAGGCTTCAGCAAAGCCGCTGTCTCCAGGAGGCTCACCAGCCTGGCCTGGAGCTCCTGTAGGTTGCATTATTTCACTACTTATTATGGCTGCAAAAAAGTTTAGTATGAAATGTATTACGCAAACTGAAATTATGAATTTCTTGGTTAAAAAAAGTTTTATGACAATAATCCAATTCAAAAACTATTTTTTAAAAAAATAAGCTTTGACCATAAGAAAAAAAATTACTATTTCCTTGTTTCCAATTTTCTTTATTTAAAAACATGATTTTAATGGAAAATTTATATGTGCTCAGGATAAAAAAAATCAAATACTCCTGACCTTCACTCTTAACTCACCAGAGGCAGCTTCTGTCAACATTTTCTTGTGCTTATATAGCTCTCTTTATGTGTGTATAGATCTTGCTTTCACTCATTATGCTTTGACATTTTTTCATAATGAAAACTATTGGTCTGTTATATTACAATCTGTCATAAAACCCATTGAATGGTTATGGTATACTTCATTTATCTAGCCCCTTGTTGACGGACAATAAAGTTTTTTCAAATTTTTTATTAATATAAAAATGTTGTATTAAACACTTTTGCATTCATCTTTGCCTGCTTGAATGAGTATGCTTATTTTTAAAATGTTCTTACAAATGGAATTTTTGGACCAAGAGTTTGTGCACTTTAAATTTTGATGAATGGTGCCAAATGGTTATTCAAAGGGAATGTACCTATAGACATTTCCCCATCCACTTCAATATTGGGCAATATTGCACACTTAATCTTTTCCTATCTGAATGATAAGAACTTGAATCTCACATTGATTTACATTCCATCTTATGAATGAAGTGGCACACATTTTCATGTGATTAATGATATTTCTATTTATTTCCTGGCAGATTCATAATGTGAATACATTTTTAATTTGTGGACCCTCAATGAGTCCTCTTAGTTTCTGCCAAGTTTCTTTCCCAGCTAGCAACGAAAGATTCTTAAAATAAGTTACATGCCCCTTCACCACTCCTGGCCAACAGTCCAGAATCAGAACAACAGTACCGCATTCAGAAAAAATTATAGGAAACAGAGAAAGATGGGGAACTGGGGAGAGAAAAAGAAGGGACAACGAGAGGGCCCAGACTTCTGAGTATTGTCACTTTGAACTCCACACCTGCTGAAAAGAGATTTTTTTAAATGCTCCTGTCCATCAGTGTAAGAGACTGACAGTAATTCCAGAATTTTCTCTGGCTCTCACCAACCCTCTTCGCCCAGACAGTAGTTGTTTGGATGGGTAAGGAGTCAAGAACTCTACAGAAGCATCATAGTACTGCATTGGATTTTAAACTAAAGGTAAACATATTACTCAGTGACCTACTTTAACAGCATACTTGTAAATAAATAAGGAAAATATATGCAAGTACAATCCTCTCACTTCTCTGTTTACCCTTGTGGAAATCATACACCTAGGAGAATGATTTCAATCACTGGACTCTCCCACCTTGCTTCTGTAAACTGTGAGTGAAACATGACAGGCAGATATGGTGTTTTCATAAAATTTGTTTTTATTTCTAAGCATGAGTTACTCTAATATGACTGTGACTGCTTTCACTTACAACACATTAAATGACATCCCCTCACCTTATGTATGTGTGAGGACTATAGAGTGATAAGATTGAAAAATCACACAGTAAAATTAATCTCTTCACTTCATTGCCACCATACAGATAGGGCTTTCCATTCACCTTTCTTGTTTTCTAAAAATAAATACATAACTGAGAACAAATCTAACTTTTTCATCCATTATGATTTATCAGTCATTATCATATCATTTCTTGCTTCATGTGCTGCTTACTGGCCTGTGCTGAAAATAAAAATACTTAAGAGAAGGGATTGATACACAAAAGAGTAATGATGATAATATGGGAGGGGGAATATAAAGAATCCTAAAAATGATAAAAAATCAGTACTTAATCTTTTTTTAAATAAAGAAGGGGCTCAAATTCTCCCTCTTTTGCTGTAGAAAAATTATTTATAGATCTGGTACAAGGAGGCAGGTTCTAGGCAAGGAACCACTGTCAGCTCTGTCGCTCTTGAGGCAAATGCAAGGTCTCCTGATTAGTAATGAGTGAAGATGCTGGCCCTCCTTCAATTGTCCATGTGTCCTAGAAGTGTGTATCCATTTTTTGACATTATTGCTATTTGAATGCCCATAAGAAACCCGTGGACTTATGAATATGCAAGAAGAGCTTCAACCTCACTGGTTTGTACATTTAAGAATTATTCTACTATATCCTCCTTTATTCTTTCTTTACTATTACTATTTTTAAAAAATCAAAATATCAAGTATCTATGTTTAATGCAGTATGACATGCTAGGTATGCAAAAATCTACACAAATCCACATGTATGTATTCTCAGTTTATAATTTAAAACAACACTGTCCTGTAACAAAATTTTGGAGTCAGTGTTAGAAGTGTTTTTTATTAACTGCAAACAGCAAATTGCCCAGCAGCCAGGGGAATGAGTCAGCAGCATTTTAATAATTTTATTTACTCTGAGAAAACAAAATAACAGGTTTTCATTGAATAAATATCATTTTATGTTTATTCAATGACAAAAATAAATTGGGAGAAATTGTTTTTCAAAAATTGCAGAATTATTTAATCTATCTTTGAAACTAGAGTTCTTTCTTACAATAGAGTTTGGGACTCATTTTTAAAGTACTGAGGAACTAATCCTTGATATGTTTAAGCAATAAATTTCCTTTGGTCCCTATTTTAGTCATTTCCTACATCCCATGAACAGGAAATGGGAGGAGTGGCTGTTTCCCATTTATCTAATCTATCTCTATCCTTGGAGACTAAGGTTAAATTCAACTCCTTTCTTGCCCATGGGCTGACAGGCGGGAATCATTCAGAGATAGCAACCACCCACTTAATTTTTGTGTGTGAGACATTATCCTCTCTAGATAGCAATGATAAAGGGCTAGAGGGAAAAAATCTGTGTCACCAATTCAAACATACCTGAAATTTCTCTAACTGAGCAAAGAGAAACTATAAATAGGTTCGAAGTGTATCATGCAAATATGAATTTTTTCTATCATGATTATCTTCTTTTCTATGGTAAAATTTACATTAAATGTTTAATAATAGTGTAATAGGAATAATCTCCTTTCCTTCAAGTATGAAGATGACATTATCAACTTTGCAACATTGGGCCTGTAATTTGAATTATTGTCTATGTAATGAGGCAATTTGGAAATTTTCTATTCATTATAATATAAAAAGGATACATAAAAAATAATACTCAGCTTAAGATACAAACATCTGTCATGGAGGGTGGAAAGAAACTTGTACACTAAGCGTTTACATTTCTTATAGGGGTAAGGTACAAATAAAATAATAAGGATTAACGGCTTAACTATTTCCAGGGCCAAAAGACTTGAGAAAGCTTTGCTGCATTTGCATTGGTCTGTGGATGGCTAGGCTTTTCACTCTGTAAATGAGAAAAAGCAATTTTCACTTTTCTCACCAGTTTCATGCCATCATCTCATTCCAGAAGAATTGCCTCTTGGGGAAACTAGTGATTAACTTGGGATTCTGGGAATTTGCTTTACTAGATTGTAGAAATCATGTAACTTCAATATTTGTCTCAGGATCTATACAAAAAGAATAAGAAATTAGAAACAAATAAAGAGCTGGGATTATAATGGTGGTTTAAAAAAATGCTGTTACAGACAAATCCTTCAGTTTTAAAAACCTTGTTAAGAGTTCTCTTGCATTCCCTACTTGCTTAAAAAGTAATTGCTGCCCATATTCTCTCATGTTTGAGTTCTAGAAGTAAACTTTAAAATATTACTTAATACCTATATGTTACTTTGAAACTAACATGACTACAAACAGCACCCCAACTCCCAAATTGAAATGCCTAAGGAACCTGCAGTTAATCAATCTGTGACCTTTTGGATACACTGTGACCTTGGGATGTCATCTGATCCTTTGTTCTCTATCTTCTGCTTTTGATGAAGGCAGAGCGGCCATGTGTCTGCAAAGTTATTTATTAGAGACAAGAGGAATGCATATCAGGATGTATTCATAAACTTTTTTGATCTCTTTGGAAGATGACACAAATAGAAATATCATTAAATTTGCATTTATAATCAAAATCCAAAAGGATTTGGAAGATGATTACTTTATAAGCAAATGTAAAAAGAAAAGACAACTAAGAAATGCTTGCAAAAGTAAAGCATTCCCTGATGAAGTACTCTGAGGTTGAATGTCATTCATATTTTAATTAAAGAACCAAACATGTCTTCTGAAATTCAACTGCCTAAGCTAGGTTTTACTTCATGAAAAGATTATAGGACACTTGGCAATTAGAGGTTGTGGGTAAAGGGAAGTCAAGTCTGATTCCCTTTCCTGCCTCTGTGATGACAAGTCTTTTCCTTGGAGAGTCAGCTTGTCTTCACAAAGAAAAGACTCTACCTGGTAAGATCTTTTGATAGTTGGAATGGTTCTTTAATGCCCTAAATCTCCAGCCAGAAGATCTCACCAACATCCCATTAGTAGGTTGGTGAGCACTGATCCCATATGCTCTATTTTCTTTTACAATTAAATATAATTTCTCTTTTACATATGAGTATTTAATGATGATTGTTATATATTATTTGTCACTATCTTTTAATTAATCATCTAATTACTTTCACTGTGAAGAGGCATTCACAATCTTCTGATCTTAATTTGGTTTCACAAACAAACGTTTCAACCAGAGAGAATGCATAATACAATAACATAAATGTGGCTGTTGTATTCTTCCTTATAAGTTGGAAAGATTTGCCAGCCTGCTTATCAATAAATAAGATTTGTTACCAAGGTTGGGGTGGACCTGAGACTGCAGGTGATTGTAAAGGACTCAGTTCCCAGGGTTGACAGTCCTGAAGGAAAGAAACCAAATGGGCCATTACAGAGATATGAATTATTTTCTTTCATTCTTGTTTCTAAACCCAAACTAGCAGGCCTAACAAATCAAACTGGCAGCAATAACTAGAAGCAAAGTATTAAGAAAAATAAAACATCTGCCATGTTACATGTCACAAAATGGCACGCAGTGGCAGGATTGCAGTCAGGTGAGGTCCTGGAGAGAGCACAGTGCCACTGTGTAGCAGCAGCTTGGCTACTTCTCCTATTCATATTGTGAAACATTAACTTTTTCTTTGTAAAAAGAGAAGTTTGGACACATCAATTTTTCTTTGGAAATGTCAGCTTCCCTTCGCCATTTCCCAATCTTATGTCTTGTGGTTGGTTCCCTGATATGCTTGCAGCTTATCACTCTTTTAATCTGTGAACCTTAGGATACCTGGCTAGCAGTGCACACTGTATAGCATGTGACTACTGTTCTTAAGGCTGGAATTATAGTAATGTCTTTATTGACTTTTTGCCCCTTGGGCAGAGTAATGTATGAGAATCCGAACTCAATTATTGTCTTTCTGGGAGAGAAAAAAATGTAAGAAAAGAGGACTACACAAAATTTAAAAGAATGTTCCAAGAACAAAAATAGTCAAACATGTCACACGTCCATAGCTTATTTTGCATCTAACATGAAAAGTATGGCTTTGCATAGAAAGTAAATCCAAGATTGAATGAAAATTAGAAGACCTAGCTTGTAATCTTTGCATCTGCCACTATTTAAATGAAAATTAGAAGGCTTATCTTGTAATCTCAGCATTTGCCAGTATCTGCATAAGTGACCCAGTGACCCAGGAAAAAGCATCCTTTCTGCATCTAAACTTGTATTTTTTTTTTTTTTTTTAAGAGATGGAGTCTCGCTGTGTTGCCAGGCTGGAGTGCAGTGGTGCAATCTCGGCCCACTGCAAACTCCACCTCCCAGGTTCAAGCGATTCTCCTGCCTCAGCCTCCCGAGTAGTTGGGACTACAGCCGCGCACCACCACGTCCAGCTAATTTTTGTATTTTTAGTAGAGACGGGGTTTCACCATGTTGGCCAGGATGGTCTCGAGCTCTTGACCTTGTGATCTGCCCACCTTGGCCTCCCAAAGTGCTGGGATTACAGGCGTGAGCCACCGCACCTGGCCCTAAACTTGTATATTTCTAAAAGCCAAGCCTGAAGTTTAGTTCTTGGATAATATGCCAAGTCAAGACTTATTTTAAATACATATTCTATATGTAAGATAACATGATAGTATGTTAATATGTACATTAAGATATTCCTCGGCTCTGTCACAATTCCTAGTCCCTCTTTCACTTGGTACATTCGTCTTTTATTTAGGAGAAATCAAAAGCCACAATTTGAAAACTTTAGGATAGAGTTCAGTATGTGATTCAGCTTCTATTATTGATGTAAATACACATCTATACTGTTTTCTGCTCTTTAAAACTCCAAAAATGTCCATAGAACTTAGTGGGGAAAAATTAACAATAACCCCCTTTGCCCTCACAAAATGTAGTCATTAAGTGAGGCACAGTCTTTTATGGATAAGTAAGGAGCTCATTCAGCAGTTCCCTAGCTGAGAAGTTTTTGCTTTAAAGTTCCACATAGAAAATGTGATGTGGTGACTGAACAAAGGCAGATGAATGCAGTGTGAGCCAACACTGGGTTTTACAACATTAAAAAAAATTAGCTTTACCAATTAGTGCATTTGAACTAGGTCCACATACACTGAGTTTTCACTAATATTGTTGAATGTTCTGAAAACAATATTTACTTTGTAAAGAAGTTATAAAACTGCAGAGAGGCTGTAGGTAGTCACATTTTTATCCATTTATCAATTTTCTTGTATTTAATATTTTTGATGCATGCGTAAAAATTTGTGACAGTTAGGTTTTCCTTTGGAACTAGCTATAATACAGAAATGTCAGTTGACTCTTCATCCTTGGTCTGTAAATAAAAATTCTGAGGAAAGAAAAAGTTATCTCCTCCACCTCACAGAATCTGCAGGAATTATAAAAGCCTCTCAGGAAATCTTGATTGTTTTTCTCTCCTTTATACTTATTTCTCTTGAAAATAGAAGGTCCAGGACATGGTTGAAGTGAGTGACTATGTGGAACAGGACATGGGTAGTTTGTGTGGGATCCAGACAAAGCTAGGGTCATTAAAGCCATGTCAGTTTCATTGTTTTTAACTGGAAGACAGAAGTTCAGAGGGTATTTCTAATTCACTCCCGTTTCCAAGTGAATTCAACCTGATTGCTGTATTTGCAGAAATGTTAAATATCTGATTTTAATCCCAAATAAATCATAAATTCCAGAGTGAATACTCCCACAGCAACCTTAGCTCTGCTCTCCCATGCATAAGGATTATTCTAGGCACAGGGTCTTTCATTACAGGGTTATGAAATACAGCATCTCAGTCACTCTGAAAATACTCAGTTACAATGGCAGCCATTTTGAATCTCTATATCTGACTTTAATTGTACACTTTCTTCTATTTGAAAGACAAAAAAATAAGTATCATAAGTTTATTTTCAACACGCATAAAGACTTTTCAACTTAAAGATTTTTTCTCTTTCCTCTTCTTTCTTCTCTATAAATGTAGCCTTTACATGTTTTGGGATAAGATTCCAATTTAAATATAATTAAATTAAGACAAATAAGGACAGAAAATATTTTCTCATTAATTTCTCATTTGTAAATGATTTGAATTGAGAACATACTCAAGAATAGTAAAAAACATAAGAGAGATAATCAGTTTCTAAGTGTATCAATAAAGACTGAATCATCATTTATAGAAAAAGTATTAGAAAAATAATTACAAAAGATTCTGATTTCACTTATATTTTCATCTTCATCATTTCTCTCTGAGACAGAACAAAGGTAGCCTTAATTCAATGAAAGTGATTTATACTCATATCTTAGGCATACTTGTTATTCCATACTTCACCCAACTTTAGTGTGGTGTAACTGGTATGCCATTTGGAGGCAGCAGATCTGAGTAGGACTTCCAGTTAAACTCCTTGATAGTTGCTTATACGTAACCTCTTTCTAACTCAGTGTTTTCATCTGTAAAATGGAATGATGCACTCTTAGTGCTTTGACAAAGGATTTTTGAAATAACAAAAGCATTGAACGCAAGCTTGCATGTAGTAAACATTTAATACATATTATTTTCATTTACCCTTTCCTCTCATGTACGTGTGGTACAATTTTCATCCAAACAATATGTTTGTTTGAGGAAACTACTATAGGCTTTAGAACCATAGATTGATTAAAGTTGCAGCTATACCCTCTCTTTCATAAATTTGTAATCTCCAAATCTTAATTTTTGCATTTGTGAAATGAGAATAGAAATATCTACCTTATAGAATTTTCAGTGATCCACTGTGTAAAGTACGTAGCATAGTCCCTGTCACTTGATAGAGCACCAGTGAATGGTCACTGACACATTTTACTGTCTTAATTTTGTTTTAAAGAAGACAAAGTCAGTATTATCCAAAGCCATGCTAGAAAGAGATTAGTCATGAATGGAGTGTGAGAAATAAAAACAAGCAGATTAGAAATTCAAAAATTGTGATGAAAGTATGTAAATATAATTTTTGATGATAAATGATTGTCATTCATAATGAAAATAGGAACTTTTTCCTAATTTAATAAGATTCTATACTAATTGGAATGTAAAATACATCACATTGCTTTCCGTCACTTGATTTTTCTGTTTTTGAAACAAAAATACACATCATATGCATTCTATTCCTCATTTGTTATTTCTTACTTGAGGGAAATAATTTTTTTCTCTTCAGACCAACTACAAATATGGCAGTGTTTCATAAGAAATTAAAAGTACATAAGGATTTTTGTCTTTATTTATATGAGACTTTAACTTTGACAGCTAGTTTGCAACCTTTTTTTAAATCAGACCAGTTACATATACCTTAAATAGAAATTACATTCTTTTATTTCCTTTTCTCTTGAAGTTTTATGGTAAATCAATTTGACTGTTACATATATATAAGGCAAATAAATCAATAAATTATCCTTATTAATTTGGTATACTTAAAAGTTCTACCAAATGCTTAGAGTGAAATGAAAATTTATTTATTCTAATCTGCCTTCTGGCAACACACATAAGAATGCTCCTTAAAGCCAGCCCAAGGTAGCTGGTTTCAATATTAGAAAAAAAGTAATAGCCAGGAAACACAGAATTAGAACCAAAATGCCATGCCAAGTTGGACCTCTAGGCTATGGTCTATTTGGATCTCACTGGCTGGAGGAAAGGAGCTTCGTCAGATGTTTCTATAAGACTTCAAGGTTAAAGTCACTGGTGACACCTTGATGTTAGAGTTTAGAAAAACATCAGTCCGCAGCACAATTCATTCTATTTATTAAACTTAATAAATATTTCTATCTGCCTTCAGTTTAAACATAAATATTTATTGAGTTTCTTCTCTGGACCAGACATTCTTCTAGGTTTGAGTTAGCAATGAACATAACAGAAAAATATGCGTATATTCATAGAGCTTATATTCCAATAGCAGGAGGCAGATAATACATAAATAAATAAACTGTATGATAATATCTGTTGATAAGAATGGAGAAAATAAATTACAGGGGAGTTCATGGACTGTTAGTGTTAGGGAGTGTTCTAATTTCATATAGAGTGTCCAAAGAAAGCCTCACTGAGAAAGTATCATTTTATCGAATGCCCAGAGGAGGGGAAGAGCAGAGCAGAGCTGCGTGGATATCTGGATGCTGGATGCCATGAAAGTGTTTCCACAATATATTCGCAGCAATCCCCAGTATGTTTGAAGGCCCTGAGTGGAAGCAAGTCCTACATTCAAAGCTCAATAAGGAAGGCAGGATTGTGGGAGCAGAGCAACAGAAAGGCAAAGTGGTGATAAGATAGAGAAATAATGTCAGTTAGTGATTCTGGGCCATTGTAGGGATTCTGGCTTTTATTTAGAGTGAGATGAAGAGCCACTACAGGGTTTTCAGCAGAAGAGTGTCACAACCTGACTTGTATTTTAAAACAATTCATCGGCCTTCTGGGGTCATCTGACTTCTGGGGAACTGTGAGTCTTGTATTTCATTATCATTGCTATTTCATTTCTATTCCTTCTTTTGAATAGTGAGTTGGTTGGGAGGAAGGACTTGAATTAGCTCCACACTGAGTATAAATTCAATGCTTCCACTGGATTTCCAGAGCTCAGTGTTGTAGAAATGACTACACAGAGAGCGAGTAGGAGACTATTTCAAGTGGCTCAGGAGAGATCAAGATGGCTGGGGTCAGGAATGAAGTGGGAAAGGTGGTGATATGGTTTGGATATATTTTGAAAATAAAGTCCCAAGCACATTCTTTCTCAATATCTTATGTCAGCAACTTTATAGAAACTTCACACTCTAAGGAAGTAGAGTTTCCTGGAAAATCTTTATTACTTAATTAAGTAGGGAAAAATACTTTCAAGTGGTCTCCTGAGTCCCTTCTCATTTCACCATCCTTAGCCCTACTGGAATGCCAGGATTCAGCAACTCTTCTGGGTGAGTAGGTGACCAAAAACAATGATCTCTGGTTCCATATTCATTTAGGAATGTTGTACTTGGCACAATGGATTTCCAGTGGCTAAAGGCTTATTTCCTTAGGTCAACATACCATCTGGCAGTTAACAAAGACTTTCTTGATAAGCCTTAAGATATAGGACAAGCCAGAGCAACACTGAGCTCTGGAAATCCAGTGGAAGTGTTGAATTTATACTCAGTGTGGAGCTAATGCAATCCCCTCCTCCCAACCAACTCACTATTCAAAAGAAGGAATAGAAATAAAATAGCAATGACAAAGAAATACAAGACCTACAGTTTCCCAGAAGTCAGAATCACAGAACTTTCTGTTCAAGTACTTCTACAAAAATTAACTTTGCTTGCTAGCAAGAGAAGTTAGGACTTAATACCAAAGAATAAATCTTTATGTGACCTCAGTGATATAATTGCTTTTTCCATTAATGTCTCATGTCAAGTCTGAGATTTCAATAATACTTCATTATGTTTATGTATTCATACCTTGCATCTCCATCCTGATTTTAAATCCCTTCAGAGGAAGTACTGTACCTTGGGATGCTTTTACTCAACAGGTATTCCACAAACGTGTTAACCTAACACATATTTTACACAATTTCTCTGGTTTCTCAGAGGATATTTTGAAGTCAAATATGACAGTGCATACTTTAGAATATTCTGAGACAGCAAAACACAGGTATTTATCATCATGATCAGTGCTATGTTCAAGATCACATCATAAGCGTGAGAACCTTCATTTTCAAGCAGTGTCCATTGTCACCGAATGTTGAAGCCAGTGCAAAATGAAGCCACACTCCACACTGACAATGTTAGGCACAAGTGATGTAAAGATAACAAAAAAAATCAACCGTGGGTCAAACATTGTGCTCATCATGTCAGATGCATTAACCCACTTAATATCAGAGTTTCTAATAATATAACTAACATCATCCATTTTTACTATGTGCAAACATGTTTTTAAGTGTTTTACAAGTATAAAGAAGTCTTTCCCCAGTTTTATAAATGAGGAACAAAGAATTTGACATTAAGAACCTAAGCAAAGATTTCTATCCAGGTCATTCTGGTGCTAAAGTGTATGTTCTTAACCAGCACACAATGAACTTAGATAACAACATAAATATAACTAAACATGTGTGTTTGTGTGTGTAGATGGATTTATAGACACTTTTCTATTGTTCCATTTAAATGGTCTTGCTGCATGTTGTCTGTGTCCCTTAATATATCACAACCAGAACATACACATTGCTCTATTCTCTAACAGCAGTAGCATTACAAATTTTTCTGTTTAGTACTTACGGATATGTAAAGAAAATGGTTTAGGTTTTGCAGCAAGGTTATTTTGCTTATTATGTTGCCACAAAAAGCATCCAAATATAGCATGGGATTTCTAGAATGATATGAAGAATCTCTTTAAGCAAAATAATGTGACTGGTGTTTTTTTTTTTTCATTCTCCCACACATAACGTATATGCTGTAGTTTCCAAACTCTCAGCTTGAAGTTAAGACGCCCCACTTTAGAGCATATTTTATGTAGATATAATTTCCATTAATAACATATGATGGTTTATCAATATTATAATTATAATGATATGTTTGTAAGCCACATATTAATAATATAATTATGATAATATAATTATTTGTGTTGTTTTTATTTTCTTTTTATTAAATAAAATTCTTAATCATGGGTCAGTTCCTTTTATCTGTGGAGTTTTGGCCAACAACATGAAATAAACTTACAGATGAGCTATGAAGGGGATATTGCATTATTTTAGAGTGAGTAGGTATATACATATATAATTATGTCAATAAAGCTATGGATTCGAAGGAAATAATACTTGCTGTTGGGAAAAATACTTTTTGACTATGTAGATCTCTAAAATTCTTTAATAGAATGAATGCCCACAGTACAAGTGATGCAACATTTTCTGGTTTGGAATAATAAAGGAGAATATTAAACATGGTCCTGTTGAATTTCTTACCCTTAATTACAAATGCCTAATCAATTATTGGCTATATATTAAATTTCTACCTGTCTAATAAAATTACATCTTATTTTTTGGGCTCATTTCTTTTGATGTATTCTTAAGAAAGTGGATATGTTAGAACATAAAAACAGCCTCAAAACCCATAAACAACTGTGTGTAACGTCCTTGGGAAAGGTTTGTTGTTTAATTTGTTTTGAAGGAAGTAATTGATTTTCCTGGCAGATCTGATAAAAATAACAGAGCTTTGATTGTCTAATCTAGAGGTCATGTCCTCCTCAGGAATCATCAGTGCATAACTCCAATTTAAGTGAATTCAAGTTCTCCTGGGACTATATTTCGATATGACTACAATATGCTACCATGAAGCTCCACTACCATAAAGTTACTCACAGAGCATAAACCAGCAATGCATATGTGTGTGTTTATGTATACATTTGTGTGTGCATATATACATATATAGATCACACAAAACAAGAAATTTCCTCTAGAAAGAATAAGTCAAATAGCAAGACAGGCATTACGAATACTTCTTTAGTGACTTTCTATTAGTTCTGTGTGCTTCCATCCTAACCAGCTTCATTAATCCTCATGAAATTTTGCAAACTTTGATCAATAGTTTTCTTTTTAGGACATACCATATATGAAGATAGAATTTGAAAGCAAATTAATAATGCAAATAAGACTGTAAACTTACTTTTAACAAATTATAAAATGAAATACAATTAATTCATAGGTTTCATATATTGCAAAATTATTTCAATATATTAGAGGAAGTCTAAAAGGACTTTTAATCTGCAGCAGTTCTTAGCAATAGGTGGACTGGAAAATAATGGGAAATGAATTTATTCAAAATATTTTCCACAATTTACTTTCTAAATTAAATAGTTTATATTGTCACTTCCATTTATCCAAATTAATATAATTTAGGAACTGATAAATTAAATAGATAATGTAGGTCTAGGAAACATTGATTCAGTAAAGCTTGTGAAATAAATATCTTTAATATCCACAATATCCTTGTCAAACGCCAGGACAAATTCAAAGGAATAAACTTGTATCGACTTAGTGCTGGTCACATGATATTGTGAGCATTGCATCCAGTTCTGAGCACTATATTTGAAGATGCACACTCTCAAATCAAAGTCATTTAAAGGAGATCAAGTGGAATGGTGAGAAATCTGGAAAGCACATCAGACTGTAGATGGCATGGTGAAACATTTGAGGATGTAGACTCTGCTGCAGGAAATAATGGAGTTTAAAACCAAGTTCCATCACTGATTAGCGCTTGACCCTTGCAAGCTCTTCAATTCCTGTGACCATTACTTGGGTGTTCCTCTGTAAAATTATGCTCTTCATAAATATTCATAGGTGTTCTGTGATAGTTAAGGAAATGCACATAATAAAATTAGGAAGGTATTTAATACTAGCTAATATTATTATTTTTATATTATATTACCAAATGGCTTCTCCAAAAACAAACTCATGGTAAAATCATACATAATTTTAAAGCATTTTTAGGGGTGTCCTTATGAAAGAGATTTATTCATTTTTGGACCAGAAGGCATAACTAGAAAGTTAAGTAGAAAGCTACAGGAAAGGCAGTCGATTTACTTTATATTGAAGAAGATTCTCATAGCATGAAACGCTTGAAAATTAAATGAGCCACCCTAAAAAGCAGTGAGATCCTTAACATTACTCTTCTTTAAGCAGCAGCTGGAAGCTTATATAGCAGGGATGTGTTAAGAGGAAATTCTACTCTGATTAAAATGTTACACTGGACAATATTTTCTCCTAATATTCATGATTCTATGACTTAATTATTTCTTAAAAGTATTGACACCAGTGTTCTTCACAAAGCGACTGTTTAATTCTGCTTGATTTGTCCAAGTAGAAGTTTAGGTTCTAGTTCAAACACAGCATAGAAAATTGGGGGAAAAGGCCAAACTGCCAATATGATCATTGAGAAATGGCTTAGGAGGCTGCCATTCTACATGTTTACAGCAACAAGGAGTGGGTACTGACTGTGATGCTGATGCTGAGAAGTTGGCTTTGGGCTAAAATAATAGATACTTTAGTTTGTCCTTTTGAATTGTTGTTAATACTTTAACATACAAAACCACACTATAGGGAGAGTGAGAGAAAAGCAGGATAGGAGAATCCCAGGAGTAAAGTCAATTACTTCATAAAGTTCTTAAAGAGCAGAAGAAAAAAACAGGCAAGAATGGAGGATGAAGAGCACTTTTAGGCTATTCCACAAAACAAAAGAGACTTTCCCAGTGAAGAAGATACAGAAGGAGTGGTTTAAAGGTGGAATATATGAGAAAAACAACTGCCACAGCCAGTCACTAAAGTCAGCTCTAACAGCAAAGCACAGTGCTGAGCTAATGACAATTTGAGCTGCAATTTAAAAAAAGTTTAGAATCCAGTTCATGGAACAGAATCAGCCATTGTATTCAGTATAGAATAGACCACATATGGGTATTATATTTAATTTTGTGCATGATATTTTAAGACAAACGCTGACCTAGATTTGGTCTAGAAGAGAAGACGCAACACAGGAAATTGTTTGGAATCATGTCATAAACTGAATGGTTAAAAAAACTAAAGAAGACAAAGCTTTGGAAAGAGAATATAGGTCCCTTAAGATATCCGAAGGATTCTCATGTAAAAATATTGTTTCCATTACCTCTGAAGGCTGAAGGGAGTCAGCAACTAGTCCTTACCCACAATAGAAGGAATCATCTCATGAAGCAGTTAGATTCCTTGCTGCTGAATATATCCAGGTAGATACTGGTGGATGGAAACTGAATTAGATGATGAAGATCTAAATTCATAATTTCTATTTTAAAATAGTAGCTTGTCTCATGTAAGAGAGGTGGAGGATTAATTCTAGACTAGTGCTACTCACATGACATCCTAACTATTAGTATTATATCCAGTTCTGACAACTATATTTAAAGAGGCACATTCTCAAATCAATTCTAGACAGTGGCTCCCCATTATTTTGTAGTGATTCCAAATCTATTTCTTGAAGCTTTCAGATATGTATAGGGTGGGAGATAGGAAATATGAATGATAAATCTGCAGATTTCTGAATAGTGAGAAGGAGGCAAAAGACTGATGGAAGTAGATGGGGAGAGGTCACTGAAAGCAACCAAGAGTGCAGTAAAATAAGATACATGGAAGAAAGGAGACAAGTCATATCAGGCCATTAGTAATATTTCATTCAACAATTGTTTATTCAAAGACTACAACATGTTCTGATGTTCTGTTCCAAACTCCAAATTGTTTTGATTGGTCTTAGAACTCTAAACAGGAGGACATTTTTTTCCCACTCAAATATTTTTTAAACTGTTATTGCTTCTTAGTATAGCTTAAAATCTGCATACAATTAGCATGGAAAGATTTTTATTTGTTTTCATTCACCCAACATTTTAAAAAATATCTGCTTAAGAACAGTGGACCCTCATATAACTCTGTTTTGTTTCTACCTTTGTTCACACATTAGTACCAAGGGTTATGTCAACTAAGCTCTGGAGATGAATTGCTACACTAGCACTGGAAGGTAAGTCTCCCACAGTGGCTTGTTAAGACTTGTCAGCAATTTTATTTTACGTATACTTTTTATTGAAGTATAACATGCAAACAAAAATGTGCACACATCATAAATGTACATTGTGAAAACTTTACAAAAATCGAACACAGTAAGCTACTGACACTAAGTTTAAGAAATAGGTAATTACCAACACTTCAAAACACCCCCTCTTTGCCACTCCAGACACCGGTTCCTCATACGTAACTACTATCTTGACTATTAACACAAAAGATTCGCTTCCTCCATGTGTAAATGAAATAAAAAATACATGTTCTCTTGCATCTGAATTTTTTCACTCAAAATTTTGTTTGTGAGATCCATTCGTTGAACAGTACACTGTTTTAATTCATTCTCATTGTTGTATAATATTCTGTGGTATATATATCACTATTTATCCATTCTATTCTTAATGGATATTTGGTTTGTTTCAATTAGGGCTATTAGGAATAGAACATTCCTATAGTTGTGATTTGATGAGCATATGGGTGCACTCTGTTGGGTATATTCATGGAAGTAAAATTTCTGGGTCATAGCTGTATATGAATTTAGCTTTAGTAAATGTCAAAACATTTTCCAAAGAAGTTGTACCAATATTTCTTTTCTTACTAGCATTGTGTAGTCACCCTACACCCTTGCCAACACTGGGTATGCTCAGCCTACTTCATTTTAGCCATTCTGCTCAAGGTGTTGTGGTGTCACAATGTGATCTTCATTTGCATTTTCCTGATGAATAATCAATTTTATCACCTCCTTATTTGTTTACTAGCCATTGGGATGTTCTCTTTGGTGAAGGCCCTATTCAAATATTTGCTCATTGTTCTATTGTCCTCTGTATTTCTCCCACTCTGTGGCTTTCCTTTTCATTCTCTTACTGGTGTCTGTTGATTAACAGAAGTTCTTAATTTTTGTGTTGTTCAATTTAGCAATATTTTTCTTTGGATTCTGCTTTTCAAATTCTCATTCTGTCTTCCATGAGATAAGCTTGCCAATTTTTTTAAATTATTGTTCTCATATTATTGGTCAAAATACTTAATGTTGACAACCCAGAAAGAATTTGGATATGTGTCTAATACTGAGCCATTGCAGTTTGACTTGTGTTACATAACATGAACTAGTTTCTGGGCATATTAATTAAGGAATTATTTATGAATTCATGGTATGTTCAAACTTTAGAAAAAACTTTGCCCTTTCAGCACTTTTGTCTTCCATTTGGTATATGGAAAAATATATATATTGGTAGGATATCTTCAGTTTCATTTTTTTTCTAAGGATGAAAAATTGGGGAGTAGATAATCTCACTGCATATCTATTATCAGGAAAGTTCCTGGTCATCTTTGCAGATGGAGGACCTTATTTAAGCAACATTAACCCTAGATACAACTTAAAACTCATAAATGCTTTGATGATTTCCATCAAGAATGATGGCTTGCATGGACATTAACAAATAAATCAATTTTTCAAGTTTCTATTTTCTTACATAAGTTATTAGCTCAGAAGAAGTAATGTCTCCTACTAGAATTCGAAAGAAAGTCTCTACTAAGTGTTAAACCAAGTGAGTTTAACACTTGATTTAAACCAATAAATGCATACTAATATTTTAAAAAACATTTATTGGTTTAAACCAATAAATGTATACTAATATTTTAAAAGTTTAAACCATGTGTTGGTTTATACCAATAAATGTATGCTAACATTTTAAAAGTTTAAACCAATAAATGTATACTAATATTAATTAGTACACATTACCAGAAATTGATGTTAATATTTATATTGTAAGATATATTTCTGTATCTAAAATGTTAAAGATCCTTCACAATAAACTAGATAAACTTTGTTTTGAAATTTTTGTTCTTTTTTCTATTCATTTATATACCCAATTAAATGATAGCATGTTTTCTCAGAAGACTTAATGTTTTTTCTGGATGCCATAAAAGTTGCAAACCATCCTTTAGGCATTGAAGGAAGCTGTGTCAGTTTTAAGCTTTATAACACTAATATTTTATCATTGTTTAATACCAGTACTTGAAGCCAGTTCACAGATAAGAGATATTATTTATCCTGATTACTAAAGATGGCTGTATTTTCATTGCTATTTATTACAAGGAAAAAAAACCTATGCTCTTCAATCTGTGGTATAGATATTATTTAAATGTTTTACTTCAAATGTTTAAATTGCATTTAAGTTAAATGTAATTTAAATGTTACGATTTAGTTATTCTAAAGTTACATGTAATCTTTCACTCAGTTCACATTTGGAAGCTGCCTAAATCCACTTTCACACAGGAAAAATAAAAAGTTGCATTATCATTTTTTTATCACAGGATTTTTCATCGTGCATTATAATTCAATTATATGCATTATTCAGGGGTTCAAAAGGAGAAAATAGTAAGCATAGCTGGGGTGGCACAGAGAAAGGCTTGCACTTTGAAGCTCACTTCAACAGTGCGCCTGAAACCTCTCAGAAACCATGAGGAACCTGCAAAATATAAATTAATGCTTGAAATCTATAGAGAGTAGATATAAGAAAAACAAAAAGCAAAAAACTGACCAGCCTCTAGAACAATGAATCACTGAAGAATACAAAATCAGGGCAGAGACCACATTTCAAGGTCATAATTTTTAGTGCTCTCCTAGATTCACTAAATACAAATTTTAAGAGTAATTCATGTCAGCAAAGCCATATCTGATACAATGGGATAAAAGACTACTACTAATTCCAAGTTATGTCACCATTCTATTGGATGAAGCAACTTACCTTATTAAGAGTTTATATGACATAACGTCCATTTAGTTCATCAATTATTTATTTGTTATTGCAGGCAACATACTGAAATTGACGCACAACTGAAAAAGATATCTCCTTCCTCAACTAATTAAAAAAGGCAAGGAAGAAGAAGAAATAAAACAACTTGTAAGAAAACCACTAATTTCAAAAACTATGTATATACTATATATATATACACACACACACGTATATACTATATATATACACACACATATATATACATATATATATTTCAAAATATATATATACAGTTTTTGAAATATAGTGGTGTACACAATGTACACATATATTTCAAAAGCTAGGTTATTTATATACATTCTCTCATTTAATTATTGTAATCATGAGAAAGAGGTTTTTTTTTTCTGTTATAAATAACCTGAAATTCCATATAACTGGCATGCCCTAAATCATACAGTTAGAAAGTAAAACCTAATTCTGTCTGGCTTCAATGAACACTTCACAACATCATTTTATACCTATGATCTAAAATAAATGCCTTAAATGCTACACCAACGAAGTGCTACAATAATACAAAATAGCAAACAGCACACGATTGTATATGAATGGTAAGATCAAGAAAGTTTTTCTGAAGGGAGGGCTCTTCCACAAGGTCTTTGAAAGAGAAGCAGGATTGGAGAACAGAATAGACACTCTTTCGGAAAGGGGTATTAGATGAATAGAGGTGAGAAATTAAAGAGAAAGTCTTGAGAATTGATTTTTAAAAAATCAATCAAACAAAAATCTCAAACAAAATATCAGCCAAACAAAAGATCAATTCAGTAAACGTATAAACAGACTCCCTTACATCTGTTCTGCCCTCCCCCCATCCTTCTACATGGCAGCCAGGCTAATCTTGAAAAACTCAAGTCTGACATCTCACTATTCTGTTTAAAACCTTCCCTGACTGCATTATCCTTTAGGGTAAAGTCCAATAAAAAACTCACGAGCCTGCAGGATCAGGGCATCTTTCCTTTGTCACTTCACATTTTAGCCATAGGGACTCTATTTTAATTCCTTAAAACCACCATGCTCTTTTGAGCCTCAGGTGCTGTTGAACACTGTCCCCTCTGCCAGAAATGCTTTTCCCTACTTTCTGTGCACTTGTTCGAAACCTCTTTTTCTCAGACTCTAAATTCCTTAAAGGCAGTGATCACATATTTGTCTTATCTGCTGCATTTACCAGAGCCACCTGACTCAGATTTTTATTTTTTCATCCAATACATGTAACTATGCACTATGAAAGACCCTTTAGAAACTGCCATTTATGTTTAATTAGATCCCATTTGTCAATTTTGGCTTTTGTTGCCATTGCTTTTTGGTGTTTTAGACATGAAGTCCTTGCCCATACCTATGTCCTGAATGGTATTGCCTAGGTTTTCTTCTAGGGTTTGTATGGTTTTAGGTCTAACATTTAAGTCTTTAATCCATCGTGAATTAATTTTTGTATAAGGTGTAAGGAAGGGATCCAGTTTCAGCTTTCTACATATGGCTAGCCAGTTTTCCCAGCACCATTTATTAAATAGGGAATCCTTTCCCCATTTCTCATTTTTGTCAGGTTTGTCAAAATCAGATAGTTGTAGATATGTGGCATTATTTCTGAGGGCTCTGTTCCTTTCCATTGGTCTATATCTCTGTTTTGGTACCAGTACCATGCTGTTTTGGTTACTGTAGCCTTGTAGTATAGTTTGAAGTCAGGCAGCGTGATGCCTCCAGCTTTGTTCTTTTGGCTTAGGATTGACTTGGCAATATGGGCTGTTTCTTGGTTGCATATGAACTTTAAAGTAGTTTTTTCCAATTCTGTGAAGAAAATCATTGGTAGCTTGATGGGGATGGCACTGAATCTATAAATTACCTTGGGCAGTAGGGCCATTTTCCCGATATTGATTCTTCCTACCCATGAGCATGGAAAGTTCTTCCATTTGTTTGTGATCTCTTTTATTTCATTGAGCAGTGGTTTGTAGTTCTCCTTGAAGAGGTCCTTCACATCCCTTGTAAGTTGGATTCCTAGGTATTTTATTCTCTTTGAAGCACTTGTGAATGGGAGTTTACTCATGATTTGGCTCTCTGTTTGTCTGTTATTGGTGTATAAGAATGCTTGTGATTTTTGCACATCGATTTTGTATCCTGAGACTTTGCTGAAGTTGCCTATCAGCTTAAGGAGATTTTCTGCTGAGACGATGGGGTTTTCTAGGTATACAATCATGTCATCTGCAAACAGGGACAATTTGACTTCCTCTTTTCCTAATTGAATACCATTTGTTTCCTTCTGCCTGACTGCCCTGGCCAGAACTTCCAACACTATGTTGAATAGGAGTGGTGAGAGAGGGCATCCCTGTGTTGTGCCAGTTTTCAGAGGGAATGCTTCCAGTTTTTGCACATTCAGTATGATATTGGCTGTGGGTTTGTCACAGATAGCTCTTATTATTTTGAGATATGTCCCATCAATACCTAATTTATTGAGAATTTTTAGCATGAAGCGTTGTTGAATTTTGTCAAAGGCCTTTTCTGCATCTATTGAGATAATCATGTGGTTTTTGTCGTTGGTTCTGTTTATATGCTGGATTACATTTATTGATTTGCGTATGTTGAACCAGCCTTGCATCCCAGGGATGAAGCCTACTTGATCATGGTGGATAAGCTTTTTGATGTGCTGCTGGATTTGGTTTGCCAGTATTTTATTGAGGATTTTTGCGTCGATGTTCATCAGGGATATCGGTCTAAAATTCTCTTTTTTTGTTGTGTCTCTGCCAGCCTTTGGTATCAGGATGATGCTGGCCTCATAAAATGAGTTAGGGAGGATTCCCTCTTTTTCTATTGATTGGAATAGTTTCAGAAGGAATGGTACCAGCTCCTCCTTGTACCTCTGGTAGAATTCGGCTGTGAATCCATCTGGTCCTGGACTTTTTTTGGTTGGTTAGCTATTAATTATTGCCTCGATTTCAGAGCCTGTTATTAGTCAATTCAGAGATTCAACTTCTTTCTGGTTTAGTCTTTGGAGGGTGTATGTGTTGAGGAATTTATCCATTTCTTCTAGATTTTCTAGTTTGTTTGCATAGAGGTGTTTATAGTATTTTCTGTTAGTAGTTTGTATTTCTGTGGGATTGGTGGTGATATCCCCTTTATCATTTTTTATTGAGTCTATTTGATTCTTCTCTCTTTTCTTCTTTATTAGTCTTGCTAGCAGTCTATCAATTTTGTTGATCTTTTCAAAAAAACCAGTTCCTGGATTCATTGATTTTTTGAAGGGTTTTTTGTGTCTCTGTCTCCTTCAGTTCTGCTCTGATCTTAGTTATTTCTTGCCTTCTGCTAGCTTTTGAATGTGTTTGCTCTTGCTTCTCTAGTTCTTTTAATTGTGATATTAGGGTGTCAATTTTAGATCTTTCCTGCTTTCTCTTGTGGGCATTTAGTGCTATAAATTTCCCTCTACACACTGCTTTGAATGTGTCCCAGAGATTCTGATATGTTGTGTCTTTGTTCTTGTTGGTTTCAAAGAACATCTTTATTTCTGCCTTCATTTTGTTATATACCCAGTAGTCCTTCAGGAGCAGATTGTCCAGTTTCCATGTAGTTGTGCGGTTTTGAGTGAGTTTCTTAATCCTGAGTTCTAGTTTGATTGCACTGTGGTCTGAGAGACAGTTTGTTATAATTTCTGTCCTTTTACATTTGCTGAGGAGTGCTTTCTAAAGAGCTTCTGCACAGCAAAAGAAACTACCAACAGAGTGAACAGGCAACCTACAGAATGGGAGAAAATTTTTGCAATCTACCCATCTGACAAAGGGCTAATATCCAGAATCTACAATGAACTCAAACAAATTTACAAGAAAAAAACAAACAACCTCATCAAAAAGTGGGCAAAGGATATGAACAGACACTTCAAAAGAAGACATTTATGCAGCCAAAAGACACATGAAAAAATGCTCATCATCACTGGCCATCAGAGAGATGCAAATCAAAACCACAATGAGATACCATCTCACACCAGTTAGAATGGCAATAATTAAAAAATCAGGAAACAACAGGTGCTGGAGAGGATGTGGAGAAATAGGAACACTTCTACACTGTTGGTGGGACCGTAAACTAGTTCAACCATTTTGGAAGTCAGTGTGGTGATTCCTCAGGGATCTAGAACTAGGAATACCATTTGACCCAGCTATCCCATCACTTGGTATATACTCAAAGGATTATAAAACATGCTGCTATAAAGACACATGCACACGTATGTTTATTGTGGCACTATTCACAATAGCAAAGACTTGGAACCAACCCAAAAGTCCAACAATGACAGACTGGCTTAAGAAAATGTGGCACATATACACCGTGGAATACTATGCAGCCATAAAAAATGATGAGTTCATGTCCTTTGTAGGGACATGGATGAAACTGGAAACCATCATTCTCAGCAAACTATTGCAAGAAAAAAACCAAACACCACATGTTCTCACTCATAGGTGGGAATTGAACAGTGAGAACACATGGACACAGGAAGGGGAACGTCACACACCAGGGCCTGTTGTGGGGTGGGGGAGGGGGCGGGATAGCATTAGGAGATATACCTAATGTTAAATGATGAGTTAATGGATACAGCACACCAACATGGCACATGTATACATATGTAACAAACCTGCACGTTGTGCACATGCACCTAAAACTTAAAGTATAATTAAAAAAAAAAAAAAAAAGAAACTGCCATTTATGGAGCCTAAAAGCCTTGGCATTGCCAGGTAACAATTCTTCCTTGTCTCAGGAAGAGATGGAATTAAAGGACTACTAACTATTGTTCTCAAGCAAGGTTTCTGGATTTCTAGGCCCCTTCCAAAAGATAGGATGGAAAGTTCTAATAAAGGAAAAGAAAATGCAATATATATTAAATCTGTTTTATACCTCTTTGTTAAGAAATTTTGATTCTTTAGTAAAGAAAAATCAAAACCAGATGAGGTAAGAATATTGTGACTGAAGATCACCAAGAAACATTATTATCTGCCAAGTATTTTTTTCCAAGATATAATAAAAGGGGTCAGAACACTCTCCAGGAACAATTGCCCAGTTGGGCTGACAAAGTTTTGACGATGTAAGGGGCAAATTGTCTCCAACCCCATAGACAAGGTAGGGAACCCAGCTCTGGGGACCATGCAATTAGGACCGTGATGTCCTAAATTACAGGACATCACCTTTAAGGAAGAGAAACACACAAATAATGGGTACACTGGCACAATTTTATATAGGAAATGAAAAAATCATTAAAAAAGAAAATTTTTGGCTCAGTGTCTGCCCTTTAATTTTTTTGTGATTCTGATGCATTAAAATAAAAAAAAGAATAAAAGTAGTCCTACCCAGAGATGAGAGGCAGCCCTAATTTGGATAAGCTACGATTACCATGTGCTTAGCCTATAATAATCCTTTCATAAATATTTGTTGAATTAATAAATAGATTTATCAAGAGAAGTGATGTCAGCCTGATTGGGTATCTAACAAATGGCTTAGGCAGTAACTTGTTAAATCTATAAATACATTGGGCAGTATATAGATAAACCTTATCTAAATACAGAGTTGTTATAAAAATATTGGGCAATTTAAGTGTATTTTCAAACACTTTGTTAAATTTTTTCAAACAGACAAATTCTTACATCATGATGACAAACACTGATGCTCAGTATTATGGTTTCAATTTACTATTATTTTGTAGTCTAAGAAGAACTGGATTTTGCTGGGATAATTTGTTTTCTGAGCCTTTTGTTTTTGTGGGAGATGGAAGAGATGCGAAGGAGAAATGATCTATTGTAAAAAGCTCCGGATATTTCTAAAAACGAGTGGCAGAGGTCTCAATTAACTTTGCTTCTTTGAACTCATATCTACCCAGGAGAAGTGAGAGACACAATGTGAAATTATAATGATTTACTCTATAGGATAAGGTCATTTATTTATTTTCTTTTCTGGTTTTGAGAAGCCTCAAATCTCACCCAAAAAAATATTTTTCATGAAAACATGACATGTTACTCCATAACATAAACAGAAAGATACTACGTTTAGTGGTATCAAGTTACCTCTGTAAGAGATCAGGTACTCTTTTATTAAAATTAATAAAAGTAATAAAAACAACTGACATTCACAGATTGCTTATTATGTGCCATCTCTGTACTAAGGGCTTTGTTTAGATTAATCCTCACCTTGACTCTGAGAAGAGGGTATTTTTAACAAAATTACAACCTCTTTTTACAGATGAAGAACCAAACAGAAAGTTTACATAAGCTGCTCGAGGTTACCCAAGGTAGTGCAGAGCTGAGGCCTGGTTTGTCTGATTCTATTGTACATGTTAATAACTCCATTGTATATCATAGAAATCCCTCTTTATAAAACAAGTATGGATCTTTAGTATATTAATCACCTTCAATATTTCTTCCACCAACTTATTTAGAAAACAAGTTTGAACTGACATTTAAAAGAACAATGAGAAATGTCTTTTTTAGATCATGTGAAGTGAGATATGAGGAGAGTAACCCATTCTTGGTTTCTGAAATGCAAATATTAATTTTCTAACATGAGAAAGAGTCCATTTGATATTTTAGCAAGTCATTTGAGGTCAGGACATCAAGCCATTAGGCTGAATCACTAATGAAATTGTTAGTGTTATAGGTCAAAACTGGTCAAATATTGATAATTTCAAATGATTCAACCTAGTAGCTCTCTGTTTCTGGTAACAGTAAACAGTACAAATTAAAAATTCTATATATAAACTCAGAATTGTTTAGGGTCCAGCAAAGGGAAAGAAAAATCAGAAGGTAAGTCTCCTATATTCGAAGAACATAGAATAATGTCATACTGAAAACAACCAGGGTTAAAGTAACATGCCAAATATTTAATTGTTAGATCATCATGGAGTTGTAGATGGAGAAATTTACGGAAATTTTAATAAGTACTTGGATGTGAGCTTTGAGAAAAAGAATTCACAGAACAGAGCCATGAAGCTCTTCTAGGCAGAAGGGAAGATCATGATAAAGAGCAAACAACTGGGGACTGTCATGAAGCACAAAATGTTATAGGCCAGAAAAAGAAAGAACTGATTGGATCACTGGGTCCGTGTGATCCACAAGCAGGACAGGTTAGATGGGTTAGAGAGAAGAACTGAAAGTGGAAGGAGACACCTGGACTTGATTCTGCCAGAAGTCATACTAGGCATCTCCAGGAGGATTGCGTTGGTAAAGTCACACATACTGGGAATACTGAATGAGTAGCAGGCACAGTGTAAGAGACTTGGAGCAGAACAATTGATTAAAGACTAGTTATATGGCCCAGGACCAAGAGTGTGGATCTGCATCATGGTGGTAAAAAAGAGAACAACATTTTGAATTCAACATGTTGAACTAGAGACACAATTTGAAGGAAGAAGTAACAGGATTTGATTTCCAATTTAACTTTTTTGTGGAATAGAAAAGTGACTCTAAAATATTGAGCCTAAGTGATTTTTTATATGGGGGTTTATTGTTTTAAAAATAAAATGGAAAAGTGTACAAGTTTGGGGAGATAATTTATTCTAATAAATATGTAAAGTAATAATAGCTTATTATTTGCTGCTGTCTCAGACACTGACTACTAAGCAATGTGTACACACACTAATTATATATACATATATTTTTCACAATTCCTTAAACCATATTGAAAGACAAGTATTAATCAAGTATTAATATTTAAATTTTATAACTAATAAAATACAGGCCAAAGAGGTTAAATAATTTTCCCAAAGTCACATAGCACTAAATATTTATGACTCCCAAAAACCTTTGTTGTTTTATCTATTTTACCCAAGTAGAATTTGAAATGACAGCTGAACTTTCATGTGACTGTATCTTAAACAGGGCATAAAACAGACGACTAGCGCTAGAATGAGGGACTGAATATTTGGGTTTGAAAGTCATTAGGATTCGCTGAACTTTGAAAGTGGGTCATCACTTCAGGGTTGAGGAACATGGGAGGAAAAAAAGGAAACAAAACTAAAATCTGAAAGTTACCTAGAATGAGGGACAGAAAGTAGAGAGGGGCAGGTCAAGAATAAGACAGAACCAGAGAGAGTGCCAGAGAAGAAAGTACTAAGCTGTCTAAGTCATTTATTTAACAAGTATGTCCCCAGCTAAGGAGCAAGTGAGCTGACATCTGAAAGGTCCACTGGAAGTTCAACAAGTGTAAAGCGCTCTGGCCAAAGGGGACTGTTTAAGTAGAACGGGAACATACTCAAAAGATGAGTGTCAAGAGGGAGCAGAGATTGGGGATAATTAGCAATGGAGGGGTTAGACTAAAAAAGGCAGTTTCTGCAGATATTTTGTCACATTAGGGTCCCAGCAGTTACCTACCTTTTTCTGGATCAAGTACTTTTTTTTCTGGAGCATGTGTTATCTAGTCTCTCAGTTTTTTTTCTAGGTTTCCGGTTATCTTGGTCAGCTCAGACTGCCGTAACAAAATACCATAGGCTGGACAATTTGAACAGCAGGCATTTGTTTCTCACAGCTCTCGAGACCGAAAAGCACAAGATCAAGGTACCATTCAGTTTGGTTCCTGGTAATGGCTGTCTTCATGACTTGCAGACAGCTGTCTTTTTGTTGTGTCCTCATACAGAAGGGAGAGAGACAGTCAGTCAGACAGACAGAGAGAGATAGAGTGCAGAAGCATAAGCTCTCTAGTCTCTTCTTATAATGTCACTAATCCCATCACAGGGACCCCATCCTTAATGACGCCATCTAATCCTAATCACCTCCCAAAGGCCGTATCTCCAAATACCATCACATTTGGGGTTAAGGCTTCAACATATGAATTTGGTTGGGAAGCGGGGAGGTCACAAACATTCCATCGATAATGATCACGGAGGCAGCTTCTATTTGTACCTGACTATAAGAGGGCTGCTGCACTGGTGTTTCACTGACCTTCCCCAGAGTTTCATGTGATGGTAAACAAGACCTATTCCTCAAAACTTCTATAATATAAAAATTGCTAATGTGATTTTTGCTAATTAGATTGCCACCCTAGAATATAAATTATAACATCAATAGAGAATCTTGGCATACCATGCCTGGCATAATGTACCTCCAAAGGTATGAAGTAATGAAAATTTGTGGGAATTTTTGGGAATGTTGAGGGAAATTGATTTCTCAACAATTTTTGACTCTAAAATTTTTGATTCTTTGGTTCTTTCTCTCTATTCTGTAGTTCTAAAATGTAGTAGAACAACAGCAGAACACAAGTCTTTGCCCCATGGGAAAATTAAAACCCCATAGCCCTGTTTCAATTCCATGGTCATAAAATAGGGAAAAGAGAAAGTTGGTGATCTTACTTAAAAGAGAACTGCACCCCTAAGTCAGCATGCTGGGCAATTTCCCCATTATTACCTGTATTTTCATAAACAGCAGATTTTAAGGAAGCCATATTTGCCACAGCAAATGAATTCAGGGGAGCAGCTATCTACGTGGTTGATACATTCGGTATCCTTTGTTTGGAAGTGTCTTGGTCTCCTAGCAACATCATAGGGAAATCTATCAGGGATATGAAATTAAATGGCTATGTAGGCGGAATACCTGTAGAGTGTTCAGTTCTATGAAAAGCTTTCACTAGAAATTATATACATATTGTGCAAAATGCTACAGTAACATAAGGTTAAGGTAGGAATTGTTCAACTCCCCCATAAGCAATTTAGAGTTCCAGCAATAACCAATAGCCAAGGGTCTACAGTGCACAGAAAAAAAAGAAAGAAAGAAAGGCACTATACGAAATGCTAGTTATGTTAATTATTTATGACTATGGAGACTTTCCTCCACAAAATTAAAAAAAAATAGAAAAAAAATTGAAAAAAAGATTTCAGGGCATCCTGATCTCCAGGCTCTTCTTTTGTTAAAACCTTCTCCCAACTTTGGGGGTAGAAGGAAGTGAAACATTTTCTCCTGCAAACCAACAAACAAATAAATAAGTTAGAAATACAAAATTCAAGAAGCAAGACTACAGAACCCTGCCCTTTTTTTAGCTACTGGCTGTAACTGCAAATCAAATCCGAGCTGTGCTGGTCTGCTCCCTGTTGCCTAGTTTCTCACAGAGTGTCTGAAAGACAGCTGCAGGCCGACTCCTGGGCTGCAACTCCACGATTCGGAGTCCTAGAGAAGCGGGTCCTAGGATTTGCATGTAACAAATCTGACCTGGTGATTCTTGAGAGCTATTACTTCCTGCTATAGAAAGTGCTCTTAATGGTGTCTGTCCCATTCCTTCATTCAAGGCCATTATCTTTCTTTGCTGGATAAGAAAATTTGCGCTTGGAAAGGGCCTATCATGTTTTCCTTCAGTCAATGTTGTTAGTCCAAACTGCACCATTTTTTAAACCCCCTGCCATTTTTGCAGGCCTTGGTCAAGGTGGAACATGCCACAGGTGTTTGGGCCTGAGAAACAGCCTGCCTAACCACCTGACCACAAGGCACAGGAACATCTTTTTTCTTTTCTTTTCTTTTCTTCTTTTTTTTTTTTTTTTTTTTTTTGAGTCGTAGTCTCGCTCTGTCACCTAGACTGGAGTGCAGTGGCATGCTCTTGGATCACTGCCACCTCCACCTCCCGGGTTCAAGAGATTCTCCTGCCTCAGCCTCCTGAGTAGGTGGAATTACGGGTGTGCGCCACCATGCCCGGCTAATTTTTGTATTTTTAGTAGAGATGGCGTTTCACCATGTTGGTCAGGCTGGTCTTGAACTCCTGACCTCATGATCTGCCCACCTTGGCCTCCCAAAGTGCTGGGATTACAGGTGTGAGCAACTGCGCCCGGCCACACAGGAACATCTTTATCATACTCTGCCAAGCAAAGGCCCAACTGAAGGAACATCCCTATCAAATCTTGCTGGGCAAAGGTACAAGGAACATCCTCTCACATCTCACTGAAAAAAGGGCTAAACCATCTGATCACAGGAACATCTTATCAATATCCTTCCGGGCAGCAAGCCATACTGCCCAGACCTCTCCCCGCTCCATAATTATAAATACCCCAGGCTGTAAGCAGCTGTGGTCTCTGGTATTAAGCTGGTCCCCAACCTCTGCAGGTTTATGCTGGACATAAATGCCTGAATTTGCTGTTGAGCCACCACTCTCTCTCTCTTTCTATTTTTATTTAACCCTCGTCTTCCCTTCAAAACCTATCAAATGTGACACACTAAAATATCCCTTTAAATAACAAGTTTCTTCTCTGTTAATTTATTTACATATATAATTTTACTCATTTTCTCTTCCTCTTTCCTTTCAACTAATTTCATCAAACATCAAACATTTATTGTTTACTGTGTATCCACAACAGAATTGCAATCAAGATCGGTTGTTTAAAAATTTAAGCAAAATTTAGGTATTGAAAGACTTTATTTTGGATTTTAATTATACTAATAAAAGTTAATTGCTTTATATTATGTATGTTTATTTACAGCTTGATTGTAAAAAGTTTTTATTTTTTTTATTTTTTTATTTTTTTTATTTTTTGCTGGTAATTCTTACATTTCTTTTCTTTTTTTTTTTTTTATACTTTAAGTTTTAGGGTACATGTGCACATTGTGCAGGTTAGTTACATATGTATACATGTGCCATGCTGGTGCGCTGCACCCACTAACTCGTCATCTAGCATTAGGTATATCTCCCAATGCTATCCCTCCCCCCTCCCCCCACCCCACCACAGTCCTCAGAGTGTGATATTCCCCTTCCTGTGTCCATGTGATCTCATTGTTCAATTCCCACCTATGAGTGAGAATATGCGGTGTTTGGTTTTTTGTTCTTGCGATAGTTTACTGAGAATGATGATTTCCAATTTCATCCATGTCCCTACAAAGGACATGAACTCATCATTTTTTATGGCTGCATAGTATTCCATGGTGTATATGTGCCACATTTTCTTAATCCAGTCTATCATTGTTGGACATTTGGGTTGGTTCCAAGTCTTTGCTATTGTGAATAATGCCGCAATAAACATACGTGTGCATGTGTCTTTATAGCAGCATGATTTATAGTCATTTGGGTATATACCCAGTAATGGGATGGCTGGGTCAAATGGTATTTCTAAAGCCATCAAAGACATGTAATAGAAGAATTAAAAAATTTTTTTAAAAGGTTAAATTATTTTGACAGTATTGGAAAAGTATGAAGTACTTTGGGACAGAGGAAAAGAAGATATCTCTCTTTTCCCTCTCAGTTTCTCTGCACCCCACACCTGTTTTTCTCCTGGATAAAGGACAAGGAATAGGACGTGGAAAAAAAATGACCTTGCCAGGATACTACAAATTGATCTTTTATATGTTTAGTTAGACTAGGACTAGCTTCCTGATGATAGTACCTGCTACTCCAACCAAATAACCTAAAATCTGATTTAATTTTGTCAAAATCAAGATCCCAAGCTTTCCCAATCTTGGATGGGGAGAGGAGAAAAGAGGCCCTGCGGTAGGGAGCTATGTAAGAGGCCTGGTACAAACTCAATGATAGTCTTGAACTGTAGGATAAGTTTCCTTTGAGGTTCACCATCAAGATTTCTAGGTGGGAAGGTGTCTTAGTCCATTTGACCTGCTATAACAAAGTACCATAAACCAGGTAGCTTATAAATAACAGAAGCTTATTTCTCACACTTCTGGGGGCTGGGAAGACTGATGCCACGGTGCCAACAGATTTGGAGTCTGGTGAGTGCTCTTTCTTGTTCCCAGATGGAAGCTTCTTGTTGTGTTTTCACATGGCAGAAAGGACAAGGCAGCTCTCTGGAGCCTCTTTTATAAAGGCACTAATTCCATTCACAAGGGCTCCACTTCATGACCTAACCACCTCCGGATGTTTCATTTTCTAACACTATCACACTGGTGATTAGGTTTCAATATGGAAATTGAAGATGGGGAAGTGTCACAAATATTCACAACATAGCAGAGAGATTCCAGAGTTAGCTTATGTATTTGACATTTGTTGTTTCTGTTGCCCATATCTGAGGTGCCCTTTCTGTAAGGGCCACCTTTCATTCCACTACAGAAGCCAAATTGGAGAAAGTATTTCTTCTCCCTACTCTTTGGCAGTAAGAGCTTGGGCATATGAATCCCAACTCAGAGATACCAAGGTGCAAAGTCAGAGAGAAAGTCTTTGAAGCAGTTACGATAGAGTGAAGATTCTAGTAGCATGCAGAGTGATGAGTAGTTAGTGGTGCAGAGTGATGTCACTAGCAGTGGTATCCTAAGCAGATAGTCCCTGCAAAAGGATTTTACCTGTGCTTTGAGTCTTTTGGTTTTGATTCAAGCTTCTTTCTTCATCCTTCTCATAACTTTTGTGATATGACACCTTCTAACAAATTCTTTTTCTGTTTATGTTAATCTGAGTCACTTTCTGATTTTATGCACACAAACTTTTACTAGTATGGGCAGAAAGCTGGGTCACAAACAATGGGGAAGAGGGGTACGATAGAAAAAAGCCTCAGCTTTGGAAGAAAATATTGGCATGGATGAGTTTTCTAGCTTGGATCCTGGACCTGTGAGTAAACATGGATCACTACAGGGAGAGAAAGTTAGATAGTAGCTCAACTATTAATAGATACCTGAACAGGTGAAATTTATTCCTGAGGTGCCACCAAAACTAGGGGGAAGCTATTTTCAGAACCTACTTGATCTAGGTCTAGAAGGACTTCTAACGTGTTAATTAATTAATTTACTCAATCTGTCATTACTGAAGACCTGATGTGAGCCAGTCTCATTTGTTAGGCATAAAAAAAGAGTGATGGTAAACAAAATAAACATGGTACCTATCCTAGAGAAAATTACCAATGAGCAAGACAGACATTAAACAAATAGTTTAACATATAGTTGATCTTCTTTACTCAGGTCCTATATTTATGAATTCACCTACTTGCTAAAATGTATTTGTAGCTCTCAAATCAATACCTGCTGCTTTCATGGTCATTTCCAGACAGACCAAAAGTTGCCAAAAGCTGGAGTCACCAAATGCACAAGCTCCCAGCTGAAGTTGAACAAGAAGATGCTGTGCCTTCTTGTTTGTGCCTTTTTGTTTAGCAGAGATGACCAGAGGATGGAGAAAGTAGGGAAGAGTGCAGTGTAGGGCAGTTCAGGAAGCTCTGGCTTGGGAATCAGTCATAGTGGACTTGAATCTCATCTCTGGCATCTATTAGTGAGGCAGCCTTTTTCCCCTTGGAGTAATATTCATTGTTTGATAGTTCAGTGTTTGGGGCATAACTATGGTGAATAATGAGAACTGAATGTTATATATGTCAATAAAATGACATGTTGTGGGAGTACATAGAAAACTGTTATGTTTGGGTGTTATGGTGGGAGTACACACAAAAAAACATGATTTAATCAAGAGATCAAGAAAGGTCATCAAGAAAAAAGTCACATTAAACTAATGCCTGAAGCATGAATAGGAATTATTGCAGCAAAGTTGTGGAAACACTCTAGACAATGGTGCAGATAGAGTGCTATGGCCTGGTTAAACCTGAGCATAGTGTGAAGAAAGGAAAGGGGAAAAGTGTAGCTTGATAGGCAACAGGAAGTTAGTTCATTCACACCGTGTAGGCCATTTAGGGAAATTTGAGCTTTTCCCTATGGACAATGAGAAGCTATTAATGGCATAAAGCCAAGGTTTGGCCAGGTTTTCCCAGCTGTTAATTACCCTTGTTTGCCAACATCAATTTAGGCATATAAGACAGACAGGAATCAAGATAGATTAATACTCCTTGTGAATTTTGTGCTAAAATTGATATTAAAAGCATGTCTAAGATAGATCTGTGTAGTTTCTGATTCATGTTGGGAAGCCCTTTCCTAAGGGAAATCAAAAGACTTGCTGAATAAATGTCTCTAGAATTAAAAGTAAGATCTCCTGGCTGGGTGCGGTGGCTCACGCCTGTAATCCCAGCACTTTGGGAGGCGGAGGCGGGTGAATCACGAGGTCAGGAAATCGAGACAATCCTGACTAACATGGTGAAACACCGTCTCTACTAAAAATACAAAAATTAGCTGGGCGTGGTGGCGGGCACCTGTAGTCCCAGCTCATCGGAAGGCTGAGGCAGGGGAATGGCGTGAACCCGGGAGGCGGAGCTTGCAGTGAGCCCAGATGGCGCCACTGCACTCCAGCCTGGGCGACAGAGCAAGACTCCGTCTCAAAATAAATAAATAAATAAATAAATAAATAAATAAATAAATAAATAAAAATAAGATCTCCTTGATTTAGCAGATTATTTAAAAATAAAAGAACAATTAAAATATTAATTGCTTAATATATTAATTTATTAAATAAAATTTAATAAATATTTTTAAATTATTTAATTATTATTAATTTTAAGTATTTTAACTATAATTTTAAGTGGCTTTAAAATAGTTAAAACACTTAAAATTAATAATTTAATAATTAATAATAGAAATTACAATTAATATATAAGTAATAAATGGTTTATTAATACACTAGAAATTTATTAATAAATTGATACTTTAAACTGTTTTTAACTATTATTTTTAAGCTAGAGAGAGAAGTTGTCTTTTTCAAGTTTAGAATGTAACAAAATTCTGTTTAAAAACACGAAACTTCAAAGTTCTCCTAAACTATTTTTGCCATAAGATCTATTGTTGCTTCGTCCCCAACATTTGGATGTCTACTAAACATTTTTGATAATTTAAATAAATTCTATTAATTTACATTCAATAAAATTTCCATTTTTAGTAGACAGTTTGACGAAACTCACCACGATCAAGATTGAGAATATCTTTGTCACCCAGACAATCCCCAGTGGAACTGTGCTGTCACACTCTGTTCCTACTCAGGCTTTCTGGAACTATAGGCTTGCTTTGTTTAGATCTTCATATAAATGGAATCAGTATGTACATAGTATGTCGGCTTTGGTGCCTGTCTTATTTCAGTTACCCTGAGTCTTTGAGACTCTGTTCAGTAATTTTCAGTCTTTTTTCTCTCTGTACTTCATTTTAGATAATTCTTTTCTAGTTTTTTGCTTGATTTTTTTTCTTCTGCTTATAGGTCATATTTTCCTGCTTTTTGTCCATACCTGGTAATTTTTACCTGGGTGCTAGATGTTGTGACTTTTACTTTGTTGAACACTGGATTTTGTCAGGGACCTTTTTTCCTTTTTATGCATTAGATTTTTTTCTGGCAAGAATTACATTCCCTGAGAATCAGTTAGATAATTTCAAGACTTCTATGTTAATCTTTGTTGCAATGAACCCAGAACAGTTTTTTCTTCTGGGAATAATATAGTATTAATACTCAAGTACTGCCTTTTTGAACATTATACCTAATGACTTGCTTATTATGAGGTCTCTCTACTCTTGCTGATGAGAACACAAACTATTCCCAGGGTAAACTCAGAAAATTATACTACCTACTGCTCTCTGGTGTGTTTCCCTCACTCAAGCTTTGGAGAGTTTCATCCTACCACATACAGATAAATACAATGGGTCAAAAGTATCCCTCTGCAGATGCTGGGAACTCCCTTAAAGAGCAGCTTTCTTTTCTTTTTTCTTTCTTTCTTTTCTTTTTTTTTTGTACTCTGCCCACAAATTATATCTGTCTTGGTTCCCCAAACTCTGATCTCTGTCTCTTTAATTCAGAGTGAGAACACTACACCCTGTTACAATTACCACTCTTTGCTCTGTGGCATGGGCACTTACTTCCTGTAGGAAGTAAGTTCATGCAATTATAGTGATACAGGAGTGCTAGGAAGAGAAGAGCATGGTCCCTTTAAATGATACAGAAGTGGCGAAGGGAAGTGCTGGGCAGAGGAGGGCGTGGTCCCTGGCTAGGGCTCCACTCCCACGGACCTATGTGAGGACAGGGACTCCTGCCTTCTTGCCCAAATGTTGCATTTCCCAAGACCACCTGGCCTGCCACACCCCCACCGTGTGCCTATAGAAACCCCTGAGACCCTAGCAGGCAGACACAAGTGCTGGACATCATGAGGAACACATCATCAGAAGAAGACATAAGCGGCTGGTCATCAAGAGCACGCCAGCGGAAGAGCATGCCAACCTGCAGGCCAGCGGGTCATTGACTGGCAGAATGACATGGAGTTTGGCTGGGGCAGCTGGAGGAGAGCCAGGGCTGCCCAGGGACCCCACTCCAGGGGAAGACCATCTCCCTTCTGGCTCCCCTGTCTGCTGAGAACTACTTCTCCTCAATAAACCTTGAACTCATTCTCCAAGTCCACATGTGATCCAATTCTTCCAGTACACCGAGGCAAGAAACCCTGGGATACAGAAATCCCTCTGTCCTTGTGATAAAAGGAAGGGGGTCTGATTGAGCTGGTTAACACAAGCCACCTATAGACAGCAAACTAAAATAACACCTTGTAACACACGCCCACTGCGGCTTCAGCTGTAAACATTCACCTCTAGACACTTCCATGGGGTCAGAGCCCCACAGTCTGCCCGTCTGTATGCTCCCCTAGAGGTCTGAGCAGCAGAGCACTGAAGAAGTGAACCATACTCCCATTCCACGCCCTGCGAGGGGGACAAGGGAAACTTTCTCGTTTTAATAGAACTCACCTACATTGTATCTCCTCTCTTCTAGATCACAATTTAAATTGTCTGTTAGCCAATGTCTGAAAACACATTTTATAAATTTTGTCAATTATTCTAGTTGTTTACAGCAAGAAGGCAATTCTCATAGCAATTAACTTTTCGCAAACAAGAGAAAAAAGGAGAGAATATATGCAATTATATTGTCTTTTTAATTTACCTTTATAATGACCTTTACTAGTTTTATTTGTATTTTTGCATGATTCAAATTACTGTCTAGGGTCACTAGCTTTCTGCTTAAATAATTTACTTTAATATGTCCTCAGGTAGGTCTACTACCAACAAATTCTCTCAGCTTTTGTTTATCTGGGAATGTCTTTATTTTGTCTTTATGTTTGAAAGAGTTTTTCTGAATAAAAGATTATTGATTGACAGTTTTTATTTTCAGTACTTAAATATGTTATTCCACTGCCTTCTGGCTATGATTATTTCTGATGATAAGTCAGTGATTAATCTTATCGGAATCCTCTTGTACGTGATGGGTCATTTTTCTCTTGCTTTTTTCAATATTTGTCTCTTTATTTTTGGCTTCCAACATTTTTTACAAAGATTTGCCTGAGTATGTATCTCTCTCAGTTTACCCTACTTGAAAATCGCTGAGCTTCTTGGATAGCTAATGTTCACCACCAAATTTAGGGAGTTTTTTTCATTATTTTTTCAAGTATTTTTTCTATCCCTATCTCTCTCTCCTCTGTTTCTGATAATCTAATTACATACATGTTGATGCACTTAATAGTGTTCTATATATCTCTGAATCTCTTTGTATTTCTCTTCTTCTTTTCTCTCTGTTCTTGCAGATTGCATAATCTTTATTAATCTGTCTTCAAGATTGCTGAATCTTTCTTCTGCCAGTTCAAATTTGCTGTTGAAAGGGTGCCAATTCTCATCACTCCTGTTCAACATAGCACTGGAAGTCCTAGCCAGAGCAATCAGACAAGAGAAAGAAATGAAAAGCATACAAATAGGAAAAGAAGAAATCAAACTAGTTCTCTTTTATAGATGATATGATTCTATACCTAGAAAACCCTAGACTGCCAAAAGGCTCCTGGAATTGATAAAGGACTTCAGTAAAGTTTCAGGATACAAAATCAATATACAAAAGTTAGTAACATTTGTATACAACAATAATGTTAAAATACCTACAAAAAAAGTACTTAGGAATACATCTAACCAAGGAAGTAAAAGATTTCTATAAAGAAAAGTATAAAACACTGCTGAAGGACATCATAGATGACACAAACAAATGAATAATATTCCATGCTCATAAATTGGAAGAATCAATATTGTTAAAATGGCTATACTGCCCAAAGCAATCTACAGATTCAATGCTATTTCTGTCAAACTACCAACATCATTTTTCACAAAATTAGAAAAAACTACTCTAAAATTCAAATGGAAGTTAAAAAAAAGAGAGAGCCCTAATAACCAAAGCAATCCTAAGTAGAAAGAACAAAGCTGGTGATATCACATTACCTAACTTCAAACTCTCCTATAAGGCTACAATAAACAAAACAGTATACCACTGGTACAAAAACAGACATATAGACCAGTGGAACAGAATATAGATCCCAGAAATAAAGCTGCACATCTAAAGCCATCTGATCTTTGACAAAGTTGCCAAAAATAAGCAATGAGGAAAGGAAACTCTATTCAACAAATGGTGTTGGAATAGCTGGCTAGTCATAGGCAAAAGAATGAAACTGGACCCCTACTTTTCACCGTACACAAACATCAACTCAAGAAGGATTAAATATTCAAATGTAAGACCTCAAACTATAAAAGTCCTAGAAGAAAACCTGGTAAACACCATTCTGGACATCAGCCTTGGCAAATAATTTATGACTAAGTCCTCAAAAGCAATTGCTACACAACCAAAAATTTACAAGTGGAACCTAATTAAACTAAAGAGTTCCTGAACAGCAAAGGAAACTATCAACAGAATAAAAAGACAACCTACAGAATGGGAGAAGATATTTGCAAATTATGCATCCTACAAAGGTCACATATCCAGAATCTATAAGGAAGTTAAACAATTCAACAAGCAAAAAACAAATGACCCCATTAAAAAGCGGATAAAAGACATAAACAGACATTTTTCAAAAGAAGACATACAAGTGGCCAACAAATGTATCAAAAAATGCTCAACATCACTAATTATCAGACAGACACAATGAAAACCACAATGGGATATCCTCTCACACCAGTCAGAATGGCTATTATTAAAAGGTAAAAAAAAAAATGTACTCTGGCAAGGCTGCAGAGAAAAGGACGTGTTGATACACTGTTAGTGGGAATATAAATTAGTTCAACCACCTACAGAAAATAATTTGGAGATTTCTCAAATAACTTAAAACAGAACTACCATTCAACCCAGAAATCCCATTACTATGTATATATCCAAAAAAAGTCACTCTATCAAAAAGACACATGCACTCACATGTTCATTGCAGCACTGTTCACCATAGCAAAGAGATAATATCAACCTAGGCGCCCATCACCATGGACTGGATATAGAAAATGTGGTACATATACACAACGGAATACTATGTAGCCATAAAAAAGAGCAAAATTATATCCTTTGCAGCAACCTGGATGCAGCTGGAGGTCATTATCCTAAGCAAATTAATGCAGGTAGAGCAAACCAAATACCACATGTTCTCACTTATAAGTGGGAGCTAAATATTGAGTACTCATGAACATAAAGATGGAAACAGTAGATACTGCTAGAGGGGCGTGGGAGGGAGTGAAGAAGACAAAAGCTGAAAAACTAGCTATTGGATACTGTGCTCACTACTTCGATGATAGGATAATTTGTAACCTAAACCTTAGCATCACACAATATACCCATGTAAAAAAAAACTGTTTATGTATACCCTGAATCTAAAATAAAGGATGAAATTATTTTAAAAATAAATAAACATCTTAATCAGTTAATTTTTTAAAATAATTACAGAAAAATACCAAAAAATTACTTTTGAGGTTCTCTGGTGGTTATTGTAATTTTTGACTCCAGAAATTCCCTCTGATTCTTTTTAATAATTTTTATCTCTGTACTGATATTTTCTAGTTGATGAAGCATCATCCTTGCCATCTTCCTTTAATTCTGTAAGCATGGTTTCCCTTGGTTCTTTGGACATAATCATCATAGTTGCTTTTGGGCTCTCTATTTTGTTCCGTTCATCTATATGTCTATTTTTATGCCAACATCATAATGTTTTGATAGCATTTGTTAAGGATTGCATTTTTCATTTATTTGCATCTTCTTCAATTTCTTTCATCAAAGTTTATAGTTGTCAGTGTAAACATCTTTTACTCCTTGGTTACATTTATTTCTGTATATTTTTGTTATGCTATTGTAATGGGAACATTTTCTTGACATCTTTTACAGAGAATTCATTGTTACAATACAGAAAAGCAATTGAGTTTTTTTTTTTTATTTCCTGGAATGCATTTTCAATTACATTAACTTTTTTATTCTGAAATAAAGAGTACAGCAGTCAGAGAAGTATGATTTAGTGAAGCATATAATAAAACAAATTATAAAAAACATTTATTGCAAAAGATTGATCTTCTTCCACATCAATATAGCATAATAACATAACCTCAGGCAAGTCTTTGCAAGTCTGCCAAAAAATCCCATGAGTAGCAGGGTGCCAATCATAGTTTATGTGACAAAGTGTTGGCGAATATTTCAAGAAGAGAAACTTTTCAAGAGTTTCTTTCATTAACAAATACCAAATGGTAATAACATTGTTAGTAAACACCAAGAATTATCCTTAGCAAACTATCAGAGGAACAGAAAACCAAATATAGCAATTGATTTTTATGTGTTGATTTTTTTCTAACACAGCTTTAATGAATTAATTCATTGTTCTAAAAGTTTTTGGTGGATTCTAAGGGGTTTTCTACATATAAGATCATGTCCTATGCAAAAAGATATAATTTTAATTTTTCCTTTCTAATGTGAATGCCTTTTTTCTTTCTTGCCTAATTCCTCTGGCTAGGATATCCAGCACTATATTTAATAGAAATTGTTAAAGTAGACATCTTTGTCTTTCCTAATCGTAAAGGAAAAGCTTTCAGCTTTCACCATTATGATGTTAGCTGTGAGTCTGTCATATATGGCCTTCATTATTTTGAAGTAAATTCCTTCTTTACCTAAATTGTTGAGAGTTTTTGTCATTAAAAGAGTTTGAATATTGTTAAATGCTTTTCTTACATCTACTGAGATAATTATATGATTTTTATTCTCTATTGTGTTAATGTGTTGTATTTTTTTATTTCTATATGTTAAATAATCCTTATATTGCAGAGATTAAATCCCATTTGATGGTTATGTATGATCCATTAATGTGCTGTAGGATTCAGTTTGCTGGTATTTTGTTGAGGATTTTTTGCTTCTATGTTTATCAGGGATATTTGCCTATAATTTTCATAGTGTCCTTATCTAGATTTGGTAACAGGATAGTGCTGGTCTTGTAAAATAAGATCGGAAGTGTTTTATCCTCTTCAAATTTTTGGAAGAGTTCAGGAAAAATGGTTATGAATTCTTCTATAACTGTTTGGTAGAAGGCACCAGTGAAGCAGTCTGGTCCTGGGCTATTCTTTATTGGAAGGTTTTAGACTACTGATTCAGCCTCCTTACCCCTATGGGTCTGTTTAGATTTTTTATTTCTTCATGATTCAGTCTTGGTAGATTATATATGTCTAGGAATTTATTCATTTATTCTAGGTTATCCAATGTGTTGGCATATAATTTTTCATGGTAGTCTTTTTTTGTATTTCTGTGTTATCAGTTAAAATGTCTTCTATTTCTGATTTACTTGAATTTTATCTCTTTTTTTTCCCTTAGTCTAGTTAGATGTTTGTCAATTTTATTTATCTTTAAAAAAACTTAGTTTCAGTGAATTTTTCTGTTGTTTTCTACTGTCTATTTATTTCTGCTGTGATCTTTGTTATTTCCTTCCTTCTGATAACTTTGGGCTTGGTTTGTTTTTCTTTGTCTAGTTGCTTGAGGTGCAAAGTTAAATTGTTTGAGAGCCTTCTTTTTTCTGTAGGAATTATTGCTGTAAACATCCTATTGAACTGCTTTTGCCACACCCTATAAGTTTTAGTACATTCTGTTTCCATTTTTGTTTATCTCAAAGTATTTTTAGATTTCCATTTTGATTTCTTGTTTAAGACATTGGTTGCTATGGAGTGTGTTTTTAATTTCCACATATTTTTGAGTTTTCCAGGTTTTCTCTTGTTACTGATTTCTAGTTTCAAGCAGCTGTGGTTTCAGAAAATATACTTGATATAATTTACATCATTTCTAATTTGTTTAGACTTGTTTTGTTGCGTAATATATGGTCTATCCTATCTATGTTTGCTTGAGAAGAATGTATATTCTACTACTGTTGGATGGGATGTTCTATATGTCACATACATTTGGTCTAAAACATAGTTCAATTCCGGTGATTTCTTATTGATTTTTGTGAAGATGACCTATCTATTGTTAAAAGTAGGATATTAAAATTACTAGCATTATTGTCTTACTGTGCATTTATCACTTCCATTCTGTTAATAGTTGCTTAGAATATTTAGGTTTTTTGACATTGGGTTCATATCTGTCTATTATTGGTATATGCTGAGGCTCTCTCAGACCTAGTCTATGCATGCACCTGCTCTACACATCTTGTTCCCTCTTGAGGGAAGGGAGAATTTTTAATATTGTATGCCTTCTCTTGATCCCAATAAGCCAGGCCAAGTTCTGTGAACCTCTCATTTATTTTTCCTTGAGTAGCGTCTGAAATGCGCACTTTGTATGCCTTCTCCCAATCCTGCAGTCAGGCCAGCTGTCTGCACACACTAGAGAGACATCTGAAGAGGCTAACACTTGCCATCCATGGGGATGCATGTGGGATGCTGGCCTCAGAAATAGGGAGTGAGTTGTATGGAGCATCGAGGGTGCCCATGGGCCAATTGGTGGGGATCTCTAGGTGAGGTGTCCCAAGCAGCTCATAGGTGGACTTTCTTATGAAGTCCATGAAGTGGTTTGTAGGCTCCATGGCCATTTGTTGAGGACTAAGTCCTGCTTGCTGTGAATCCCTGCCTGTCTTTCCTGTTCCCAGCCCCTCTCAACCATTCAGACATGCTGATTACCTCAGTATTCTGGGTGGGGCAAGTAACAAGTGGGTTCAGGATGCCAGGTACTCATTATTCCCCCACTTGTACCCATGGGAGGAATCGTAGCCCAAGGGGGAAGGTCTCACTTGGCACTGAGCTGTGCCACCTTGGGAGAGGAGTGTTGTGGATAAAGTGACATTCTTCTTCTTCCCCTTATCAACACATCTATTCTCAGATGTTTTTTGCCCCAACTGTATGCTGGAACTTCTCTGCTAGGCTCCTGGACTCCATAAAGTTACTCTCAACCATAGGTAGTTGTCAAAATTGATGTTTCTATGAGGAGATCATGGTAGAAAAGTCCTATTGTGCCGTCTTGCTGATTTCTCTCTTCTTTCACTTATTTTTTTTTAGGCACAAACTATTCTCCCAATAAATAAATATAAGTATGTATTTATATTTTAATTAATTCTAAGAATTGTATCTATGTTAACTTTGAGGTAAAGGGTTTGTGAGGTAAGAGATGCAGAACAGTAGAGGAGCACAGGAAATCGGCTTTAAAATCAGATTGCCTAAATGTAAATCCCGGTTCTGTATACCACTTATTAGGTATGTGATTTTCAACAATTTACTTAACCTCTCTGTGCTTTTTTTTCTCATTTTAAAATGCAGATAATAACTGTACTTAGTTCAAAGGGTTGAGAAGGCTAAATGAGTTAATTTATGTAGAGTAGTTAGAATAATACTTATGATACAGTAAGTAGACAAAATATATAAAGTAATGTTTATTTTTAATAAAAACCTTTTCACATAGACTTGTAGACAGAAGTAGAACTGCCTTCAATATTGACCCTGTGAAGCAGGCTGATTAGGTGACATTATAATGAGCATATGTGAAAATGAGGCACATATCAGTCGATGACTTGCCTATGCTCATACCATTAAGAAGTGACTGGCTCAGGACTAGAGCAGGATCTGATGAATGAATAAATATACTGCATCACCTACCATGTTACTGAGTTAATTTTGAGTATAAAAAATAATAAATTGCAGCTGGGCATGGTGGCTCACACCTGTAATCCCAGCAGTTCAGGACACTGAGGCGGGTAAATAACTTGAGGCTAGGAGTATGAGACCAGCCTGGCCAACATAGCAAAACCTCATCTCTACTAAAAATACAAAACTACTTGGGCATGGTGGTGCATGCTTGTAGTCCAAGCTGCTCAGGAGGCTGAGGCAGGAGAATCGCTTGAACCCAGGAGGTGGAGGTTGCAGTGAGCCAAGATCATGTCACTGCACTCCAGCCTGGGTGACAGAGTGAGACTCCATCTCAAATAAAAATAAAAATAAAAAATAGCCAGACATTTGTGGCACACACCTGTAGTCTCAGCTACTCCAGAGGCTGAGGTGGCAGAATCAGCTGAGCCCAGGAAATCGAGGCTGCAGTGGGCCATGATTCCACAAGTGCCTCTCTCAAATAATAATCAAAAAGTTGCATTTGAATAGTTCTTTAGAGTTTACTGTTTTCATGTAACTTATCCCAGGTACTTTAACAAGTGGTGGAGTAGGTAGTGCTATGTGAACAAAGTGATGTCACTGTCCTCTAAGAGATTCCAAGTCAAAGGCACACAGCTAGTGAGAGGTAGACTAGGACTACCTGTAGGGCCAGTACACTTACCTCTCCACCAGGCTGCCTCAGCACACTTGCTCTCAGGACAATCATATCATCTCCTACTCCATAGAAGCTTCTTATTTCATATTTACAGCACTGTTCAGTCAGGTGAATGGTGACTATTACTCATAAAATCACCAGTGCTCATTGAGGAGGCTCGGGATTACAACAGTTTAGCATTCTTGTTCCACAACTAAGATTTTAAAGTTTCAGGAGGCAATCTGGGGCTATTGCTTCCATTTTTTTTTCCAGTTGGGTAGTTTACCCAGGTGGGTAGTTTAAACCTGGAGGCCTTTGCAATTCTTCCATCTTTCTGCTCAGCTAAGTTCACACTGTATTTTTCAATAGCAAGATCTTACTCTATGACTTGATTTCTCTCAGTAAAAAAAATATGCCGGGCGCGGAGGCTCAGGCCTGTAATCCCAGCACTTTGGGAGGCCGAGGCAGGTGAATCACGAAGTCAGGAGATCAACACCATCCTGGCTAGCATAATGAAACCCCGTCTCTACTAAAATTAGCCGGGGGTGTTTGCAGTGAGCCGAGATCGTGCCTCTGCACTCCAGCCTGGGCGATAGAGTGAGACTCCATCTCAAAAAATAAATAAATAAATAAATAAATAAATAAATAAATAAATAAATAAATAAAATATTACCTGCATATATGTTCACAAAGTAATGTGGGTACTGACTCACTCACTCATTTACCAACCTTATGCCAAATTCCTCAAATGTCAAAAGACACAGAAAATGTTTAATCAAAGTTTTAATCACAGTTAACATCTCTATGAAATATCATGTCACTATGTAATTTTTCATAATTTTTTAGTTTTAGAGGTAGAAAAATGCCATGTAACATTCCCTCATGGATTAAAATATATTAATGTCAATATTTTACAAAAGAAACACTCTGCCACCTTAATTAGGGTATTTAAGTGCTGCTTATTTGTTCAGTGAAGATGGATTTTTCTCACACTGGCTCTTATTGTGTTTGGATATATTTATACAAACAAAAACAGCTGACTCACAACATGAGTTGTGATGATATTCATATAATATTTAAAATGTTTAACTTTTCAAAATATGAAAATAGTTTATTCCTGTTTAACTTTTTAAAACTACATAGTCCTCCTAAAATATTTTTTAAAATGCAGAAAATAAAAAATCACCCATCACACTGAAAGATAACCACAATTAACATTTTTAAAACTTACTTCCAGATATTTCAGAGATATACAAATCATTTGCAATATACTTTTGTAACTTTGTTTTCACTCAGAAGTATTTGTACTTACATTTCCATATTAACAAATACAGATATGTAGTAGCCTTTTTTCTTTCATTGGAACAAGTTTGTAGCTTTTGGTTTATTTTCTACTACAAATGTAGTGTTTTAACACTATCTCTCCATTCAAAGCATTCTATTATTGGGCAATACAAGGTTAATTTTTGGTTAGTTTTAGTTGTACCTTTGTTATCAATTCTTGGTCCCATCTACTCTTCTTATATACACAATACATTTGCCATATGTCCCTGGATATACATTATAATGTATCCTTACAAATCATATAATGTTAGCTTGTAGGCACATATGTGTTAATTTATTGTATTAGCAAAGAGCAATGTACACCACCACAAAGTACACTAACAAACTGAACTAAGCAAGCCACACAGGAATACATTATTATTCATAATCTCCATTTACCAGTGTTTTTCCTTTGACCCATTTTGACTGCAGACACTGTCTTGAACATGTTTTGCATGGTTTTACCCCACCATTGTGCAAAAGAAGCAAACACAAGACAACGAGTCAAAGGAATTTTCTCTGGCACTTCCACATTTTGTTCAAAACCTGAATAAATTGTTTCTCCATCTGCAGCTTACGAAGATGTTTCTCTGTCCTTGTCTCTTTAACTCATCCTCTCCTCTTCTTCAAAATTCTTTACACCAAACGATATTCTTCTTATTTCAGTGTAAGAACCTATATTTTACAATAGTGCTTTTTTAAATGTATTGATTATAAATTTAACATTTTTTAAATGGTGCCATGTGTTTATTAGAATTATTATTATCTGTGTTAGAGTTCTTTTTATAAAATTGTAAAGCTTCAGAGTGAGCTGTCTCAATCTTATTTCTCCCATGAGCCCTGTTATTGTTATTTCATAAGTTTTCAGTTGAGTTGCTTATTTCAGGAGCTCATATATTGTATTTCCCTATGAATGGGCCGCTGTTTTACTGCCAATCTATATTTGTGCACATGTAACTTATTGACTTGTGGTATTTATCGGAGTGAAATTGCTGGATAATAGGTTATATGAATATTTAATTTAACTATACGCTGAAAGATTTATTTTCAGAATGGATGTAATGGTTCCGATTTCCACCAATGTTTCCCCCATATGATGGTTTTATAAGCTAAATAATATTCCATCTTATGGAAGGAGGTACCATACTTTATTTCACTATTCCTCTATTTTTGGGGCTTTGTGTTATTTCCACATTTTGATATATTATATTAAAACTCATAGATATACATATGATATGGTTTGCCTGTGTCCCCACCCAAATCTCATCTTGAATTCCCACATGTTGTGGAAGGGACCCAGTGGGAGGTGATTAAATCATGGGGGCTGGTCTTTCCCACACTGTTCTCGTGAAAGTGAATAAGTCTCATGAGATCTGATGGTTTTAAAAAGGGGAGTTTCCCTGCACAAGCTCTCTTCTCTTGAGTGCCACCATGTGAGATCTAACTTTCACCTTCCGCCATAATTGTGAGGTCTCCCCACCCACGTGGAACTATAAGTCCAATAAACCTCTTTCCTTTGTAAATTGCCCAGTCTCAGGTTTGTCTTTCTCAGCAGCGTGAATACTGACTATTACTACATCCTTCTCTTTTTAAATCTTTGTCCAGCATTTTGACTATTTTTAAAAGATAATTTCCTAAAAGTGTAGAAATAGTGGATGAGAAAATAACAAATGTATAACATTTTCAATTCATATTGCCAAATTGCTTTCTAGAAAGCTTCTGCCAATTACATTGCCCATTGGAAATTCCTCATGTGTTAATTCACAAAATATTTATTAAATACCCACCATTTTCTAGGTACCCTTTCAGGCCATTAGAGATTCAACAAAGAGTGAATCACCATTCTTTGGGGGAGTTTTGTGGGGGTGGGAAGCTAAAGAGTGATAGAATCTCAGTGGGAATTAACTTCAGGGCCAAGCAACATTGAGGTGGACTGGTGGAAATATTTTTAGAAAGACAAGTGCCAAACATTGAATTCTCTATTCACATTTCTCATACTAGGGTTCTCCATCTCTACTTTCAGTGGTCTTTTACACATGCAAATGTTGTGTAAGTTGACTTTATAAAAACTGAGAAATGAAATTTTATTCTATTTCAAGGTTGACACAGTTTAATAGAAGGACAAATGGAGTAGTATGGAAAAACGGACCCTAAAACTGAACTACTTCAGCGGGCACACAAACTCAAACATGGATACAATGAAAACACTTCAAAGATATCTTTGGAATGTGATTGCTACAATGTATGGAATGGGAGTTCAGAACACCCTTACCTGAGTATTAAGGGACAGGGTGATTACATTAGCTGGCATCTGGGCAATATTTGTACACTCCGTGACTCCCTAAGATCCAGGCCCTAGGGAGTGCATTAGCTATCCTATCCAAAATGGAATGCCTTGTCCATCCTGTCTAAAACTGACCACATCTGCAGAGACCAGTTTTGGCTGCAATTAAGATATCAGATAAGAAAGCCTCTGCTCACACATTCTTTCCTACAATACTGCATGCTGGGATAACCTGTTGTTTCTGATAAAGCACAGTCTCATTTCATATCAATCACATCGTTCTATCACTCAATACCTACATTTATATTTCTACGAACTGAAAAGGAAAAAGTTATGTTACAAAATCTGCTGTGAAATAAGACCCATTTTTGTTGACGGGCTTAGCAACCTTACATAAATTGAGCGATTGCTCTGAGAAAATATGCAGCATGTAAACCTACCAGCAATGTTATCAATTTATTCTTCTCTGATAGATCAAGGGCAGAATGTCGGTAGTCCATCTTTGGGAGTCACAAAATTTATAGATGGGGAAGATTACTTGATGCAGGAGCCTTATCAGGAGATGCAGATTGTTACCAGCAGCAAGGAAATGACTGTTATACTTGCAAACGAGGGGCTTTATTATATGCTTCACTGGGTCACTGTAAACATTCCTGGGGTGTCTTTGACTAAGGCATATCTTTGCCCCTGCATCCTTTTGAAAATATTTATGAGGTACAAAAGTAGAAATCAGCTTTGACACTAATATCAATCTTGACTGTCTTCCAAGTGCAAAGTTGATTTATCTTTCTGGGAGAGGACCATGAGAAAGAAACTGATATTGCTATTAGGTCACCGACTCCAGCCATGGGGGACAGCTCATTGTAATATGCTTATTTGTTTTTCATCTTATCTTTGTAGACTTTGTAAAGAATAATGTTTCCACAACCTCCTAAGGAGAATTCATGTAAATGTATATAAAGAAAGTTCTTTGGTAGCCTAACTCCCTTTTATTAATTGTCATAAAAAAATTTTTTTATTCTCTGCTAAACTCTGTAATCTCCATCTAAGTCTGTAGATTTCCCTTTTTTCAGACATTAAATTCCTTCTAAGAAAAATTAAGCAAAAACTACACAGCAAATTAATGCCTATCACTAGGCCTTGAGGATGTATAATACTTAAAATAGAGAATATTACTCTTTCTTTCCTTCATTAATTACCCTCTTTGATGTAAAATGAAAAAAAAGGATTTTTTTCCTTCCAAAAGTCATGATTTTTCTCTATTTGATAAACATTTTCTAGAAGCCAGACTTTTAAACTTTTTAATATTTTTTATAATTACAATATAAAATCCCTATTCATCTCTTTCTAGACCACATCCTTAATCCTAGATACTGGAAAGACCCAGAAGGAATAGAGAATAATGAACTATTTCTATCAAGTAGCACTAACTTACAAAGACTTGAAAAACTTTGATAGTCTGAGATAAGGGTGCCTGGGGCTTAAAGAAAGAGCCATTTATTCATTCAACAAACATTTATGAAGGGCTCATTATGTGTCAAGCATTGCACTGGGTGCCAGAGATAGAAAAATAGACAAGACATATTTAAGCCATAAAATAATATGTACTCTAACAGTGTTAATAGTTGCCGTGTATGCAGCATTTGGCACAAAAGAGGGAGGTTTCAATTTTTTCTTGGGGTTTGGGAAGCAGGAAAGCCTACCTAAAAGTTTCCAAAATTGAGATTGAAAGATAGGTAAATCTTTGTCAGGGACACAAGACAAAGAGAGGAAAAGTAGAAGAGGAAAAAAGAAGCTCTCGTCCCTTAGGGACCACAGCACACAAGAGGGTAGCTAAATAAATGTTCACTGAACAATTATCTAAACATTACGCACATGTCCTTACACATCAATATTCTCTGCCTTCAGAATTTAAGTTTGAACCCTTAATTCAACAAGGGTGTTTTTTGCTGTTGTTTTTAAGGACCATAAAAAAGTAAATACTTGATGACTGCTTTTTGGTAAAGAGAAGTAAAAGAGAAGGAGGAGCAAAGGGTTATATTTTGATTTTTTACAAATTGCAAGACTCTGACCTCCTTCCTCACTGCCGATTAGATAATGGGAAAAACACTGAGCCACTTTTTATCAGAGGAAAAAAACAGTCACTGTTGCCCGTTGTCTGGGCTGAGGTTCCTCTGTAAGTCTGGTGCACCGTATTGTTTATTTCTTTTACCTAACAGTAATGAAGAATATGCGTGCTCTTTTCCTGATGGAAATTGTGCCTCTCAACTTTGCTATAACCCTACCTGCATTTCATCAGAGAAAAAGAAAAAACACCTATTAAACAGGAGCTATTTTCTTCCGTGAGATAATCAGAGCCTTCTACCTTTTCACTTCCCAAAACAATCAGCCAAAGCAAAAAAAAATCAGCGCCTCCGTATTCCCCCTGGGTTCTGAGGAGAGTTCTTTCTCTGACTGATGGGGTATTTGGGCTTTTGCAATGTTACAACAAAGAAAGGGAATCACAAAGATAGTAAGTAGGAAAAGGAGAAGAATTAGCCAAAATTGTTGTTTTATATGATCAAATGGTCAGAGAAGGCTGGGAAAATGAAGAGGAGAGAAAAGCCACAGGCAGGGGATGGGGGCAGATAACAGAGAATGCAGGAAGTAAGAATCTGAGGGAGGCGGTGGAGGAGCTGCAGAACATAATGGAAGTAGCCAGGTTTTAAAAGAAAAGTTTAAGAAACTGTGCTGCCCCCTATATATTTAGAGCCCCTTCACAGCTCTCATGAAATACTAGTAAACAGTTTGAATCATTTTAAATGTACCTTGATTTTTCAGGACTGTATTTCTTTTATCATACTTGTGCTCCAATATTAGACCGTATAGCTCCAGTTTCACAAGCTTTATGTCTTGACATGGTCAGCCATAATATTAATACTGCTCTGTCCAACACAGTAGCCACCAACCATGTGTGGCTATTCCATACTTGAAGTGTGGCTGGTGTGAATGGAGATGAATTTCAAGTACGGCATAGACACAGAATTTTGAAGACAGTAACAAAGAAAAAAGGAATCAAAACATTACATTAATAATTTGTATATGAAGTACATGTTGAAATGATAATATGTTGACTATATTGGGTTAAATAAAATATATTATTAATATTAAAGTCATCTGTTTATTTTTTATTTTTTTTAGTGTGGCTACTAAAAAAGTTCAAGTTACATATGTGGCTTGCACTTGTGGCTTGAACTATATGAATTATATTTCTATTAGATAGTGGTATACTAATTTATAATGGAAACAAACCATGAACCATGACTGCACATCCTGTGTGAGAAGGACGTTGTACTAGTTAGGATTCTCTAGAGGGATGGAACTAATAGGATATATATACATATGATATTTTCATATATAGACATATAATCATATATGATTTTATATATATACGATTATATATATATGAAGGGGAGTTTATTAAAGATAATTGACTCACACAATCACAAGATGAAGTCCCACAATAGGCTGCTTGCAAGCTGAGGAGCAAGGAAGCCAGTCTGAGTCCCAAAACCTCAAAAGTAGGGAAGCTGACCGTGCAGCCTTCAGTCTGTGGCCGAAGGCCCGAGAGCCCCTGGCAAATCATTGGTGTAAGTCCAACAGTCCAAAAGCTGAAGAATTTGGAGTCTGATGTTCAAGGGCAGGAAACATCCAGCATGGGAGAAAGATGTAGGCTGGGAGGATAAGCCAGTCTAGTCTTTGCACATTCTTCTGCCTGCTTTTATTCTGGCCATGCTAGCAGCTGATTAGATGGTGCCCACCCAGATTGAGGGTGAGTCTGCCTTTCCCAGTCCACTGACACAAATGTTAATCTCCTTTGGCAGCACCCTCACAGACACACCCAGGATCAATACTTTATATCCTTCAATCCAATCAAGTTGACACTTAATATTAACCATCACAGACTTTACATGAGATTTTCTGTAGGATATGAAGCATTATAACATAGCAGTTGAGTTCATGAGATCTGGAGTACATACTTCTGTGTTTACTCCTAACCGCAGTATACATGAGTGTGTGATCTTGGGTGAAACATTCAATGTCTTTGGGCCTCTTTTTTGTAATCTCAAAAGTAGTATTGATAATAATACCTTTTTCACAGGGTGGTTAATATAGATAAAACATTTAGAACAGTGTTTTACATGCCTGGCACATAATCAGAATTCAATAAATATTAGCTTTCATTATTAATACTATTAAGGAGAGAAGGCTACGAAAATGTATGGTGTGCCCTTCTGGATTTTATTTATGTCTTTATAGCTTCATGAGGGCAGGAACTGTTTTTGTTTTGTTCTCTTCTTTACATGTAATAGATAATACAATGTGTGGTAGGAACATATTTAATAAATGTTGAATAAATGAGTAATGAGCAAAGAATTAATTAATGGACAGTACAAATAAACCCATTTTAGAGAAGGGATAATTGAGGTTTATGAAATTTCAGAGGTTAAAAATGTTGAATGAAGTCACACATAATTCATAGATGTTAGAACCAACATTTAAATCCAAATTTACGTGAACATACACAATCTATGAATTCAAGGAACATTCTGTCAAGTTAGAGAAATAAAAAATGTATTTTAAATAAATAAAAAACAACAGTAATACTACCAGCCCATAAAGGATGTCATTTACATAACCTGATCAATGCTTACTAAGGAAGTTGAGTGTAGGAAGACTTCACATCTAGCATGGGTGGGCAGGAAAAGCTCAGAAGAGATGGGATGGAAGCCAGACCCCTTGAGAAGCCTTGAGCTTGATTTGGTGGATGCTTGTTTTGAGGAAAGGGATCACTCCTTGCAAATAAAACAGACTGAGCACAAACGTGGAAGTTGGAATCCCTAAGGAAGGATTTGAAGCTCTGAAATGGCTCTCTTTTCCTGGAGAAGAGAGTATATGTAAATGTATTAAATAAGATTTAGGCAGAAACAGACTTGGGGTTAGATCTTAGACTTTGAATGAAGGCCAGACTAAGGAGTTAGTGTATCAAGCAAGTAATGGGATACTACTATTTTCTTCTTCTAAGTATAGTCAAGACATAATAGTAGCAATGTACGGGAAGAAGTAGGAGAAAAGGGATATTGGAGGTGGGGAAATAATCTAAAAGACTTGAAAAATCCAGCCATGAGGTAGTAAAGGTAAGCACTAGGGATTCAGAAATAGGAATGGAAAGAAAGGGAGCAATTTCAGAGATGCTGAGGACAGTGTTCCAGCTTCAAGGATTTAATCTGAATGATTAGTCACTAAAAGTAAAATGTGACCCAATTAAAGGACAATTAAATCTCAAAAAATATGTTGTAAGTAGAATGGGATTTCAATTCCTTTTATTCTTCTAGTTTTTTTTTATGTATTTATTCTTTTTTTCTCCTATCTTACATATACCCCACAACTGGTTTGTCACAAGGTAGCCATATTACTCAAAAACGCCTAATGAGTTGAATTCCTCCCTTTATTCCTATGTTTTACCACAAGTTTTCTGTTATTTTATATAATTGTTTTTATTACTGGAGTTAATTTAAGAGCTTCTGTGGTGGCTAACAGTATTCATTCACAATTCCTTTCTTCTCTCTCCTTCCTGTCTTGGCTTCCTGTGGGTAGAATATACCATCTGTCCTCCTCCAGCCCAGAAATCTCTACCTGAAATGTCTCACAAGGTGAAGATTTAAATTAAACTGCAGAGCATATTATAATGTAATGAATGTATTCTGCATTAGAGCTTTCTGGGGTTGCCATAACAGTACCACAAACTCAGTGCCTTAAAACAAGAAGAATTTATTCTCTCACAGTTTTGGAGGCCAGAAGTCTGAAATCAAGGTGTTGATAAGGTTGATTCCTTCTAGAGGCCTTGAGGGAGACTCTGTTCCATTTGTCTTTCCTAGCTTCTGGTGGTTGCTGGCAATCCTTGACTTTCTTGAGCTTGTGGACACATTATTCCAATCCCAGCCTCCATTGTCACATGACATTCTCCTTATGTGTCCTTGGGCCCAAATTTCCCTCTTTTTAAGGATACTAGGCATTGGATTAGGGTAAGTCCTAATCCAATATGACCTCTTCCCAACTTGATTATATCTACAAGGACCTTATTTTAAACTAAGGTCACATTCACTGGTTTCGGGGAGACATGGATTTTGAGGAGATAGTCCAGCACACACTTGAATTCCACGTTTGATTATGCTGGTGTACAACTAAGACCCTCTTGTGAAATAAAGCTTTTGATAAACTGTATTTTAAGGTTAAGCTGCTCTGTGTGCTAACATATAAGTGTTAACACAGGCAGAGTCTCATCTCTGCTGATATGAAATGTTCCTTTACTACATATGCTGCTGGGCCACTCAGGGACTCAGAACTCTTGCTCATTCTTGCAGAGATAGGCTTACATTTGGATGGTGGTTCACAGATTAGGACCTAAAACCGAGAGGAGCGCTCTAGAACTTTACCTCATTCTAGAGGAGATTGACTTGGCTGGGTGAAAGGCTGAGTGAAATAGACAATTTCTATTTTTAAGGTTGGATAACTCAGATCTTAAGAAATCTAGCCACACACAGAGACACAAACACACACACATACATATATATGTGTGTGTGTATGTGTATGTTTTATTTATTACTAACTTTTATTTTCACATAAATAAATTTTATTATGACTAAAGGGTAAGGTCATATTCTGCAGGTAGACAGTGATATCTCCTTTAAAAGATTGTACTTTCCCAGTCATTCACTGTGAAAAGAGACAGATACTAGAAGAAGAAATAAGGAAGTCAAATTCAAGACAGAGTTAAGGTGAAAACACCATCTTTTCTCTGTGTCTAGAATGCTTAAAGCTTGGACACTGATTTTAGAGGATCTTTAGGGCATTCCTGGTGTGGGACAAGCAGGCCCCAAGCAAATGGGCTGGCTAGAGAAGGTAGGGAAAGTGCTTTGTAACTAGGTAGGAAGGAACCTTGTAAGAAACACCCGGGGTATGAGCCACAGTCTGACGGCTGTGACTTGCAAAAATGCAACTTGAAAGTTACTCTGTTTTGTGATTCCTTTCTGTTTTCCTAGAGCTTTCAGTAAAACCCCAATAAGTTAAAGTGTGGTATCAAATGTGCTGTAGGGAATTAATAGTCTGTATTTACAACCATCGGAGACAGTAGCCCCTCTGTCCCCCCACCTGTTGACTCCTGCCACCATTCACAATGAAAGTCAACTTAGCGCATAACAAATATTTGAACCAAAAACATGAGCCCTACAGGAGATGACTCAGTGCATTAATGGTAGCCCTTGGGTGGGGGAGAAATGGGGAGTGCAGAGCCAGATGGCCACAGAGGAACACCAAGGGCAAAGATAAGGAAACATACACGAGACACCCCTAACTTCCACCTGCCCATTCTCTGCCTCCTGAACGCACACACACACACACACACACACACACACACGAGAGAGAGAGAGAGAGAGAGAGAGAGAGAGAGAGAGAGAGGAAGTGACATAGATCATAGATAAACAGAATGAGGTCTACTAGCATGGGCTATTAAAGGGTAGTAAGGAGATGATTTGGGTTTTAACTGTTAATATAATCTAACTTGTAGCAACCAGCCAATCAGCTGGGGAGGCCTTCCTGAGAATGTTAAAGTATCATATTAAAAAAAGAAAATGGAAAAGTGAAAGGTGAGTTAGTGAAAATACACCTAGCAAACTAGTCAGCTTCATGAGTACTGGTTTATTTATAACATGGGTGGGCCCTTTCTATCACCCATGGCTGGGATGTTAGTCCATGGTAGGAAGGCTGACTTGGACAATAGGGCACATGAATGGTCTTTCAACTTTCTCCTCAATCTGAAAAACGACACTTTCAGGGTCATACTATTTTCTCTTTTGTTAACATAAACCATAATAATTCCAATTTTTTTCCTAAAGAATCTTACATACTTCTGAAGATTTGAACAGAGGAGAGAAGTGTGATTGAGGCAATCCGTCACTTGTTTTGAATGAATTCATTCTCCTGAAGAAGTTGAGGAACACGTTTGTTTCTCTTTTTCTATTTTTAGTTGATTTTTTATAAATTTTTTTTGCTGCCTTCTTGCTTAAAAGTTAAAATCATGTGTTCTCAAGGATGCCTTTGCTATGTGTGTTGAAATGTTATGTGTTTTCCCATTTTTGCTATGCTGGCAAAAGAAGCAATGACTTCTCAGGATTTCTATGATATAACAGCACTATTGGGATATCAAAATACCATCGATCCTACCCCAACTATTACTACCTCATACAGTGTTTTAAAACACAGACCTCTACAATTTTCTTAAGGATCTCCAGACCTAAGTTTCTTTAGCTGTATAACCTGCTTAAGTGTTTTATAGTTTTATTGGATTGTACCTTTCCTAAATTCTGCTCTAGCTACAATTTAGTTTGCTATTTTCTTCACTACCATAATTCCCCAAACTGTAACTCATCTGATTCTTAAAAGGTGTCATTAAAGCATCTTGTTCTTCCATATGTAAGCAACTATTTATATATTAACTGTATGTCTCTCTCACTATGCTATGACTTTGGAGAATATAAATGAATCCTTATTCTATTTACCCTAAAATTTATTATCAAATGGTATTTTAATACATCAAACAATATATATCAAAGTAATAGAAAATAAAGTCATATATATATATTTGGAGTCATGAAGATTTGGTAGAATTTGAATAAAAGTCTGCAGGGAAAAGCAAACAACTTGTGATATAAGACTTAGTGGCTATAATATGAGTATGGTGTTTGTTGGGGACTGTCAAGAGACTGCCCTGGCTAGAATTAAACTGGGAAAACCAGTATGATAATTAAAGACACACTCAAGGAAGGTCTGGAATGCCTGAATGAGGAGGTTAGATTTAGGAATAGCATTGCTAAATGTGCTTAATCCATTTTCACTATATTTTCTGGCTTTGAACTATCAGGAAAATTAGAAGTCCAAAGCTACTTTAAGCAGTTAAATGGAAAAATGATACATTCAAAGAGTTGTTAAATAAATTATGTAAGTGTAGTTGAAGTAATTACTATTCTCCTGGGTGAATTGATTTTTTAAGCAGTTCAGAATATCAATGAAAAAGGAAGAACAAACCAACAAAATGCTTCCTCTATGTGTTGGGAAGCAGAAAGTTGCTTGGCCCATTATATCTTATATAATGCTACTAGAAATAAGTAGCAGATCAGGCTTGAGAATGTAATTATCACTGAAATTTTAAATAGATGCTTAATATAAACTACAATAAATAAACTGAAAAGGTACAGAAGCCTTTCAATAAAGGGAGAAAGTTTTTTAAAAACGGCAATTACTTCAAGATTCAGAAGTCTAAAATAATTTAGACTTATTAAATTAAATGAGGACCTTTAATTAGGACTTAAGAGGCATTTTTAAAACCCATTTAGTATTCTAGAGTATTCCTGCTAAATGGCCTTTGAGCTATCTTGAATAATTTATAGTAGCCTTTGGCAAGTTATCCTTAACTACTCACAAGGTTCACTATAAATTGGAAAGAGGCCCAGGTAATAGAGTGCCCTGTATATATATAATTATATAAATATAAAATTAAGGAGAGAGATTACAAGTGGTGCTGATCAAATTCATCCCACTAGTATTCTACTCTAGCCCACATGTTAAAGGAGTTTAAGAATGGAACATTTTTCTTAAGAGAAGATACAGGTATGGGGTGATGTTAATAACTTTTCTTTGACATATATAAGGTGGTGCAAAATCTCTTTCTGTTGCTTGGATTGTTCTGAGTGTAGCAATTAAAGGAGGTTAAGTTGGGTATTATGTACTATGGAATTATGTGAGCAAAGAAGATATATATTCCACTAGCCTCCACCCCTTTTATAGAGCATTCACACTGTGGCTTCTCTGCAATAGAAATTACCCAGTTCCCGACTGAGCAATATGCTCTGACGCTTTTATTTTAGAAGTCTGAAGGTGGAGTAATGATTTTTATTTACAGAAAGACCTAGGCAAAGGTATGAGAAGTGAATACAAATGTGTTTAATTGTTTTAATTTACTGTCTTGATCCATTTGGGGCTGCTATAACAAAATACCAAAAACTGGGTAGCTTATAAAAGACAGAAATTTATTTCTCACAGTTCTGGAGGCTTGGTAGTCCAAGATTGAGGTGCTAGTACAGTTAGTATCTGCAGACAGCCCATTTTCCAGTTCATAGATGATGCCTTCTGACTGTTCCTCCCATGGTGGAAGGGGAAAGGCAGCTCTCTTGGGCTTCTTTTATGACAGCACTAATCTCATACATGAGGGCTCTGCCCTCATGACCTAGTTATCTCCTAAAGACCTTGCTTCCTAACACCATCACACTGATGATTAGATTTCAACATTTGAATTTGAGCCGAGGCGGGCAGATCATTTGAGTCCAGGAGTTCCAGAACAGCCTGGGCAACATAGCAAAACCCCATCTCTACATTTAAAAAAAAAAAAAAAAAAAAAATTAGCCAGGCATGGTGATGTGCGCCTGTGATCCCAATTACTCAGGAGTCTGAGGCAGGAGGATTTCTTGAGCCCAGGAGGCAAAGGTTGCAGTGAGCTTTACAGGAAAGGGGTCCCTATCCAGACCCCAATTGAGGGTTCTTGGATCTCGTGCAAGAAAGAATTCAGGGCGAATGTGTAAAGAGAAAGCAAGTTTATTAAGAAAGCAGAGGAATGAAAGAATGGCTACTCCACAGACAGAGCAGCCATGAAGGCTGCTGGTTGCCCATTTTTATGGTTATTTCTTGATGATATGCTAAATAAGGAGTGGATTATTCATGCCTCTCCTTTTTAGACCGTATACGGTAACTTCCTGACATTGCCATGGCATTTGTAAACTGTCATGGCTCTAATGCGAGTGTAGCAGTGAGGATGAACAGAGGTCACTCTCATTGCCATCTTGGCTTTGTTGGGTTTTAGCCAGCTTCTTTACTGCAATCTGTTTTATCAGCAAGGTCTTTATGACCTGTATTTTGTGCCAACCTCCTATCTCAGCCTGTGACTTAGAATGTCTTAACCACCTGGGAATGCAGCCCAGTAGGTCTCGACCTTATTTTACCCAGCCCCTATTCAAGATGGAGTTGCTCTGATTCAAATGCCTCTGACAGTGCCACTGCACTTCAGCCTTGGTGACAGAGTAAAAGCCTGTCTCAAAAAAAAGAAAAAAAAAAGAGTATTTGGGAAAGACACAAATATTCAGACCACAGCTCTCACTTAAGTGGAAAACAATACAATCTGGCCTCCTCAGTGCCTCAGAGTGAATTCCTAGGTTACCTTGGAACAAGTCTCTGTTTAGAGAAGAGCCATTTAAATGACCCTCTCTTTCTTTGCTATTGTAAAGTGAGGGTCATCCATTGGCTAAGCTGGGTGTAAGGATATAACAGACTCAGGAGAATTAGCCAAGAGGCCTCTTACTCTCAAGCCCAAGGAATTGGTAAATTGATTTACCTCAAAATCCCAGCGCCTGTACAAGGAAAGAAATCCCACCCCAAACCCTTGGAGAATAAAAATTAGACAGACGAATTGGAATGGGCCAGAGTGGTACAAATGAAGGCCCCATGGAAGAGAATGACAACAGCAACAACAAAATCCTGAAATTAAACATCACTGAGTTAAAAAATATATATATGTAAAGTAGATATTCCATTCATGATGAGGGTTGATTACTTATGGTCATATTCAGGTTTTAATTCTGTCACCACTAGAATGCAAGCACCATTAAGCCAGAAGTTTTTGTTGGTTTTGTTAATTGCTGTCTCCCTAGAACCTAGAGGAGCAACTTATATGTTGTTGAGGTGAGAAATTCCGTTGATCCAATAGTAGCTGCTGAGAACACAGTGAGTCTGATTATGTCTATCTGTTTCTATTACATGTTGCATCAGTCTTTCCCACTGATGGTGTGGTTATGAGGACCAGAGTTGAGGAAGCAGCTTTAAAATGCCTAGAACTTGCTACATTAGAAAAACCTGGGGTAAATTTGCATGAACATAGCTATAACTTACTTGATCACCTAATGAGCAACAATAGGTTGTATCTGCATGTATCAGGTGGAGAACAGAAGAGTCAAGCATGGATCACCAATGGGTGGCCAGTTTAATTTCATATGAATATTGGATAGTTTAAGAACATTGAGTGGTTCAAGTATACATACTGCCTACTTGGTCTTTATATCCATTTTATGAATTACCCATACATATTCACTCTTCTTACTTTTTGTCTTAAAATGCATGCAAATTATTTGCTCCTGTAGTTAGTTTCATCTATTCTTCTTATATAATTGTTTCTCTTATTTTTTGAGCAGAATGGAATATTCATAAATAATACAGTAAACACATTACATACAAAGTAGGCACTCTGTAAACATTTATTGAAAGAATTAATAAATACATGAAGGATTGGTCTTGGCATAGCATATGGCATCTAATAGAAGATTCCTTGTGCCCAGTCACTCTCGCAGAATGATTAGGCTTGAGTAAAATGGCTGAGTATGGAAACTTAAGATAAAAAGAATTGAATCACACAATAAGGCATGCTATGGTCACCTGAACCCAAGAAGGTCTTCTCACTTATAAGCTTTATCTTTTAAATCTGCAATATCACTTCAAAAGTGATAATATAAAGGAAGCACAATATTGGTGAACCAATGAGATTCCAGTTATGTTTCCAAAGGACTGTCAAAGAAGATTTTCTTTTATTGTAAAATGCTAAGGTGCAGACAATTTTAGGTGAAAAGAGAAGAAGCTGGACTTCCTGCAATCATAGTATGCACAAGTAAAGTAATTAATTAGACAAATGTAAAAGCTGTATCTGCATTTGCATTCCAAGTTGGTGTACTGGGTTATAGACATTACAGTAGGAAATCCAACATTTCTCTGGTCAGTTTTCACTGACCAGTTTAATGTTATTTCTGATCCGTTGTGTATTTTATCGTTAAAACATATTCATTCTCTGAACCAGGGAACAGAGATTGAAAATTACTTAATTTTCTCATCCCAATCTCTAAAACAACAACTACAAATGACTTTAATAAATATCTGATACAGATTCTTTATTGTTTCCATATGTGTTCATTTGTCAAAGTAAACTTATACATTAACATGGGTATATGTAAAATAGCAATGAGGGTTATATTCCTGTTATTTTCATATACACTTATACTTAAAGAAACACTAGCTGGAATACTTATGCTACCCTAATGTAGCAGCCATATGAAGATGAGGCCTGACTTGGAATCTATAAGATTTTTCTAAATCTCAACAGTTTTTTACTGACACTGTAACACCTGATTTGGAAGGCTATGGAGAAATATTTTAAGTTCTTGAGCAATAAGGAAAAGTATTTGTGGAATTTGTAGAAAGGACAGTCTATGAAGAATGCTGTGAAGATTAGGAGATTCAGTTATCAGCAAGGTATTTACTATTGCTGGAGACTAATGGAAAAGTGGCTAGAGGGAAGGAGGTGAAAGTGTGGAGGGAAGGAGGTGAAAGCGTGGTCTCCTCAAGATTGTTCAAGGGAAGAATCAAGCAGCTGGGACCAAGTTGGATATAGGAGGAGGTATAAAAAAGGACTTGCTAGTTGATTAAAAAAAAAAAGATAACTTTTGAGAAAATGGGTTAGCCAGTAATGGTTTGCTTAGTTTACAAAGAGAGGCAAGTTGAAATAATTTTGTTATTTTTTTCTAAGCCCTTTCCAGTTCTTTTCTTTTAGGTTTAAATGGTAAATTTTCACCAGATGTGATGGCTCACTCCTGTAACCAAGACATCAGGGTGGCAGGATCTCTCGAGCCCAGGACATCTAGACCAGCCTGGGCAATGTAGTGAGATCCCATATCTACAAAAATAAATAAATACTGTAAAAATACCAATGTTATCAAAGATGGTTTAAGTATAAACATAAATAATGCTTAGAAGACAAGGATGCTGTGCTTTGGAGTCTCAACATGCTTTATTCTGCTGTACAGTTAGTTTTTAGGATTGTTACTTTTAACTGTGCCATATTGCTGATGTATATTTTTAACTTTTGTTGCTTCTATCAATCTTTGTCAATTCTGAAGAAATTCTTCATTTCTAGAGACTTTACTATGGTAAAAAATCAACTGACAAGCACCTAGTACATTGCACCCTGTGGGCCCTCAATAAACACTTGTTTTCGAACTGCCTGGCTGAAAGTGTCTTCAGGAACACAGGCAATAAACCCAACTGCCTTAAAAATAACAGATGGTGGTATCTAGTAGGCGTTCCCCCTGATGCCTTGTTAAATATACAACTGATGTCAGGAGACATTTGCATTTTGTTGCCTATTCAAAGCAAGTAATACTTCAGTCATTTGCCAACATACGTACATATGTAGGAGAGAATGAACTCTAGTCACATTGATTCCTAAGCACCAGAGACCTGTATAATGATTAAGAAAAGCCAGCCACATAGAGGGAGTAGTCGACAGTTGCAATCTGAATTGCAAAAGAGATAGAAAGCCAAAAGGATAAGATGGTATGAGGTTATAATAAACTTCGATAGTTTGGACTGATGAGTCAATCACTCAGTCATTAGGAATGTATGATGAGAAAGTGAGCAAAATTGGAAAGATGAAAGCAGGTACATATAAAAATGGTACCATACGTATTCCTGCCAGCTATCTTGCCAAAGCACAAGTTTGATCATGCTATTTCTTTGCTTAAAGCCCTATAATTAACAAGAAAAGAAATTGGACATGAATAATAAATTTGAGGATGGATGAGGTCTCCTAAATAATAGAAGAAGGAACAATAGACTTAACTACACATATCTTTAATTTTTCCTACATATAAAATAAAGGTCAACTAAAAAATGAAGAATGTATTTTCAGACACTCAGTGTTGACTTGTTAATGCATAAAATACCTCTAGAAATAAGAAAATTGCTAAACACTGACACAGAAATGAGCAAATCATATAAATATATAATTCTCAAAGTAGAAAATATGTGTAACTCACAACCTTTCTCTTTTTCAAAAAAGTTCAAGAGTATTCTAATCAGAAGAATACAAATTAATGCACTTTTACCTACCAAATTAAAAAAAGATTGCTTTAAAAATAAGAGTGCATAATATTATTTTAATAATAATATTTTCTAGTAGAAAAAAATGAACAAGGTTTTTAATAATCAGAGTACTAATGTTTTAAAAATTTAGTTTCTCACCTTTGCCTCTTAGCAAGTCATACAAGTTCCTCTATGATGGGGCCCCCACCCCACTCCAGATTATCTCCAACCATCTCCCTTCCAAGTTATTGTCCAGCCAATGTGGAATGTTCAGTTCCCCAAATGTCATGGTTTTTCACATGTCTGTGACGGAGGCAGCCATATTAGAATGTGTTGTGGATTTGTTTACCTGACAAATTCCTATGAAAGCCCCACCCTCAACACACTCCATGCTCTTTAAATCTTTGAAGCAGCACTCTCATTTTCCGCTTCCATCTACCAACTCAACCCTTCTGCATCTTGACCATGCTCCTTTTATTTCATATTTTATACTTCATTTTAATAATTGATTTATGTATTCATCTTCACTTAATTAAATTATAGGTTTCTCAAGAATAGGTATGGTGTTTTAATCATGTCTATATCCCAAGTTTCTACCACAGAGCTTGACAGAAGAAATTGTTTGCTGATATGAGTTGAATTAAAACTTTTAGGTCTCTGTTAACTCCTTCAGTGTAACATCAGTATGTTGCAGTGAACACATAACTTTAAAACATCATTGTATGCACACAGACACACACACACACACACGTTTTCTCTGTAGGTGCCTAGTTTAAATATTTTGTTAAACTGGAGGTTTTATATATGCAATTTCCACCAGAGTTTATGAAAATATAAAACTTCTATTATTTAATTACTTTAGTTCACAAAACTAAATCCTCAAAGCTCAAGAAATCTCATGACTTAATTTCTTTCACTCTGGAACTGCCATCAGAGAAGGGTAATATAAACAGACTTAATGGCTAACTAAATAGTGCTGCAATAAAAACCCAATACTTAATACCCTAGTTTGCTTCCCTAGGCTTCATGACTTGTTCAAATATCAAGGAGGCATACTCTGTTATTTTCACCCATATTTTCTTTCACTTATCCCAGAAATTTTTTTTTCTGCTAGAAAAACAATGTTTTCCAATTTTATTTTAGATTCACAGGGTACAGGTACAGGTTTGTTACATGGGTATATCGCGTGATGCCAATGTTTGGGTTATGAATGATTCCGTCACCTAGATACTGAGCAGAATACCAATAGTTAGGTTTTCAACTCCTAATCTCCTCCTTCCCCCACCATAGTCCTCAGTTTCTTTTGTTGCTGCCATCTTTATGTCCATGAGCACCCAGTGTTTAGCTCCCACTTATAAGTGAGAACATGCAGTATTTGGTTTTCTGCTCCTGTTAAAAACAAATTTTTGATCACAGACTTTATTTCATTTAGGCCACCAAGGGATTTTCACCCTTGGTCTTGACATTGCTAGATTTTAAGACCAATTATTCCATCATAGACTACATGATATGCATTTTAAGATGTGATTAAAAAGAAGATGTGATACACAATATCTTACTTAACAAAGATTCTTGGTGAATGTGTCTATATAAATTCATATCCCATTAATAAAAGATGGTTCTGCAACTATCATGGCTTTTAACATTTAAAATATTTTAGAGGGGAAAAAAACTTCCTGAAATGCACTTTATGTTTTCTATATCTGTAACAAAGAAATCAGTTAATTGAAATTTGCTTAATGCTTCAGGGTCATCAGTATGAACATACATTGTTATTTTGTGCCCTGATTCCTTAAGATCAGTCATTACACATAAACCTGCTTGGGGATATTTTAGGATCTGTCCCTATACTAATGAATTCCAGATTATTGTGCTTTTAGGCCTCTTTAACTTTCTTTGTTTTCAGCTGAAACCTATTTTTGTTGTTACTTAATTAGTCTGTAACTTATACCATTCCAAGCTTGTTAAATTGCAAGTAGATTTGTCCATTATTTCTAACGCAGTCAGCATCAGAATGACTGAGGGTGGCTTAATTCTATACTCTGGCTACAAATGTCCCATAAGTTTATTTAGCAAGTTTTTCAGGATATCCTGGGTTTACTGGAGCATGCTGATGGTTGGTCAATTGGGTCCTTCAGGGAGCTGACTGAGACAGTTAGGAGGGCAAGAAGTTTATTGGAGGGTATCTCAGGAGGGAATAAAGCAGGTTGGACCAGGAAGGCCCAGAATGCAATGCAGATATGACAAATTCTGGGCCAACCCAACAAGGAGCTCTGAAGCAAAGAACACCCATTAGAGAATTCTTATGTTGGTCAGCAATAGCTGGGCCCTAATAGCCTGGCCAGTAAGGCTGGAGAATTCCTGGAAAGAGTGTGGCCTCAGATTGACTGCTGAGATGGATTCTGAAGCCAAAGACAACTGGAGGCTGTCAACTGACTGCATTATTGCAGCTGAAAGGCAGTTCTTTCCTTTTTTCTTTTTCTTTTTCTTTTTTTTTTTTTTGAGACAGAGTCTCACTCAGCCGCTCAGGCTGGAGTGCAGTGGCGTGATCTCGGCTCACTGCAATGACTGTCTTTCAGGTTCAAGAGATTCTCCCATCTCAGCCTCCCAAGTAGTTGAGATTACAGGCACCTGCCATCATGCTTAGATAGTTTTGTATTTTAGTGGAGACGAGGTTTCACCACGTTAACGAGGCTGGTCTTGAACTCCTGACCAAGTTACTTCTTAAAGAGAAGTTCAAATGCGCGTCCCTTCTTGGTTGCACTAATACATATGCCAACTGGAAATATGTCTGAAATGTGAGTTATTTCTAATATTTTCCTGTTTCAAACAATGCAAAATAAAAATCTTTCACATAAACCATTTTTATGAGTGCAAAGATATCTGTTGGATAATTTCTGACAAACGAATAAAATGTTTAGTATAGACGTGATTTTGTAGATATTGTCAAATTGTTTTCAATAGGGGTTGCTTTAATTTGTAATCCCATCAGCAATTTGAGTGCCCGTTTCCTCACAATCTTGCCAACAAGTGTTTATAGAAAAACATATTTAGGGTATTACCAAACTGGAACGTAAAAATTGTTATCTAAGAAGTTTTAAATTTTCACTCTTGTTATTATTAATAATCTTGAGCATCTCTTCCTATGGGTCCCACTATATAAAAAAGGTGCCATCTATAGGGGTTGGTAAAATAAACTGTGGGGCATACACTCATGGAAATTTAGTGTAGCTGTAAAAAAGTGAAATAACCACATATTTGGAAAGATATCCATGATATATTTTCAAGGAACTAGACAAGGTACAGAAAAATGTTTATAGTATACTATCACTAGTGAAAGAAAGTTGCAAGAACATAAAAATATATGTATTTGCCTAATGAGATAATGGACGCATACACACGAAACTAACTTAAGTGGTTTTTTTATAGTGGGTGAGAAGGGGATAAGGAATTGATGGTGTTTACACAAAACATCATTCAGATTATATGAATATGAGAGATGAGAATTGTTATCCCAGAAGCTTTAATTTTCACTTCTGTTGTTATTAAAGATCTTCAGCATCTCTACATGTAGTAAGATCCATTTTCATTTATTTTTTAATGAATCATCTGTTCTTTTTCTTAGCTTACTTTTCACTTTTTTTTTCTTAAATTAAGATTTAAGAACACTGTAATATTGGGGATATTAGTTCTTCTTCTGTAGAATGGGTTGTAATTTTTTCTTATTTGTCAGTTGTCTTTTAACATTATTATTTTTTTTGCCATGCAGAATATTTCTACTTTGATGTAGTAACATCAACCAGTCTTTTCTTTTATAGAACCTGGATTTTAAATAATACTTTAATTGGCCTTGGCTGTCCTAAGGTTATAATAGATTTTTCCCAGATTTTTCTTCTGTAATAGATTTTTCTTAGATGCTTATCATTTCTTTTTTATTTTTTAAATAATTTTTGCATTTAAATCTTTATGAATTGGGGAATGTTTTTATGCATGTTAGCAATTTATACAAATATGTGTTGTTTCATGTCCTAATTTTATTTAATAAAAAGTAATTTTCCTACTGATTTTAAAAAGCAGCCTTTAATATATACTAAATTCCTATATGTATTTGCTTCTCTTTCTGGATTTTCTATTCTGTCCTATTGTAGTGTCTGTGTTTTCATGTATTTTCTTTTCATTATTGATGCATTGTATTATAACACTATGTTTTAACGTTTGGTAGGACTAGTTTTTATTTAAGTTACTTCTTTTAAGTGTGTTCTTCATTTTACTTGGTTTATTTTCTTTTTATTTATGATATTTAGTGTAATCTTTCTATTCAAAAAAGTAGTTTTTTACTGTGATCAGATAAAATACATTGATTACTTAGAAAGAACTAACATCTTTATAATGTCGAATCCAAACCAGGCACATAAGTGTTTCGGTTTGTTAATACAATCTCTGTGTATTTCAAGAATGTTTTAGATATTTTCTCCTATATATTTTGTATTTTGTATTGCTGTACCATAATTGTACATATTTTGGGGGTACATGTGATATTTTGATATATGTATACAATGTGTAATGATCAAGTCAGAGTAACTGGGATATCTATCATCTCAAACATTTATCTTTGTGTTGGGAACATTACAATTCTGCTCTTCTAGATATATTGAAATATACAATGAATTATTGTTAACTATAATTTTCCTACTGTAATATTGAGTACTAAAACTAATTCCTTCTATCTACTGAATTTTTGTGCCCATTAGCCAACTTATCTTCATCCCTTCCCTTTTGCATATGTCTTATCAAGTTAATTTCTAGACATTTTTAATTGGTGTTCTATAGCCAGTTTTCTGATCTAGCAGATCTTCTATTTAGAGGCTTTTATATATACATGAAGGGTATTCACTTGTGAATATTTTTAATATCCCCAACCTTATTGAAGTCTCATGTTTTTAGTTATCTTGTATTTCTGGTTTTACAGTTATTTTTCTTAAAATAGTGATAATTTTATCTTATTTTCAACTTTTATATTTCTAATATATTTTTCTTGTCTAATTCCATTGGCTTATAACTCCAGTGCAATGTTAAATAGTAGTAGGGATAGTCAATATCTTTGTGTTTGTCCTCATTTTAGCAGGAATTTCTCCATTATATATGATGCTGGCTTTGGGGATGATTATATATAGACACACACATATACAAAAAAACCCTGTTAATTAAGTATCTTTCAATGCCTATTTAGCAAGTAATAATTCTTACTTATCAAAAATAGCTTACATTTTGTCAAATGTCTTCAGCATCTATAAGATGGTCATGTATTATAATAACATAGTATATTCCATTAATTGATTTCTTAATATTGAAACATCCTTGTTTCTGTGAAATGAACTACTCTTGCTCAAGTTGTATTACTCTTTTTGTAACCTGATAAATTCTATTTTGTATTTTATATTGACTTTTTAAATTTTAGATGCATAAGAAATGTTTTTCTGTAGTTTTCATGTTGAACTATCTCTTTTCAGATTCAATGGCAAATTATATTCACTTCATTACAAAAAAGTATTAGAAAGTTTTTCTGCATTTTCTATATCTAGAAGAAGATTAAATAGCATTGAAATTAATTACTCATTAAAGTTTGATAGAATTCCACAATTAAACTCTGGACATGAAGCTTTTGTAAGATTAATACTTTGACAACTGTATTTGTGAAAATGCGTTTGCACTTTTCTTTTTCTTCTGGGTCAGTTTGTAAATTATATTTTCCTAGAAAATTATCCCTTTCATTCAATTTCATATAATATTTGTATAGCATTTTAAAAAATTATTATATTCTGTTATTTCTTATGCTATATATGTGTTTGTTGTTGCTTTGTGATTACACTAGTTTGTTACATATTACCTATTAATAAATTTGCTTGTTTACATATTTGTTCTACCATTTAAAAATCTTTTAATTCATTAAAATTTGTTTTTATATTTCTTAATTCTTTTGGTCTACTTTCATTTTTTTGTTTTCATTTTTCTAAATTTGGAGTTATATGATTAATTTATACTTCCATGCTTTTATTTTTATTGATAAAAGAATTCATAACTATCAGCTTTATTTTAAGCAAGGCATCATTGTGTCCTACAGTTTGTCTCCATTTTTTTTAACTTGTTGATTTTAAAAAGACATTTTACAGTTTCTATTTTTCTGACTTTGTAACTGATATATTGTCCCATTCTACAGCATTTAAAAACTTGTTTATAATATTTTTATGTTTTTAATTTATTGAAGTTTTACATTTTGAGGCCCAAAATACTTACAGTATTTATGAATGTACCTTGGACCCATGAAAATAAGTGTTCTCTGTTATTAGGGTATTGAGTCTGATAGTCATCAGCTTTATCTTCTTGCTTATGACATTTAACATTTCTGAATCCTTTCTTTTACGGGCAGTTCTCTCTTTCACCAACAGTATGGGTCCATATAAATGACTATGCAAACTTAAACTGTGTAAAACCTTTTTAATAATCAATTGGACAAATTATATTAGTGAATGACCTTAAAAATTTTTGTCAAAACATTATGAAGTTTCTTACCATAAGTTATAAATGTGTAGGGAAATGAAAAATTGTAAAATAAATATTAACTTAGTATATTGTTATTTAAAACATCAGAAACATTAAAAATTAAAGTGTTTCATCATTTTGTAAAAAGCTTATTAAGAAAAGTCTGAATAACGCTTACATTTTCTCATTATATAACTTACTATACAGAGCAAGCCTTTTTTTTCTATATCTTAGCACATTGTCATTTTCCTCTCCCAAGTTTGGACTGGCTTTCAACATTTAATCTCTTTTACTTTCAGTGTTGTAAAATATCTTTGAGGTTTCCTTTAATGCGAAGATGTTCTCTAGCATCACTTCCTGTAGGACATCTTCATTCTTTTCATGACAACCACTTTCCTCATTTAGGTTGATGTCCGACATCACTAAACTTGCCTGGCTGCATAGCTAGAATCCCTCAAACTACGTCAACATTCCCTGGTCAGCTATTTCTTCCATAGCTCCATTTGTAATCAATTCAAATTTCACTTCCAGCATTATCATTCTTTACTTCTTTGCTGCACTTTCATCTTTCTTGGCCAATTACCTCTTTCGATTATTTATTTTTTTAAAACAGCACGTGAATTTATCACAGCTGGAGGCAACAAAACTACACACTTCGCTATCTGTAAATGAACCGAATCAGAGGTGCTTAGTGAACAAGCACCAACAAACCTTGAAAAAAAGCAACATAATTGGTCACTGATGATGAGGTGCATCTATTATTTACATAGTAATTTATGAAATGAATGGCTAATAGTAATGTTTGTTACTATACTTACCGTTAACATACCCTGGTAACAGAAATCTGAAGCATGTTTTCAGGAAACCGGCGGTCTGAACCGCGGTAACTAAAATGTGTGCATATTAGAACCACCCAGAGATGACTACCTGAATTTTTTTTTTTTTTTTTTTTTTTTTTTTTTTTTTTTTTTTTTTTGAGACAGAGTCTCGCTCTGTTGCCGAGGCTGGAGTGCAGTGGCACGATCTCAGCTCACTGCAACCTCTACCTCCCAGTTTCAAGCTATTCTCCTGCCTCAGCCTCCTGAGTAGCTGGAACTACAGGTGCCTGCCACCACGCGCAGCTGATTTTTGTTGTTGTTGTTGTATTTTTTTTAGTAGAGACAGGGTTTCACCCTGTTAGCCAGGATGGCCTTGATCTCCTGATCTTGTGATCTGCCCACCTCGGCCTCCCAAAGTACTGGGATTTCAGGCGTGAGCCACTGTGCCCGGCCAACTACCTGAATTTTATTCAATTAAAATGTTTTGGACTGAGAGAAGTAAATTAAAGCCTCATGTCATTTGTGTGTTTTCCTTTTTTCTAATATTTCCTGAAATGTCTGCCTATGAAAGTTTTTACTATTCGCAGACACAGTCATGGCACACTGCAACCTGGAACTCCTGGGCTCAAGCATTGCTCCCACCTCAGCCTCCTGAGTAGTTGGAACTGTGGACATGTATCACCACACCCAGCTGAAATTATTTGTATAGATCAATTAATCCTATTTATATTTATAGAAAGGAAAGATATGTCTGCAATGCATTAATTATTAATTTAGGGCAACGTTTTCTTCAGTTGTATCAATTATGATAATGTCTTTAATGCTTTATCTCTGGTCAGTGACAGCTTCTCAGGACAACTATGATAATAGTTTTTATTAAAGTGATATAATTGCAGCTTTGATTTTGGTTAGTGTCATTAAAATTCCAGTCAACATTTTAGCTATGGATCTTAAGATTATTCTGAAACTGACTTCCACAATGGTTGAACTAGTTTACAGTCCCACCAACAGTGTAAAAGTGTTCCTATTTCTCCACATCCTCTCCAGCACCTTTTGTTTCCTGACATTTTAATGATTGCCATTCTAACTGGTGTGAGATGGTATCTCATTGTGGTTTTGATTTGCATTTCTCTGATGGCCAGTGATGATGAGCATTTTTTCATGTGTTTTTTGGCTGCATAAATGTCTTCTTTTGAGAAGTGTCTGTTCATGTCCTTCGCACACTTTTTGATGGGGTTGTTTGTTTTTTTCTTGTAAATTTGTTTGAGTTCATTGTAGATTCTGGATATTAGCCCTTTGTCAGATGAGTAGGTTGCGAAAATTTTCTCCCATTTTGTAGGTTGCCTGTTCACTCTGATGGTAGTTTCTTTTGCTGTGCAGAAGCTCTTTAGTTTAATTAGATCCCATTTGTCAATTTTGTCTTTTGTTGCCATTGCTTTTGGTGTTTTAGACATGAAGTCCTTGCCCATGCCTATGTCCTGAATGGTAATGCCTAGGTTTTCTTCTAGGGTTTTTATGGTTTTAGGTCTAAAGTTTAAGTCTTTAATCCATCTTGAATTGAAGTCAGTGTGGCGATTCCTCAGGGATCTAGAACTGGAAATACCATTTGACCCAGCCATCCCATTACTGGGTATATACCCAAAGGACTATAAATCATGCTGCTATAAAGACACATGCACACGTATGTTTATTGCGGCATTATTCACAATAGCAAAGACTTGGAACCAACCCAAATGTCCAACAATGATAGACTGGATTAAGAAAATGTGGCACATATACACCATGGAATACTATGCAGCCATAAAAAATGATGAGTTCATGTCCTTTGTAGGGACATGGATGAAATTGGAAATCATCATTCTCAGTAAACTATCGCAAGAACAAAAAACCAAACACCGCATATTCTCACTCATAGGTGGGAATTGAACAATGAGATCACATGGACACAGGAAGGGGAATATCACACTCTGGGGACTGTGGTGGGGTTGGGGGAGGGGGGAGGGATAGCATCGGGAGATATACCTAATGCTAGATGACGAGTTAGTGGGTGCAGCGCACCAGCATGGCACATGTATACATATGTAACTAACCTGCACAATGTGCACATGTACCCTAAAACTTAAAGTATAATAAAAAAAAAAGATTATTCTGAAACTGATTATAATTCTGATCTTTAATTCTGACATTAGGGGCCATGATGCTTATTTCGTCTTTCAAGAGAGGTCAGCTATTGCTGCTATAAGAGTTTCATTTTTTCAATATATGGTTTTCAAACTATAAATTTGTACTTTAGGTATTTGTGCTTAAAACATGCATCATCAGCTACCAAGAGAAATGTTACAGTATCAGAATGCCTATTCTACAAATTCTGTAAAAAATAAGTTGATATTTGAATTTGATATCTTCTAATACCTTTTTTCTTTGCTCTTCTGTCTCCTAGAAATACCAATCTCCTCTCCTGACCCTACTCTCCCAGTCATACTGTTTCCAGGCTGCCCACAACCTCCCACTGTAGGGATCCATTCTGACTTTTATTAAAATTTACTAGTCTACTACTCCAGGGCCTGCTCTCCCTTTAAAGTAATACTGAGTATTTGGTAATCAACATCTTACTTCTAATAAATCGTTCATTTGCATTTTATAACAGAATTTACAAGATTAAATTTTAATGCAAAGAGTTCACCACTTTGGAATGAAATGTATGTTTTGGTAATTCACTTTTTAAAATTCTTTATTTCCATAGGTTTTTGGGGAACAGGTGGTATTTAGTTATGTGAGTAAGTTCTTTAGTGGTGATTTGTGAGATTTTGGTGCACCCATCACCTGAGCAGTATACACTGAACGCAATTTGTAGTCTTTTATCCCTCACTCCCTTCCTATCGTTTGCCAGAGTCCCCAGAGTTATTCTTATGCCTTTGCAGCCTCATAGCTTATGAGTGAGAACACACAATGTTTAGTTTTCCATTCCTGAGTTACTTCACTTAGAATAATAGTCTCCAATTCCATTCAGGTTGTTGTGAATGCCATTAATTCATTCATTTTTATGGTTGAGTATATTCCATTGTATCTATAGTCAACGATAGTGCATTTTACACTTAAACATTTGTTAAGAGGTAGAACTCATAGTAACTTGTCTTACCACAAGGAAAACAATTGGTAAGTACTTTTATAAAATTATGAAGAAAGATCTATAGTGTTCAGAAAAGGAGTTACTAACTCGCTGAAATAATAAGAAAGATTTTACAAGGATCTCTATGAACCGAGTTCTGAAGAATTAATGAATAAGAGTGTGCTAAAGTAGAGTCAGTCTCTACACATGCTGATGGAGGGAAAACTATGGAGAAGGCACAGAAAGAGGAAAAACTAGTTAATGTCAGGTAATGAGGAGTTAGGCTGGGCTGTCGCACTGGGCACATTGACGACTCGACACCAAGAAAGAAGGCCACAAAAATCATTTCTGCTTCAAATTATAAATGTTCTTTTATGTTTTTTTAAAAAAATTTTGGGTTTCTTCTAGGTAATGGAGAGTCAACAGAGATTTTTAAGGGGTAATATGGCAGGATAGATTTGTTTCCTAATAAAAGATAACATGGGAATGAAATACGAAAGATGGACTGGAGGAAGGAGAGTCCAGTGAGGAAGAGATCAGTAAAGAGGTTCAGTAGGTCATAAAGAAGGTGAAGAGTGCCTGAGGGAAGAGAGAGGCCACGGTGAAGAGAAAACTTAAAATTGAATTAAAATCATCTAGTGACTGGAAATAATGTAGTACCCCAGCAAAGGAAAACATACGAGAGTATTCTCTGTTCCATTCCATCAAAGAGAAAAAAACACACTTCGGGGAAAAAAAAAAGAAAAAAATTTAAAAACTCAATTTTCTACAGAGCCTGACTAGAAACTGTTATGTCTCTCAGGTAAATATATAGTCAGTCCATTTGCAGAGGCTAATGGATGACTTAATTAAGGCCTGACAAGATTTTCTGGGATAATAGATAAAGGATAATTCCCATTTAATAGCCCCCTTTAGATAAGATAATACTGGTATTATTAATAATTTCTCCAGGCATTTCCCATCTTAATGAAGAATTAACACAGGAGTTCACCTTAACATTTGGAACATCTTGCCAAATAGTACAATCTGGAGTCTCTATTTTTGTTCAGTCAAAAAGCTTGACAGCTAGCTGTGGCAGGTTATTAATCTTTGTGTTGACTTCAAGTATAATATCAGAGTGGTGACTTGTCTGGGAGGTTTGTCAGAATGAATTGTTTTCTGAGATAGCAGATGGTTTGGAAATCATCTGCCATGACAGACTGAACAGACTAGAGTTTCAATTCTCTGTTCCTGGGGTGGTGATGAGAAGGACACACACAGGAAATCAACTCTCCTGGTTTAACTGAAAACGGCTATGCACTGGACGGTCAGAGCACAAACTAGTAACAACTATGAAAGATAAATAAGAGGCAGGTGGGAAGTTCCTAATTAACTCCCATCTACTTCAAGTTAATTTCCCTGACTCTACATTATTGCACATATGAGGAAACTCAATTTATGCATATCAAGACTTGATTTTATAATTTTGCTTTTGAAAAATGAGATAATCAACAACAGAAGGAGTATATTAACTAGAGACCTGGATTACAGTGATTCAGAGTGAGGTATCAGGTAATTGAATCTAGTCAGTTTATTCAGAGCAGGATGCAAATAAGTAATTTGGACATTTTGAATGAGCTCTGCCAAGTTAAAAGCCTCATGAAAATTTTGTAAATAGGCTATGCACTTTAATGTAATCTGAGAATAGAGGGTGGTTTACAATAATTTCAGATTTCTATTTAGCTATTATTATTATTACAGTTTTTAAAATGTTTCCCCTGACATCCTTCCTGTGTAAATGAATATGTCCCAGGGACACTCCAGTAAATGAGATGAACTAATGTAAAATATTAAATAATTCATGTCCTTGGAAGCCACTGAGACTTTGCTCATGTTTTCAGATAAAGTAAACCAATGTTGTGATGCAGAAAAAGGCATCTGCATTTGAAAATATCTCAAGTATTATCTTTTAAGCCTAAATGTGTACTTAATTTAAAAAGAAGAAAAGGGAGCATGTTAAAGAATGTATCAGGCACCATTTAAAAATAGTAGAGATAACTAACAAGATTTTGATTTTCTTTTTTTTGCAAGGGGAAAGGGGAGCTCATTTTACTGCCTTTGCCATCATTTCTATGACTATGAATTAAACTGGAGTGTAACAATGAAGTTAAGTGAAATCTGGAGAGGAGCCTGGGACAAAGGAGGCAGTATTGTGGAGTAGGAGGTAGTACGAAATTAATAAGGCCTGGGATATTTGTGTTCTTAGTCCTACTCCCATCAAAGTCAGACCGTGGGGTTGTTATATAACCTCTCAGGAACAGTGTGTTCTTGTCTGTGAAATGAAATAATAATAACATTAGCCTCACAGGGATGTTATCAAAATTAAATGTACAAGCAGAATTAAGTGTTTGCCACAGAGAAGGCACAGAAAATTTAGAAATTACCTAACTACTCTGTTTAGGAAAGGACTTTATACTGCCAGCTTTGCCCAAAAGCGAATTTCTGGACATTTCTAGACATCCCTTCAGCAGTGACAGGGCTAAACTAACGGGATTGTGGGTTACTTTGAAAGCAAATTCCTTGGTTTTAAATTCTAACTCTGCCAATTAGCAGTTGTGTAACAGCTCTTCATTAAACTTATCTTAGTCTCAGTTTCCTCATCTATACAATAAAGACAATAATAATACTTACACCTATTGGATAATTGCAGGAATTAAATGAAATAACCTGCATTAAGAACCTAGTACAGTGTCAAGCACATGGCAGCGACTCTGAATGTTACCTTGGATTATCTATTAGCCCCACGTAAGTATAGCCATGAAAATTTTATCTGCCATAAGGGACAAACATAGAGAATGACTTTTCTCTCTAGCATATCATCTTGTTATGAAAATATGACATATGTGGTTTGTTCCAAAAAGGAACTGTTGCCCTTTTAGCAAACAAGTCTGAGTGATTTCAGTCACTGAGAGGTGAAACTTAAAGTTATTAGTAGTTACACTTTCAATATTTGAAGGCATTAAAGAGTAATTGAAAGTGATCAAGTACTGAAGGAGAGTCAACTCTTAAAACAAGGAGACGACTGGGTGAGCTTGCATTTGCAGAGTTTTTCTCTTGTGGGCACACCTCAGTCCTTACTGTGTGGCAAGGCTGAAGTTCAAGGAAAGACCATATTGTTACTGGCTTGATGAGTCAGAGGACAGAATTTGGAACTGCCAGAATGGCTAGAAAATCAAAGGACAAATGAAGAAAAGCTTTTAATGCTGTATATTATCTGCCGAGGTCCTAAGCTGAACCTTGAACTCCATATGCATGAAGGAGACATCAAAGAGAAATTAAGGCTATAGCTAGAAGGGTAAGATAAATGAGCCAAGATTTCAACCGATACTTACAGCAGGCATTACAGAATTCAGAGTTTGATTGCAGTCAAAGATAATTTCTTGTTAAAATCAAAATAATCATTCTTTAGCAGCAGATTTCAGAATACAAAGTATCTATAATATATTATTTATAATATTCAGCATATAATAAAAAAATCACTAAATATGTGAAAAGCAGAAAGTGTGGCCCATTATTTCAAGAAGACAGCAGTCAGGGTCAGGCGTGGTGGCTCACGCCTGTAATCCCAGCACTTTGGGAGGCCAAGGCGGGTGGATCACGAGATCAGGAGATCGACACCATCCTGGCTAACACGGTGAAACCCCATCTCTACTAAAAATACAAAAAATTAGCCAGGCATGGTGGTGGGCGCCCATAGTCCCAGCTACTCGGTAGGCTGAGGCAGGAGAATGGGGTGAACCCTGGAGGCAGAGCTTGCAGTGAGCAGAGATGGTGCCACTGCACTCCAGCCTGGGCAACAGAGCGAGACTCCGTCTCAAAAAAAAAAAAGAAAGAGAAAAAGGAAACGGTAGTCAGTAAAACTGACTCTAACAGGTTGGAATATATAGATGAGGACTTTAAAGCAGTTATTATAAATATATTCAAGGATGGACAAAGAAAATATTATAAAAATGAATAAACAGATGGGAAATCACAGCAGATAAATGAGCACTATTTAAAAACAATCAAATAAAAATCCTAGGAGTTAAAATTATAATATCTCAAATGAAAATGTCAGTAAATTTGAAGACATATCGAAAGAATTGTCCAATCTGATAAAACAAGCTCACAAACATATATGTAATTCAAATTTTACAAGGAAAAACAGAGAGATAATAGGACAGAAAAATATCTGAATACTGTTCATTAAAAATATCCCCAATCTGATGATAAACAACAATTTATAGATCCAAAAACTTCAGTAAACCCCAAGCAAGTTAAAAACAAAGAAAACAAGGAGCCATATCACAGACAAAATCCTGAAAACTGAAGAATTATGTTAAAGTAACAAAATGTTGAAAGCAGCCAGAAAAATGACTTATTCCATAAAGGAAGAAGGTGGTAACACCAATGACTGACTTATCAGAAAGAATAAAAGCCATAAGACACTAAAAACATCTTTACAGTGCTGAAAGAAAAGGAAAAATAACTGTCAACCTAGAATTTTATAGTCAGCAAAAATATCCTCTGGAAATGATGCCAAAATATAGGTATTTATTAGATAGCAAAACTGAGAATTTACTGCTAAGTAAATTACATCAGGATGCAGAGAAATGACACCAGATAGATATGTGAATCTACAGGAGGTAAAGAAGAGCAACAGATATGGTAAATATGTAAGGAAATACACTTTTTAAATAATTTATTTAAAAGATATATGCCTCTTTAAGAAAAATGTTGTAATACCCTACTATGGAGTTTATAACATATAGATATCATATATGCACACAATATATGGCACTAGTACAAAAAATGGGTTCAGCAAATGGAACTATACAGTGGCACAATTCTTATACTTTATGTGGTACAATACTAACACTTAGTAGAATGTGATAGGTTAGGATTTATATTGTAATCCCTACAGCAAACACTGAAAAATGCTAAGAGGTGTAACTTAAAGCACAATAGAGTAATCAAAATGAAATATTTAGAAAATTATTAACTAAGAGAAGGAAGTAAAATGAACTAAATATTCATATTGAAAAGCAATGTTTGTAAGACTGGATAAGAAGCAAGACCTAATTATATGTTGTAAAAAAGAGATGTAAGCTAAATATAAAGGTAAAGGTAGGAGTCAAAGGAATGAACAGATGGGAAAATATATATTTATATATTATTTGAATAGTAAAAATAACAAAAATAGAATCAGTATAACAGACAAAATAGACATCAGATAAGGAGTATTGCCAGAGATAAAGTGGATCATTTTATAATGATAAAATAATCAGAAGGGTATAGATGTGTATGAGCCTGAATATAGAATTTCAAAACTTGAATTAAAAACTGAGATATCTAGAAAGAAAAGTAAACAAATCTTCATTATAGCTGGAAATTTTAACATCCCTCTTTCACTAATTGGTATAATAGTGATTGATTATAATTAATAGAACATCTAGATGAAAAATCAGCAAGAATGTCTGAAGAAGACAGGAACAATGCTATTAACCACTTTGACCTAATTCACATTTATAAAACATTATATGCAACAAATGTATAAAACAATTATTTTAAAATGCACAAGACACATTCACAAAAAAATGTTATGCTGTGTCATAAAGCAAGTCATAATAAATGTCAATAATTAAATATTACAGAATATGTATTTTAGTAATAACAAATGAGAAATAAATAAATCACAAGATATGTAGAAAAGCCCCAAATATTTGGAAATAAATAACAGTTCTACTAATGGATCAGAAGAAATTACAAGAAAATTTAAAATGTTCTGAAATCATCATATTTTAATACATGTGATGTACCATAAGACGGTTAATTTATGTGCCAATTTGACTGAGCTAAGGGATGTCCAGATAGCTAGTAAAACATTACTCCAGGTGTGTCTGTGAGGATACTTCAGGTAGAGATTAGCATTTGAATCAGTAGACTAAGTAAAGAAGATTCAACCTCACCAACGAGAATGGGCATCATCTAATCCATTAAGGGCCTGAGTACAATGCAAAAGTGAAGGAAGTGCTAATTCATCTCCCTGAACCAGGACATCCATCTTCTGTCCTCAGACATTGCATTCCTGGTTTTCAGATTCAGACCAGAACTTACACTATGGATGTCCTCATCATCAGCACCACCAAGTTCCCAGACTTTCAGAGTTGGACCAAGACTTACACCATTGGCTTCACTGGTTCTCATGACCTTTTGTTTTGGGACTTCCTGCCCTCCATAATTCTATGAGAAAATTCCCATATAGATGTTTAGTTAAATTAATTAATGAGTTTATTTATTTTTAATATATTTTAATTATAAGGTCTGTTTCTCTGGAGAAACCCTAATACATAGCTAAAGCAGACCTTAGAGAAAAATTTGTAACTACTTATATAATCAATATTATATATAAAAGCTAGAAACAGAGGAATAAAAGTAAACTTTAAGTAGAATGTAGAAGGAAGGATAAAATGAAGATATTAGAAGTTAGTGAAATAGATAATAAAAACTAGATAATTGACAAAGTGAAAACTTTGTTCTCTGAAAAGATTAATGAAATCAATAAAACCCAAGCTATAATAATTAAAAATAGAGATAAAACATAAATTTAAAAAATTATGATAAAACTAGTATCAGAAATAAACTAATACATATTTTATTACACATATTTTAGAAACATAGCAAAATATTAGGAACTACTTTATGATTTAAGTAGACAATTTTCTTGATGTATACAGCTTACCAAGACTAACCCGAGATGAAATTTTTAAAAGTTCATAGTTATGTTTATTAGAAAGGTCAAAGTGCTTATCAAACACTTTCTCACAAAGAAAACTTCAGGCTCAGATGGCTTCACTGTGAATTGAATAATACATTTAAAGAGCACATAATACCAATATTACCAGAACTCTCTTAAGGCATAGAAAAGGAAGGGGCATTTACAACTTCTTTAAACAGAATAGAAAACTCTGACACAAACTTGATGAATACAGTACAAAGACCTAAAATTAATGACCAATATCATTTAATGTAGATGCACATTAGCAAATTTAATCCAACAATATATTAAAAGGTAGATATATTAGGACCAAATAGTCTCCACACCAGGAATGTAAAGATTGGTGAAACAGGCTGGACACAGTGGCTCATGCCTGTAATCCCAGCACTTTGGGAGGCCTAGGCTGGTGGATTACCTGAGGTCAGCAATTCGAGACCAGCCTGACCAGTAGAGATGGTGAAACCCCATCTCTCCTGAAAATACAAAAATTAGCCGGGGATGGTGGCACATGCCTGTAATCCCAGCTACTTGGGAGGCTGAGGCAGGAGAATTGCTTGAGCTCGGGAGACAGAGGTTGCAGTGAGCCAAGATCATGCCACTGCACTCCAGCCTGACCGACAGAGTGAAACTATCTCAAAACAAAACAAAACGAAAAGATTGGTGAAACATTCAAGTGCATCAGGCAATATAATTCTCTATACTAAGTGAATTAAATAGATGAACCAAATGATTAACTCCTGTGAGTGACACATACATCTAAAGGTATAGAAAAAGCATTTGGCAAAATTTAACACTCATTTATGAAAAGAAAGAAAGAAAAAGAAAGAAAGAGAGAAAGAAGAAAGAAAGAAAGAGAGAAAGAAAAACTCTTTTCCAATTATGAATAGGAAGCAACTTCTTTAATCAAGTAAAGTGTGTTTATTAAAAACAATAAAAAGCAAACACACATATTGAATGATAAAAGCCTAAAAAATTTCCCTTTATATTCAGAAAAAAGAAAATGATGTCTGTTCTCACGGCTTCAATTAGACATTTTACTAGTGGATTCAGAAGTAAAAGAAAGTAAAAGAAGTAAAGGGCATGGAAACTGGAAAGGAAGACAAAACTTTCTCTTATTTGTAGGTGACATGATTCTTTGCTATCGAAATCTTAAGGAATCTACAAAACAATTTCTAGAACTAACAAGTGAATTTAGCAATATCACGATTACAGAATACAAAATCTGATCGTATTTCTATATTCTAATAGAAAACAGTGGGAAAAAGGAAAATTTTAAATTCCACTACAATAATATGAAAACCTAAGATAAGATAAAAAGTAACAAACATTGCAAGATGGCTGCACTAGAAACTGTAAAACAATGCTGAAAGAAATTAAGACCTAAATAAGTATATAAACATGCTCATACAGAAGCCTCACTATTCTTCTCACTTCACCCAAATAGATCTACAGCAGTAATCTGCAAGCATTTTTGTTTCAGAATCCCCAAAACACCTTAGAAATTATACAGAATCTCCAAGGACTTTACTTTTTGTGAGTTATATCCATCAACATCAATATTATTCAGTATTATAAATTAAAACTGAAAAAATGTTAAATACTAATTTAGTAATTTGTTTAAAAATAGCTATAAATCTATTACATTATCTTAAGTATGTTTATTTTTTAAATCTACATTCTCTAACACAAAAGTAATCTAGGAGAGTGGAACTGTTTTTAAACTTTTGAAAATCTGTCTGGCTTAGTAAAAGACAGCATATTCTCATATGCCTGAGATACAGTTAATTGATGTGACATGTTGTTTTGCTTGCAGTATATGAAGTAATGCTGGCCTCATATAGATAAGTAGTTGTAGAAGGGAGGAGTATTTAAGTAGGCTTTTCACATAACTGTAGATATTCTTCTTTGATATTATACTAAAACTTGCCGAGAAATAAAGGCAGCAGTTACAGTGCACTCTGAAAGGGATATGGCAAGGATAATGCATGGTCCTATCAAACCACACAGATAGGACCACACATTAGGACGTGGATATCAGAGAAGACTCTATAAAAAAAAAAAAAGATGGTTAAACTGAAACCAGAAGATTAAGGAAAGAGTATTCCAGGAAAGGAAAATACTCAAGTGAAGACATGATAGATGCACAGATTCAGAAAGACTTATGATGATCTCAGCTTAGAAGTTACACTGAGTATTGAGCGGGGGTGGGAGGTTGTTAGGGAGAGTAGCAAAAGATTAAACTGAAAAGACAACCGAGCTTATATGTGAAAGCTGTCCCTATGAAAAGTTAATAACTTTAGTCTTTTCTATAAAGATAATGAGAATTTATTAAAGGATTTAAGCCAAAGAATGACAGCGCATAAAAGGTGAAAGTTTAAAGAAAGATTGATGAGTCAGTGTGGGAGCTATAGTAGAAAGGTCCAATACAGTAGACCTGCTTTATCTGTGGTTTCATCCCACTTACCCATGGTAAACTGCAGTTGAAACATATTAAATGGAAAATTCCAGAAATAAACAATTCATCAGTTTTAAATTGTGCGCCAGTCTGGGTAGTGTCATGAAATCTTGTGCCATCCCACTCCATCCTGTCCAGTATGTGAGTCGTTCCTTTGTCCACCGTATCTGTGCCTCTGTTACCCACCTATTCATCTCTTAGCAACTTTCTCAGTTATCAGATCAACTGTTGCAGTATCACAGTGTTTGTGTTCAAATAACCCTTATTTTCCTTAATAATAGCTTTAAAGCACTGGAGTAGTAATGCTGACATATTGTTATAACTGTTCTATTTTATTATAATTATTGTTGTTAATCTCTTAAAGCCTAATTTATAAATTAAACTTTCGCATAGTTATGTATACATAGGAAAAAAACATAGTATATATAGGGTTCAGTACTATCTGCAGTTTCAGGCACCCCTTGTGGGATTTTGGAACATATCCCCCACAGGGAAGGATAAACTACTCTAATAAAAAGTCTTAAATATATACATTGGTTTTGGCAATAACAATATTGTTTGTGACTTAATTGAGGAAAAATGGCAGATGAGGCTATGTCGCAGAGCTAAGGGACGAATGGTGAGGGTAGGCTTAGCTTTCAAGAAGCTTGTCTGGGAGCAAAAAGTGACAGGGCAGTAAGTAGAAGTGACCAACGGGAGGAAGAGCTGAAGGGAAATAGCCGGTATACCAACAAACATTAAAGCTATGAATCTGGAAAAGGACAAAAGATGAACCTTGCATGTGGAGGTATGCCAGATCTGCTCTAATAAAAGTAAAGATGGGTTGAAATTTATATATTAATTATTTTTGAAATTATTTTCCTTACTATGTTTTTTTAAACAGCCCTCATATAGGTTGTTTCGTTTTCCTCATTTTGCTTAGTCAACTTTTATCTCCCAGAACATGAATAAGTAAATCATGATTGAATACTAAATAAATAATTTTTAAACTTCAAATTAATCATGTCTGAATTGCTGAACTTTTATTTTATGCCAAAATCAGGGAATGTTGTTTTGATTACTTCATTTATTTGAAGAATGAAAAACATGACTACATTCAGAACCAAATCTACTAGGACATTCATGTGAGTCCCACTGAAGTCCACACCTCACAAGTGACATATGTACCATATTTGTTTACTTCTTTTGTTGAGAGGATTTGGGCTTTTTGTTTCTGTTCATTTGTAATACAAAAATTCAGCTGGTTACAAGTTCCGGAGTAGTGATTTTTAATACAGTTAAAATGGATAAAATCACTTGGAACCAGTTTATCAAATAGAATCAAAGAATCTTTAATATCATTAACTTGCCTAAAACTGAAGTGTAATTTGTTTTATAATCTGTTTCCCCACCATTTGTAGTTGTGAAGATGCCTGTCATTTGAAATCTTCCTGCTCTAGCAGTTAAGTGAGGAATACAAGTAGACTGGCTGAATGGTCCTTGATAACCGTGTGTAGCTAATGAAAGCCATTTGAGTTTATCAGTTGGCAACTCAGGAGCATGAGGATGACTAGAGTTTATAGCAGTCATTTCTCTCTTGTACTTCTCTGGTATGAACAAATAAATCTTTTCAGAAAACTTGAAGCTATAATGGCTGGAGGCATTGCCATAGAAACAAAGCAGGAACATCAGTAGATCAGTAAGAAAAATATTCCAAAATAAAGAATAACTGGTGAAAGCTGCCCAATTTTATAAAATGCTACATGTTGTGATTCAGATGTATGTGTGAGTATATGTGTGAGTATATGATAGGTATATGATAAGTATAAGTGAGTATATGATAAGGTATTTTAAATAAAAAACAATTGAATTACATTGAAGTGTTATAAAATAGAAGATTAGTTTGATATGTGTGTGATTTTATTTGCAAATTTAAATGGCAGCACAAGTGCTATGTCAATCTAGAGTAAACCAAGGCAGTATTAACTTACCATGTATCACAGATTATACATTGGGGGCATTTGTTCTTAGGAATCAGTGATTGTGCCAGCTGATACTAAATGCACCTCAGAAAATGAAGACCTGCATGTCAAAAACAAATAGGAAACACATTACAAGTATATGCATTCTGAATTTGATTAAACAGATAATGGTGTATATGGGTCAATGGCTATAACACATTGTATTTGGTAGATATTTAGTTTGTGTGCCATTTACATTCACAATTGCATGTTTCAGATTCTTTATTTTTAAAAGTTTGATTTTCCGATGAATTCATTACTCACTACCATGAAATTTTTCCCCACTTGCTGTGATCAGAAGGTAAGTAAAAATCATTATGTTATTACCATAATAATTATAGAGTTCTACGTATTAGTTCTGTATCTAAAATGCTTAAATTGCAATGATGAAAAAACCTTTTCGTGTATTTAACACTGAAAGGATTTATTTTTTGAGCTTCCATGTTGTAGGAGATCATTTTTGTGTTACATTCTGTATTTTTGTGTGTGATGTGATTGTTGTATTCAGAAGTGCAAAGAACCTTAACTCCTTAACTCCTTTCTGTAGATTTATATTGTCTTAGTTCAAACCCTTAGGACTCCAATTTAGTGGATAATCCTTGCTTCTCCACTTGCAAGCACCCTGTTCCCAAGGAAACAATAGATTTTAATAAAGACTACTGGGCAATATGATAGCCCCAAAAAGACGAGGCCCAAATGCATAAACTCATCGCAACTTTGGAGCATAACTCAGTATTTCTCTTCATTTTCCAACAGAAAATATTTTCCAAAAAGCATTGGCAAAAAGCAGAAGTTTTACTTTTAGTTGGGAAACAAGATAGAAAATTTTACATCATATATTAAATAGCAAAACCCTATATAATCACAACTAGATGTCTTTATTTCTCTTTTATTCTACCACTTCATGTACTATGGCATCCTCTTTATTTCCTTCCTTGTTCTCTCCATCTCCTAGCCTCCACCTCCCTGCATTGTCTAAAACTGCCTCCTTCAGTAGGATAACTAGCCACACACAGCTATTAAGCTTAATTGAATAAAGTAAAACATTTAGTTATTTAGTTTCTAATGCACATAGCTACATTTTAAGCACTGAATAGTAACATTGGACAGTAGCTACCGTATTGGACAGCACAGATAATTCTGATCTAAAACGATTAAGATCTTGCTCCAAGCACAGTATTTTATTTTTCCAAAATAATACAGAGAGAAAATGAGGAGGAAAAGCGGAAGGATAGAGGAGCAAAAGAAAAAAGTCCGTGTTGCTATCTACCCTCACTCTTGGAAGAAAGCAGTCGAAGAGCTCCTTATTCCAGTAGAAACACAATAGCAACTTAGTGCCAAATCTACTCTCTTCTCATCCTGGAGGAAGTGAGGGCAAAGGGAGCCTATAAACTACATCTTTAGTGAAACTAAGAGACAGAGAAAATTTGAAAACTACAAATTGCCTGTGTGGGCAACAGCAAGGAAAACCAGCAAAATCTGCACGGAAAGCTATAGCAGCATGGTAGGGAGAAGCATGGAGGACAAAGGTGGTCTAGAGCGGACAGATCTCAGAAAAGAGCAGCAAATATGAACTACTATAAGGGAAAGGTCTCTCTTAAATAGAAACTGCTGTGACAAGGCTGAGGACTAAAAGGGCACAATCACTGCAGCTGCTGTGACATAAGATACTGAAAGCCCTCTTGGATCCTCTTGGTGTAAGAAAGCACCACCTTTCAAAAGACTAAAGGATACCTTGGAAGCAAGGACTATGTTCTTGATAGCAGTGTTTAGTGAAGGCCTCAAGCTAGGTCAGAGAAGCATCAGAGGCATGGCTAAGCAGAGAAATTTCATTATAATGAAACAATCCATCTCTTTAGCCCTAGACTCCTAGCAAACTATCTCACTCCCTAGACTCCTGCTCTGAACCCCACAAAAGTCTCCTGCTAATATATTGTCTGGAAATTTTAATTCATTTAAATATGAGTAATTGTAAACCCCACAGCATCCTGATAAGGGCTCAAATATGTCCCCAAAAAAGTTATGTTGAAATCCTTGCCCTCAGTATCTTGAGATGTGACTGTATTTGGAAATAAGGTTGATGCAGATGTGATTAGTTAAAATGAAGTCATACTGGAGTAGGGTGTACCCTTAATCCAATATAACTGATAGCTTTATAAGAAGAGAAAAGACCGGGAGACACAAGAGAGAACACCATGTCATGAAAAAAGGCAGAGATTGTAATGCTACAGCTGCAAGTGAAGGAATGCTAAGGATTGCTGGTAAACTACCAGAAATTAGGACAGGCAAGGAAGGATTCTCCCCAACAGCTTTCAAAGGGTGCATTCCCCTGCAAACATTTTGACTTTGGACTTCCAGCCTCCAAAACTGTGAGACAATACATTTCTGTGGTTTTAAGCTATCCACTTTGTGGACTTCTTTGTCACAACCTTGGAAAACTGATACAATCCTTTCAAAGATATCTTAAAATAGGAAATAGCAACAAAAGTTCCTTAATAAAAGAAGAAACTTAACAGAAAAAAATGTTGCCACGAAAAGATACAAGTTGCAACACAACATTTTACCAACAATATAGATACAATTACAGCCAGGAAGGAAATACAAGGACTCAGGATAACATGACTGGACAAGAGAAGGTGATGTCTAGACATACGCAGTAAAACTGTAGGATTTAGGGGAAACTGTAGGAGTTAAGGAAAAATGGAGGAAAAAGAAAATTAGAAATAAAGAATAAATTACAGAATCAAAAGAGATACTGATACCGTAGAAAGCACAATAAGAGATGTAGGTGAGAAAAATGAGAAAATCAAATGAACATTAATAGAAATAAAGATATAGAAAGTATTGGAAATAGTATGATGAGTAAAAGATAAGCCAAAGACATCCAAAATTCACATAATTAGGACTGCAAAGAAAATCAAACAATGAAAGAGTATCAATATTTAAAAATTTAATTCAAGAAAACTTTCTTAAAGAATATTTGAATCTGGTTATTGAAGAGAAAGCTCTAAACCAGGGAAGGGGTACACTATAACACAGAATGGTCAACATTGAGACATAACCTGAAGAAAATGTTTAATTTTAAAGATAAAGAATCTTTGAGCAGCAGGAGGAAATATCAAAATAATTTTAGGGGAAAGAAAATCAAACTGGTCAGACACCCCCCAGCAAATTTTTACTAGAAGGCAGTGAAAAAAATATCTCCAAGGAAAGAAAGAAAAACACTCAAGAAAAAAAGTGTGTGTCAAGATTTTTATACCTAGTCAGACTGTCCTTTGAGCATAGTGGCTATAGATAAATAAAATTTTTTTTCAGACACATCTGCAAGAACCTAAAGAGAATAATTCACATAAGCCCCTCCTATTAAGAGACAAAACTCAACTAAAATATAATTTTAAAATAGCAAGAAAAGAACAGGTGGTAAGGCTTTAATATACTTATGATATATTTAAGATGAGAACACATGGACACAGGAAGGGGAACATCACACACAGGGGCCTGTTGTGGGGTGGGGGGAGGGGGGAGGGATAGCATTAGGAGATATACCTAATGTTAAACAACCAGTTAAAGGGTGCAGCACACCAACGTGGCACATATATACATATGTAACTAACCTGCACGTTGTGCACATGTACCCTAAAACTTAAAGTATAATAATAAAAATAAGTGATAAAATGAAAAAAAAGTAATGTGTTTCAAATTACTGGCTAGTTTGAAAATGTATAACTATTATCAAAAACACAAATAAAAGAGAGAAAAAAGTTGATAAGTGGCGTAAGCTCACCAGTACTTTGCCTGGAATAGCTACAAATTAAAAGGCATCATTCAAAAGTGGCAAATGACATAAATCTTAAGCAATTGCCCATTGGTCTCCCCAGTTGAACCCTATTGATTTTGCACGAAGAATTTTATGCAAGACTACCTGTAAAAGAGTGCTGATCACAACAGAGCAAGCAATAAAATGGGGACATTTACATCTCAGAAGTGTCTATCATTTATTTAATCAAAGTTAAGCCTTGATATTCCAAGACTAATTGGTGTCATTTTCCCTTATGCACTCTCTGTCTCTCTTCTCTCTCTCTCTCTCCCACACACACACACACACACACACACACACACACACACATTCTTTTATACAGAGACCACTGATAATGGACACTATGTACATCAGTCTGAGGTCAGAACATTTCAAGTAAAATTGCACTTTGGCTGTATAAATCGTTGTCCAAGAAAATAGACCAATCTTCCAGTCATCATAGCAAAAGAAATTTGCAAGTAGAAAGGGAATGCATTGGAATAGCTCAAGTAAAGGACTAGGCTACGGAAGGACAAAACTCAGCTCTGGGGAGTCTGCATAGAAGGAACTGATAAACAGTCTTTTCAGGATGCCACCTTTGAGGGGATTGAGCCTTAACCCTTGCAAGTATTTTTGATGGTGTTCTCAAAAGTAAAATTCCAATAAACTGTATGGATCACATGCTATAACACCAGATTGTATGCAATAGGTAAAATATAGCACCCCAAATGGAAGAAAATTTAGCAGGAAAAGATAGAATAAATAGTGAGGTCTAAAGCAGCAGGTGTCCATTAGGAATGCCATGGTCTTTGTGCTTACACTGGTGGGTTGGGAGAAGGGACCAGAAAATTTATTTAAATCTCAGAGATGTTAGAGAAGCTAAGAGGTAGAGAAGCACTGATGAAGGCACAAGACATAGAAACAGTTTATGGGGGCTTTTTCCTGCATATCTCCACCTCCTGTTCACTATTATTTTTCCCAAACATCTTCCTCATCCCATGTAACTATTCTGTATTCACACTCACTCTTGCTTGTTCATGTCTTTCTCCCACTGGCATTTCATGACTCCTGCCCAAGGATGTAAAACCTTTCCATTTATCGCTACCTTTCTGTAATTCTGCGACAGTCCCTTTAAGAGAATGCACCTGAATTTGCCCATATTTCTCATGGCATTAATGAGTAGTAGATGTCTATGAAAATCATCTGTTACCTTTCTAGGGTACCTGCATCCATTTATTTGAAGGCTGTCTTGGATATTTGAAACTTTCAGCTCAAAGGAGTGTCTATGCTTAAGAAAATGTACTAAATCCCCTTAAGTCAGAAGAACCACTCACTGTTCAGAACCACAAGCTCCAAAGAACCACTGTTGTTTGGGAAGATACTGCCAAACCCATAACCAGCTTCTCCAAGACCCAATAAGTTGGCAACAGCTTTTTCAAAAGTTTCACAATTTTATTTTCTGATTTGATAGTGTAAAATTTCCATCTGCTTTCACTTTGGAGCAGTTTGGAAAATACTAGAAAAAAATTAGGAGGTAACCAAATCATTCCTAGGTGAATTTTTATTTTTGTGATGACACCAACTGGAATTAAAACAAAACAAAACAACACAAAAAATATAAAGACCGCCACATAAGCCATCTGCTACTAAAGGCCTTTGGCTATTCTTTTCCATATTTACTGCCAAGGGAGGTCCCTAACATATTACAATCTCAAATTTAGGATTCCAAATGGCAGCCTTTTAAATAGCAGCAAAGCACTAGCAGTGGAAACACAATAACAGATACTTGTCATTTTATAGGTTTGAATATTTTTATATTTGTAATAAGTACATTTTGAGATAAACACATGAAGATGAAAGAGCAGAATGGCATTTTAATCATTCTTAAGCAGGAAAAAGATAACTATTTTTTTTTAGCATGGAAACTTTCCACTTTTAGTAAGAGAAGATTGAGAGAAGGCAGAGTACACTGTCAGGTTCAATTAATTGTTGAAACCAAACAAAAATAGCCTCTCATGGTTCCCATTGTTCTGCAGCTGTTGGCTTCATAATGCCTGTTGTCTCCTTCCTTATGACTAATCATCATGGTTGCCCAGTTTCCTTTCTTGATTTTCTACCAGAAGTTGTGATGTGTCATAGGAAGAAAGGGCAACCCTCCAAGAATTTCTTTCCAGGTCTTTTGAACACATCCATCCTGGAGCATTTGCCTTTTTCTTCAAATTGCTGAATCTCTTGACCTCCCTGAACTAAGAAGCCATGTTTGTGAATGTGCATGCTTCAGTCGTTTGATAAGGGAGCCTAAGTAGCTTCCTGCTTTAAAGAGGTCAAAAAGATGGGAGTCCCGAATGGAATGTGTGCAAAAGTCTTCAGCCTAATGTGTTTTTCTTTTACAAAATCTCACCTTGCTTCTTGTTACTCTGTTGAACAGTTCCAGATTGCTAAAAGTATCACCTGCTTCCTGAGTTTAGCAATTTCTAAAAGTGTTATATCATGAGTATATAAAATCCCATTTAGTTGAATATCAAAATTCTAGCCACTTAACTTCTCAGAACACATAAAAGAACTTCAGAGTAAAAGGAAAAGACTACTGACATAGTTGTAAAACCTGATGCACTAAGACTTAAGTACTTTTGGTATTAAGGAGAGTGTTACAATTTTGAACACTGTCTGGCATACATTAAACATCAGATAAGTGTTTATGGCATTATTGGAGCTTAGATTAGCTGTTTTTAGACCTAAATCTAGCAAACTTGGTTATTATGTTTCTCAGGAAAAAAGAAAAAGATTACCAACAACGTTTTTGAATTATGGCAGAAGACAACAAAATGAGAATGTTGTGAAAATCTACAGCTGATATCTAGCTATAAAAATGAGACCAAAAAAATTACAAAACACAATTGCAATAGTTGGTCCATTTGATTTGCCCGAGGATGCAAAATAAATTAGATCACCCTTCAGAGACACCACCCTAATGATCATAGTAACTACTATTAAATTATCAAGGAAAAGTCCAATTAGGTTTCATTTATGCTAAGAAAGCAATATAAAGTAAAATAAGATTAAAGTTTAAAGGGAGCGGACTGAAGCACTAAGGATTTTCATCATCTTGGAAAATCTACTTAAATAGGGCAGCTCATTCACCAAAGATTTTAGTTCTCAGTGGGGCCTTGCTGAATTCACTTATGCTGTCAGATCTGAAGATATCCTATCACACAGTCTCACGCTTTACATAGCAAAAAGATTAGGGTGAACACAATCCTCTCTCCTCATGTTAGACCATGTCTGTCTCCCTTAAAAAAAAAAAAAAAAAAAAAACCACTGTCTGAACTTAGCTAGCCTCCAACCTGCCTTTGGGGAGAGTGCAGCTCCTTTGCTCAGAATGAGTCACTCAGTCTGTTTGTGCCCCACCTAACTGGTGTGGATGCTGGCTTTGGTTCCTTATAAGTCCATAAGGCAGCCTGGCTGAATTTATGATTCAGAGTAACCTTTAGTCCATCTCCTGCCTGTGTGTGCTTGCTACGAGTTCTCTCCAGGTCACCAGTGAGTTTTTCCTCCTCTATCATCATCGAAACCATTCATGGCCACATTGCACCTCACACTTATGCCCCAACAGCTTTATACATACCCAGTTCTTTTACCTCCAGGCCTTCATCCCCAGTGTGTCCTCTCCCTGACAGGCATCTTTCCCTTTCTACTAGTCCCAGCCACCTCCCACCACCTTTTCTCCCAGCTCAGTAGTTCTCAACTTTGGACAATTTTGTCTCCCAGGGGACATCTGACAATACCTCAAGACTTTTTTGATTGTCATAACCTGAGGAAAGACACTGCTGGCATCTAGTGGGTAGAGGCCAGGACTTCCATCGAACGTCTTCCAACGTACAGGCCAGTCCTCCAAACAAAAAATTATCCAGTCCAAATTGTCAAAAATGCCAAGGCTGGGGGATGCTGCAATCTTCTCAGTCTTCATTCTTACATCTCAGTTCAAATCTCACCTCCCTTAAAACCTTCCCTGAACATTATTCTTCACTACAGGAGAAGGGTTAGCTATCCCTACTCTTTCCTCTTTTAGTACTTGATATAATATCCATTCTTGAGCTTTCTATACCATAACAAAATTACCTTTGTCTACATTTCCCCCGCCCCACCCCCACCCCCACCCCACCCCACTAAACTCTTAGCTCCTTGTGAGCAGGGGTGGTGTCTTTTTCATCCACATCTATCCAGCACCCAGACTAGTGCCTGGTTTATTGTAAATGTTTTTAAAAATGTTTGAGTGATTGAATTTAAAAGATTAATTTTGTTTGAAACTTTATGTCTTTGCTTTTTTGCTAATCGTTTGGCAACATTAGAGACACCTTGCTGATCCCCAAGAATCTTCTGATCCATTAAGGATCTTTAAATATAGAGTAAGTGAGCCTCAACTCCTTACATTTCACTATGTCTGTGTTCTGGAGTTCCTCAGAAAGGATGACATCTTTGAGGATAATCTTTGGATGTTGATAACAGTGCATTTAAAGTTAACTGAGAGGCTGTCTTTAGCTGATAATAATCTGCTGAGTTGGATTTCTTATCTAGTTAACAGTATAGTCACTGAAGCCAGATTGCTTGGGTTCAAATCTAGGACCTGCCACCTACAACCTGTGTGACCTTGAGCATATTAATTAAACGTTCTGTGCTTCCGTTTTCTTTCTGAAAAAAAAAATGGGGATGATCATGGTATGAAACTCATAGATTTGTTATGAGAATTACCTGAGTTAGTATTTGTAAAATGCTTAGGACAGTGCTTGGTACTCAGTAAGTGGTTGTTAAACAAGGTTGGAAGGATAGGCTAGTGTCAACCCTCTGCTACTTGTGATGAATGCATCAAGCCAGGTAAATACATCTCATTCTAAAATATAACTCTACTTTATTGCATCCCTGAGGAGACTTGGATGAACACATGTTAAAAGATAAGACAATTAAGATTTACCCATCATGTGTCTTAGACCAAAATAACCCTCCAGAACTTGTCAAGCTTTTCTATAGGCAGGTGACAGAATGTCTTATAATCCTGGCATATATACAAAAACCACTGATAATCTATGATTGCCACTGCTGCTGCATTCTAATTTTCCTGCTTCAAACTGGCATTTTAATCATTCTGCCCATAGCAACTAATGTCCTTTAAATTAGCATTAAAAATTCATTCTTTTGGTTTATCCTTCCTGAATCAAGCTAATTAACTATCAGCTGAGAGCCCTTTAAATTATAAACTGAATGTGTTACATTTTCTAATTTATAATGCCTTATCTAGGCAAATTGAAAACCCAGAAAGGAGTGAATTAATTAATATTAATTAAAGAGAACAACATGGAACGAATGCCAGGTCAATCTTTGGAGTGTGCTTGGAAAGCCATTGTTGGGACTAATTTGTCCCTTTGCAGCATAGAACTTTGGACAAAAGGCTTTTCCATGGTGGCCTTATAAGGAATGAGAAAGGGAAGCCGGAGATAAGACTAGAAGTACCAATGAATACCGATATTATACATCTGTATTTACATATATTGCATATGTAATATTTCATATTCTCTATAATAAGAAACCAAATAATCAAATTAGTCCCTGAAGCTTTTCACAATTTTTTCTAGACTTTTTAATAGAAATCCCCTTTTATTTTTACTCAGCAAGTATTTTCTGAATGCCTCTAACATACAAAGTTTTAGGTAGGGAAATAGAAAATTAAAAGGATCATAACCCAAGGAACTTAAAGTATAGAGCAGCACCGTTCAATAGGGCTTTCTGTGATAATGAAATGTTCTATATCCACACCATCCAATAAAGTTGCCACCTGTGCATATTCAGCACTAGAGATGTGGCTCATGTGATTGAGGAAATAGATTTTTAACTTTACTAAAATTTAAATAGCCACATGTGGATACTTGTTGTTGTATTAGATATCTCAGGTCTAGAAGGTGAGAGAAACTGCATAATGTTTATTTTTGTCACTTAAAATTTTTCAAAGTTTGTCAGTGTTTCTTTTATGCCACGCAATTGTATGTCTCTCTTTCTCTGTCTTTGTCTCTGTTTCTCTCTCCCTCCCTCTCTGTCTCTCCGTGTCTCACATACACACACACACACACAAACATACACACATACACACATGCACATACCTCTCTTTGTTTTCTATTCACTGTCATATTTATCATCTTAAACTGATTTTATTCAGGGCTATGATGATCAACTTGGAGAGATGGAGTATATCAGAGTTACTAGAGGGCAAAAAAGAAAATGCCTGCATAATCAATGTTATAATTTTATAATGAAAAATGAGAAAAATATTTATACACATTATAGAAAAGTAAAATGGTGGGATGATTTGAAGAGCACAGTTTTCAACAGAAAGCTATACCTCTCCCCAAGGTGAAGTATCAGAATCTAGGAAGGGGTAGAAGAGATGCTGTGAGATTATTGTGTTGAACAAATAGGCACATGGGTTTACAAACTTTAAGAAATATTAAATTAGCTTAAAAACAATTAAAACATATTGTCCTAAAGGGCTGAAGGGTCCTTTCACCACATAAGACATTATATATAATCATTATTTCAATGGACATCAGAAATTCACTAAGCGTTCTGGGGACCAACGGCCTTAATTCATCCAGAAGTGGTCCCTGAGTCCTCCACAAGGTTGCTGACACAATTCCTAGTTGTAGATATTGGACAGTATAATTTGGATTTTACCCTAATATTCCTAAATGTAAACAAAGATATTAGGAATATAGCTGTGAAAAACTGGTTTAATACAAAGTTTAACAAACCACTATACATAAACAAAAATACATTCAAAATACAATAACATTTTTTCAGGACATATAATTTAGACTTTTTTTTCAAATCCAAGCCTATAAATCAGTGGGGGTTATTTTGTAAGTAAGGGCTAAATTCCAGAAGATTTGGTAAAGTTATTTTATGTTCATCAAAGTTGGATTTCAGATTCAATCATTTTCTTCATTGCGCTATTAAATTATGTTGCCTTACTCACCCCCATCTTTTTGACTTGACTCGCACAATACCAATATTGCCACCTATGGGTCAACATGATGTTGTGAGATGTTTTACATGACCGAGATGAGAAAGAAAAAAAAGTACTTGGAGAATGAATCATTTTGGATAGTTGAGTTTGACAGCTACACAGGATCCGTGCTTTTACATATCTTTTATTTAGTAGTTTTGGATAGAAAGCCTCTTCAAAGATACTGCACAAGTCCCTAATGTCTTAGCTACTGCACTGAAAATAATTAACAATTTTGATGACTACAGATAATTATCATCAATATAAATTACTATGCTAGATCAGAGATATTTCTCAAGTGCAAATTTGATCCTAGGCAAAGGCATCTCAGACTGTTGTCTCCTTTGAGTATTTAACTCAGTAGAATATTCAGTCACATGTCTAGACTCTCTGTTTGCTTTTCACTGCCCATAGTACATAATCCCACTTGTCAATTCCCATGATTTCCTATAGTTATAAACCAAATAACTACCCTAGTTAGAGTTGTTTACAAAATAAGGGTAATTGGGAACTGAATATGTGCCTAGAATTTAGAAATCTTACCATAGGGATTTTGTGACTCTGATTTTGTCTCCTCACATAAAATTTTCGTAACTTGCTTTATGATACACAGCTTCATTCCTAACAGGTAATGTAACTGAATAAGCATCTTAGATAAGTGACTCATTAATTACTTCTCATTTGAATTTCTCATTATCACTTTTCATTGTTTGAATGACTTGTCATTATTAGTGACTTCTCTCTTCTTTTTACTTAACTGTTATCTTCATATGTTGTAATTCTTCATACAAGAAATAAAGTGTCAATTTTTAATACAAAATTGTATGATATTAAAAATATGTGAAAACCTGTTATTATCCCTAAATATTCTAATCTAGTTTCCATATACCATGTAACAATTGCTAACAATTTTTTCTCCAAATTAGCAGAATATATTATTCTGAGCAAGAGTTAATAAACTTTAATTAATTTTTATCTCACTGAAGTTTTAGATAAATCACACCTTGCAATCTGGCAGGCTCTTAAAAGCTAAATCTCTCCTGAACTTTAAACTTAGAAGTACTATAGTCAGGTGGTATAGACAAAGCCATGGACACTTCTTTAGAGCCTCAAAGAAATTTGAAGTAGGCCTCTTAGTCTATCTGCCACCATATACTTTAACATTCATCATTAAAATTCTAATGTATAACTTTTCTGGAAAAAGGAGCTTCGTTTAGACATTCATGATCTTTACTTACAAAAGTTATTACTTATTATCTCTCTGCATCAAATATTTTAATGAATAATATGTAAACTATCCTATTAAATAAAGATAAATTAGATAAATTGAAGAGGGGCTCAGAAAGTACCATGAAATCCATCTTGGAAAGAGCACCGAGCAAAGAATGTTTCTCCAGATGCTATGTGAAGAAAAAAAGTTTTTCTTTTTAATGAGTTTAATGAATTTGGAAAACTCCTCATATTATAACACGTTCTTAATTATTCACAATCCACTTCACAGCATTAAATACTAACAATCCCACAATGAAGAAATATAGGTCGGTTTGTTTGACTCAAAGTTTTCAAATGTACTGGAGTATGGAATCATTTCCTTTCTGAATGTCTTTAGTGTCCAACTGAACTGTACCCTGGTACATGCTAGCCACCTACAGGCTACTCAGATATTCACTTCTCCCCTCTTTTGAGGCCCGTGATAGATTTGTACCTCTTTACATCTTCAACAGTTAGGCATCACCAAATAACATGCATTTGTCCAGATGAATGTAGCAGTTGTGACCTGTGTCACTTCTAGGCCAAAGGTTTAAGGGCCACTATGTAGTTGGCTACATTCCCTTTTCCCTGCCTTGGGCAACTTGAAAGCATATGTCAAGGTGTAGGCTGGGTCAGCCTGGGGCAATGAGTGACTATGATGAGCAGAGCCCCCTGGCAGACCTACAAGAGGTGAAGAATGAGCAGGAAATAACCTTTGTTGGATTAAACCTTGAGGTCTGGGGGCTACTCATTATGGCAGCATAATGAGCTCATTCCAAAAAATATATTGGACTAGGCAGCAAAAATCTTAAAAGTATCAATGGACTTATAAGATATCCAAAATACGTTATAGTACCAGAAACCAATTTTACTGGGGTTTTTATAGTAGCTTTGCCTTCTTTAAAAGTCTTAGACATTTTAATAAAGGAAGGCTGGCTACATCAAGAAGGCTCTCTTGGTGAAATTAGAATCGAGCCAGAGGGCCTCTGTTCATGTTTGGGCTGAGTACCGTAAAACTCTTGCAGGCACACAAATACAAGAGAGTAGTTATTATACATGCTATTGGCTCACCTCCCCTGATAGCATTTCTCTTTGCACACCATTCCCTCCACAGCAATTCTATATTGTTCTTGCTACTCTTATAGGATTACAAGTTCATAATGTATAAGTCAGTCTATGGACTTCATAAAGAGGCCAATTTAATGTTGTTACTGTTTTTCCTGAAAAACTAGCTTTCCTCATTTGCTTTCTGGACATTGATTAAAAGACTACATTATTTTTTATAATTTGTGTTCCAGGCACAAGTGGGAGTTCCAATTTCTTTACTGAATAAACTAGAAGTAAATTGACTTCTTTGATCATTGACTGAAGAAGGGAAAATTGATGTTATATGTAAGGATATAAAACAGCTCCTCTTTTAGGCCAGGAATCAGGTTTCTAAATAAAGAAAAGTTCACATCAGTTTACACTTATGTTTGGTACAGACCTTTACTAAAACCATAATAAGGAAAAAAATTAACATGAAATTATCTCCCAGTTGTCAGAATCAAATTTCTCTGAACTTTCCAAGCCTCCTCAGTCTTTAATCCCTATATTTTTTCTTTATTCTAACCTCAGAACCCTGGAAAAACTGAATCGGTGACATAATTTAGATCAAACTGAAAGAAGAATAGCTTATTTTATACTGAAGTAGTAAAGCATTCGCTTGATTTATTAGGCCCTCCTGCAGAAACATTCAATTTTCAATCTTTTAGCATGTAGGCATTCCTTTATATAAGAATCACTAAATACTGAGTATATACTGGGCATTGAAGAAGGCAGTCAATACTTCTCTGCTTTTAAAACAAAATACTGAACTGTACTTACTAACATGGTAGTCACTAGCCACCTATCATTATTTATGTTAAATTATTTAAAATTAAATAAAAATAAAAATTTAGTTCCTTAGTAACACTAAACCTATTTTAAACATTCAATAGCCACATGCAGTTAGTGGTTACCATATTGGACAGTGCAGATATAAAGCATGCACATTATTTCACAAAATTCTATTGAACAGTAAAGATATAGAACATTCCCAACATCACAGAGCAGAACTGCTACTCTATGTCCCTTACTTAAGATTGAGTTTGAGACCAGCTTGACCAACATGGTGAAACCCTGCCTCTACTAAAAATACAAAAATTAGCTGGGCATGGTGGCGCATGCCTGTAGTCCCAGCTACTCGGGAGGCTGAAACAGGAGGATCGCTTGAACCTGGGAGGCAGAAGTTTCAGTGAGCCAAGATTGTGCCACTGCACTCCAGCCTAGGTGACAGAGCGAGACTCCGTTTCGAAAAAAAGATTGTTATCATATATTATTGTTCATAAACATGTCAGTTGGATTATCTAGAGCCTACACTATTTAATAAAACTTTCTGTATGCAGTTTATCCAGGACAATGAGACTTCCAGGCAGAGCCAGCTTGGAGACCTAGAACCAGTCTGCAAGTATCATTGCTAGATGCCACAGCCTTCTCCCCTGAGATCATGGGGCAATGGGGTGCTTTCTGCTCCATGCCCAGGCAGATCATCAGGCGGTTGGAGAACTCACTTACCTGGATCAGCAGCCTGAGCCACTTCACGCTTCCTGCACATAGACCATGATGTAGCAGGGCCCTCTCTGCCCCATACTCATGCAGATCGCCAGGCAGTTGGAGCATCTTTTCACCAAGATCAGCAGCATGAGCTGCAACATACTTCCTACACAGAGATTGTGGTGCAGGGGGCCCCATTCTGCTCCAAGATCAAGCAGATCACCAGGTATTTGGAGCACCCACTTTCCCAGATTTGGAGTTTAGGCCACCCCCTTGCCTGGTGCAGAGACTTGAGGACAAGAAGATTTCCCAGATCCATGCCTAGGCAGACCTCTGGGCACTTGGTGGCCATGTGCTGGATACCCTCACTGGGCTAGTGCTTGTGCCAATAATTGGCAAACCTAGAGTCAGGCCTGCCCAGTCTAGTGCCACTCATCTTGGCCTTCCCAATGGGGCTGAGCAGGGAATCCAGACCTCTGTGCAATTCATGGATCAGCCAATTGCCTGAAGCAACAGAGAGTTCCTCCCAGTAAACAAGATTTTATGTATATACTCAGCTGTGTTAGCCACAGATGACTCTTACCCATAACCATCATCTACTGATCTGTACATAAAACTGCAAGGCCCTGTGTAAAACATACTGACAGAAGTATATAAAGCTGTAAAAGCAAAGTCAAAAGACCCTGCCCAGCATACTCTACAGTCACTTCCCCTAGGGAGGAAGTTAAGGGAAAGAAAGAAAAAAAAATACCAATATAAAGAAAGAAATAAAAAAATCATGTTTGCATGAAAATAACTACAAAAATTAGTAGTGCCAGTATTGCCAAATGAGAAGAAACCAGTGAAAAAATTCTGCTACCATGAAAAATCTGAAAGTTATGACACGATCAGAAGATCACATTAGTTCTCCAGCAATAGTCCCTAAACCAAAAAGAAAACTCAGAAATGACAAAGGAAGAATTCAAAGCATGGATTGCAAAGAAGCTCAATGAGATCCAAGATAAGGTTGGAAATCAACACAAAGAAAAACTTCCAAAGAAATCCCGGAAATGAAGGACAAGATAAACATCTTAAAAAGAAATCAATCGGAGCTTCTGCAATTATAAAACTTACTTAAGGAATTTCAAAATACAATTGAAAGCATAATCAATAGACTGGATCAAGCAGAAGAAAGTATTTCAGACCTTAAAGACCTGCCTTTTGAACTTGCCCTGTCAGACAAAAATAGAGAAAATTAATTTTTAAAACTAATCAAAGTCTTTGAGAAAATTAGCATAATGTAAAGTGACCAAACCAACAAATTATTGACATTCTTGGGGAAGAATGAGAAAAAGTAAACAACCTGGAAAATATATTGGAGAAAATGGTTCAAGAAAACTTCCCTAATCTTGCTAGAGATGTAGACATCCAGATAAAACAAATCCAGAGAACACCTGGGGGATATCATACAAAATAAATATCACCAAGCCTTATAGTCACCAGACCATCCAAGGCCAAAGCTAAAGAAAAAATCTTACAGGCAGCTAGATAAAAAGGTCAAATCAAAAACAAAAGAAACACCCATCAGGTTAATAGCAGACTTCTTAGCAGAAACCCTATGAGCCAGGAGAGATTGGGGACAAATTTACAACATTTTGTATACATATGTAACTAACCTGCACATTGTGCACATGTACCCTAAAACTTAAAGTATAATAAAAATAAATAAATAAATAAATAAATAAATAGAAATCCCAACCAAGAATTTCATATCCCATCCAAGTAAGCTTCATAAGTGAAGAAGAAATAAAATCTTTTCCAGACAGCCAAGCACTAAGAGAATTAGTTACCACCAGACCAGCCTCCAAGAGATCCTTAATGGAGTTTTAAAATGGACTCAAAAGAACAATACATGCTACCACAAAAACACATGTAAGTACATAGCCCATAGACTCCGAAAGCAATCATGCAATAGAAACTACAAAGCAACCAGCTAAAAACCTCATGATAGGATCATAACTTCATGTATCAATATCAATTTGCCAGCATACATTTTTGTTTGCATTTATTAATCAAGCAATTTCATACTTATCCCTGCCAAATACTATGAAGTGTCAAAATTTGGCATAGGGGTTGCAAAACTATAAACCCAGCCCAAAACAGAATGATCTTTGCTTGTGCAATCTTTAATAAATAAGACATTGATAATGGTTCAATAAAAACAGCTACATCTTAAACTTAGTAAGATTACCATAACTTCTAATCTTGTGGCTTTAAGCAGTCTAGTCCACAGACAGAAAGGTTTGTTATTGTCTTTGTTTCAAAGCTAAACTATAAGTTCTTCCCAAAATTAGTTTGGCCTATGCTCAAGAATGATCAGGGACAGCTTGGAGGTTAAAAGCAAGATGGAGTCAGTTAGGTCAAATCTTTTTCACTGTCTCAGTTATAATTTTGCAATGACGGTTCTATAACTTTAAATGATGACTACTGTGGTTCTCAAAAATAATCTAGGTAAACAATTAAAATAAAATAATTAGATAAATGTAATAGGATAAATACTTGTAGACAAACTCATCATAATTTAGAATCTAAAGTTATATTAAATTAAGTAAATATTTCATTATTTGGGTATTTTCCAATAAAAATATATTTGTAGGAAATCATTCTTTCTTAAAAAAAAAAGGTGTGTCCTTTCTAAAAGAGTGGACAATTTTTGTCTAATTCAAAGCTTATTTAAAGGTTATGTATAAAACAAAATTAAAGGAACCAGGAAATAAGAGAGATGTAAAGAAAGTTATAAAAATTAAAAGGTTTTTGATAAGAAAACTTAAAGAGAAATAATTTTATATGAGAAATGATCTTGTATGGTAAATTTAATCCCAGAATACAATGACTGGTTGTTTAAAAAAGAGGAATCTTCAGGACAAATGAGAAACTCCAACCATGTCATGAATGGTCTACGTAAGTTACAATAGCAGGATATACATAAAAAAATTTATATGATCAAGTTGTCATATTATTATTAGGTTTTGGTTTGCTTAGGAAAAAAAAACTTGGATTAAAAGTTTTTAAAAATAAGGCTATTACATTCATGTGTCTCTCTATATATGTGCTTTTAAAGTACTTGTGACCTTGAGTTACAGGGCTTTGACTCCTCAGTCTAAAAGGACACCAAGTCCTGCTAAATTTTAAACACAAATAGCAACTAAAGCCCAATCTTCAGGCCTGGTAGAAGATGCCAGTCAAAACAAACTGCATTCCTGAGACACAGAGCTAGAAATTAAAGCTATTCAACTCCTCAAGGCCCAGTGACTATCATGGAAGAGGTGGGTGTGTAATATTGTGAGGGGCAATTTTAAGAGATAAAATAAGTTCAGTCTCTCTATAAATTAATTATTAATATCAAAAGCACACTAGTGCAAGACCAACATATGGGCCCCTGTGTCAGATTAACAAGGTTTTCTTGAAGCATTAACTGACTCTTTAATAAATGTTATAAAGTTTATAAAAGGTTTATGGAAGTTATATCTTATGGTCAAGATTAAAATTTTATAGAGTGTTTATAAAATTTTGAAAAACAAATTTAATTGGATTAATGCTGTTTTTATTAGGGCTTATTGTTTAGAAAATTAAGTCTGTTCTCAAAGAATGAAGGTTTTTGACTTTTTTTGAAATTCTTGAGTTACCACTTTGGTCAAATGAATGACTTATACAATGAGCTGTAATATCAAGTGTTTTAAATCTTTAATATTTGACAAACTTTTCAGAGCCAATTAATAATTAAAATCAAATTATAAATAGTGTCTTTTTCTGACCTAATTAATCCTTTAAAATATTAGTTTCCCTAAGGTCCAAAAATGATATCATTTGACTTAGTTGGTACAGAAATTATATAGGAAGCATTGTCAAATATGAAATGGTGTTTGGTTTTCTTTGGGCTGTATTTGTTTGTTTGTCTCTTTGTTTGTTTGTTTTTTGAGACAAAGTCTTGCTCTGTCACCCAGGCTGGAATGCAGTGGTGCAATCTTGGCTCACTGCAGCCTTCGCCCCATCGGGTTCAAATGATTCTCATACCTCAGCGACTGTAGGCACACACCACCATGCCTTGCTAATTTTTGTATTTTTAGTAGAGACGAGGGGTTGCCATGTTGGTCAGGCAGGTCTCGAAATTCTGACTTCAGGTGATCTGCCTATCTTGGCCTCCCAAAGTGCTGGGATTACAGGCATGAGCCACCACACCTGGCCTGGGCTGTATTTGTGTAAATGTTATTTGTATGTGTTGCAAAATCATGGAAACTCCTATAATTCTAATATAATTTAGTGTACCTTATCAGTAATAATTATAATTATTATGTTAAATTATTGTGTGCCACAGAGGTAACAAATTTCCTTGTCAATTGTGTCTTTGACTATGGCTGCCCTCAAAACACTGTCACAGGAATGAAGAATGCTTTTATGGGCTTATTAGTAGCCTGGAAACAGCTGAGGAAAGAATCTCTGAGCTTAATTAAAGGTATTTCCATAGAAACCTCCAAAAAAGAAAAACTAAGAGAAAAAAGTCTGTAAAGAAAACCAGAAGACAGTATCCAAGACCTGTGAGACAGCTACAAAAGGTGTAACATATGTGTAATGAAAACACCAAAATGGGGGGGAAAAGAGATCAAGGAACAAGGGAAATATTTTAAACAATAATGACGCAGAATTTGCCAAATTAATGCCAGGCACCAACCCAAAGATCTAGGAAGATCAAAGAACATCAGGAGGATAAATGCCAGAGAAACGACAACTAGTATATCATTTCCAAAGTACAGTAAAACAAAGATTTTTAAAATCCTGAAAAAAGGCAGAGGAAAATAATACTTTATGCATAGAAAGGCAAAGCATGACATTGAACTTCTCAGAAACCATGTAAGTAAGAAGAGAGTGGTGTGAAATATTTAAAGTTTTGAGAGAAAAACCCATCAACCTAGATTCTGTACACTGCTAAGTTAACCCTCAAAAGTAAAGTAGAAATAAAGATTTACCCAGATAACAAAAATTGTCTTGAAATAAATGTTAAAAGAAGTTCTTTAGAGAGAAGGAAAATAAAATAAGTTAGAAACTTAGATCTACATAAAGGAAGAGCAATGGAAAAGGGATAAATGGAGGTAAAATGAAACCTTTATTTTTCCTATTAATTGATCTCACATAACAATTTGTTCAAAATAATAATAGCAACATTGCATTTAATTGTATATGTTTATGTGGGTGTATATATATACATATATATTCTTGTGCATGCTGGCATTTTACCAAAATGAATGACATTGATTATAAAAGGGATGGTGGGAAAAATTGGAATTATTTTGTTATTATGAGGAAATCACACTACCTGTAAAGCCATATAGTGTTATTTGAAAGTGGACAAGTGGACTTAGATTAGTTGTAAATGTATATTGCAAACTCTGGGGCGACTACTAAAAAAATTTTTTTTAAGGTACAAGTGATATGCTAAGAAAAGAGAGAAAATTAAATTTTATAAAATGCTCAATGAAAAACACAAAATGAAAAAAGAATAGAAGACAAAATAGGAACAACGAACAAGGACAACAAATAGAAAGCAGTAACAACTACGTGACATTAAGCACACTGCATCAGTAATCACTTTAAACATCAAGGGTCTAAATGCACCAATTAAAAGGCAGAGATTGTTATAGTTAAATAAAAAATAAGATCCAATTATATATTGTGTACAAGAAACCCATTTTAACCACAGAGACACATATAGGCATACCTTGTTTTATTGCCCTTTGCATTATTGTGCTTCACAGATATTACACATTTTTAGAAATTGAAGGTTTATGGCAACGCTGTGTTGAGAAAGTCTATTGGTACCATTTTTCCAACATTATGTGCTCACTTTGTGTCTCTATGGAATGTTTTGACAATTCTCCCAATATTTCAAACATTTTCATTATGATTATATCTATAATGGTGACCTATGAGCAGCAATCTTTGATATTACTCTCAAAATTGTTTTGGAACACCCAGAAGGCAAACTTAATCATTAAATGTTGTGTGTGTTCTGACTGCTTCAATGACAAGCCATTTCACTGTCTCTCTCTCTCCCTTTAGCCCTCCCTATTTTCTAAAGACAACCATATTGAAATTACACCAATTCATAATCCTACAACAGCCTCTCAGTGTTCAAGTGAAAAAAGAGTTGCACATTTCTCACTTTTAATCTCAAGCTAGAAATACTTAAGCTTAGTTAGGAAGGCATGTTGAAAGCTCAGATAGGCTGAAAGCAAGACCTCTTGTGCCAAATAGTTATCCAAGTTGTAAAAGCAAGGGAAAAGTTCTTGAATGAAATAAAAAGTGCTACTGCAGTGAACACACACATGATAAGAATGCAAAACAGCTGTATTGCTGATATGGAGAAAGTGTGAGCAGTCTGGATAGAAGATTACACCAGGCACAACATTCCTTTAAGCCAAAGCCTAATCAATATCTAGGTCCTAACCCTGTTCAATTCTATGAAAGTTGAGAGAGGTGAGGAAGCTGCAGGAAAAAAAGTTGGAAGCTAGCAGAGGTTAGTTCATGAGATTTAAGGAAAAAATCTCTGTCCATAACATAAAAACACAAGGTGATGCAGCAAATACTGAAAGAGAAGCTGCAGCAAATTATACAAAAGACCTAGCTAGGCTAATTAATGAAGGTGGCTACACTAAGCAACAGATTTTCAGTGGAGATGAAGCAGTCTTCTATTGGAAGAAGATGCCATCTAGGACTTTTATACCTAGAGAAGTCAATGTAGGGCTTCAAAGCATTAAAGGACAGGCTGACTCCCTTATTAGGGACTAACGCAGCTGGCAACTTTAAGTTGAAGCCAATGCTAACTTACCATTTTGAAAATTAAAGGGCCCTTAAGAATTATGCTGTATCAACTCTGCTTGTGCTCTATACATAAACAACAAGGCCTGGATGATAGCACATCTATTTGCAGTACGGTTTACTGAATATTTTAAGCCCACTGTTGAGACCTACTGCCTAGGAAAAAAACAGATTGCTTTCAAAATATTACTGATCATTGACAGCTCTGATGAAGATATGAAATATTAATGTTTTTGTGCCTGCTAACACGACACCACTCTGCAGCTCATAGATCAAGGAGTAATTTAAACTTTCAGGTCTTATTATTTAAGAAATACATTTTGTAAGGCTTTTGCTGCAATAGGGAATGATGTTTTCTGATGAATCTGTATAAAGTAAATTAAAAATATTCTGGAAAAGATTCACCATTTCAGATTCCCATAAGAACATTTGTCATTCATGGGAGGAGGTCAAAACATCAACACTAACAGGAGTTGGAAAGAAGTTGATTCCTACCTTCATGGATGACTTAGAGGGATTCAAGACTTTAGTGGCGGAAGTAACTGCAGATGTGATGGAAATTGTAAGAGAACTAGATTTAGAAACAGAGCCTCAAGATGTGATAGATTGATTGCAATCTCATGATAGATTTTGAATGAATGAAGGGTTGCTTCTTATGGAAGAGAAAAACTGAGGATATTGGAAACATAACTCAACATAATAAAAGCCATATATGACAGACCCACAGCTAGTATCATATTTAGCAGGGGAAAACTGAAAGCCTTTTCTCTAAGATCTGAAACACAAGGTGCTCACTGTCACCACTGTTATTCAACATAGTACTGGAAGTCCAAGCTAGAGTAATCAGAAAAGAGAAAAAAATCGAGAACATCCAAATTGCCAAGGAAGAGGTCAAATTATCTTTTTTTTTTTTTTTTTTTTTAAGATGGAGTCTCGCTGTGTCGCCCAGGCTGGAGTGCAGTGGCGCGATCTCCACTCACTGCAAGCTCCGCCTCCCACGTTCATGCCATTCTCCTGCCTCAGCCTCCTGAGTAGCTGGGACTACAGGTGCCCGCCACCACGCCTGGCTAATTTTTTGTATTTTTAATAGAAACGGGGTTTCACCATCTCAGCCAAGATGGAAATTATATTTATTTGAAGATGATGTAACCTTATATTTGGCAAAACCTAAAGAGCCAGCCAAAAAACTATTAGAACTGATCAACAAATTCAGTAAAGTAGCAGGATACAAAACCAATAAACAAAATCAGTAGCATTTCTATATGCCAACAATGAACAACGCAAAAAAGAAATTTAAAAAATAATTCAATTTACAATAACCAGACATAAAATTAAATGCCTAGGAATTAACTTATCCAAAGAACTGAAAGATCCCTTTAATGAAAACTATAAAACCTTGATGAAATAAAGTGGACAACAAAAAATAAAAAAATTCCATGTTCATGGATTGAAAAAATTAACATTGTTAAACTATCTATACCACTTAAAGCGATCTACAAATTCAGTGTCACCTGTATCAAAGTACCAATGGCATTCTTTACAAAAATAGAACACACAATCCTAAAATTTATATGGAACCCAAAAAGACTCAGAACAGCCAAAGCTATACTAAGCAAAAAGAACAAACCTGGAGGAATCACATTACCATACTACAGAGCTACAGTAACCAAACAACATAGTACTGGTATAAAAACAGACATATAGATGAATGGAACAAAGTAGAAAACCCAGAAACAAATCCACACACCTATAATAGATTCATTTTCAACAAAGGTGTGAAGAACACACACTGGGGAAAAGACAATCTCTTCAATAAATGATGATAGTAAAACTGAATATCCATATGCAGAAGAATAAAATTAGACCCCTATCTATCACCATATACAGAAATTAAGTCAGAATGGATTAAAGACTTAAATGTAAGACCTCAATGTATAAAACTACTACAAGAAAACATTGGGGAAAATCTCCAGGACATTGGTCTGGGCAAAGATTTCTTGAGCAATACCTCACAACCACAGGCAACCAAAGAAAAAATAGAGAAATGGGATCACATCAAGTTAAAAGGCTTCTGCACAGTGAAGCAAGCGATCAGCAAAGTTAAGCAACAACCCACAGAATGGCAGAAAATATTTGCAAACTACCACCCTTTGACAAGGAATTAATAGCCAGAATATATAAGGAGTTCAAACAACTCTATAGAAAAAAATATAATAATCCAATCAAAAATGGGCAAAAGATTTGAATAAGCATTTCTCAAAAGAAGACATAAAAATGGCAAACATGCATATGAAAAGATGCTCAACATCATTGATCATCAGAGAAATAAAAAATCAGAACTACAATAAGATATTATCTCACCCTAGTTAAAATGGCTTATATTCAAAAGACAGATAATAACGAATGCTAGTGAGGAACTGAAGAAAAGGGAACACTTGTATGCAGTTGGTGTAAATGTAAATTAGTACAACAACTATGGAGAACAGTTTGAAGGTTCCTCAAAAACCAAAAATTGAGCTACTACATAATCCAGCAATCCTAGTGCTAGGTACATGCTCAAAAGAAAGGAAATCAGTATATTGAAGAGATAGCTGTACTCTTATGTTTGTTGCAGCACTGTTTACAATAGCTAAGATTTGGAAGCAAACTAAGAGTCCATGAACAGATGAATGAATAAGGAAAATGTGGTGCATATACACAATAGATTACTATTCAGCTATAAAAAAGAATGAGATCCAGTCATTCACAAGATGGATGGAACTGGAGATCGTTATGTTATGTAAAATAAGCCAGGCACAGAAAGACAAACATTGCATGTTCTCACTTATTTGTGGGATCTAAAAATCAAAACAATTGAACTCATGAACTTAGAGGGTAGAAGGATGGGTACCAGAGGCTGGGAAGAGTAGTGAGGGTCTGCAGGGAAGGTAGGGATGGTTAATGGGTACAAAAAAGTTGTTAGAAAAAAACGAATAAGACCTTCTCTTTAATAGCACAATAGGGTGACTATAGTCAATAATAAATTAATTGTACATTTTTAAATAAAGAGTGTAACTGGATTTTTTGTAAATCAAAGGATAAATTTTTGAGGGGATGGATACCCCCATTCCCCATGACTTGTTTATTTCACTTGTCATGTTTGTATCAAACATCTCATATACCCCATAAATATATACACCTACTATGTACTCACAAAAACTTAAATAAAAATAAAAATAAATTTTTAAAAACAGTAGAAAAAAAGGAAATACTATCCGACACATTCTGTGAGGCCAGCACAACCGTAATACCACAACAAGACAAACACATTACAAGACAAGAAAACTACAAATTAATATCTCTAATAAACACTGATGCAATAATCATCAATAAAATATTACCAAATCAAATCCAACAATGTATATAAACAAATATACATCATTGTATTAGTAAGGGTTCTCTAAAGGGACAGAACTAATAGGATATAGGTATGTATGAAGGGGAGTTTATTAAAGAGTATTGACTCACAAGATCACATGGTAAAGTCCTACAATAGGCCATCTGCAAGCTGAGGAGCAAAGAAGCCAGTCCAAGTCCCAAAACCTCAATAGCAGGGAAGCCAACAGTGCAGCCTTCAGTCTCTGGCCCAAGAGCCCCTGGAAAGCCACTAGTGTAAGTCCAAGAGTCCAAAAGCTGATGAACTTGGAGTCCAATTTTCAAGGGCAGGAAGCATCCAGCATGGGAGAAAAATGAAGGCCGGAAGACTCAGCAAGTCAAGTCTTTCCTATTTATTCTATCTGCTTTATTCTAGCCATTCTGGCAGCTGATTAGCTTGTGCCCACCCAGAATGAGAGTGGGTCTGCCTCTCCCAGTCCACTGACACAAATGTTAATCTCCTTTAGCAACACCCTCACAGACACACCCAAGAACAATAGTTTGCATCCTTCAATCTAATCAAGTTGTCACTCAATATTAACCATCGCAATCATGGAAATAATGGGATTAATTCCAGGTATGCAAAGCCAGTTTGAGATTCAAAAATCACTTAATGTAATCCATCACATCAATAGTTTAAAGAAGAAATATCACAAGATTATATCAATAGTTGCAGAAAAAGCATTTGACAAAATTCAGTATCTGCTCTTGACAAAAACTCTCAGTAAACTAGGAATTGAGGGGAACTTACTCAACTTGATAAACAGTATCTATAAAATACCTACAGCTAACATCATATTTAATAGTGAGAAACTCAAAACTCCTGCTAAAATCAGGAACAAAGTACAGATATCTCCTCTCACCACTAATTTTCAATGTCAATTTTCAAGGTAATGCATAAGTCAATACAAAGAAATAAAATATATCCAGATTAAAAATAAGACAAAACTGTGTTATTTTCAGATGACATGTTTATGTAAAAAGGAATCTAAAAGTCAGCACAAAAACTTCTGAACTAATAAGGTGTTACAGTAAATTTGCAAGATAGAAGGTTAATATACAAAAGTAAAGCACTTATCTATATGCCTACAATGAACAATCGAATTTTGAAATTAAAAACACATTAGATTTACATTAGTACTCCCCAAAATGAAATATTTCAATATAAATCTAACAAAATATATACAAGATCTACATGAGGAAAATGATAAGACTCAGATAAAAGAGTTCATATAATTTAAAAAATTGAGAAATATTCCAGATTCATGAATAGGAAGACTCAACATTGTCAATATGTCGGCTTTTCTCAACTTGATCTACAGATTCAATGCAATCCCAATCAGTATCTTAACAAATTATTTTGCAGATATTGACAAACTTAAACCAAAATTTATATGGAGAGGCAAAAATCCCAGAATATCCAACACAATATTGAGGAAAAACAAAGTGAAGAACTGACACTACCCAAATTCAAGACTTATTGTAAAGCTATGACAATTAAGATAGAGTGGTACGGGTAAAAGAATAAACAAAGAGATCAAACAGAGAGCACAGAAATAGACCCATATAAATATGGTCAACTGATTTTTGACAACATCATATAGGTAATACAGTGGAGAAAAGATAGTCTTTTCAATAAATGGTGCTGGAACAACTGGACATCCACATGCACAAAAATTAATCTTTAAATAGACCTTATACCCTTCACAAAAATAAATTCAAAATGGATCACAGATCTAAATGCAAAATGCAAAACTATAAAACTCCCAGAAGATGACATAGGAGAAAATCTAAGTAACTTTGGGCTTGGTGATGATTTTTTTAGATACAACACCAATGGCACAATCCATAAAAGAAAAAATTGGTAAGCTGGATTTTATTAAAATAATAACTTTATATCTGTGAAAGACACTATCAAGAGAATGAAAACACAAACCACAGACTTGGAGAAAAATATTTGTAAAAGGCATATACGATAAAGGATTGCTATCAAAAATATACAGAGAAAGATGCAGCTGTAGTTGGAGAAGAAGATGGCAAATAGGAGACATGGCTAATGTTCAGCTCTCACTTGGATGGACAGAACAGAGTATGGAGACCCACACCATGACCTTTTGCTCCAAGAACCACCACAGAAACACACCAGGATAAAACAAAAGAATTCACAGATCCTTTGAAAGAAGTGCCATGCCACTGCAAATTCCATGGGACTTGTGAAAAACTGTGAGTTTCCCAAATGCAAGAGGGAGGAAAACCTGCATCCAAACACACATCCCCACTGGGGAGTCTGAAATTCCAGATCACAGGAGAAGGATTTAACCTTACTTACAGCTGAAATGAACTTAGGGAGCCACGAGAAATATAAAAGTTGAAGCATAAGTGGGAAGAGCCTTGTAGGCACTCCCAGTCTCCAGCTCAAGACCAGGGAAGCCATCCAGGACTACATCTCACAGGGGGCCTCAGGAAAGGCAGCCAGCAAAATTAAAGAGGAGTCACAGGGTGAAAGAAGCTTCCAAATGAAATTTGTAATAGTTTTGACTGGGCACAAATTTTCTTGAGCAGTATCTGGGAAGCTAATGGGAACTGCTGCAGATACAAGCACAGGAGCCACTGATGACATTGTGGGCAGGTGGAGGTAGGTAAGGCCTAAAAGTCATGCCTACTTTCTCAACAGGAAAGCTTACAACCTGGGGCAAGTTCTGAGTGGGGGCACTGTGGGAATGAGACCAGCCTTATCAACTGCATGGGAGCTGGGTGAGGCCTTTTACCATCAGCTAGCCCCCACTTCCCTGGTGAACTATATGACACAACAGAGGCCATAATCACCTCTGGAACATAACCCTATTATAACCCTATTGGCCTTAGTACCACCCCGCCTTCCCCACAGTGGCTGAGTCAAGCCCCACCCCAGGAGAGTTTGAACCCAGAGTTGTCTAACCCTGGCCCCACCTGATGGTAATTCTCTACCCACCATGGTAGCTAAGCACAAAAGATAGAAACTCTTGGGAGCTTTACGACCCTGCCTGATGCCTGAGAAACCAGCATACCTACACTGGCCAACTTAGGGTGAGCTTACATTCCCCTACTACCACTGCAGCTGGTGCTCTCTGCAAAGTGCCACCTCCTGGCTGGAGGCCAATCAACTCAGGCCATTACAGCAACTCATGACAGAATAATCCTGCTCCCCAAAATGAGAAAACAACAGCTAATTCCACCGCCTGCAACATCCCGGCTAATCAGAGGTCCTGAGTCTGTCCACATGACAACTTCACTGCTAACATAACCAGCATTTGAGAAAGACAGTGCACTACAACCAAGGACTGTCACAGAGTCTACTTCATTCCCCTGCCACCTCCACCAGAGCACGTGCTGGTATCCATGGCTGGGAGACCTGAAGACAGATCGCTTCTCAGGAATCTTTGCAGACATCCTCCAGCACCAACCCAGAGCCTAGCAGCCCTGCTGGGTGGCTAGACCAAGATGAGCAATAACAAACACTGCAGTCCAGCTCTCAGAAAGCCCTATCCCTAAAGGAATAGGGAGAGCACCACATCAAGGGATCACCCATGGGACAAAAGAATATGAACAGCAGGCCCTGAGTTCCAGACCTTTCCACTAAAATAGTCTAACTGAGAAGGAACCGGGAAAGTAATTCTGCTAATATGACAAAACAGTGCTCTATAGCACTCTCCAAAATATTACACTAGCCCCCCCAGCAAGGGATCCAAATGAAGATAAAATTGCTGAATTGCCAGACAGAGAATTCAGAAGTTTGATTATTGAGCTACTCAAAAAGATATCACAGAAAGGTGAAAACCAATTTAAAGAAATTTTAAACAAACAGTACAGGATATGGATTTAAAAAACTCCAGAAAAAAATAGATAACATAAAGAAAAAACAATCGCAACTTCTGGAAATAAAAGACATACTTACAGAAATACAAAATGCATTTGAAAGTATCAACAATAGCCTAGAACAAGTAGAAGAAAGAACTTCAGAGTCCAAAGATAAGGCTTCAAAATTAACCCAATCAGACAAAGACAAAAAAGAATTACAAAAATGAACAAAACTTCCAAGAAATTTCAGATTATGTTAAGCAGCCAAACCTAAGACTAATTGGTGTTCCTGAGGAAGAAGAGAAATTTAAAAGTCTGGAAATTTTATTTGAGGCAATAATTGAGGAAAACTTCACTGGTCTTGCTAGAGGTCTAGGCATCCAAATACAAGAAGCTCAAAGAACACCTGGGAAATTCATAGCAGAACGATCATTACTGGGCACATAGTCATCTGGTTATTTAAAGTCAAGATGAAGGAAACAATCTTAAGAGCTGTGAGACAAAAGCATCAGGTAAGCTGTAATAGAAAACTATCAGATTAACAGCAGATTTCTCAGCAGAAACCTTACCAGTCAGAGGAGATTGGGTTCCTATCTTTAACCCCCTGAAACAAAATAACTGTCAGCAAATAGTTTTGTATCCAGCAAAACTAAGCTTTATAAATAAAGGAGTGATAAAGTCTTTTTCAGACAAACAAATGCTGAGAGAATTTGCCACTAGCAAGCCACCACTACAAGAATTGCTAAAAGGAACTCCAAATCTTGAAACAAAACTTCAAAATTCCACCAAAATAGAACCTCCTTAAAGCACAAATCTCACAGGGCCTATAAAACAATAACACAATGGAAAAAAAAGGGATTTAGGAAGCAACTACCATGCAGAATAGTACCTCACATTTCAATACTAACATTGAATATAAATGGCCTAAATCCTCCACTTAAAAGATACAGAATCACAGAATGGACAAAAATCCACCAATCAATTATCTGCTGTCTCCATAACACTCACCTAACACATAATGACTCCCATAAACTTAGGGTAAAGGGGTGGAAAAAGGTATTCCACGCAAATGGAAATCAAAAGTGAGCAGGAATAACTATTTTTATATCAGACAAAACAGACTTTAAAGCAGCAACAGAAAAAAAAAGACAAAGAGGAACATTATATAATGATAAAAGGATTAGTCCAACAGGAAAATATCACAATCCTAAATACAAATGCACCTAACACTGGAGCTGCCAAATTTATAAAACAATTACTACTAGACCTAAGAAATGAGATAGATGGCAACACAATAATAGTTGGTACTTCAGTACTCCACTGAAAGCATTAGACAGGTCATCAAGGCAGAAAATCAACAAAGAAATAATGGACTTAAACTGTACCCTAGGACAAATGGACTTAACAGATATTTACAGAACATTCTACCCAACAACTGTAGAATATACATTATTTTCATCAGCACCTGAAACATTCTCCAAGATAGGCCGTATGATAGGTCACAAAAAAAGTCTTGATAAATTTTCTGATTCTAACAAACAGCAAACTGAAACAACTAAACTATTAAGATTCCCATTGCTTACAAAATGATTTTCCTTTACATTCTTATCATGAACACTATTTTAAGCATCAAATGCAATCATTTATAATATAAACACCTTGACCACAAGCTCTTGATTAAAAGTTTTGTAATATTTCATCTACTTATTAAAACAAATCATTTCCCTTGGGTTGGAGGGGGAGTGGTTTCATACATTACAAAGCCATCTTTAGCATATTGCTCATGTCTGGATCCATGTTACTGAGGGAAAAGACATTCTCAGTTGATGTATTTTTTCATGCATTCATATGCATTACTAAAAACTAATGCATATTTCTCTAATAATTTTCACCTTGTATGAGATGCCATATGAAGAAATTGTGGAAATGTAGAATAAAAAGCTAAAGCTGCCAAATTTCTATTAAACTCCTAAAAACAGCTCATGTTTGTCCTCTTGTTTTGTGGCCTAGACTAATTGCAACGTAATGAAGCTGCAGGGTTCTCATATAGCTAAAGTGTTCAGTGCATTTCACGTGCTATGGTGGAGGTGGGTGCTGTAAACAGGCTTCTCTTCCTGCTTTCAAAATACCTCGGCTTGACATTTGGACAGATCTCGTCATTGCTTAAACTGAGCTAAAAAATACACAAAATCATGTAAGAGATAACAAAGGAGAGGGAGAAATCTCATGTGAATTTCCAAGTTTCAGTTCATTTTCAGTGTAGGATTTTCATTTAAGTGAAAGTCACAGCAGAAGAGGAAACTTTTTGGAGTTTATGAGAATGCCAAACCATATTTTTATCACTCTTCTTTGAAAATCAATGCCTTTGAATAGAAAATCAAATTCAGGGACCACAAATAATTTTCAGTGGGAACATCTAGTTTGAGATTGTTTTAACTTTATTGTGTTGTTTTAGATTTTTTAAGTATATTTAGTGTTTGTTTGGTCTTTTTTTTTTTCTCTTTAAACTTTTAATTTGGTCTGAGAAAAGCTGAATGTTTGGGTGTGATGTTTGACTGAGATGGTTTGGGGCTGCCTGTGGACATTATTAAACAGGTGGTAGGCTTCAACAATATCCAGTTTCAATCAGTTGCATTTGGTACAGAATTTTGAGTAACAGTGAAAATTGTTGTCTTTGGAAAGTACAAGAGAAACCTGGAAAGGCCGTTTTGCTCAGGTAGCTACACATACACATAATGGATAATTTTCACTTCAGAGCTGTCTGGAAGGAAATGCAGTCAGCCCCAACTATTACTGTTTACATACCCAGATAACCAAGAGGCAGATATCCTTTCATGGCCTTGCTTTAGTCAGAGGCCTTTTCTCTGTTCTAAACCCCCAGGTATGGGTGACATTGGAAATTACTAATCTATTGGCAATCAGTTCCTACATAGTAAAGTTTGCTTTCATAACTGCAGCAAAAGATGTCATTTCATTAGGTCACTGCTGCCATGTGTGTACTGTATTATTTTCAGAAAAAAAATGATAGACTGAGTCTAAGTTATCTTGATTTAAAATTGATAAAGGAAAGAAATTGTTAAATATGTTATATAACAACTAACAGCATTGCACTTTCTATATATAAAAAAATCAATATTTAAATAACTTGTTTTTCTCCAGTGCTGTTCTTAAAACATTGTAAGTAGCTGTAATGTACCAATACCAATATGTTCTTGCACAACAATATGTTCAGCCCAAGAAAGCTGTGTATTGTTTTAAAAATTGTAAAAATTATTGTGATGATTTATTGAGCATAAAGAGAGGTGGACAGAAGAGTTTTCCTGTGTATTGAAACTTGTCTATAATTATGTTATGTATGCACCTAGAAAAAAAAAGTAAATTTCTTCAGCTGAAAAAAAAAGTCTTGATAAATTTCAGAAAATCAAAATTGTATCAAGTATCCTTTCAGACCACAGTGGAATATTACTGAGAATTATCTCTAAAAAGAATTGTCAAAACTATCCAAATACATGGGATTTAAATATTCTGCTTTTAATTGATCTTTGGGTCAAAAATAAATCAAGATGGAAATTTAAAAATTCTTTGAACTGAATGATATTAGTGACACAATTTATCAAAACCTCTGAGATATAGCAAAAGTGGTGCTAAGAGGAAAGTTCATAGCATTAAGCCTACATCAAAAAGTTTGAAAGAGAACAAATATACAAGCTAACATCACATCTCATGGAACTAGAGAAACAAGAACAAACCAAACCCAACCCCTGCAGAATAAAAGAAATAAATAAGATCAGAGCAGAACTAAATGAAATTGAAATAAAAAAAGACCCCACAAAAGAGAAATAAAACAAAAACTGGTTCTTTGAAAATATAAACAAAATTGAGATTAGTCAGGAAAAGAAGGGAGAGGATCCAAATAATCTGCATTAGAAATAAAATGAGAGATATTACAACCAATACCACAGAAATACAAAGACCATTTAAGACTACTGTGAACACCTTTATGCACATAAACCAGAAAATCTAGAGGAGATGGATAAATTCCTGGAAATATACAACCACCATAGATTAAACCATGAAAAAATGGAAACTCTGAACAGACCAATAACAAGTAGTGAGATTGAAACAGTAACTTAAAAATTGCTAACAAAAAAAAAAATCTAGGACCAGATGGATTCATAGCTGAATTCTATCATATATTCAAATAATTGGTACAAATCTTACTGAAGCTATTTCAAAAGATAAAGAGGGAACCTTCCATAAATCATTATATGAAGCTATTATTACCCTAATACCAAAGCCAGGAAAGGATATAACAAAAAAAGGAAAACTACAGACCAATATCCCTGATGAACATAGATGCAAAAATCTTCAGCAAAATACTAGCTGAGTCCAACAGCATATCAAAAAGATAATACACAATGAAATAGTGGGTTTCATACTAGGGATGCAGGGATGGTTTAACATATGCAAGTAATAAATGTGTTATATCATGTAAAAAGAATTAGAAACAAAAATCACATGATTATCTCCATAGACACAGAAAAGGTATTTGACAAAATCCAGCGTCTCTTTATGATTATAGCCCTCAGCAAAATTGGCATAGAAAGGACATACCTCAAGGTAATAAAAGCCATCTATGACAAACCCATAGCCAACATTATACTGAATGGGGAAAAGTTGAAAGCATTTCACCTGAGAACTGGAACAAGACAAGAATGCCCACTTTCATCACTTCTATTAACCATAGTACTGGAAGTCCTAGCCAGAGCAATCAGACAAGAGAAATAAATAAAACACATCCAAATCAGTAAAGATGAAGTCAAACTGTCGCTTTTTGCCAATGATATAATTGTATACCTAGAAAACCCTTAAGACTCATCCAAAAAGCTCCTAGATCTGATAAATAAATTCAGTGACATTTCAGGATACAAAATAAATGTACACAAAGTCAATAGCACTGCTATACACCAGCAATGACCAAGCTGAGAATCAAATCAAGAACTCAGTCCCTCTTGCATCAGCTGCAAAAGAAAATAAATAATAAAATACTTAGGAATATACTTAACCAAGGAGTTAAAAGATATCTACAAGGAAAGCTACAAAACACTCCTGAAAGAAGTCATCCCACAGAAACAAATGGAAACACATCCCATGCTCATGAATGGGTAGAATCAATATTGTGAAAATGACTATACTGCCAAAAGCAATCTACAGATTCAATGCAATTCCCAACAAAATACCATCATCATTCTTCACAGAAGTAGAGAAAACAATCCTAAAATTCATATGCAACAAAAAAGAGCCCACATAGCCAAAGGAAGACTAAGCAAAAAGAACAAATATGGAGGAATCACATTACCCGATTTCAAACTATACTACAAGGCCATAGTCACCAAAACAACATGGTACTTGTATAAACACAGGCATGTAGACAAATGGAACACAACAGAGAACTCTGAAATAAAGCCAGATACTTATAGCCAACTGATCTTTGAGAAAGCAAACAAAAACAAAGTGGGGAAAAGACACCCTATTCAACAAATGGTGGTGGGATAATTGACAAGCCACATGTAGAAGAATGAAACTGGATCCTCATCTCTCACCTTACACAAAAATGAACTCGAGATGAATCAAAGACTTAGATCTAAGACCTGAAGCCATAAAAATTATAGAAAATAACACTGGAAAAACTTTTCTTGACATTGGCTTAGGCAAGGAGTTCATGACCAGGAACCCAAAAGCAAATGCAACAAAGACAAAGATAAATAGATGGAACTTAATTAAGTTAAAAAGCTTCTGCATAGCAGAAGAAATAATCAGCATAGTAAACAGACAACCCACAGAGTGGGAGAAAATCTTCACAAACTCTGCATGTGACAAAGGACTAATATCCAGAATCTACAAAAAACTCAAACAAATCAGCAAGAAAAAACAAACAACTCTATCAAAAAGTGGGCTAAGGACATGAATAGGCAATTCCCAAAAAAAGATATACAAATGGCCAACATACATATGAAAAAATGCTGAACATTATTAATTATCAGGGAAATGCAAATTAAAACCACAATGAGATACCATCTTACTCCTGCAAGAATGGCCATAAATAAAAAATAAAAATAAAATAGATGTTGGCATGGATGTGGTGAAAAGAGTACACTTTTACACTGCTAGCAGGAACGTAAACTAGTACAACCACTATGGAAAACAGTGTGGAGATTCCTTAAAGAACTAAAAGTAGAACTACCATTTGATCCAGCAATCCCATTACTGGGTATCTAACCAGAGGAAAAGAAGTTATTATATGAAAAAGACACTTGCACATGCATGTCGATAGCAGCACAATTGACAATTGCAAAAATATGAAACCAGTCTAAATGCTTACCAACCAACAAGTGGATAAAGAAAATGTGGTACCATTTCATGATACATATATATATATACACATATACACACCATGAAATACTACTCAGCTATAAAAAAAGAACAAAATAATGACATTCACAACAACCTGGATGGAGTTAGAGACCATTATTCTAAATGAAGTCACTCAGGAATGGACAGCCAAATATCATATCTTCTCATTTATAAGTGGGAGCTAAGCTATGAGGACACAAACGTGTGAGAATGATATAATGGACTTTGGGGACTCAAGGAGAAGGATGGGATGAGGGCAAAGTGTGGAAGACTACACATTGGGTGCAGTATACATTGCTCGTACAACGGGTGCACAAAAATCTCAGAAATCACCACTAAGGAACTTACCCATGTACCAAAAACCACCTGTTCCCCAAGCTATGGTACTATAATATATGGATAATATGCATTATGATACTCTAATAGCAAATACATGTCATTATACATTTGTCCAAGCCTATGACACATTTTTCCAAACCCATAGAATGTACAATACCATGAGTGAACACTAATATAAACTGTGGACTTGTATTTATTTTATTTGGGTGATAATGATGTGTCAACATAGGTTTGTGAATTGTAACAAATGTACCACTCTGGTGAAGGATGTCGACAGTGGGGAAGGTTATGCATGTGTAGGGACAGAGGACATATGAGAACGCTGTACTTTCCCCTCAATTTTGGTATGAACCTAAAACTTCTCTAAAAAATAAATTCTATTTAAAATAAAGAACACAAAAATTTTAAAAATTAAGACTCTACATAGCAATAGCAAGATAAGAGATATATATACTCATAGTCATTATCTGGTAATTTCTTTATATGATTTGGAAACAAGATAGAAATACTAAATAACTATTTTGTTGAAAAATGCATATATATTCACTCACTCAACTTATCAACAAAATTAGTATCTAAAATTTTATTTATAAGAGGCAACCAAGGCCATCTAATTTTACAGGCAATTTTCACCAAACTTGTACATAACCCTATCTTTTATAGCTCTTTTGGAGTCTTTAAGAACAGAGAAATCAGTAAAGCTTTATTTTATGAGGCTAGAAAAATTTTGATGTGAGGCCATACAAATAGAACAAAATATTATAAATAAATCTTACATATAAACAAAGATGCAAAATCTTAAAATATTACTATAAAAATTCAGAAATATATAAGAAAATGAATATACCATTATCAATTATTAACTATTTCAAGAATGCATAGATCATTCAATATCTTTTCATAGCTCTTGCAGAGTTTTTAAGAACAGAGAAATCCATAAAGCTTTGATTTATTTTACAAGGCTAGAATAATTCTGATGTGAGGCCATACAAATAGAACAAAATACTATAAATAAATCTTAAATATAAACATAGATGCAAAAATCTTAAAATATTACTATAAAAATTCAGAAATATATAAGAAAATGAATATACCATTATCAATTATTAACTACTTCAAGAATGCATAGATCATTCAATATCTTTTCATAGCTCTTGCAGAGTTTTTAAGAACAGAGAAATCCATAAAGCTTTGATTTATTTTACAAGGCTAGAATAATTCTGATGTGAGGCCATACAAATAGAACAAAATACTATAAATAAATCTTAAATATAAACATAGATGCAAAAATCTTAAAATATTACTATAAAAATTCAGAAATATATAAGAAAATGAATATACCATTATCAATTATTAACTACTTCAAGAATGCATAGATCATTCAATATCAGAATATTCATTCACACATTAAACCAGACCAACAAATTAAAAGAGATAAACTGTACAAAAATATCAAATATTTTGGAAAAGCTTTCTGCAAAAGTCATTTATAATAAAAAGAAAAATAATGCTTATGAAACAGATAAGAAAAGAACATTTCATAACTTGTGAAACAAGATTTGTCAGAAATCTATTGCAAACATATTTAATGATGAAATTTTAGAAACATTCTAAATAAAGTCAAGAGAAAGATAAGGATAGCTTCACTGATTGTATTCCACATATTTAGGAGATACAGGAGGTGTTTTGGTGGTTCAGTGGTAGAATTCTCGCCTCCCACATATTTAGGAGATCCTAGTCAATGTAACAAGAAAAGAAATAAAGACTTAAAAATTGAAAATAAAGAAATTAAACTTATTTTGAATGCAGAATATTTTACTGTCAATGAAGAAATTACAAGTAAATCCAGAAAAATAATGTTAGAACCAAGAAGAGAATCTATAGTTTGCCAGGAAAATAAATAACACACAAGAACCAACAGTGTTGATATATGCAATTAAAAACATTTTGGAAAATGTAATAGAATAAAATAAAAGATCTAATTCACAATGGGAATATATCTATCTATCTAACATGTAAATATATGGTATACATATATAGATATACATTTGTGTGTATGTCTTTCTAAAAATAAATTTATCAAACATCTTCATGGTACTCAATCACAAACTCACTATCAGTTTATCTTATGTTATAAATAACTGAAGACTCACTAGACATGATATATTCTCACCAGAAATGACTACAGCACACAGCCAAACAGCAGTTGCAGTTTTATTATACTTTCTTCATACAGTATTGTTTTTACCCTTTTATAAGGTAAAACTCTTAAATAAGATAAAACCCTTATAAAAGGGTAAAAACAATACTGCACGGAGAAAGTATAATAAAACTGTTTTATTATACAGTACCCTTTTAGAAATTTAACTTTACATCTAATTGTTCTATATAATTTGTGCCTTTTTATAAATTTGATTTTATATCTAATTGTTTAAAAAAACTTATTTCCTCTTCAGGCCAATCAGTTTTCAAAGGAATTTTATCATTCAATTTTTTAAATATTCCTTTATTCTCGATGACAGTGTTATTCATCTCTATTTCCAACTAACCAACCAACCTCCAACAAATCCTCTACTACTCCAAATAGCTGTAGATGTAATATTTGATATTAATGTGTTAACATTAAGTATGTATTAATAACACATTATTGTTTTTCCATCAATCTCAGAAGAGAAGGTGTCCCTTTCCCACATATTGTATATAACTTTAGGGAATAACTTTCTTGACCTGAATTAGTCCACATCCACCTCAAACATACCTCTTGACAACTGAGGACTTTCTTTGTAGTAAAAGTCTGCAAACTGCATTTAAGAAGTTGCAAGACTGTTTTTTCCTTTTTTAATTAAGGTATAATTAACAAATAGAAATCATAAGCATTTATAGCATACAACATGATGTTTTGATGTATATATTGTGAAATGATTAAATCAAGCTAACTAAAATACCCAGCACCTCACTTATCTTAGCCTTTGTGTGTTTGTATATGTGGTAAGAACATTTGAGACCTACTCTCTTAGAAATTTTCAAATATACACTACATTATTAACTATAGTCACCATACTGTACAATAAAATTTCAGAACTTATTCATTCTGTGTATAACTGAAACTTCCTGCCTTTTGACTAACATCTCATCCTTTCCCCAACTTCCCTGGCAGCCAGCATTCTACTCTCTGCTTCTATGAGTTCAATATTTTTTAGATTCCACATGTAAGTCAGCTAATGTAGTATTCATCTTTCTGCGTCTGACTTACTTCACCTAAAATAATGTTCTCCAGGTTTATCCATGTTTTTGCAAATGGAAGGATTTTCACCTTCTTCGTGGCGGACTAGTATTTCATTGCATATTTATACCACATTTTCTTTATCCATTCATACACTGATGGACACTTAGGTTGATTCCATGTCTTGGTTATAGTGACTAATGCTGCAATAAGCATGGGAGTGCAGATATATCTTTGAGATAGGGATTTCAGTTCCTTTGGGAATGTGCCCAGTGGTAAAATTGGCCATATGGTAGTCCTATTTTTAATTTTTTGAAGAACATTCATACTGTTGTCTATATGATGATACTAATTTACATTCTCACAAAAAGTGTTCAAGGGTTCCCTTTTCTCCACATTCTTACCAACATTTTTTTGTCTTTTTTAAATAGCCATTCTAGCAGATGTGAGGTGGTATCTCACGATAATTTTAATTTACATTTGAGTTTCTTATATATTTTGGATATTAACCTCTTAAATGAATGGTTTGTAACTATTGTCTCCTATTCCAGAGGTGGCCTTTTCCTTTTGCTGATTTCTTCCATTTGTGTGTGAAGCTTTTTAGTTTGATGCAATCTCATTTGTCTGTTTTTGCGTATAATCATCTCTATTGATAGAGGGAAAAAAATTGACAAAATTCGCCACCCTTTTATGATAAAAAAAAAACACTTCACAACAAATTGGGTATAGAAGGAATGCACATCAACATAACAAAGGTTATATATGATAAGCCTACCACTATCATCATACTCAATGGTGAATAGCTGAAAGCTTTTTCTCTAAGGTAAAGAATAAGATAAGGATGGCTAGTCTCACCATTTATTTAAACATAGCAATGAAAATTTTAGCCAGAGCAATTAAGCAGAGGAGAGAGCGAGAGAGAAAGGAAGAAAGGAAGGAAGGAGAGAAGGAAGGAAAGAAGGGAGAAAGGAAGGGAGGGAAGGTGGGAGGGAGGAAGGAAGGAGGGAAGAAAGGGAGGGAGGGAGGGAGGATAGGGGAGGAGAGGGGAGGGAGGGAGGAAAGGAAGGAAAGAAGGAAGGAAGGAAGGAATGGGAAGGAGGGAGGAAGAAAAAAAGAGGGAAAGTAAGGAAAGGAAGGAAGGAAGGGAAGGAAGGAAAGGAAGGGAAGGAAGGAAAGGAAGGAAAGAAGGAAGGAAGGAAGGGAGGAAGGAAGGAAGGAAGGAAGGAATAAAAGGCATCCACATCCAAAAGGAGGGAGTAAAATTGTCTCTTTGGAGATGACATATTACATATAGAAAACCCTAAAGACTCCACAAAAAAAACTGCTGTAGCTAATAAACCAATCCAGTAAAGCTGCAGGATGCAAAATCAACATACAAAAATCAGTAGCACTTCCATATACTATACTAACAATGAATTATCTAAAAAATAAATTTTTAAAAATTACATTTATAATAGTGTCCAAACACACTTAGAAATAAACTTAACCAAGACGAAAGATCTGTATGCTGAAAACTATAAAACACTGATGAAAGAAAAGACACAAATAAGTGGAAAAATATAACATATGAATAGATTGGAAGAAATAATATTTTTTAAATGTCTATATTATATAAAGTGATTTATAGATTCAGTGTAATCCCTATCAAAATTCCAATGGCAGTTGTAAAATTAATATAGAACCACAAAAACCTTGAATAGTCAAAGCAATCTTGAGCAAAAAGAACAAAACTTGAAGCATCACACTACCTGCAGTATATTTCAAAATATACTACAAAGCTATAGTAATCCAAATAGCATGGTGCCGGCATGAAAACAGACATATGGACCAACAGAACAGCAGAGAACCCAGAAGTAAATCTACATATTGCAGTTAATTGACTCTTGACAAAGGTGCCAAGAACACACAATGAGGAAAGGATAGACTATTTAATAAATAGTGTTGGAAAAACTGTATATCCACAGGCAAAAGAATGAAATTGGTTATTTGTTTTACACCACTTACAACAATCAACCCAGGTGTGGTGGCTGATGCTTGTAATTCAACACTTTGGGAGGCTAAGGCAGGGGGATCTCTTGAGAATGGGAGGTCAAGACCAGACTGGGTGACATAGCAACACCTTGTCTCTAAAAATAAAATTTTTAAAAATCAGCTGGGTGTGGTAGCACAAGCATGTAGTCCCAGCTACTCAGGAGGCTGAGGTAGGTGGATCACTTGAGCCCAGAAATTCAAGGCTACCGTGAGCTGTGATCATGCTGCTGAACTCCAGCTTGGGCAATAGAGCAGGATCCTGTCTCAAAAAAAAAAAAAAAAAAAAATCAACTCAAAATGGATTAAATGCTTAAGCATCAGACCTGTAACTAAAAGTCATAGAAAAACATATAGGAGAAAAGATTTCTGAAATTGTCCTGGAAATAATTTTTTCATGTAACAAAACACAGGCAATCAATTTTGTTTTGTTCTTTTAGGTTAGGATTGCTTTTGCTATTCAGGCTGATGTTTGGTTCTATATACATTTTAGAGTAGTTTTTTTCTAATTCTGTGAAAAAAGACATTGGTAGTTTGATAGGAATAACATTGAATCTGTAGATTGTTTTGAGCAGTATGACATTATAATGATACCGATTCTTCCAATCCCTGAGCCGGAAATGTTTTTCCATTTATTTGTTTCATCTATGACTTCATTCAGCAGTGTTTTATTGTTCTCCTTGTAGGGCTCTTTCACCTCTTTGGTTAGATGGATACCTAGATATTTTGTTTTGCTGTGTGGCTATTGTAAATGAGATTGCATTATTGATTTGACTCTCAGCTTGAATGATATTGATGTATAGAAATGCTACTAATTTTTATATAATGATTTTGTATCCTGACACCTTATTGAAATTCTCAATTATAGAAGTTTTTTGGCAGAATCTTTAGGGTTCTAGATATAGAATTACAGTGTCACTGATGAGACATAATTTGACTTCTCTTCCTCCTTGGATGCCTTTTATTCCTTTCCCTTGTCTAATTGCTCTGACTAGCACTTCAAACACTATATTGAATATGAGTGGTGGATGAGAATGTCATCTTGTTTCAGTTCCCAAGGGGAATGTGTCCAGCTTTTACCCATTCAATATTATGTAGGTTATGGGTTTTTCATAGATGGCTCTTATTGTGAGGTACGTTCCTTCAATGCTTAGTTTCTTGATGGTTTTTGGCAAGAAGGTATGTTGGATTTTACTGGAATCTTTTTATGGGTCTATTGAGATGTTCATATAGTTTTTGTTTGTGTAGTGAATCACACTTATTGATTTGCATATGTAGAAACAACCTTGCATCCCAGGAATAAAGCCTACTTGATCATGTGCTGCTGGATTTGATTTGCCAGTGATTTGTTGAGGATTTTTGCACCTATGTTCATCAGGGGTATGGCCTGTAGGTTTCTTTTTTTGTTGTGTCTCTGCCAGATTTTTGTCTGTTTTGATGCTGGCTTCATAGAGTAGATTAGGGAGGAGTCCCTCCTTTTTGATTTTTTGGAATAGTGAGAGTAGACTTGGTACCAGCCCCTCTTTGTACATCCGATAGAGTTCAACTGTGAATCCATCTGGTCCAAGACCCTTTTTATTTGGTAGTTTATTATTGATTGAATTTTAAAACTCTATATTGGTCAGTTCAGGGTTTTAATTTCTTCCTGATTCAATCTTGGGAGGTTGTGTGCTTCCAAGAATTTATCCATTTCCTTTAGATTTTCTAGTTTGTGTGCATAGAGGTGTTCACAGTAGTCTTTGAGGATCTTTTGTGTTTCTGTAAGATTGGTTGTAATGTCACCTTTGTCATTTCAAGTTGTACTTATTTGGATCCTCTCTTTTTTTCTTTGTTAATCTAGGTAGCAGTCTATCAATCTTCTTTGTCCTTTTAAACAAACAACTTTGGGGTTTGTTGATTCTTTGTATAGATTTTAGGGACTAATTTCTTTCAGTTCTGCCCTGATTTTAGTTCTTTCTTTTCTTCTTGTTTTGGGATATGCTTTTCTTTCTTTCTTTCTTTTTTCTAGTTTCTCTAGGTGTGATGTTAGATTGTTAATTTGCAGTTTTTTTAACTTTGTGAGGTAGGCATTTAGCACTATAAACTTTCCTCTTAACACCACTTTTGTTACATTCCGTAGATTTTGCCATGTTTTTGTCTCTATTTTTATTTATTTTAAAGAATATTTTGATTTTTGTCTTGATTTTTTTGGTTAACCAAAAGTAATTCAGTAGCAAGTTGTTTAATTTCCATGCAATTGTGTAGTTTAGAGAGAGGTTTTTGGTAGTGATTTCCTTTTTTATTTCACTGTGGTCCAAGAGTATGATTGGTATACTTTTGATTTTTATAAGTTTAATTTATTGATACTTCCTTTATGGTTGAGCACGTAGTCAATCTTGTAGTATAATTCATGTGCAGGTGTAAATAATGTGTATTCTGTGGTTGATGCGGTGAGTATGCTGTAAATGGCTATTAGGTCCAATTGGTCAGGTTTTAAATTTAAGTCTAGAATTTCTTTGTTTTCTGCTTCATTGATCTTTGTACCACTGTCATTAGGGTATTCAAATCCCCCATATTATTGTGTGGCTGGCTAAGTCTTTTTGGAGATGTAGAAGTTCTTATTTTGTGAATCTGGGTGCACTAGTGTTGGGTGTATATATATTTAGAATAGTAAAGTCTTCTTGTTGAATTGAACTCTTTATCATTATGTAATGCCCTTCTTTGTACTTTTTTTCTGTTTTTGGTTTAAAGTCTGCTTTATTTTATATAAGAATCATCAGTCTTGCTCTTTTTTGTTCTCCATTTCTGTGATAGATGTTTCTCCAGCCCTTACTTTGAGCCTGTGGGTATTGTTAAGTGTGAAATTGGTCTTTTGAAGACAGCAGACAGATGAGTCTTGTTCTTTATCCAACTTGCCACTCTGGGCCTTCTATGTGGAGGTATTTAGACCATTTACGTTCATGATTAATATTGATATGTGAGGTTTTGATTCTATCATGAGGTTTTTAGCTTGTTGCTTTGTAGTTTCTATTGCATGGTTGCTTTATAGTGTCTGTGGGATATGTATTTATCTGTGTTTTCATGGTAGCATTTATTGTTTTTTTGATTCTATTTTTAAAACTCCTTTAAAGATTTTTTTATAAGGCTGGTCTAGTGGTAACTAATTCCCTTAGTGCTTGCTTACCTGGAAAATATTTATTTCTCCTTCACTTACGAAGCTGTTTGGTGGAATATGAAATTTTTGGTTGTAATTTCTTTTTTTTTTTTTTTTTTAACATTGCTGAAAATTGGCACCTAATCTCTTCTGGCCTGTGAGAAGAAGTCGTCTTTTGCCTAATAGGGTTCCTTGCGTACCTTGTGTGACCTTTTTCTCTAGCTGCCTTACAAAATTTTTTCTTTAGCTTTGACCTTGGATGATCTGGTGACTACATGACTTGGTGATATTCATTTTGTATAGTATCTCAAAAATGTTCTCTAGATTTCTTCTATCTGAATATCTACCTCTCTAGCAAGATTAGAAAATTTTGTCTTGAATTATTTCCTCAAGTTTGCTTTCCAGGTTGTTTACTTTTTCTTCTTTTCTCTCAGGAATGCCAATAACTCATAGATTTGGTCACTTTATATAATCCATATTTCTCAAAATTTTGTTTATTCTTAAAAATTATTTTTTATCTATTTTTGTTGGACTGAGTTACTTCAAAAGACAGGATTTCAAGGTCTGAAATTCTTTCTTCTGCTTGGTCCAGTCTATTGATATTGCTTTCAATTGTATTTTGAAATTCCTCAAGTCTTACAATTCCAGAAGCACTGATTGATTTATTAAAGTGTATATCTCTTCCTTCATTTCCTGGATTGCTTTAGAAGTTTTTTCGTGTTGATTTTACACTGTGTCGTAGATCTCATTGAGCCTCTTTACAATCTGTGCTTTTAATTGGTTATTTGTCATTTGTGAGTCTTCATTTTTGTAGGGACTGTTGCTGGAGAGCTAGTGTGATATTTTGATGATACCACAACTTTCAGATTTTTCATGGTGGCAGAATTCTTGCATTAATTCCTTCTCATCTGGGGTTATTTGCACTACTAATTTTTTTTGTTTTGGAAATTGATTCTCACTCTGTTGCCCATGCTAGAGTGCAGTTGCATGATCCCAGCTCACTGCAACCTCCACCTCCAGGATTCAAGTGAGTCTCCTGCCTCAGCCTCCTGAGTAACTGGAATTACAGGCGCCTGCCACCATGCCCAGCTAATTTTGTATTTTTAGTATAGACAGGGTTTCACCATGTTAGCCAGGCTGATCTCAAACTCCCAACCTCAGGTGATCCACCCACTCGGCCTCCCAAAATGCTGGGATTACAGGTGTGAGCCACCACACCTGGCCACACTACTAATTTTTATAACTATTTTTATGTGGTTAGGATTTTTTATTTTTCTTTCTTTCCCTATATTTTTATTATTTTAAATTTCCCTTTCACCTCATCCCTTGGGATGTAACTATAGAGAATGTTGGGTAGGGTCTTTTGAATTTGCTTCCCTAAGCACTTCTGCCAGCAGGTTTTACACTGGGCTGTGTGGTTCAGCCTACAGGCCAATAGAAGGTGCTTAAAGGTAAGAGCCTACTGTGGGCAATGTGGCTGGGTATATACTTGGTCCTTGTTTACTGGGAGAAGCTCTCTATTTCCTCAGGCAATGGGCTGATCCATGGAGTGACAGTGATCTGAGCTCTCTGCTCAGCCCTGGGGTGGTAGGGGGCAAGATGGGTAAGGCAAGATTGGGCAGAGCCACCTATAGGTCTCCTGATGTCAGACACAAACACTAGCACAGAAGGAGAATCCAGTGGGTGGTCACCAAGTGCCCAGAGGAGCACCTAGGCGTGAACCTGAAAAACTTCCTCAGCCCCAAGTTCTTTGCATGGTGGGGATGTGGGGGTGACCTACTGAAACTCCTAATTCAGGAGAGTAGGTGCTCCAAATACCTGGATATCTGCCTAGGCATGGAAAGTAGATGGCCCCACTGCACTCCTATCTCTACAGAGGGAGGGTGGAGTAGCTCAGGCTGTTAATTTAGGAAAATGGGTGTATTAGTCCATTCTCACACTGCTTTAAAGTACTGCCCAATCCTGAGTAGTTTATAAAGGAAAGATGTTTAATTGACTCACAGTTCTGCATGGCTGGGAAGGCCTCAGGAAACTTACAATCATGGTGGTATGAGAGCTGAGCAAAGGGGGAAGCCCTTTAGAAAAATCCATCAGATCTCATAAGAATTCACTTACTATCAAGAGAACAGTATAGGGGAAAATGCCCCCATGATTCAATTATCTCCCCCGGTCTCACCCTTAACACTTGAGGATTATTACAATTTAAGGTGAGATTTGGGTGGGAGCACAGAGCCAAACCATATCAATGGGTCTTCTGACTGCCTGGTGATCTGCCTGGGCATGTAGCAGAGAGAACCCCTATGTACCAGGATCCCTGCAAAGGAAGGGTGCAGCAGGTCCAGCAGCTGATTCAAGCAAGCAGGTGCTCCAAATACCTGGAGATCTGCCTGGGCATGGAGTAGAGAGGGCCCTACTGCATCATGACCCATGCATAGGAAAAATGGGTCAGCTGAAGCTGTTCCAGGTGAGTGGTGCCCGAAATACCTAGAGATCCACCTGGTCATGGAGTGGAGAAAGCCCTGGTGCTTGAAATACCTAGACATCCACATGGTCATGGAGTGGAGAAGGCCCTGATGCACCACAATCTCTGTATTGGAAGGGAGGGATAGCTCAGGCTGTGAATCTGGCTGAGCAGTTGTCCCAAATGTCTGACAATCTGCCTGGCCATGAACCAAAAAGAACCTCTCTTGCACCAGGATCTTTGTACACGAGGGATGGAGTGACAGGCTTCTGAGTCAGGCAAGTGGGTGCTCCAAGTGCCTGGATATCTGCTTGGACATGGAGTGGAGAGGGCTCCCTTGCACCTGGATCTTTGAAAAGTGATGGTGGAGTGGCTTAAGCTGCCAGTCTGGGCAAGCAGGTGCTTTGAATGCCTGGAGACCTGCCTAGGCATGGAGCAGAGAAGGCCTCACTGCATCACAATCTATGCACAAAAAGGGTGATGCAGCTCAGAATGGTGATCTAGGTGAGTGGGTATCTCAAATGCCTGGAGACTTGCCTGGATGTGGAGCAGAGAGGGCTCTGAGCACCACAGTCTCTGCACAGAAGGGTGGGGCAGTTCAAGCTGCTGTTTCAACCAAGCTGCTCCAAATGCCTGGACTTCTACCTGTGAGTAGAGCAGAGAGGTCCTTGCTGCATCACAATCTCAGAGAGCAGGCTGAAGCACCCAGCAACACATTTAGACCAGTTCCGGGTTGAAAAGCTGGCCGTGGGTACAAGTCTTATTGTCCAGGAGAAACTGAAACAGGGAAGAGCACAATTGCAGCACACACTGCTGAGGCACTTTCCATAAATGTGGCTGTCAAGGCCTCTACTCCACTCCAGAGCGAACAACTCCAATCTCTGACTCGAGATTAAACTGCCTGCATGGCATGCTGCCAGGTCGCCAAGAAATGACTGACTTTCTATGCAGTTAGATTAAAAATGTCATCCTGCTCTTGGTCTAGAAAAGTGCCTGCAGCTTTTCCTGGTGTTTTTCCCTCTGAGCATTTCCAAGCATCTTCCCAATTTAGCTCTAGGTCTTGAGAGAAACAAAGTATTCCCCCTTGGCCTATGTTGCTCAGATCCCCAGTGGAAAAGTGAATCACACAGGGAGGCTCTCTGCCTATCGTATATAGGACTTTGCTCAGTTTTATCAGCTGGACACCATCACTGGTGCTTTTCTCCCATGTTCTCCTCCCTGGGATTTGGGACATCCTTCATGATTCTGGTGGATTCCTGTTTTTCTTCTTGAATTAAAGCTCATGGAGTTAATTTTTATGCTATTTCCGAGTGGCTGAGGTATGCTAAAAGCCTCTAATCCACCACCCTGGAGAAAACAAAAAAAGAAAGAGCTTAATTAAGACACAAAAGTGCAAATTCCAGAATTAAAGATTAAGAACATTAACCATGTCAAAATGATAAACACCTATAGAGCAGATGCTTTCATAAACAAGGTAAAATCCACAGAGTGGGAGAAGATACATGCAATGCATGTAATGAGTATGAAACTTGTAAGAAACAAAACAGAATCATTTGTGTCAAGCTGACAAATGGAGCTGGAGAAGTCCATGAAGAATGGTGCTCACTCATGTTGCCTGATAACAAGAAGTATTAGAAAAGACTGCAAAAACCACAATTTTGCACAAAAACCAGTGCAACCTTACACAAAAAAATACTCTGTGATGACATCTGCCCAGCAACTTCCTGTCCAACCTTGGACTGACAACATCCTTGTTATTGATCCTTGTAGCCAGAAATAACTATCTCAAAACAACCTATGTACTCTTCCTCATTTTTCCTTTAAAAACCCTTTACCTCTCTGAATATGTCCATTGAATTCCCATTGCAGTGCTCAATCACAAATCAATACCATTTTCTTTTAGGGGATATCTCTGTCTGTTATTTAGGTTGACACTAGGAAAAGATTAGAATTCCTCCAAATCTTTAAAGAATTCCTACAAATTCCTACAAAGAAAATAGTTTCTATGAACTGATAATCTGATAGAAAAAAAATGACAGAAGAGATAAATAGTTTCTTCAAGATAAAATCCAAATGTCCAATAAATATATGTAATGACCCTCAATTTAACCTCAACAGTAATCAAAGCAGTGAAAATATGATACTATTGGCAAACATTATAAAGTTAGACTATGCTGAGATGTTTATCTGAATAAACAAATTGGTACAACCATATTGAAAAACAAATTTTAATTAAATTTGTTGCAAATGTCCATACCTACAGCCCATCAATAACACTTCTAAGTATATATTCTTAAGAAACTCTTGCTCATGTGCACAGGGAAATACACACAATGCCCATTATAAGATTATCTATAATAGTGAGTGTCTTAAAACAATTTAAATGCCCATCATCGGTATGATGGATAAATATATTGCAGTATATTCATAGAATGGTTTAGAAGAAAATTCTGTATGCCCAATGTATGGAGCTAATGCTGAGTCATAAAGCATAAGTAAATCTCCCTCTTGGCAGCTAAAACTGAGATAGCAAATAAGATGCCAATAGTAAGTCAATAAAACCTCAAACTTGCTGATCACATCTGTGCTTGTGATATTTGAAATGTGCTCTTTCAAGGGCATCTGTCAACATGTCACAAAGAATAAAGCAAATGTCAGGTCAGCACTTCTGGATCTCTGATATAAATATTCCAACTTAAGGTATGATTGCTAGTTAAAGAGTTTAATTTTTGCACTGCTTCTTTGAACCTCAACTTCATTGCTTTTTAACCATCCAATTCATTATATCCCTTCTGCCTTCAAATGTTCTCTTTCTTAATACAATTTAGAATAGACAATATATCTTCTGATCATTGAAGTATTTCCCCGTAAAACTTGTTGACCCTGTTGTTGATTCTAATATTGGAATAAGAAAATGCACTCATCAAGGAATATAAAAGATGTTATTCCACTTATAGCCATTTCTTGACCTGGGAAAGAACTTACATCACACAACTTACTTGCATTCATTCCTAAATTTAGACATAGATAGTCTTTTGTCATCTGTGACTAAAAAAAACAGAGAAAATAGTTTTTTTTTCATTGTGATTAAATTATGATAAAAATATATCAAAGAACAATAACAGGAAATATTTTCCAGGGCACTTCATAAGTTTCTCTCTCCTCCTCCTCCTCCTGTATCCCTCATTAATACTCTTTACCTTTGGAGGTAAGTAAAATCCTAGTGTGACACTTGTAATACTCTAAGGACCTCAGGGTAGATTTGCTCCATCAGGCTGGGTAGATGTTTTTTCTCTTTATTCCTGAAGAGTTCTATGTACATCCCATATAATTTCTGAATTTCTAGAAGCATATTATTTGCAAAGGTAATTCCATGCAAACAAGATAAGAAGTGTCCTTGGCCCCTGGTCCTAGACCCATAGTTTGTCTCTATTCATATGGCATTCTGGCCTAGCCACTTGTCCTTGAAGGTTTTATTGTTAACACATATAATACAATGAGGTATGAAGTTCTTGTCCACTAGTGTCCTTACTCAACTCTTCTGTATCAAATATACTAGATTGATTGGGTATGCAAGCCTGATTATAAAGCAATGATCCACAGAACTAAAATATAGAAAGGAAAGGGGGTTGTGATCCAAGATCAAATTATGCCATAGCTTTGCATGCACTGAGAGATGTTGGATCATATAATATTTGGAATTTGGTTCTGAATTCTATTCAGAAATAAGGCAGTGAAGAGTAGGAATAGGGTCCAGTTCCTGGGAAATAGGTCTGCAGGGAGCAAAACAGAGAGCAGAATCTCTGGTTGACTTGGGTTTTAAACTTTTAAGCACCAGTAGACCCAAGCAGAAAGTGACCCAATCAGAAAGGGACTGGTTTCCCTAAGGAGTTATACTGCCCTTTTGCTTCAAGGAAGAACTTTATATGCTATCTGTATGAGTCACAGCAAATTAACATTAGCTGCTATAAAGAACAACCCTAATTAAAGTGGTTTAACATGTGCAAAAAGAAAAGAAAGATTTTAAAAAAGTTTATTTTGTGTTTTTTTAAATTATACTTTAAGTTTTAGGGTACATGTGCACAACATGCAGGTTTGTTACATATGTATACATGTGCCATATTGGTGTGCTGCACCCATTAACTCGTCATTTACATTAGGTATATCTCCTAATGCTGTCCCTCCCCCCTCCCCCCACCCCACAACAGGCCCCGGTGTGTGATGTTCCCCTTCCTGTGTCCATGTGTTCTCATTGTTCAATTCCCACCTATGAGTGAGAACATGTGGTGTTTGGTTTTTTGTCCTTGCGATAGTTTGCTGAGAATGATGGTTTCCAGCTTCATCCACGTCTCTACAAAGGACATGAACTCACCATTTTTTATGGCTGCATAGTATTCCATGGTGTATATGTGCCACATTTTCTTAATCCAGTCTATCATTGATGGACATTTGGGTTGGTTCCAAGTCTTTGCTATTGTGAATAGTGCCGTAATAAACATACGTGTGCATGTGTCTTTTTTGACACAGTTCCGTGTAGGTCAGGCCCTCTCCTGAGAAACATTCCTTGAGAGAAAGACTCAGGAGCCAGCCTCTTTCCACTGTGTTCCTTTTAGTTATCTTGGAGCTCTGATTTTTCCAGTTACATAGAGGAAAGAGAGAAGATGTGCACAAGAGTGCATGAATGGCGATCACGTAGGTTGTTTGAGAGGCCAGATCTCTAGGGAGTATACGTTACTTTTACTCTCATTTTGTTGGCCAGAGCTCAGTTCATGTAGCCTCAAACTTACTGAAATGGTGATTGTGAAACGTGGCTTTTCTGCATGTCTAAGAAGAGGAAGTAGGATTGTTGAGTATCCAGCAAGCGTCTGGCACACTATCTTCTGTGAGACAAATAAGAATTTTCCCACTTTGCCAAAACATGCTATAAAAGCTCCTGGTAAACTGACCAGCAGCCTTCTTATTGTTTCTAGTCAGCAAAAAAACTGGAGGCTCAGTTAAGTCAAATCTAGTTGTTCTTTTAAGTTTCAGCACACCTAGGGCTCCGAGGCCAATCCCGTTTCTTCTTAAGTTAATTTTAGAAATCTAGGTCACTAAATAAGTTATCAGCAAGAAGTCAAGTTTTCTTATACTACTGCTGTGATCCTGTGACCCAGTTTAAAATGGTTGGCCCTGGAGACAGACTGCCTGGTTTGCCTTCTGGATTGCTATCTATGTGCCTTTGGGCAAGTTACCTCATTTTCCTTTTCTGTAAAATTGTAATAATGTTACACTTAACTTGCTGGGGCTTTATAAGAAATAAATTTGAAACTCTGTAAAAAGCAGCACAATGCCTAGTTTCCAAGCTATTATTATCATCATTATCAACATCATCATCATCATCATCATCATCATCATCATCATCATCGTCATCATCAGTATTTGCCAATGTTGGATCACACTATAATGGGGCACATGTCATATTTCCCCAGAGCCTGAATGACTATCAATATTTATCTTTGAGTATGTCCAGGGAAAGTTGCTCTCTAGCTTTGGGCGAGAGGGCAGGCAAGGGAGGTGGTCTAGAGAGTGAGGCCAAGAGTGAAGTGGTAACAAATAGAGTCTCCCAAAATAAAAAATCTTGAGCTGCTTAAGGCAAAAGTCAATAGACAAGAGTGGATCAACAGAAGATATTCCAGGAAAAATCCAGTACTCATAATTAGGCTCCAACATACAAAGACTCACTGCTGAGCCTGTGTGCATCAGGATTGAACGGACTCACAAGAAAGACAACCTGTGGCCAAGTTAGGTCAGGTATCCAGAGATATATGAACACCATGACTCTGTTCCAGTAGTGTGTGAGTGGATAGAACAAACAAACAAACAAACAAAATAGAGAAGAGTAGTTAGTAGGAGGGCTAAAAGCAAGTAGAAAGAAAATACTTATACAAGATTCAAAATGATTTTGTCGAAGCTGCTTTTTATTCATATTTGATGTGCTGGGCTGTCACTTTTGCAAGTCTCTACTTTGCCATTCCATTTCTTCAAGAATTGCATCCTGCCATGCCCTTATCAGTAATCATACCTTTCCACCTCAGCCTGGGAGATGATTGCCCTCTAAAACTGCCACATCTCTCCTGGGTCTGTTATCTTCCCGGACCTTGGCTTGTTGCCATTTTAAATCCATCACTTCTTGGTTCCAATCATACAGTGGTTCACCTATTTGATTATGTACAATAATTTCTTTCCAGTACCTGCTTTTTGACCCTTGAAAAGGCTACTGGTTTATCAGATCCTAGACTTTCAGGGCCGGGCTAGTGTTATTACCATTCAAGTTCTTATCTTGCCTCTGCTTAAATTTGGAAAATCCTCTCTCTAAGGAAGACACGTCATATAGATTTAGCCACAAGAACTCAATCAATAGGAGAAATTTTTCTTTATTGAAGCTTGTTAGATTTTGTTTTAATTTGGGTTGAAGTTTCTTTTAAATGCTCTGGCATCTTCAAAAATAAATATTATTAGTTTGGCGCAAAAGTAATTGCAGTTTTGTTATTACTTTTAATATATTTTCCTTTAAATTAAAGACAATTGTATTTATGCATAGATATATTGCTGGTAAATGTAAAAATTAGTATTACCCCCAAAGACAACAATTTGGCATTATCTATCAAAATTAAAAATTTCAGGCTGGGTGCGGTGGCTCATGCGTGTAATCCCAGCACTTTGGGAGGCTGAGGCGGGAAGATCACTAGGTCAAGAGTTTGAGACCAGTCTGGCCAAGATAGTGAAACCTCCATCTCTACTAAAAATACAAAAATTAGCCAGGCCTGGTGGCACACGCCTGTAGTCCCAGCTACTCGGGAGGCTGAGGCAGGAGAATCGCTTGAATCCAGGAGGCAGAGGTTGCAGTGAGCCGAGATTAGGCCACTGCACTCCACCCTGGGCAACAGAGAAAGACTCCATCTCAAAAAAAAAAAAAAAAATCTGCATTCTTTGAAACTACAATTTCACTTTTAGAAATTTTCCCTAAAGACAAACTGGCTCTAGGATTAATGATGTATGAACCAAAATGCACATCTCAGCAGAGTCTCTAAGAACAAAAGACCAGACACTACTTAAATGCCCATCAATAGAACAGTGACTTAACACATTTAATTAATTATATGCAATAGAATAAAATTAGTTATCAAGTCTAACATATTCATTTATTGAATAAATTCAAATATTTATTGTGTAATTATTATATGCCAGGCACTGTACTGGGCGTTAATAATGAGTGCAGTGAAAAAAACAGTTGAAAATATTTACTCTCATGTAATTAACATTCTAGTTGGGGGTCAGAGACAATAAACAAATAAAAAATGGTAGTTAGTTCTGGTTTTTCTTTTAAGCAGGTAAGAGAGATAGAGAGCATGAAGTGTTGAAATGCTGTATTTAAAATGAGAAGAGGTTTTCAGTACCAATATAGAATAATTCCTAATGTATATTATGTGAGAAAAGGAAGGTATTTAACAGTATGTAAAACATACAAATGCACACCCACAAGACTATTTGCTTATATAAAATATCTCCGAAAGAAACTAATAAACTGATAACATTGGTTATCTCCACAGAGGAATACTGGGTGAACAGGGGCAGGAGGGAAAATTTCATTTTATGCTTTTAAAATTTTGTATCATGTAAATGTATTTATTTTAAAAAGCAAATTGATACAAAAACAAATTTAAATTTCCATATACTTCTAATGTCCTAATTTCAGAAAAGTCACGTAACATCTTTGGAATATATGAATGGTTTACGGTTTTGGGTAAATACTTCTGATTATAAATATCTTAATAATATGAAAAAAATTATTCACACTTCTTCTACAAGTTTGTTCTGCAGAATGACTTGATGTAGTTAGTCCCCATTCCAAAAGCCATAAGAATGCGGTCAAAGGGCAGGGATAAGGGTGTTTTGAGTAATTGTTTTACAAGGCCTTTGCTGAACACTTGTAGTGACTTGAGTTAGCACTGTCATTGGCACTTCAAAGATATATTCAACATTTTGATGGGTCCAGCCCAATCATATAATGCATTTCAGGATTTGTGGAATTGACAAGTAGTATGAAGGTGCGTTCTTAAGAGCTGCAATGGGGCAGGCACATGCCTCTCACAAACTAAAGATGAGGAAACAGAAAATTCCATCGACATTCCCACAGATATTGTGGGCTGAGAAAAGTAAGACTCCTTTGGCTTAAGAAAGAGTTTTCACTAAAATTAAACAGTATCTGCATTTTGTTCGTTTTGTTTCTTTCCCTTTCCTTCTGAAAGTAATATTCCACCTTTAATCTGTTCCTTCCATTCTTGACTTTGTAGTCTTTCAAGGTCTTGAATGTGTAATAGACTCCTGGTGGGAATGAGATTAAGTTGTGAAATTCTGCTTTGTGTCACCAGTGAGATAGCTGGTGTCTTTTTCTTAGCCATTTAATACTCTACTACTCCTATGCTTCTGAATTCTTAACAAGCTCCTTTGCTGCTACTCAAGCAAAGCTCCTCATATGCTCTCAGACACAGAAAAGTATAACTCACGAGTAACTGATATGTGCTTAAACTTTCCAGCTTCTGAAGCTTCACGTATGGCTTTTCTGTTGGCTGTTTTATGATTGTGCAAACAGAATCACAAAACTAAAATCCAGAAGGAAGTTTATGTATCATTCAGTGCAAGTACTCAGGTGAGTGAACTAAGGTCTAGGAGAACTAGCTTGCTCAGGAATCCACAGTAAGGAGCTGAGCCAGGGCTAGAGCCAAATGTTACCTCCGGTCAGTTGCTTTCAGGAATAAATCAAGTCTCAAACTTGCCATGCATCTGCCAGCTCTCTTGCTTTCTTCTCACAGGAAACATAAGGTCCATGGCTATTTCTTTTGATCTCCTATGCCTAGAATTACCTCAATTCATAATTCTGGTCATTTAAGCCTCTGAGGATTAATCTTCTCCCTGATGTACTGGGAAGTGTATAATCAAAAACAATACCACCATTTCCTGTGGTTCTAGCAGGGGAAAAAGTTGGCTTGATTTATGCTTTACCAGACATTAGCCATGATTCCCAGTCATTGCTGAGGGGGTAGGGAGGGAGTAACTTCATTGCAACATGTTAAAATTAGCAGGGCATCCAAGACATAATAAACTTCTTTGTGCCTATGAAATTTTTACCACAGTGACAGCTAGATATGATTTTAGGTTTCCCAGAAGAAGACAATAAGACAAGAGTTTGTGTGCAAGTGATTCAGTACAGTTGGAGTCAGTACAGTACAGTATAGGAGATGCCTGTGAATAGATGAGGGAAGCAAGGAAGGAAGGAGAAGACTAGCAAGGGTATAATTTCAGGTAAACTTTCAACCTCAGGTTCATCCTGATGGGGAGCCCTGGAACCTAAATTAAACCTCAGATTTGTTCCTCCTTGGGGCAAGGTTGCTGAGATTTTATAATCTGTGCCTGTCTGTCCTTGGTGAGGGCTATCCTTGAGGGCATGTTACCACCATGGATGCTGGCTGGCTGTGCATTGCAGGCACCATGGTGCCAGTGGCCCAAGGGCAGTCCTTCAAAGAGACTTAGAGATGCCAGTCTCTAGGAGCCAAGCATGTTGAAGCCAGAGGATGGGCACACAGAAAGAGTCAGAAGAATCTGAGGAGAATTGCTGGAGTACTGATAGCTTCTGCTTCAAATGTTGCTATATTACCTGTCCAAAATAGAATGGACAAAAATATGACCAATTACTGAAGCCTGTTATTAAAAACCAGGTCTTTGCTTTCTATTTAAAACAATGACTCAGCACCACCATATCTATATTTTTTTCTAAAATGAATACGTATATTTCTAGAATATACATATATACAAGCATACACACTCATAAATATATACATATATGCACACACTAGGGTTACATATATTTGTTTAAATGTATTCATATAAATAAAAACATTACTCTTACAATCATAATATTTCATGCCTCTAAAAATGTTCCTTAGGGATTTATTTTTCTCCCTTTAAGTCTCACCAACTCATTTAAGATCCTGATGACTTTACTAGAACATGTTGGAACCATTATTTTATATATCTTTCAATTTACAAAACAATAAACAGACCAGACGACCAGTTTTTTCCTTTATCGGGCAAGTAGCAGTCAAGGTTTGTTTGCATCTGTCTATTCTTTGGTATGTAGTTAAAATGCTTTCTCTCCTCAAAAGAAAAATTAAAGTTAAACAAAAGGGCAGGTTTTTATCAAATATTTACACATTGGAAGATTAAAGAGTTAGAGAGATCTTCACTTCTTAGTGACCCAATCACCATATTTTGCTTGTTTAATGTTGCCTACATTGTCACTCAGGATTATCAATAATGAGAATAGAATACGTTTAAGAGCAATAGGTCCTTTGTGGACCTGTTTACTTATTTCTAATGTAAAATTTCTGAACTTTAGGATATATAAATAAATATCAAAAGCAAAACACCATGTGAAAATCATACATTTACTTGGGCCATAGACACATGGATTAAATAAAAATTTTTTAATAAAAAATTCTTTTTTAGTAAAAGAATTATTTTGTCTGGCCTAAAAATCACATGAACCCAATATGAAAATATTCATATATATTGCTCAAAAGCTCTCAAAAGTTGGCAGTTATGTCTATTTGGTTAAGAGATCAATATATGCAAACAAACAGTTATTAAATAATTAACTTTATTTAGTTAGACCAATTATCTCAAAACATAAGCCCTATGAGTGCAACATAATAGAAGAGAGTCTGGCTAAAAAGGTTGAGAACATCTTCACCCATCTCCTCCCCATCTCCAGATCTCCAGGGTGGTTTAAATATCTAGGACTGGCCATTAAGTAATCAATAATCATGGCCTCTATATTTAATATTCAAGCAAAACCTCCTGTAGACTTATTCCAGTGCTGCTAGCCATTTCACACCTTAATATTTAGAGCTCCCACATACCCTTGTAAAGTACATGAATTGTGCAATGATGCCAGGCTGCGAGGGGGGAGTGGGGGCTGAAATCCACCCCTGCCCAGGAGCCAAGCTGTGGCCCACAGGGCTATACCTACACGGAGGGGGTGCCTTTTCCTAATTAGCAAATCACACCACAGAGACTAATGGCATTTCTGTTCATCTTGGTGACATAAACATATCTGACCAGATATTCTTCTCTGTGGGTCTAAAATGTTATCCTTCAGCCTAGAAAGAAAGACTCTCAACAACCTAGAAATCAAATTATGAACAACTAATTACGGCATTTTCAAAATATTCCAAACTTTGTTTCAAGATACCAAGAAAAAACTGTACATCTACACACACACACACACACACACACACACACACACACACACACATACACATAGACAAACATGCAGATACGTTTGTGTATAGGTGAAAATAGCTAGAGAACAGATTCAGATACAGGAAAACATATTTTCTTATATGGGTCAGGTAACTGATTTCAACAGCCACATTCCAGGACAAGACATTTTGTCATATAAAATGGGAGTATTCACAGGGTCAGAGAAAACACAGCCTTTTCAGATTCTGTAATTTCCTTAATCCACTCAATACACAACTAGGATCCAATGCTGGCTTTTATGACCTAAACAAAATTATCCCTGTAGGTTCCAAAATTAACCTAACTCTTTCACCAAGTATTTATGACTAGCGTATTATATTCATTAAACCCAAATGTCACAATGTATTTTTTATAAATAATCTAATCTTTAAAATATCCAAGCTGCCCTTCCATGTCCTCAGGGAGCTTGTACAGTTTCCATAGTTATAACATGTGGACAAGACAAGACTGACTGTCAAGTGGTATACCTTTTCATTTACCATTTTCTAATTTATTTCCACTGCTTCATTTATTAGATTCTGTTCCAAAACTGAAAAATATTACACGTAGAAAATTGTCCCCATTTTTTAATCCAAACTTGGCTTTTCTTCCTTGATAGAAAAAAAAAAAAGCAGTTTTAGTCAATTGATAATTACACTATCGGCTAATGGAGAACTGTCAAAAGTTTAACTCTTTCTTTTCTGAGCAGTGATCTTACTGTCATCCAAATAACAGCCAGTCATGTAATCTTTCCATTTCTCTTGCCCTTCCCATAGCCTGCTCAAACACAAAGACACACACACACACACTTGCACACTCACACAGAGGGGCTAGAGAGAAAATCTACTTCTCCATTAGATATACTCATCCATCTATTGCTCTTGCAAAGACAGGACCCAGGTTTATAAAAGTGTTAATTATTAGAGGAAGATGTAGATAAAGAATATGATGATACTGTGAAGAAATAATCTGGAACCATCTGAAAATTCTGAAAAGAAAATATTATAGGAAAGGAAAATAACTAGTGAGTAATTAACATCACTTACTATGCCTTGCACTGGGCTACTTCTTACAGTAAATACAAAAATAATATAGTCACATCCCTAGGCATCATGCAGCTTGCCATCTGCTTAGGGAAATAATGTAATAGCACCTGAAATTATTAGAGAATATGTTAGTACTACTAAAAGTCAAAACAGAATTCAGACATTCAATGGTTTGCAGTGGTCAGGAAAATTTTTATGAATGTGAAGGGGCTTGAACTGGGTCTTCACATGAGTAATATTTAGATGAGGGGAAGATTGGAGAAAGCATTCAGAGCAAAGGATAAAGCAGAAGCCATCCTGGGGAGAAAGAGTTGAAGAAAACATGTGGGGCAGGATGGGGAAGTCGAGGGAGAAGACTAAAGCAACAGAAATAGAGAACATTCTAGAATATAATTTTGCACTTTTCAGGTAGATGCTGAGCTGTATGACTGCCTGCTTATTCGTCTCACAGTTGAAATTAGAGTATCCTCATTTAAAACTACAAATTTACATATTTTCCCAACTGTTCTTTGATGGAACGGTCCACCTCCAGGGCAGTCAGCTATTGACAATTGCTCAGAGAGGTAAGTAGGGAAAAAAATATTTAAATAATTCAGTACGCATTTCAAAGTAGAATTTTTCAAAAACGCAGAAGCTATTTTAAAAACATAAACACAAAGCATGTCATTCTTCCTTCCTCCCTCAAAGGACAATGGTCGTGCTGTGTAAGAACAGAAACAAGTATATCTAGCATACTGACTGTGGAGGCCGCAAACACCGCTAGTTCTCCTGAGAATTAGAAGCCCCGAGCCTGAGCTACGTGGTATCTGTGAAGCACAAGTCAAATCATTAGATTTACATATGAAAAGTTGTATGCCTTTCACCTCTGAGGCATATCAGAGATAGACTCAATTTCCTGGTTCTAAAGGCCGACTTCAAGGTGCCTATTACAGGCAGAGACCCACCCTTTACCCTGTGAAAGTACAAATTCCATTTCTGTCTCCGCAGCTCAGTAATAGTCCCTCTGCCCCCTCCAAAAGCATGCAACAAAGGAGTAATTCCCACTGTGTGTACCTTTCTGGAGCTGATGCAGGGACAAGGTGACATTTGCTCTGTTTTAGTCCTCACGTTACTGACAATGACTCCTGTATCTTGCGTGGGCTTGAATAAAGCCACTGCATGTGAAACGTTGATGCTAATGATGACTGTGGAGACTCCTGTCATTTACTCTCTAGTCCTCTGACATTTCTGTTTCCACTTTGATTTCTTTTGGCTCACACTGTAAGCTAGATTTTCTTCATGGCACCCTGCTTGGCAGGAGAATCTTGTCTGACCTGGAAATAGTGACATTGTGTTCTGGAAAAACCTCTGCAGGGAGTTGAATCAAAGGAAGAAATAAATGCAATTCTCTGCAAAACCTGTCTGTTGTCACCAGGGATGCTCCCTGCAGGGACCTTTCAGTAGAAGGGATCCCAAGCAGATGAGTGCTGTGCTGCACAGTGTTTATGCATGTCACCTATTGGTGTGCACAAAACACACAATCCAACATTTGACACAGCTACATTCCAGTTCCAGATTACATGTGAAATCTGACAAACTCATAACCTGATTAGAATAAACTGTACCCACCTCTGCTGTTTTTACAATTACAGTCATGTGTCACTTAATGATGTGGATTCATTCTGAGAATGCATCATTAAGTGTTATTAGTACATTGTAGTCTGTACTTACACAAACCTAGATGGTATAGCCTACGGTAACACACCTAAGCTATATGGTATAGCCTATTGCTCCTAGGCTAGAAACCTGTACAGAATGTTACTGTACTGAATACTGTAGGTGACTGTAAACAATGACAAGTATTTGTGTTTCTAAATACAAGGTACAGTAAAAATATAGTATTGTAATCTTATAGGACCACCATGTGTAATGGTCATCATTGACCAATGTGTCATTATATTGGCACATTACGGTACCTAAATTTCAATAATGTCTTTCATTTCTTTTCCTTTGAAGGGGAATGATTTTTTAATATGCTGGTTTTATGGTGGTTTTTAGAAATGGTGCCTGAATTATGAACAAAGTGGTATGAAAGAGGTATGTAAAATTGTTGTATAAACTCCATGGGAAGGGGAGAGAACTGGTTGTGTTTGGCAGTGAAAGGGTACTGGAAGACAGGAGAAGAGAGAGGCCAGAATATTTCTTCCCTGACTCCTCCCTGTTTTGAGGCTGTACCTCTGGCAGTAGTTCCATCCCTCCATACACGTCTCTGACTAGAGCCCGCCTGGTGAAGCCTCTGCCAGAATCTCAGCACTCCTGGGGATCTAATGACTCTGTTTCCTCACCTCCTCCTTCAAATCTAGGGTTGGCAAAAGCCTCCCACTATGCTAGTTCCTGAGCACCTCATCATCATTTGTTTGCTCAAAATTCTGAAAGTAGTCCCCTCATTGCAGCCTCTTTATTTGAACCATCTAAATAAAATTCTGTACCCTGCCAGGAGCTTAACTGATAGGCCATCAGAGAGTGTTAGAACTTGGAGGCATCTTAGAGACTGGAGTGCAGTAGCCTCATTTTAAAAACAAGGGAACCAAGTTTCTGAGAAGTAAAGTGACTCACCCAAGGTCTCACAACCAGCAACTAAATGAGTTGAAATAGATATGAATTTCAGGTCTTCTGACTCTTGGCTTGGCTCTCATTATTCCACAGTGCCAGATAAGTTCCTGTGTTGTTGGCTTGTAAAAAGGGAGAATAAACTTAAGTATGTCAATCACATTCCAATGCAAATTTTATGTGTAAATTAATTTTTATGTATTGATATGTACAGAGAAGGACTTTGATCTGTATATTAAGTAGATAGATGGCAACTTAAGACACAGAGCAAAGGGTTTTGTTGTGTAATTTTTGTTGTGCTAATGTTACATTTCAGCATTCTTATTTCTTTACTCCAAATATAACACTTTTTTAAATGGCTCAGATACCTAAATTATCACATATTCTAATTTCATACAAGTGTAATAAAATGTTTTAAAATTTATTCATGTGCCATTTGAATAAAAATTAAAGGGTGGAGGAAGTATTCTTCTTCAAATGGACTCAAACGTGATGAGAGCAAGTCTGAAGGCCTGAGTTCCAGCCCCAGGCCCATCGCTGACTCAATAGCTTCTTTCTCTGGGTATCAGTGTACACATCCTAAACAAAATTTATTTGAAGCATTAAAATAAGTTTATCTAAAGAGATTAATTTTTATGTTCTTTTCCATCTCCACTATTCAGTAATTCTATGAAAGAGAAAATTGACTCAAGAACCCCTTCTCAAGGACTGCCATCAATAAAATATTGAAAAAATTTCAAATAAAATTTTTGTCTTGCCTTTCACATTATTTTTATCTATTTAATTTTATAAGTACAAGTAAATAAAGAAAATGTAATACTATTTCTTTATCAGTGCTGGAATTCATGGAAAATATAATGTCAAAAAATAGAATTCTGGTATCTCTTTGCTATGCTATATAATTGTGGAACAGTTGCTCTTAATGTTTTTTGGTCATTGACTACTCTCAGGGACTTTTATGGGTTGTCTACAATTTCAGGGGTCCACAAAATAAGTCTTCCATGTACTCACCATCAAAAATTCCTTTTTACTAGCATGCAAATAATGATACATTTTATAATCACATTCCCATTTTCTACTTTGCCCCAGTGGTCCTTTCTTGTAACTGTGAAATACTTAACACAGACTTTAGTGTGACAATAGGGGTTTTGTCCCAGGTTTTTTACCACCTACCTGAGTGAGCTCGACAAGTTACTCAATTCCTTGTGTCTCGGCTTCCTTATCTTTGAAATAGAGCAAACATTCTGTTATTATGAGGTAAAATTAGGTAATATATGGAAAACTGCTCCAAGTACAGTAAAGTACTTCTCTAAGTTGGTTACTATTTTTCCAGTACATAACATAATACCTGACCAAGTAGGTGCTCAATAAATATTTGAAAAATGAATACAGTAGGTAAATAAAATGGTGACCATTTCCCTTCAAATTCTCTGTTGAGATTTAGATTGTTACCATGAGAGTTTATGTTTACTGACCTAGGTCTTCAACTTGAAAGTATTGCTCATTATCTTAGTTACCTCTGTGTTAAAAAGCATTATGTTAAAAGATGTTAAAGGCTGTATTATACTACAAAGCAATAAAAAAAAAACTATTGAAAGCTATAGCGTGAATCCTTTGGGTCAACAATGAAGAATAACATTTTGTTATTCATAACAATTTGTTGTTATGAAAGTGCCTCACAGAAATAGAAGTAACAGCTTTCTTTCCTTTCTTCTCTTCCCTAGAGAAGCTCACAGTTTAGTAAATGCGTCAGTTGAATCATGCTAACTTCTACCGTGGTAAAAACTAATTCTTAAAATCTCAGTCTCCTAAAGTAACTGAAGTTTATTTCTCACTCATGATCTACGTTTCTTACATGTCTCTTAAGACCTCTGTTTTTTGTAATTAATCATGGGCCAGGCTGATAAAACAGGTATCATCTCAAACATTTCTAGCTGCTGTCCCAGGGAGGTATAGTTCTGGAGGGTTTCATATAAGCAATCAGATGTTCCTGCCCAGAAGTAGCATACATCTCATCTGCTCACAGCTGTTCAGAACTAGTCACACAGCCAACTACAGTGGCCTAGGAAGTGCAATTCTACCATATCCCCAGAATGCAGAGCACCAGAAATACATGGCAAGCTGCACTAAGGACCACCGTAGTAGGGGTATTATTGTTTTAGATGATCTCAGTTTACACTTAACTCATTCATCCATTGAGAAATAGTGATCCAAACCAAGCAAGATCTTCCCTGTGTTTTTTTTTTCTTTTTCTTTTCTTTTTTTTTTTTTTCCTGTAGAGAAAGAGAAGCAGGAGATTGAGGAGAGAAACAGGAAAAATGGAGAATAGAGGAGAAGAGAGATATAAAAGAGAAAAGTCAGGCAGAAAAGCAGGGAAGTAGGAAAAGAGCAAATCAAAGAAAATATAATTATTCCAGAATATTTGTAATCCAATGAAAGGATGTTGGTAGCTACAGCATTTTAGAGACCCCCAACTTCTCTTAGAAATTTTCAGAATCACTAGAGTTCTTAGGAGAGCTTTTCTGTTTTCTGTTTCCTAATCAAATAATTGTAGAAGAAGTTAATATATGAACATTTATTTTCAAAATGGTTTCACTGACATCATCCTGCAAGATTATTATATTATGCCCATTTTATAAACACCAAACCTAAGGCCCTGAGGAGTTCAATGAAAAGCTGTCCCACTGGTGAATGATTCAGTGGTTAGGTGGGTTATGTAGTGGAGGAGTATCATGTTCAAAGGGGAAAGGGTTAGAGTGAAGAGAGCTAAAGGGGAGAGAATATGGACCCAAGAAAAGAATGCAGGAATGAGAAAACCTTAACTCCTAAGCTAGTCTTACAATGTGGCAGAGGAGTTTTTGTTTGTGACTTTCTCTGGCCTCTTTTGGGCATGACCTCTTGCACTTTGGATGACATTTGAGATTATTTTAAAGCCATAACAATAATCAGAGAGAGTGGTCAAAAAATGGTAATGTGTGAATTAAATTTTCCCAGAACTTGTTCAGAACACAGGGCACAGGAAAACACATTTTGACAGAGCCACCTGTGCCAACTCCCTGCTGATGAGCCCTGGGAGACGAGGTTTTGCAGAAGGACTTCAACCTGCAGGCTTGGTCACTGCCAAGAACAGCAGATGGCACTTGCTGGACATAGTTGCCTGTTAGCCTGGGGGGCCTACCTGTATAGCCTGACAGTATACACTAAGTTCAGCTATTCTGGACAGGCCCAGGAAGCCCCCCAAAGGAGGAAAATGTTATATTAGGTTCAGTATAGTTTTCCCAGTGCATAGAAGGTACGTAATCTCCTGATATATGTTTTTTGAATCTGTATTCTATTTTTATACATCTACTTTTCTTACAAAGGGGTATATTGTAATGTTACCCTGCAATATTCACATTTTTAAGGTATTGAAGGACAACTATTATTTTGAAGGTGAGATTTCAAATTTTTCCTGGGAAGAAGTTTTTGGCAACTGGTCCCTTGACAAACATCCAAAGAGCCAATTACTGCACATAATTTTAAAAGCTGAAAAACTAATGATGATTTTATGGGTTCATTAACCTCATAGCATTGTTGATGTGTTCTCACAGAACTCTGGAAGGGGGTGGAGAGGTTGGAAAAAGTGTTCCTGTGAGTATCCCACTGGGAAAATCTCTATATACATTTCTCCTTGGAT